>NC_000004.12:60171381-61421381 GCF_000001405.40 Homo sapiens | reverse complement strand
AGTAAGATGACATTTGCCAGTTTTTTTTTTTGGTTTGTTTGTTTTTTTGAGACGAAGTCTTGCTCTGTCGCCCAGGCTGGAGTGCAGTGGCGTGCTCTTGGCTCACTGCAAGCTCCGCCTCCCGGGTTCACACCATTCTCCTGCCTCAGCCTCCCAAGTAGCTGGGACTACAGGCGTCCGCCACCAAGCCCAGCTAATTTTTTGTATTTTTAGTAGAGACGGGGTTTCACCGTGTTAGCCAGGATGGTCTCGATCTCCTGACCTCGTGATCCGCCCACCTCGGCCTCAGGTGATCCACCCACCTCGGCCTCCCAAAGTGCTGGGATTACAGGTGTGAGCCACTGTGCCCGGCCAGCATTTGCCAGTTTTATAGAAAATACAGACAAGTATTTTACCCCAGGTTAGACAGTTATTAAAAAACAGAGCTAAAACTTGAATATAGGCCTTCCACTAATACTACAAAATAACTAGAGTGGAATTTTTCAGCTAGTGTGAAAATGTGTTCTTTGATACAAGTCATAAAAACAAAGATTTATATAATGAAGTTCTTATTCACCTCCAAATGTAAGTAGACTTTTTTTTTTTTTTTTTTGACCTTGGGTATGACCTTAGGTACTCTGTGCTTTAGTATTTCCACTTACACAAATGAGACTTTAAGCCTATCTTTAAACTTTCCTGCAGGGAGCGGTGGCTCACGCCTGTAATCTCAGCACTTTGGGAGGCCGAGGCAGGCGGATCACGAGGTCAGGAGATCGAGACCATCCTGGCTAACACGGTGAAACCCCGTCTCTACTAAAAATACAAAAAATTAGCCGGACGTGGTGGCGGGCGCCTGTGGTCCCAGCTACTCGGGAGGCTGAGGCAGGAGAATGGCGTGAACCCGGGAGGCGGAGCTTTCAGTGAGACGAGATGGCGCCACTGCACTTCAGCCTGGGCTACGGAGTGAGACTCCGCCTCAAAAAAAAAAAAAAAAAAAAAAAGCTTTCCTTTGGGGCAAATATTTTATTATTCTAGGGTTCATCATGATAAAAATATGTGAAGAAACTAACCAATGAATATTTTATGGAAACCAAAATATTTTAAAAATACTGATTAGAAAATCGAATCTACCATCATATAGTGATATTATTTTGCTCAATTAAAAATACTCTCTATGTAAAAGATATCATGGGAGAACAAATGAAGACAATAGAAAAATGTGGCATAAAATGTTTTATTATGTTGTCATGCCCAATCAGATTAAAGGAAATTAAAAAGATCGTTTAAAATATCTAAATACGGGCTGGGCATGGTGGCTCACGCCTGTAATCTCAGCACTTTGGGAGGCCGAGGTGGGTGGATCACCTGAGGTCAGGAGTTTGAGACCAGCCTGGCCAACATGGTGAAACTCCGTCTCTACCAAACATATATAAAAAAAAATATCAGCCGGGCATGGTGGCACATGCCTGTAATCCCAGCTACTGGGGAGGCTGTGGTAGCAGAATCACTCAAACCCGGAGGTGGAGGCTGCAGTGAGCCAACATTGCACCATTGCTGTCCAGCCTAGGTGACGAGAGCAAAACTCCATCTCAAAAAAAAAAAAAAATCTAAATATGTTTAAATCTGTGAAAATAAATCTAAATATGTTTAAATCTGTGAAAATAACAATCAAAATTTTTAAAAAATTACAATGCTGCTAAAAATTGACTGCGTACAGCATGTCCTCAAATAAGTTCTTTCACTGTAATGTTGATGAGAAAAACAAATTGATTTCCAGGGGCCACTGTCTGTGTGGAGTTTGCATGTGGAGTCTGTGTGGGTACTCGGGGTATTCTGGTTTCCTCCCATATCCCAAATTAAGTATGTTTACATTAGGTCAACTGTTCTTACTCAGTGGTTCCAGTCTGAGTGTGGGTGGCTGTGTGAGTGTGCCTTGCAATGGATGGACATCCTGTCCAGGGTGGGTTTCCACCTTGCCCCCTGGGTTGGCTCTGGCCACTGGCGACCCTGAACTGGAATAAGTGAATAAATAGTTATCTCACTTGTTTTCATTATTCTTTCTTAAATGTATATAGAGCTCACATTTATTTCAATGTTAATATTAGAAGTATTTTGGTCTTTATTTAGAAATTGGTGATGTTTTTGTGATCAGAAATATACCTTAGGAACTTAACTCACTTCCATTAATAAGCATATAGTAAAATTGGTTTCATTATACATCACTTCATTTACTTATAATAGCAGTTTCCAAAGACCTACTAATTATGTTAACTGAAGATTTACTGTATATTATATATTAAATCTACCTACATGTTTTAAATTGTGAGAAAGTATACCAACATTCTTAACAAAATAATTGTCATCTAAGCTATGCATTCTGAGAATTACAATGTCATTGAAACCATAGTAAAGCTTTCTAAATCAAGTAAATTATTGAAATTCATGACATAGGATTTCTATTTATAGTCACTAAACTGTAAATAAACTTCTAAATTAATTTAACTTTTTTCTTTTTATACACGATAGAAGTTTTAAATGTTACTGTATGCTACCTGTATATCCAACTGAGTACCTCTTCTTAAATGGCCCTCATGGAAGCATGAACATTTAACACAATTAATAATATTAAGTACCATGCCACATTAATTTCATTAACACATATTAATGTGAATGAATAGATCATTTTATTTAAAAATGAACAAAGATTTGGCCCTACTGAGAATTATCTGAACAGAATGCTGCTTCTGTATTTAAATAGTCTGTTTTAATTCAGTGCGTTGTTTTCCTTTGTGGAATTTATCAATCTGTATTATTTTATCAAAGAACAAAGCTCTTAGTGAGACAAGAGAAAGTATCAATAGGAAGAAAAACATACTGCAAAAAGACAAAGGCACAGACCATGCTGAAGATACAGAAGAAATGCACACAAGATGACCCCAAACAAAATTTTATCTAAATTTGCTGCCATTGTGAAGACAAAACCATGTCCGATGTTCACGGCCTGAAATATGCTCAATTGCAGAATATCAGACAATTGCTATGGCAGAGACCACTAGGTGATTACCCAGTATTGATTCTCTACTTCTCCCTTAACAGAACTCCAATTCTCTTGGCAGCAATCCTGTTCTGACCCTAAAGAGAAATTGCGCTTCTACTCTTTCAGATATGGGAGAACACATGATATTTTGTCCAACGAAAATATAAGAGAAAGTTGTTGAGCAAAATTTCCAAAATGGGTAGCAATCTTACATGAAATGTGCCTTTTGCTTCTTGCTCTTCTCTTTCTCTAGCGAGAGCACCGAAACTGGCAGGCACTCTAGCCACCATTTATAAGCACAAAAATGAAGGTCACATGTAAGGACAGTAGAAAAAGAGTTCTTTGCAGCCACAGAAGCCTCTCCTCCCCTTGTCCAGTATTTAAGCAATTTAGACCAATCTCAATCCCCAACTGAAACCCTTGCCTAAAATTCATCTTTCATTTTCTAAAAAATGCAACAAGTCTTACTGAAGGCCTTCATTGCTCTACTACCAACATACAATCAGTTTAATCCCTTTAACCTATGCTGCAGTCAAAGGTTAACCCCCAAAACTATCTCCCTCACCAAACTCCATATTCTGTATGTCTCATTCAAGGAGTGGACCCAACTTAAGCACAAGATGGGATCCTATGCACCTCCTCTAAAAGTGAAAAAAAAAAAGTCATTTGGCATAAACTATTTTAAAACATCGATTATTATTTTATTAAACGTTAAAGAAGGTTTTTCTAAATTTTTTCAAGAATAACCCTATACAAAAAAAATCACCTCAAACAAGACTTTTTTTTTTTTCGAAACCAGTGCTTCACAAACTGTCTATGGCGAAGGACCTCTTCGATTTTTTTTGTTTGATGTTTGTTTTTTTTCGTTTTTGTTTTTTGAGACAGAGTCTGGCTCTGTCACCCAGGCTGGAGTGTGGTGGCACAATCTCGGCTCACTGCAACCTCGACCTCCTGGGTTCAAGAGTGATCCTCCCACCTCAGCGTTGCAAGTAGCAAGGACCACAGATACGCACCACCATGACTGGCTAATTATTTTATTTGTAGAGATGGGGGTCTCACTATGTTGCCCAGGCTGGTCTTGAACTCCTGGGATCAAGTGATCTGCCCGCCTCCCAAAGTGCTGGGATTACAGGTGTAAGCCACCACCCCCGGTCTTGTTTGTCAATTATTTAATGCAGGGATCCCCAACCCCTAGGCCACGTACTGGCCCATGGCCTGTTAGGAACCCGGATGCACAGCAGGAGGTGAGCAGCAGGCAAGCAAACATTACCACCTAGGATCTGCCTCCTGTCAGATCAGCAGTGGCATTAGATTCTCACAGGAGCATGAACCTTATTGTGAAGTGTGCATGGGAGGGATCTAGGCTGCCTGTTTCTTATGAGAATCTAATGCCTGATGATCTGTCACTATCTCCCATCACCTCCAGATGGGACCATGTAGTTTCAGAAAAACAAGCTCAGGGTTCCCAGTGATTCTACATTATGGCGAGCAGTATAATTATTTCATTATATATTAGAATGTAATAATAACAGAAATAAAGTGCACAATAAATGTAATGCAGTTGAATCATCCTAAAACCATCCACCACCTCATCCCACCCCAGGTCCATGAAAAAACTGTCTTCCACAAAACTGGTTCCTAGTGCCAAAAAGGTTGGGCACCACTGTTTTAATGCATCTGTTTTATATACCAATTCTTTTTTAAAATTTACCCTCCTCAACAACAACAAAAAAATCCACTGATCATATGCATGAATGTTGTAACAAATATTAAATTGTTATAAAAGTTTCCAAAAGCTTATTCTCAACTTTTACTTGGCTTGTTGCAAATAGGAAGCAATATTACTCCTACATATACTAGCTGAGTTTAATGTTCAACTGTCCTTTTTTCTTTACTACAAATAAAAACTGAATTAAATAACAGATATCTTTGAGAAATCTGTGAAATTTTCAATGTCCTTATTCTTTAATTTTAAAAAGAAAAATATGTCAGTCCAATTGCTTTTTGAAAGAAGTTTAAAGGCTTTTAATTTTTTTTCTAATAGGCATAGAAATATTAAAATACTCACAGTTTCGGCTTTTCCTGAAAAATTACTAGTTTCTTTGATTTCCATCATTTTTTTCCCCAAAATTGAGACAGACATATTTCATTATTATGCTTGTAAAAATATGCTGAAATAATTTCAAATTAACAATGTCATATAGCATTTTTATGGATTTTTACCTAATCTAGATATCAGCACATGGTTAAAATAATGAAAAATACCTTCATATTTAAAAAACTATATTCTATATTAATGTAAACTTTTTAGCACTAGAGATTAGAGAAACTAGGTGAATGTTTATTAATTAAACCATAGAAGAGACAGATGGAGAAAAAGGTAGCCTTTTAAAAGACGTAATACTTTTGAACTCTGCAATGTTTTATGGAAAAAACAGTTCAGAAGCAATATGCATATGTCAGTGTCAGGACTTGGAAAAAATGCCATCATCTAGGCTCCCTACTTTGAGAAACTTCATGCCATATTATTGAAATGTACGTTCCTGATTTAATTAAGTGATTATCTAAAAAGCTGACAATATATGCTATATTGAAAAAAAAGATAATTTAGTTTAAATAAAGATCATTTCTTTCATGAGATGGTAGAAGAGGAGAAAACAAAAAAGGAAGAAGAGAAGGTTAAAGGGAGAGCTACACAATGACAGAATAGGGAAAATTGGGATACATTTAACAATGGTCAAATTTATGTATGACAGTTAACATAAATTAACTTAGAAATTAAAATTACCATCACTATATTTTAAAAACCAGCACTTCAACCTTAGGCAAACAATGATGTGGTAGATGGTAAAGATCATAACATTGTTGTTGCTTTCGTGTAATAAATTTCTAGTTTAGAATTTTCCATGACAATTCAATATTAATATTCCACAGAAATTATTTTGGATACACTGTGTTGGAAAACAAATTATCTTTCCTTAGTAACTCTTTAGTTCTTGTGAAAACAAATCCTCCTAAAATAAACAGACTTCAAGGAAATAAGGCAAGTACTTATAAATAATATTTTTCAATAATTACCAATACGTGAAAGACAACCATGAATGTATTGGTATATGTCTTTTAATAAATAAATCTAGTGTTTTAAAAGTAGTAGTATCTCAGCTGAGGTCCTTGATATTATAATAGAAATAGGCCAAAAATAGACATTCCTGAACTAATGTATTTTAATATTCCTATTTCTAAATGTTATGTTTTTATAAAGACTGTCTTCACTAAAAAATACCTAAAGTTATTTTCTAATGTCAAAATAAAATAAGAAATACCTCTAAAAATAAGCAGGCATCTCTTTTCATTTAGACACAATATAGTTTGCACATTTTCCAACTATTTTTAGAACAAGCAGAAAGCTACTATGCAGAGTAAATAGATAATATTATTTACTCAGGATCTTGATGAAAATTTAGAGATTTTAAGCTGAGATAATGTAAATATCAAAATTACTATTATCATTATTTCTATGACTATGATTGAAAAACTGATTATGTCCTTTACAAGACACTAAATGAAAAACCACTTTAGATGAATAAGCTTTGGTAATATATAACAACTTATGTAACAACCAGAGATCAAGCAGAACAAACATAACCAGAAATATACCTCTTTGATTTGATATATTATTCCAAAAAAAAAACATAAAGCAATTCTCATATTTTGACTGTCTCTGTCTCCTCCTTTTCCTTAATATAACCGCAAAACCACTCAATGACCAATAACCAATCAGAGTAAGCAAAATACCAAGCGTAATTATCCAATTGTTGGAAATATTAATTTAGATCATGTTATCTGAAGTAACTCATCTATTTACCAGAGGAGAAGAATAAAGAAATTTAAGATAATAAAATTTTCTCTGGGAATAACAACAGTATATTCTTATAAAGGAATACAGAAAGCCCTCAAATTTCAGGTCCACTGTTCAAAATAATTAACATATGTTTAGTAGTAGGAAATTTTTCTCTAAATCACATACAAGGGACAATGTATCTTACGTTTGAGAAGCATTGCTTACTGAAAAGTTTATGAAACTTTACATATTTTAATTAGACCTAACCAAAGGTAGGAAAATGCTTTTGTTATTATTATTCCAATTTTTCCAGGTAAGTTAGTCCTAGGCTGCCATCTGCATGTAATGCTTTCAGCCCTTCAGAATGGTCTGTGGCAGACTAATAGTGACTCCTGAGATAATTTCCTGACTTGTTTCATTTTCCTACAGAGTTGATAAATTCTAGTCCCAGCAGTGTTGTTTAATTCAATAATAGAAACAGGCCTTTTGGACATAAATATTCACAATGACTATAGAAAAATTATACACAACTGTCAAATATGTAGAAATTATTTGCAAAATGCACGATTTTAATAAAATGGTCCCAAACCAGTATTCTCTGTGAATAAAGGAGGACTACTGTATGTAAAACAAATGTAAGAAGATGCTGAAGGATGGAGAAAATAAGGCAGACATGCCTCAGACTCATGGAACAATGTGGATTCATGGAACAACGTGGCTCTGAGTTCCCTGGTTTCATTCGTTTGTTTGTTTGTTTGTTTGTTTGTTGTTTGTTGTTTAACTCATACTTCCAGATTTGGAGCAGAAAAATCTGGCAACATGGAAACACCAACAGATATAGACCGAAAATGGCCCAGTAAAGCTTGCTTTCCTGAGCCAAAGAACCAGGAAAGGGGCAATGTAGTAATTCAGAAAACTTTTAGATAAACACTGCACTACTCCAGGCAAACAACAGAGAAAACTTTAGCCTCACCCACACCCACATTATCAAAGACCAAAGAAAGCCTAGAGTTCCATCTCCACTAGGTTATAACCCCGGCACCTCTATGCAACCCCCAAAAAGGTGGTGTTAGGCAGGGCTAGTGGGGACCTTGGACTTTCATCCCCACTCCAGAGTAGTGATGACCTGCCACCCCACGTTGTCAGTAAAGAGCACCCGTTTCCCCACTTCCTAAGATGCTGGTGTAAACAGAGGCCAGGTGAAGACTTTCATCACTTCCCACCAGTAAGGAGGCACACCGACCCCGGGTATCAGTGGAGGTCACACAGGGTAACAAGGCACTCATACCCATCTCAGTAAGGGCAGCATCAGTAGAGGCCTAGTGAGGAGCCTAACCTCCTGAGCACATCCAACAATAATAAAAAGCTTCAATATCAGCAGTAGCTGAGTGTGGAACGTGGACTTCTATCAGCTCCACCTGCAGTAACAAGGCAGCTACAAACTAACCTTCCTGTGAGAAAAGAAACCAGCTCAAACGGAAGATTTAAATAAAAGCCAGAGCCTCATAACCTAATACACAGATCATCCAGTTTTCAACTGAAAATCATTCATTATATGAGGAACCAGGAACATGTCAAACTTAATGAAAAAACACAATCAATAGAATCCAATACCAGGATGATAGAGATGTTAAAATTATCTGACAAAGATTTTTAAAGCAATCATCATAAAAATTTCCCAATGAGCAATTACAAAAATGCATGAAAACAAATGATAGAACACCATCTTAGCAACAAATAGAAAGTCTCTAAATAAAAAAATCTAGAACAGGAAAATACACAATAACCTATATTAAAACAACACCTGGGCTCTAGAGCCAAATGGAAAGGAAGGAGAGAAGAATCAAGTTAGCTAACTTTAGGATACAGCAATAGCACTGTCCAATGTGGACACAGAGAAACAGACTGGAAAAATGAAAAGAGCCTCAGAAACTACAACAAAAGATTTACCATTCCAGTTGTGGTAGGCAGAACCCACTTTACCACCAACACCAAAGTTGTTCATGTCTTAATCTAGGCTAGGCTGAGTCAGGCATCCACATCAGTATTCCCAGAACAACCAATGCCTGCCTTTTTCATAGGATTTAATCCCACTGAATTGAAACTGTAGTATCTGTGGCCAAGAATTGAGTGTACTGGCCTGGTGTGGGGGACCACACCTATAATCCTAGCACTTTGGGAGGCCAAGGCAATAGGATTGCTTGAGCTCAGGAGTTCGAGACCAGACTAAGCAACAAAACAAGACCCTGTCCCTATGAAAAAAATTTATTAAAAAAATAGTTGGGCACAGTGATACATGCCTGTAGTCCCAGCTCCCTCGTGAGGCTGAGATGGGAGGAAGACTTGAGCCAGGTCAAGGCTGCAGTGAGTTGTGTTCATGCCACTACATGCCACCTGGACAACAGAGTCTCCAAAAAACAAACAAACAAAAAGACCACAACAAAATTGAGCTTTCTGAGACAAGAGAACCATAGCACCTAGTTTACTGAAGTAGAGGTGTGAGCAATGATGTAATATCCAGAATTCAATTCATATTTATTAACATGAATATATGAGGGTTAACACATTGTTAACTTTTCATCTAAACAAGAAGAAAAGTTTCAAAAACTTAGTGAATTCTCATATTAAGATGGAATTATCATTTCATAGCTTAATTTTCAAAGTGATTTTCTCTTCAATATCATTTCTCCTGAAAATGTTTGGGGAATCTCTGAAATACCCCAAGTATTTCCTGACATCTAGTAAATAAAATATAAGCAGTCCTTCCACCAGCTCAGCCTAACATGTGCATGAAATTTATGACAGATCTTGAATGTGGAGAAAACATAATTTAATAAAGTTAAGAGAACTGGTAATTTTTCTGACAAAAGATAAGGAAGGAAAGAGAAATTAGTCAAAATTGTATGTAAAGCTGCAGAAATATCATTAATGACTCAAACCTGGAAGCTGAATACAGGTCATCTGAAATTGGAAATAGCTGATTATTCACATATTAGGCAAAGAAAAATTGGGCAAGCTATTTAAGAAAGAATTATGCTGTGTTACAAAATAATATCTATGGAGGAGGGATGCCTGGAAAATTACTGTTGCTGACATCACTTGCCTCCTGATATGATGCACTGAAAAGAATATTACATCATTTCTGTAGTATTCCTGCCAAAACTTACAAGAAGAAAACATCTGAAAAGCTCAAATTGAGAGACAGTCAGTGAAATAACTGTCCTATATTCTTCATAAATATCAATGTCATAAAACACGAAGACTGACAAACTATTCCAGAAAAAAAAGAAACTGAAGAGACATGATCACTGAATGTAATATATGATCAGAAATGTTCTTTTGTTATAACTGACATTGTTGGGACAATTGACAAAATCTGAATAGGTTTATAGACAGAGCTGACATCATGGGCATATGACCAAGTGCAGTTGCATGAGGCTCCATACTCAAAAATCAACACTTGGGGTTTCATACCTCAATAATCTCCCTGAAATTCTTACCAATTTTATCTCTGAATTTGTGTTTTGTAAGTAAAGCCCAATGGGATGACAGACACCAAGGGCCTTGGTTCAAGTATAATCTGACATCCTGCAACCTCCATAGGATGGGTTCTCAGTTACTTGATTCAGACCTTTTGGAATCCCAGTTCCTGCTGACATTCCACTCTCTGCCCCAAAACTGCATCAGCAGCTCCGTCACCAGACAGGATGTCTGAGTTTGGGGGAGCTTGGGGCAAGGAGGTGACTCCTTGGCTCAGGACAGCAGCCTGCACGATAGTGTATTCTGTGGGCATTCAGCAAAGGTTTCTCACTCAACCCTGATCCAGGATATACTGAGTATGTCCAGGCACAGAAGTTGGAATCACTTGGAGATCACCTGTCCACCACGGGTTGGGGTGGTGGGTCCACTGGAGAGGAAACTGATTTCCCCTGCCAATGCCTTGAATTATCAGTTTGCACTGGGTCCTGCTAATTATATAGCTAGACTTGTTCATAGATTACACAATAGTATTGTAATATTGTTGATTTCTTAATTTTGATCACTGTTGTGTGGTTATATAAGAGAATATCCTTATTTTTTCCAAAGAAAATATGCACTAAACACTAAAGTATTTAAAGAGAGGGCAAATACACAATACATACTGAAGTAAAGAGAGAAAAAGAAAAGGAAAGGGAAAAAAGCAATGTGATAAAAGGTACAATGTTTATATTTGGGGAATATCGTTGAGAATATACAAGAATTATTTGTATAATTCTGGTAGTTTTGTCAAAAGAAAGAAAAAATCCTGTTGTATCTAGCTCATCTCCAAATGCTACTCATTTTTAGAACTCATGAATATAAATTTACAAATAGAGTCATTTTTTAAAAAATTAAAAATGTCCAACATCAATTATTTTAATGTCATGAATTACTAGAAAAAAAAACTTTCACAATTTAACTTATTCCATCCTTCACTATTTGCCAAAGTAATAATTTAAGCAGTTTTTGGTTTGATTTGTTTCTTTAGAGGAGATTAAAAACACAAATGCAAAGATCTGATTATTGTAAAAATCTAGTATACGCATCCACATATACAAAAATGTACCATATTATGTTCTTTCTAAACTTCCCATTCTGTGATCCCTTAAGTTCTGACCTGTTTTAATACTATAAAAATTGAATTAAAAATGCATTTGAAAATATAAAGATAACACTTATTTAAAGATAAGAAAGGCATAACAAACCCATTCTTCTTTTGGATTAACCTTACAAATCAAATCATTGTCAATTTTATTGTAATAATAAAAATCATGACATTTTATTTTCTGAATCAAATTTTGGTTAAAAAGGGCTTATGATCGTATTATTTTTAAAAATATTGCTAAAACAGAGTGAAAAATGCATGAAGTAACTTTGTCTATAACGAAAACATTTAGACCTCTACACAATTAGGCTTTCTGAATGCCTTTCTTTTGTATGATTCATGTGGACTAGCATTTTGGAACTATGAATTAATTAAGACTATCACAATGCCTTATTTTTAAACATCAGAAAAGAAAAATGAAATATATCCTGTTTGATAAATATGAAAAGGAAAGCTTGGAATGAGATAGACATATATATAATATATATATATATATTATGTATGTCTAATATATATATAATATATGTCTTATATATATAATATATTATATATCTATTATATATGTCTAATATATATGTCTAATATATATTATATATAATGGATGTCTAATATATATAATATATATTATGTATGTCTAATATATAATATATATTATGTATGTCTAATATATATAATATATATTATGTATGTCTAATATATATAATATATATTATATATATAATAAAATTTTTCAACTAACTGGGATTTTTTTGGTGACTTTCTTGTCCTCAAAGCATATCTTGGCTTTTATTTAAAATGTAACTTGAAAAGCAAGTTAATGAGTCAGGCAGAGATAGTCCTGGGGCAGAATATGCAAGTATTGTAACTCATAGCTAAAATGATTGTTTTTGATGACACATTAAGGGTCAGGAATACAAAATTAATGCAGAGACTGCATAAAACTTTAAAGCCAATATATTTAATCTAAAGAATCAACAGCTTTATTTCTGATGTTTATTTGAAATTAATCCACAAAAAGGATTTAAACACTCTTAGAAATAAGTTTGAAAGTATGTTAGACTTAGCAAGAGGCAACACAAATACTTTAGCATCATCCAAACTCAGTGTTTTCTCACTTCCAAGAAAAAAAATCAGGTTATAACTCAATTTATATTTGAATCTTAGTCTAAAACCATGCATATTAATTTTAAGAGCTTTAAAATGTATCATTACTGATTCTTTTGTACTCTGTATAAATAATTAAATAATCTAGATTAAATAATTTATTTCCAATTTAAATATTGGTAAGTAGGGGACATTTTCACAAGGCTTAAGACAGAAAACCAGGCTACAGTCCAGCCAGTTCTTCATACCAATAAGAACTGGAAAATACATGTAGGGCTTAAGGAAATCTATTCTCATAAGCAGGGAACGATCAAAGTAATCTCTGTATAGTCGGCAACAAAGCAAGTCTTTAAAAGGGAGCAGAGCAGGAAAAAAAAAAAAAGGACAGCAGCTAATACCCCCATGGGCTGCAAATACCCAGGTGCAGGGTCAGTAGTTTAAAATAGCCTTCCCACTGGCCAACAGGGGCTCAGCAAGAGAGGTAAGAACCAAGCTAATAAGCTCAATGCATTTGGAATTCATTGAGGACCAAGGGAAGGAAAATCTTTAACAAAAAGAAAACATACAGAAGAGTTTAAATAGTCAATTTTATGTGATCTTTAAAAAAAACCTTGCAGAAGTTTAAATTCTGGTGAGATTTCCCTGACAGCCTTAGATCCATCTTATAAATAGTACTGGGTTCCTTCATTTTAATTTGTTTTTCTCTTATTTCCTTTCCTCTTCCCTCGCGTGGCTCCACAATCCCAGCCCCTGCCAGAAGCCCCAATTTCTCATTTCAGAAATGACGTAATATAGAGTTACTAACATATGTATTTAGATAGCTGTTTTTCCAGATGCATTCCTCATAACGATAATCTACAAAATGTTTGTTATGGAAAACCAATTTATAATTTTGAGTTCAGGATTTATAAAGGATCCCTGTATTTACTTCTCCATTCAGTCATGTATTCATTCATTCTCTAGTGAATTCATTCATTTAGAGAGTACATACATACTTGAGAATGCAAGCCAAAAGTGTTTTTATAGCTTTAAATGCATGTGTTTGTAAAATTAATGGTAAAGTATGTACATTTCATATGAGCTAATGCAGTCTCCCTCGTCTCTTGGGATTTGAATCTCTATTGCCTTTTTCTAACCCTTCAAGTTGTTCTTCAATGATGACAGAGAATCTGTTACTGCAGAGCTTTGTTTGGCAGGTAAAACGATGCAAGTTAAACTAAAAATTGGTTTACACAGCTGGTTGTTTTCCTCAGTTTTTTGTGGACACCTCTGTGACACCATCAGCATGTTGTGAATACAGAAAATTTGTGAGAACCACCAACATTGAAGTTTGAAGGCTTCATAAGATATAAAGAAATGAAATTAAGGGACTATTTATTGTATTATACTTTCAGACTTTATTTAAGTTTTAAAAGGCAGAGACTATTTTTTCATTATATATTTTGAGAAAAAAGAAAACTAATATGTGAAGACTAATGACCTATCTACTTCTGTAATAACAAAGCAAGTTATTTTTTAAACACCTTACTTTAGTATAATTTTAATGCAGTTTTTTCATGCGGCTGCAATCTTGACTTCCAGTTACAAAAAAACCTCAAATTATCTCTATTATGAAATCTGCAAAATTATAATAAATTATTGTAAGGGTTTATTGTTTCAGATTTAGGCACTGAATATAAATTTTATCACTGAAACCAATTACAGACATCCTGCTGAATTATTTGTATAATTATTTGCCTAACTTAGAATGCCTTAGGAATGCAATAAGACCTATACAAATCAGACTAAGTTAATCGTATCCATAATATTTTATTTTGTTATTTCTAACCTTAGTTGAAATATAAAACCTTACACTCTCATTTATGACAGTTGGTTCCATGGAATGATTTGTAGTATGTAGCATACTGTTATTAGCTGAAGCAAATTCCAATGACATCATTTAGCCATTATAGGAGATAAGCTCACCTATTAAAGAACAATACTAACAGTGTTTTATATTTTTACCAACCTGGCATGCTGAATAAGTTGTACAGAATATTTTTCTTGTACAAACACATTACAGTTAAAATATCTGAGCTACCCTTGCCTCTCCAAACACGAATGTGGAATATTTCAAATGTTTAATAACTCCAATGATTTATTAACCACATATATATCCTAGTATTTTTTAATAAATAAAAGGAAAAAAGTTAAATTTAAAATAATATAAGCCCAGGAATGACATAACATCCCACTTAGTTTTTTATTAAAATGCATTATCAATACAGAGACAGTAAAAACAACATTAGACACCAAAAAAAATCTGCATGTTCAATGGAGAAAGACATACTGATAAAATAGTAACTTATCTACTTTAATAATATATAGCATCTATAAAATGTATTATTAATTTATATAAGCAATATGTACTCCCTCATTAATTATGAGAATTAAGTCATTTAACCTACGAAATTTAACACCCAACTTTTTTTTACAGGTAGGGTCAAAAGTTACACTACACTACAGCCAAATAGATGGAAGCTTTATTGTATGGCACTTGGGTCTCAGCCTGGATTCAAAGCTTGGCTTTCCCACATGTTAGCTATGTGATATTCCACAATTTTTTTTTTTATCCTCAGTTTTCTCATCTATCTTTAAGAAGCACACAGAATCTGTTCTCACAGAGTGAAAATTAAACAAGATAATGCATACACAGACAGTAGATATATAGGGCGCTCTCAATAAGTGTTAACTATTTTCATTATGAATGTTTTTATCACTTCAGTGAGTGAATGTATAAAATGTTTGAAGTTTGTTTATTCCTGGTGATATCTTTGACTTCTTTTCAAATATATTTTGCTGAACTGAATAAAGTATAATGTAACTATAAGTCACATCTGGCAAAGAGTATTTCTGGTAGGTTTAGCAGTATAGTGACAACCAGATGTTGAATTATACAGAAGAAAATGCGTTCTTTTTCTGATTGTGGCTGACCACTACGCAGAGTAATGTTAATTATTTAGAAAGCTTACCATTAGGCCACGTGGAAAACATGTTTTGCATTTAATACAAAAAAAGCTTCTCAACATAAGAATTTGGCAAAGTTAGGGTAAAAAATCTGTGATTCCAAATTCTATTTTATCTCTAAATATTTTAAAAAATACTGTATCTCATAGTCTGTACTAATATTTAGCATATAATTTTACATTTTGTATTTTTATCTGAGGACTACAGGGGGTTTGAATAAACTGAAATAAGTGATGTTTGCCAGAAGACAGTTTGGTATTCCATTAGGCTTAATGGACAGTTCTTATGATATAGGAATGTTTCAGTAACTCTTAACAAAATTTTTATTGCCATAAATCTCAAATTATAGAATTACTATAGATATGCATGTAAACTAGGTAGCTCATAATAAACACAGCTCATATGCAGTGCTAAACATCTACAAATAATACCTGTTACAGAACTGTGTCCTTTACGTATAGTAACAAGAAATGTATAGTTACTATAATACTAATTACACACACATGAAAGTATGTTAAAGCCTAAGAAATTTCATGTTTCCTTTCCTACTGGAATCGCTTATTCAGTGTAAAATCAGTTAGTTTTTAATCTGCCATTATTTCTGAATTCTCCATAATGGGCAGGTAGCAGTGGTTCCAAAGACTCATGAAGTCTAAACTCATATAAGATTCCTTCCTCAATGAATTTCATTTCATTCCAAAGAAGTAAGTAGCTACTATGAAGGCTTTCTGAGATCAAGTCTGGGAATGGGGTTGACAAAGAACTTCTGACCAAGTGGAGTCCCATGTAAGCATAGTTACTCCATTATTTTTATATCTCACCTGTTTATATGTATCCCATCATTTTAAATGATATTCTTATGTGCATTTTAAACATTGTTAGATATTCCTCTGCAATATGAGGATACTAGTAATACAGTAAAACATCAGGGTTCTAAAAACTAAAAAGCTTTACATCTAAGCCATTGTTTAACCACGACTCTGACACTTTTTGACTTGATTATTGAAAACATGAATGGATTTGCCTTCTTGATTAATATTAAACAGACACTTTTTGCAAAGCACAAAAGTGAACATGGTATTGATTTAGACCAAATGACTTACATATAGCATAAAGATTTTTATAATTTTTATTCAGGGTGGTAATTTTTTAAAATTGACATATTTAAAGAGTGTTCTCACTTCTCAGCAGTCACACCCACCTGAGGTATCCTCCACAATAATAAGTATTCAAGCCAGAATAAAGAAATGCTCAATGACATGATTCTATGCTTTTTCAGGTAAACCGTTTGAAGTTCAACCAAGTAACTTTTTATAGCCCATGGATTTATTCCTGTATTTTTGTACAGCAAAAAGTCAGTTGCAATTGGAAAGCAGCAAGGTACTAGTCTTCCTCAGAGTAACTAAACAGGAAAACATGCTCCCAAAATGTTTCCTTTCTTTAGAACACTCCTTTCTAGTCCTCAGGGAGGTCTGCTCTGAACCCATTGGGCTAGGTTAGATTGGTTTATTGTATATGGCATATATATTATTTATAATTATAATGTAGTCAAATGATATTGTTCCATTCATTCAGACAATTTATTTCAGTTTGCAATTACACATTAGTTAGTGCAATTATTCTAGTTATGCCTGTCTCTGCCAATGGACTGTAAACACCATGCTGCCAGAAACTTGCTAACTATTATATATCTATTAACTAGCATAGAGCCTGGCACAGTACAGATATTATAGACTGAATGGTATCCCCTAAAATTTCTTATATTGAAGCCCTAAACCCCAAAGTGACTGTATTTAAAGATGAAGCCTCTAAGGAAGCAATTAAGATTAAATAAGACGATAAGGGTTGTAAGGAAAAATGCCTGTTTTCTCACTATACTACTATTATTCTCAATACTTCTGGTCACCAAATGTGTGGGGATTTTGCTCACACCAACCAATTCTCCAGCTCTCCAGGTACCAGCTGTGTGTCCTATAATTTAGTTCAATACTCACGCCACCTACCTAGGGTTAGCACAGACTCCACAAGTTAAGAGATCAGTCACACAAGCCTGTCCCCCAACTTCAAACACCCGTTTCAAATCCAGATAATCAACTGCACGTCTGACTCCCTAGCTATGAATAGCAGATTTCCACAAACAACTCCTTGGGTTCAATAATTTGTTAAAATTGTTCCACAGTTGATTACTGAATTACCAGTTTATTATAAAAGCATACAACTGACAAACAACCAGGTGAAAGAGATGCATAAGGGAAGGTATGGGAGAAGGAGCACGGGGCTTCAAGGTCTTCTCCAGTGCAATGGCCTCCCAGCACCTCCACTGCATACCAACCCAGAATCTCTCTGGGTTATGAGACTTCACTAAGTAGGCATGATTTGTTAAATCATGAGCAAATGGTGGCTGATTCTATTTCCAGGCCCTTTCCCATTTCTGGAGGTTAGATGGTAGGACGTTCAGTTCCCACCTTCTAATCACATGGTTGATGTCCCCGGAAACTAGTCCAGATTCTGAAGGTATTTAGGAGCTTTCAGCCACTATTAATCTCATTAGCCTACAAAAAGACATTTGCCACTTCAGAGATTCTAAGGGTTTTAGGAGCTGTGTGTCAGAAAACTGGAATACAGACCAAATATGTATATCTTATTGTGTTATAAGGATGAAGCCTTTTCCCAGTAGGATTAGTGCTCTTATAAGAAGAGACACCAGAGAGTTCCCGCTCCCTGTGTGCACACAAAGAGGAAAGGCCAGGTGGGGATATAGTGAGAAGGCAGCCATGTACAAGCCAGGATGAGGGCCTACGCTGGAAACTGGCACCTTGAAATGGGAGACTTCTAGCCTCCAGAAATGTAGGAAAATAAACTACCGTTTTTAAGCCACCTAAACAATGGCATTTTGTTAAGGCAGCCCAAGCAGATAAATACAACAGGTAACTAAAAAGATTTGTTAAATGATTAAATGAATAAATGAATGAATGAATGAAATATGATGGAAACGCACCTCCCCAATTCATTTTTATTAAGAAAGAATAACATTTAATGTAACTTTCTGGCAGTTGCCAGCCTTTCTTCACTCTGCTGGAGGGAAGAAGGGTGACTTCTCTAGCTGATAAGTTTAGGAAAAGAACCTGACATACCCAGTTCATTTCTTTTCCCTCTCCCCTCTCTGGGCAGCAAAGCATGCAAAGGGAAAGAGATTCTGGTGTATTATTCCACACTATAAGTGTTGTAGCAACATCACCCTACCTAGGAGATATGTATGCTCCAACCACTTTATTAACATTTTTAAGTTGATCTGTCCAAATCTTCATCTAGCTCTCAACTTGAATAAAATTCGTATGTGTTAAAACAGTGCTACTTATTGAACCTACCAAATCCATGTAGATGACAGCATTATAATTTCAAAATGGGGAATGGATCATCAAATGATTAAATCATTGGTGGAAGCAAAGAATAATTTTTAAAAAAATTTTTTGAATATTTAAGCACTAACTTTTCTCATGCAGGTAAATAATATCAAAATAAATAAACAAACAACCCCTTCCTGTACAAAACAGGACATCCAATAGACGAGGCTTTAGCAAACTACAGCCCACAAGATTAATTTGCCACACTGCTTGTTTTTGTAAATCTTTCAAGCTAAGTTTTTTACATGTTGTAAGTGTTGAAGAAAGTCAAAGAGGAAGAAATATTTCATGACATGTGAAAATTATAGGAACCTCAAATTTCAGCACCTATTAAAATTTTATTGGAATACAGCTATGTTCATTTGTTTACTTATTGACTAAAGCTGCCTTTGCACTACAACAGGGAAGCTGAGCAGTTAGGAAAGACCACATATCCTTCAACACCTAAAGTGTTTACTATCTGGCCCTTTACTCAAAAGGTTTGCTGACCTCTTCAACAGATTAATGGTCTATAAAATGATGTTTGATCTTCAAAGCTGAAACACTGGCATTCAAATATGCCTAAGAGAAATATACCTATTACTAGAGAAACACTGAATCTACATATCTGGTTTGAATATATGTTACAGGTTTTTGAACCACATTGGGAGAAGTATTAGTCTTACTAGCATTTTCCGTATTTAGAGATGAAAAATGTAGAAAAATCTGTGTCCTTATGTTTACTTATTTTTGACAAAAATACCACTAGACCATATGTTTCCTGAAACATTTCAACTTAGATGATAATAAACTTAGCAAAACTTAAACCATAATAGTTATTCAATAAATCACTCTTACCCAAAAAGCTCTATATTTGAGCAGGCTTTTATGTTCCTACAGCAGAAGCATTTCTATTCATGCTTGTACATGTATTTCATTGTGTGAAACGTATTTGTTTTCCATTACATACTAAATATTTCATTTTTATTTAAAATCACACTGGAATGTAATATAATTGTTTAATGATTATTATCTCTGGGCTAAATGTGTTCTTCAAAAATAAATGTTCTCCACATATATTTTGTCTGTAGTGATCAGTGACTTCAACTCCTTTTTACTGTTACACTCTTTTTAATAGATCCAGTATTCTACCACACCCTGAATTAATCAGTATAATTTGTTGCTTACGTTGTTTTATGTGATACAAATTAACTTAATAAAAATGAAAGTTTAAATAACTTTCTTAACCTCACTGTTCAAAATGAAAAATTATCAGCAAAAATTCCAGGACTATAATTCTATCCACTGCATTTTCAAAAAATCTTTTTTTTAAAAAAAAAAAGAATCTTCCTTCCACATAAATTGTCACAGGGTCCCTAAAGTCAGATTCTATAATTATTTTTAAAATGAGAAAAGATAAATTCAAAAATGGAAAAGGTGCTATAAAAATAATCATTTAAAATCTAATGCAAACAGAGCATCCTCATGAGAATTCTAACAGACCTTTCAGTGTACTGCACAAGCACGTGACATACCATTAAGCAAATATAATTAAGGACAAGGGAGCAGGACTTTTTTTTTTTTTTTTTTGTAACTTTAGCTGCACATATGGAGCATTTTTGTTTCACTTCTGGTTTACTTTCTTTTAATCAAAGACCCCCACTGTAATGCCTTCACACAGGACTCAGTGTTGTGGTTACCATGGAAACCATAATTCTGAATGTCCTAACTTGTGTGATTAAAATTTAACACAAAGTAACATTGATAGTTTTCCCCATTTCCACTACCACCAATATCCAATTCTAATTAGCAGCACAATAACTGGTTTGGAAGGAATAAAGAGCTGTGACTACTATAGCCTCACATTGCCAGTTATTCACAGGGAATCCCAGGAACAATATATAGTGATGGTTCTCTTTTACAAGATGCCTGGTTTAACAGAGGAATTATTTCTAGTTCACTTTTCATCACCTCTAGAAAATAAAAAGTACATCGCTTTTCTTCTTTTTATATACCGTAAAAGTTTTTGGGGTATTTTTTCCTATATTTATTTTACTCGTTTGTTCAACTGGAGCAAAACTTTTTAACACAGGTCTGATATAGTAAAGTAATAAATGAAACTGTGACATTTTAATTCCTCAAATCCACTGGTAATATTTATATTCATTTCTATAATTACTACACTTGTTTCTTCAATATAAAATTAACCCTTCTAGATACATTAACCATGCAAATAACATAGGCAAAATCTTTTTATTTAACTGCAGTTTAAAAACTCAACTGAACCTCTTTTCTCCTTTTTCTTAATCAGCACTCCAGTAGAAGCTAATAAACTCTCAGTACTCCATTAAGGAAATATATGCTCTCTTGCTGATTATTTTGATTCCCTGAAAATTATATTGTCTCAGGGGTATACTTGCACTGATCATATGCCTTGGTACTCATCGCCTCTACTTATAACTGAGTACAAATTAATTGCATTAGTCAACACAACATTTTAAACGTAGAAATTATACTCTGTCATTTCAACTGAGTTTCTTGTCTACCTTAACATCTATAAGAGCAAATACAAATGACATTCCTTCTCATTCCTAAAATCCCAAAGAAAGCAGGTTAAGTTTATAGAGCAAGAGGGAAGATTTTAAATATTAAACATTTAGAGTTCAGTGGATAATTTAGTCATTAAGTCCAACACTCTCAATTTTTAGAGTAGAAATTGAGGTCCATGAAGCTTAAGGGGTATCTTTGCAGTAGAACCAGTACTAGCAGTTTTAGATGTTGATTTAACATTTTTAAATTATTCACTATGGAAGAGTGACATTTCTCTTACTATTTGTTGACAACTTCTACTTTTATTTACAAACCTAATTACCTTGAATATGCACACATGGCATTTGTAAAACAGAACTTGAAAATTAATGAAATGAACCTAAAAAGATGAAATTGGGATTGTTTTAATAATTTTGTTATATATCATTGTCTGATATAAATTGTCATTTCAAATTTTATTTCACACTGAAAATATTTTGTTTTTAAGATGTATCTTAACGTAAACTTTCAAAGTTATGGCTAAATTAATAAGCAGTGCACTTTACTAATTAATATTAATTCCTACTGTAAAAGATATTTTAAAATCATCTCCATTCCTGAGCATTTTACATATTTCATTTAAATATTATACATCCTTAACTAAAGATCTGAGTATTAACTGACATAAAAAATTTTTACTTCAAACATCATTTTGACAGCAGAATAAATAATAATTTTAGTAACGTCTGATTCCATCAACAATTTCCATTTCCATATGCTTTCTACTTACAAGTAAAGGATTGTCCTGTCCTATAAATGGTCCATTCAGGACTTTAATTTCTAATTAGAATATATGAATAAATTCAAGTAACCCAAGAGTAAGTTATTCTTTTCTTTGCAGTTAGACAGAATGATGGAAGAAAAAGCACATATATGTGTGTGTTTTGGTGGGGGTTGTGGGAAGTTAAGGAAACACAGTTTTGGAAGGAGAAAAAGTACACATAAAAGACAAGAGGAGAGGAAAGAGGAAGATAAAAATTAAGATTCCTTTATTTACATGTTCTTACATCAGATTAGATATTAGATTTTGAAAGATCCTTTGAATATATCAGTTCTTATTTCAAGACTATGGCAAGGGAGTAAAATATATTGAGAGACAGAGAGAGAGAGAGAAGAGAGAGAGTGAAAGACATTGTAAACCAGAGGTTCCATAAGTGAAGTGGGAGGATAAAAAAACAGAAGAAGCCAAAAGGATGGAATGGTCAGCAAAACCTAGGGAAGACAGGAAAGGCAAAAAAGAAGTAATTACTTTACCAAGTAATACATCAGGTTAAGTTTGCTAGATAGGACCAACATGAATTAAACTTGCTAATCAGGTCTGGCTGAAGATTTTAAATACAAAATTCTTGCCAGGTCTTAAATATTAATAGACATAAGAAAAAAAAAAAGATAACTGATCTCAGTGAAAAAAGAATAATCAATCTTCAGGTTGGAATGTGGTGTCATTTATTGTCAATACATTTACGAAGGCTCATCATTCTCACTCCATGATATTTAATGAAGGGTCTACTAAAATTGATTTTTTTTTCAATTCACCCAAATTCAAAGTAAAAATCATCATTTTTTTCTTTTTAAAGTTTCAAAATCTGCTTTCTAGTAAAATACTCTTTAATCATATTTCTTTCAACTATTTCTTATTCTTAATTCTTGAACATATCACAAAGAACATTAACACTTTCAGGATTGCAGTTTCAGTGAGACATTGTTCAATGATTTTGTTCACAAGGTAAAGTAAAACACATCAAAACCAATATCGCTTTATTATTTCATCACTCAGAGTCTAGCCTAGTGAGTGTGATAAAGACATCTACAATAATATGAAGAATGGCTCCCTCCAGAAATTTCAACAGAGCATCTGTCCAGATTTACTTGCCTGTTCAAATTACAGCATGGATAGCTCTCCAATGACCACTTTATTATTTACCCATTATATTTTCAACAGCTATACATTCCAGTGATCTTGGGAGTAAAAGACAGAGAAATAGAGATTTTCATTTAAAGTTTAAAATCTGTCTTTGGAGAAATGATTCTTAGTGATAAGAGGTTCAACATACCCTTTGCAGCCTGAAAAGGCCAGTTAATACTGACAATTTTTTTTATAGGAAATTAGCTAATACTATGTGTTCTCAAATCTTCCTGGTAGAGGTATTCATATGAAGCAATTAGAAAACTGAAGCACAGAATTGTTCTCACCCAGAATCTTAGGAATACTGGTATTCTGGCTATGTGGTGGAAAAGTAAGTGAGGAAATAAACAACAGAGCAAACCAGGAATTGAGAGCTAAAAGAGATGCTTTCAACTCATAACTCTCTAGGCAATAAAGTGGGTCCTGAAGGAATCTGAAAAAGCAGGACCACAGAAGGTCATGTGCTTTCATATTTCCCACCCCACATCCCCACACTTGCCTCATTTCTTTTTGACTATTTGTGTTTAAGGCTGGATAGAACACAAATGGAGCGTGACTCAGCTTCAGTCACATCTGTCTTGTTCCTTAATTTCTTTTTCTGTAAATGGATTACTTCCTAGAATGATTGTGAAATTCATTTGCAATTTAAAAAGTTTGTGAGGAGAAAAAGTGAAAAGGTTTTAACAACAGGAAAAAGAGGCAATGTTAATCTGCAAGAAAAAAAGTTTGTGGTTTAAAAGACATAACTTTATATAATTTGGTAACAATTATAAATAATGTCATAAAATTTGATGATATTTGCTAAAATATTGAAGTCCTAGAAACTGCACTATTGTTATTGTTTTGTATTATTTTATAGTATAAATATATACTTATCATATTAGAAAACTAATAAAATATAAACCTTTATTTTCCTGAACCAAAGTCTCATTCAGCAGGAATAATAATAATAATAATAATAATATATTCCTTACTAGGCTAACAAATTATTTAGTAAATTACATGAAAGCATGTTTCATATTGCCTGGAACATAATAGACACTCAGTGAAGTTAACTTGAATATGCATTTACATGTGAGAAGTTTCAAAAAGGCCAAAGTACTATGAAAATACATGTTATTAGCATTGAATTATAAATGAATCCATTTGCTGGAAAAAAAAGTAGATTTATAGTAAATTTATAGTTACTACTTTATGCATTAATAATAATGACAAAGATTTCCCTCCTGGATGATATAAGCTTTGATGCAACAGAAAAGGTAGTGATTGGGAAAGTCAAAATTGTGTTGGTTACTCATCATTTTGACCTACACTGTAAAATATGTTGTTAGAGGTCAAAGTCCTTAAAATGAAATAATGCCAAACACCTCAGTTCGACTGAATCAAGTTGGCAATCATTCAGCCAATGTAAACCAAGTAAGAATCTCTCCTTACTGATTAACATCACAAATGTGATTATGTAATTTGATATGTATATTCCTATAAAAGTTTTTTTTTTAAATACTCAATTTGGTCTGATTTATGGCATTATCAACAAAGGTAAATAATTTCTTTTTTAAAATTAAAAACTTTATCATCAGTAATGACAGAAATGGGCCAACATTATAACTTAGTTTGCATTCTAAATATATTAAACATAAATATAAATAATGAGAAAAATCTAATGGTTTTTCATTAATTTTAAACTTTGTTAAAAGTTCACTTTCTGCTACATCTAAAGCTAAAAGGATGTTGTACTAGATGACATGTATGTACGGGAAATCTGTCAAGCATTTGGGTGAAAAGCACACTGTAGGTAGCACTTTACAAATAAATCCTTTCCCTCCTTAGCTAAAACAGGCTATAGTAAACGCAATTTGAATATGATCTCAATTCAGATGTGGTTTTCCCAACTTATGGTCTCATAACAACAAAACAACCTGGTTAGTTTGGTGGAGACTCCATTCATTCATTATTCCTTGTTTGTCAATTAGCATTAGCACAATGCGCTCTCAACAGGTGGGATAACAAATCTGTGCGTTCCTCCTTCTACATTAACAGTTCAGCTATTCCCCTCCATATCAAAATTTTCCAAATTGTTTTATATTAAATTTGTTCCCTTGTATTTTATTGAAGTCCATGCCAGTTAAAACATTTTCAGATATCTTATCATTTTCTGATATATTATCATTTTCTGGTCTCTTTCAAATGGGTTATAATTGGCTATTTTTTTCAATGAAAGCTTTAATTTGTTATATTTTACTGAACAAATTCAGAATAGGTCATTACCTATTAAAACCTTCATGTTTTTATTATATTTGTCATGTAAAATTAACATATAATAGTGAGTATGTTTTAACTGCAGCTAGAAAATAAGCCAGCTGAGAAAGCACCTGAAATAACATAATACAGTAAAGCAAAGTTAATAGAAATTATCTGTATAAGTTTTGTGAATAAATTATGGTCTCATAACAACAAAACACCCTGGTTAGTTTGGTGAAGACTCCATTAATTCATTATTCTTTGTTTATCAATTAGCATTAGCACAATGTGCCTTTCACAAGCCATATAAGCATATATACAGCAAAGGTTTTTATAATACATTTCCTCTGTCCTTGTCCTATTAGCAATTCTTTTCAAAGGTGTTATCATAGGGAATTACTGCTGCAATACTGACTGATACTGGTGTAATGAGAAGAAGCATTCATTTTTCTTGGATATTTATACTTTGTCTAGAATAAATACCACACTTATATTTTCAACCACCTTATCACTAGATTGTCCCGGAACTGACAATCCAAGAATACTATTAATTCAGCATATTTAATCAGGTATGAAATTAAATTGAAATGAAACGTAATCTATTAAAATTTTTATTTGTGGAATTAATAACACTGAAGATTTCTTCATTTGTGGCTGAGAACACAATTAACAAAAGTATGTGTAAAATTTAGTTTCTTCATTATTTAGTTTCTTCATAAATTTAGTTTCTTCGTTTTAAAATGGAGAGTTTACAAGATTATACATACATTATACCCAAGTTTTATAAAAATCTAGCCATTCAGAATTTTGGCAGCAAAGCCAACAAACAACTGCTTGCTTCCATTACACTTGTAAGAGGCAATTTGAGAATATACTCCCCAGGAATTAAATTTTGTGAATAAACATTTTAGCTAATTGCATTATTGTTCTCAGAACATTCAAGGCAGCAGTAAGCCAAACCAAGCAATCCAATTTCTTTATTTCTTTTTTTAAAGCACTTAAATTCTCTTCCACAAACACATTTTAGAAATCAAGGGAAAACAACTACATGTATTGTATATTGGATGGATAGGGAAGATACGTAATTTTTTTTTATATTTAAGTGTAAATTTGTAATGTTTTAAAGAAGAAAAAGTGTGGTATTCCTGGGCCAAATAAATTCTAAATGTATATATTTCAATGGTTTGTGTAAAAGTTCAGTAAGGGGAGTTTGTCATTTGAACTTTTCATCAGTGCTCAGGGCACTGCATTTTGGGAACAGTTCAAAGAATACTGTAGCTATCCGATCCAGCCATCCATCTCAGATTTTTATCTGATCATTTTATCCCATCTTTAATGTATGTCTTACACTCTTTAGAGATCTTATTCTTTAAGAGAACAATATGATATGTATACTTAGGTCCCTACTAAACACATAATAATATAAAAAGATTTTTCCTAATATGTCCTTAAATTTCCTCTTGTTTGCTTCTTTATCCAATACTCTATCACTCAGGAAAATTATATTCTCTCCAAAAGAGATTATTCATTATTCTATAATAAATAATATGGTCTTACCATGACCGTACTCTTAGAATGACCATTCTCTGTTCTCCACTAATAAGACCCTTTTTATATGCTATAAATTCTGCAAAGTTTTCACAAAGAATTTTGTTAAGAATTAATTACTCTCTATTCCTCATGTTCCTATTAGAGTACTTGTCATATTATCATACAGCTAGCAGTACATGTTTCTGTAGCCCCAACTAGACTTCCAATTTTCTCCAGATGGTATGACATTATTACTCCACAACACAGCCGAGGTCTTATGCACACCAGACACTAATACAATATGTACTAAATAAATGATTTATTTTAAAGTAAATTAAAATTGACATATTTTATTCTTCATTCCTCTTCAAGAGTTATGATGATATTCATTAGCATTTCAAATTAGCATTTGAAAGATGGTACTTAATGTTCTGCATTACACCAATAGAAGTAAAAGTAATATTTTTAATGTCTCCTTTTCTTGTAAGTATATAAGCTTGAAACTTTTAAAAATGTATATTCACCCTGAAAAAAATGATAATTTATAATAAAGCCTGTGTTTCATAATTAAGTAAAGGCTCTAAATTATTATTGACATTTTAAATTCTGAAAAAAATTGAAAAATGTAATTCTCAATAAAATCTCATTATACTAAAAAAATGAGGAAATGAGTTTACATTTACTCTTGTATTTGCTTAATCTAAATTACATCTAAAAGTTTTTTAATATTAAAATTTTGAAAAACATTACAAAAATTAATGATTCTATAATATTTAAGCTTCTGGATTACTTAGTGGATTTCTGTCAGGCACCAAAACTGTTTTTCTTTAAGTATTTTTTTAAGGTCTTTAAAAATGTGCATATCATTGACTTCTGACAGAGTATACTAAACACAGAGGCCAACTAACTTTTTCTTCTCAATGACCCAAGACCATCACAGAATTGCAACATCATATTTTTTTAGATCAAGAAGGTCATTTATGGATAATCTAGTGCTGTTCTTGCTAATTGGACAAATGAGAATACTACAATCCAGGGAGACTGTGTGGTGTGTCCTGGGTCTCAGAGCAAGTTAATGGCAAAACCAGGGTTAGAATGAAGAGAACCTTATCCAGGGTTCTTCCTAATAGGAACCACATTCGAAAATTGTGTATAACTCAGCGGCTCTTAGATAGATAGAGAAACTTTGCTGTGACATATAAGAGATGTAGCCAGCTATATTTAATAATTTTATGATGATTTTTAGTGTTTATTTGGTTCATATTCCCAATATCCAATGCCAGATTCATGTTTTGTTGTTAGTATTTCCATCGTTTCATAATTTGGTGTATTTAATCTGAGAGGTTTTGTATACTAGATGACCAAATTTGTTAGAATATATTTGTAAATATTTTCTCATGAGACTCTTTTCTCTCTTTCTTTATTTTCCTTTTTCTTTTTTTTTTTTTTTTTTTTTTGAGATGGAGTCTCGCTCTGTCACCAGGCTGGAGCGCAGTGGCGCAATCTGGGCTCACTGCAACCTCTGCTTACCGGGTTCAAGCGATTCTCCTGCCTCAGCCTACGAAGTAGCTGGGACTACAGGCACAAGCCACCATGCCCAGCTAGTTTTTGTATTCTTAGTAGAGATGGGGTTTCACCATGTTGGCCAGGATGGTCTCGATCTCCTGACCTCGTGATCTGCCTTCCCTCTGCCTCCCAAAGTGCTGGGATTACAGGCGTGAGCCACCGCACCCGGCGCCTGAGACTCTTTTCTATGTAAAAAGAAAACCATTTATGCGTGTAAATTCTGAAGGGCACTTGACGTGAGCTTTAATTAGAATAAAACAGCTGAATATCCATCCAGTACCGAAAACAGTTAAACCTTATTTCTATGGTCAATTGTTTTGGCATCATCTACGATAGGAAACAAGACAAAACTCATAAAGAAAAGACAAAAATATCATGGAAGGAAAATATCATAAAAGTAGCATTTTGGCCGGGCAGGGGGGCTCACGCCTGTAATCCCAGCACTTTGGGAGGCCCAGGCGGGTGGATCATGAGGTCAGGAAACCGAGACCATCCTGGCTAACACGGCAAAACCCCATCTCTACTAAAAATACAAAAAAAAAAAAAAAATTAGCCGGTCGTGGTGGCAGGCGCCTGCAGTCCCAGCTACTCGGGAGGCTGAGGCAGGAGAATGGCATGAACCTGGGAGGCGGAGCTTGCAGTGAGGCGAGCTCGCGCCACTGCACTCCAGCCTGGGTGACAGAGCCAGACTCCATCTCAAAAAAAAAAAAAAAAAAAAAAGTAGCATTTTTCACTTGGATAATTTTCTTACCTAAATCTAAACAGCAATAAAAGCAGGTCTTGCCATAGTCATCCTAGTGTTAAAAAAATTAACAAAATCCAGTGTTTGAAGAAGATAAAACTTTCTGCATACCATCAATTTAATAAAAATGGCACCATAAATAGAAATAAATAGAAACTGGAACAAAACAGGTAATAGAAATGAAACTTAGAAATAAAAAAAAAATCAATAGATAGACTTACTATATGACCAGCAATCCCACACTTGGGTATTTAACCTAGAGTGATGAAAACTTACGCACATACATGCAGACTCACACACATTGCAAATGAATGTTCATAACAACTTTGATGTGGTTTGGATGTTTGTCCCCTCCAAACATCATGTTGAAATGTAATCCCTAATGCCAGAGGTGTAGCCTGGTATGAGGTGATTGGGTCATGGAGGTGAATCCCTCATGAATGGCTTGGTACCCTTCTTGAGGTAAGGAGTGAGTTCTCACTCTGAGTTCACGTGAGATCTGTTTTTTTAAAAGAGTGTGGCACCACCCCCACCTGTGTCTCTTGCTTTCTCTCTGGCCATGAGCTACACTGGGCCCTCTTTGCCTTCTGCCATGACAGTAAATTCCCTGAGGCCCCCAGCAGGAACAGATGCCGGGGCCATGCTTCCTGTGCAGCCTGGAGAACTATGAGCCACAATAAACCCTTTTCTGTTTATAAATTGCCTTGTACTAGCAGTATTTTATAGGCGTACCAATGAACTAACACAATCTTTATTATCATTACAAATTAGAAATAACTCAAGTGTTTTTCAATAGGTAGATAAATGAACTGAGATACATCTATACAATAAAATATTAATCAGCAATTTAAAAAGGAATGAATTATTGGGGCACTCAACAACAGGGATGAACCTCAAAGGCATTATGCTGAGAAAAAGAAGTCAATCACAAAAGGCTACACATTGTACGATACATAGGAATGGAGAACAGACCAGTGGCTGCCGGGGAGTTAGGGGCAGAGGCAGAGTTTGACTACACAGAAGCAGCACTAGGGAATTTTTAGGTGATAAAACTGTTTTGTATCCTAATTGTGGTAAAAATTACACAATTCTCTACAGGTTTTCCATTTCATAGAATTTTCTACAGAAAACAAAGCATACAAACAAAAAGACTACAAGCATAAATACAGATGGAAAGGCAACAGTTGTGGTTGCATGGGTGTATCTATTTGTTAATTCATCAAATATTTACAATAACTAATTTTAAATGTATGTTCTCAAAAAATTTAAATGTATATTGCCAACTGAAAGAGAACAATGAACAAATCCCCCTCCTGCAAGAAAACAAAATGTCAATAGCTAATAATGCACTGTTTAGCTATGACACAAAACACCGATCTATAAATATTTATAGCTCAGAACAGACCTCATTCTATTCAACGTAGCATCCTTGATTCAGGCAGAAATAAGCAGCCTTTTTTGGACCATCATAATATTTTTTCAATGCCGTGGATTAGACACAGCTGTGGACACTTTAAGATAACTAAGGTCTGGTCAAGACAAGGATCAGAACACAAGATTTTGACTGGGCTACTGCTAGCTCAGGGTTTAGCCATAAAAATAAGAAAAAATAGAGAGTTAACAGAAAAATGAGTATGCACTCACTTTGTAACATAAAAATCTAGTAATAAACATTTATTTTAAAATAACTAAATTTTAAAATTAGTCATTATTTTAAAATTTAACATAAGTTTTAACAGATTTAGTGAGAAAAGCTATACACACCAAAAATACTGATCCAAATAATTGGTTATAACCTTTGTAAAATTCTGTTAAAAATGAATTTTATTTTTGTTTTGGAGGGAAAAAAAGTATTATTGTTGTTTTGTATACACTCCATTTGCTGTTCATGGCTTCACAGCCTGCTCTGTGGATTAAGTAGTAGCTGACAACTTTTGCTTTGCTCAACTGACTGGCAGCTATCATTCGAATGCCAGACTTATCTTTATGTAGATTTCTAAAGGTCACCATTTATGCATGTAAATTCTGAAGGGCACTAACTATATACAGCTGACAGATTCTGACAGCCACGATATCTCCAAGAGAGGAATAAGCAGGAATGACTGTCTGAATAATTAATGTGCTTTTACCCTGCCCATAGCCAGTTTTTACATCCCACACATTCTGACTGTGGTTTTGAAATTAATTAGAAAACATAATCTCATAGCAAACCAAAACTTCTTTTTAAATTTTCTATAAAAAAAAGGGGTAAAAAAGCGACACAATTAATGACCTTCAGTTTAAAGTGTAAATTTATAGAAATCACTCCTACCTAGAGATGAAAATTAACATCTGGCTCTGGATATTATTTCTGTAAAAAAACAGACATTACTATTTCTGTGAAGACATTACATCGTTACTGTATAAAAAGTGTATAAAAGCAAATAAGCAAAGAATTCTGCTCCCTACACTGCTCAATAAATGGCCCCATCACAAACAGGGTTGCCACTTTCAAACCTGCGACTCATTCCTGATTTCAACTTTTCTCTCACTACTCAAATGCAATCAGTCACTAAGACCTATCAACTGCCTTCTAAATAATCTTAAATGTGTTACTCCCACTCAATCCCCATTGTTGTTGTGTTAAACTGGATCTTTCTCATACCTCACCTGAGTTATTGCAAATATTTCCTGGGTAATCCACCTGCCTCCAGTCACATGATCATGCATGCTGCTTCCAGAGTTATCTTTCTAATATACAAATCCATGAGCAAAGCCAATGGTGCAATATAAAAGACACATAAAAACAGAAATTAAAAGGATGCTATAAAGAGGAAATATTTAGAATACATAAAATAATGGAAGGAGGCAATAAACAAATTTTGTGTAATGTGGTAATGTATGCTCTGGAGAAAAAATAAGGCAGGAGATGGGGGTAGAGGCTACTCCCAAACAGTTTCCATTTTAAATGGGAATGTGCAGGGAAGGCTGCCATGAGAAGAGAATACCTGAAGTCTAGGAAACAAGCCACATGAATAACTGGGAAGACTGATAGGTAGAAAGGCCCACACTCTTAGGTAGAGTGGCCTAGTGTGTTCCACACGCAGCAATGAAGCCAGGGCAGCTGGAGAGCAGAGAAGGTTGAAGATGGAACAGGTCTCCATTTGCTGTCTGTGACAACAGTGGAGCAAGGAAAACAGGAGGGTGATGTAATTATCCACACAGAAGAGGACTGTGATTTGGACAAAGGTAGTAGCCTAAGAGGTGTTAGAAGTGGTCAGACAGAATATGCTGATGGATGTGTGAGATAGAGGATTAAAGAACTACTCCAATAATTTGTGCCCAAAGAACTGTAAGAATGGAGCCATTAACCCAAACTTCTGTGAGAATGATGTTACTGCATAGGATTTCTTATTTTGAAAACTTTGGTTTCACCCTGTGTGTTTAAATACACTGAAAGAGGTCATTTCCTGTGGAAAATAGACCTTCTCCAGCACATCTTTCCTTTTGAGGCTCAAAAAACTGTAGTGTATTTTACAAACACTTACGTAGTCCTTAAGATAGGCATTGTTCTATTCTAAATGCTGTATGGTAGATCATATTGTTAACCCACTTATGCAGGTGAGGAAAGTGAAGCAAAGAGAGGATAGATACCATGCCCAAGGTCCTCTATTGACTCTGTCTTCAAAATTTGAGCTCTTTATCTCAGTTGTTTTGTGTATTTTATTATTAAAATGGAGTCCAGAGGCCCCCAGAGCTGATAGTGGGAGAGGGGTGGATGATGATGGATACGTTTGTTGTGGGAAGTCAGGGACCCCAAATGGAGGGACCCGCTGAAACCATGGCAGAAGAACATGGATTGTGAAGATTTTATGGACATTTGTTAGTTCCCCAAATTAATACTTTCATAATTTCTTATGCCTGTCTTTACTGCAATCTCTAAACATAAGTTGTGAAGATTTCATGGACACTTACCACTTCCCCAATCAATACCCTTGTGATTTCCTATGCCTGTCTTTACTTTAATCTCTTAATCCTGTCAGCTGAGGAGGATGTATATTGCCTCAGAACCCTGTAATAATTGCATTAACTGCACAAATTGTACAGCATGTGTGTTTAAACAATATGAAATCTGGGCACTTTGAAAAAAGAACAGGATAACAGCAATTGCTCAGGGAATAAGAGAGATAACTTAAACTCTGACCACCGGTGAGCCAGGCGGAACAGAGCTGTATTTCTCTTTCAAAAGCAAATGGGAGAAATATCGCTGAATTCTTTTTCTCAGCATGGAACATCCCTGAGAAAGAGAATGTGCACCTGGGGGTGGGTCTCTAAACTGGTCCCCCTGGGGCGTGGTCGTCTCTTATGGTCGAGGCTGCAGAGATGAAATAAACTCCAGTCTCCCATAGTGATCCCAGGTTTATTATGAAGAGGAAATTCCCACTTAATAAATTTTAGTCAGACCGGTTGATCTCAAAACCTCGTCTCCTGATAAGATGTTATCAATGACAATGGTGCCCAAAACTTCATTAGCAATTTTAACTTCACCTCGGTCCTGTGGTCCTGTGATCTTGCCCTGCCTCCACTTGCCTTGTGATATTCTATTACCCTGTTAAGTACTTGATGTCTGTCACCCACACCTCTTCGCACACTCCCTTCCCTTTTGAAAATCCCTAATAAAAACTTGCTGGTTTTTGTGGCTTGTAGGGTATCACGGGTCCTACCAACGTGTGATGTCTCCCCCAGATGCCCAGCTTTAGAATTTCTCTCTTTTGTACTCTGTCCCTTTATTTCTCAAGGCGGCCAACGCTTAGGAAAAATAGAAAAGAACCTACGTGATTATTGGGGCAGGTCCCCCTATATACGTTCTAGATCTTGATTTTGGTGATATTTTCACAACTTTATGTGCTTGTCAAAACACATTCATATGTTGCACGGACTGAATTCATTATATATAAAATAGATATCAATAAACCAGCCTTTAAAAAATACAATCTAGCAAATATAAATTGACACATATTGGAAATACATACATTTTGTCCAAATGAAGACTGAATTTCTCATATTATATAATCCATTCTAATACTTATTTTTTCTGATTAAGGCAGTGTTTTCTATGTCATCTTCTAAAAATATTTGCTGATAAAGTAATACATTTTTATTTGTTGCCATATTTTTCTCATGTGATTTCAGCCATTTTTACCACAGCAGAAAGAGCTACACTTTCTCTAATGACTTTATTCCTTCCCTGCAAGAAATCTCCAATAAGGCTTCTAAAGATTTATCACAAAGTTTAGTAAAAATTTGTAAATTGCTAGATTGACCATGAGTATAAACCCTGCTGAACAAAACCAGAGGTTTTACATGTATGTTCTAGATGTTAATTTATTACAAATCTTACTATTTATTTTGCTGTGTACTATCATTAACTTATACCTCAAAACAAAATATATTCTTAGGACAAGTTTAATCACTTAGAATTTAAGAGTCAAATCCATATTTCATAGTCTTCTTGATTATTTTAAGTTTTTGGCTAGCTCCTTAATAAATCTGAGTAGTGTTTATGTTATATAATGAAACTGAAAAATAACCTATAATAGAATTAGGGGAAATATCAGCTGCCATTTTCTTAATGTTGCCTTGGTCATGTATTAGTAAAATAATCTTCATTTTTCCAATTTTGACGTTAGGGCTACATAAAAGCGATTTTCTAGATGTGAGGACTCATTTAGTTAAAAATGATAGTAATTCCATAAATACACTTAACCAAATACATGCAACACGAGTACAGTAAAATACCCTTTCAAACAACCACCACCATCAAAATCCCAGTTGGTATGAATTCAGGAGTAAACTGAACAGATGAAAATAGCACTCACAGAGCTAACCTCTGCATTCCAGTTGTGGAGCAGTAAGTGAAAGAAAGAGATAGATACATACACATACACACACACAAACACACACACAGAAAATGTGAGTCTGTGTCTATACATATGCATATACATACACACATTTTTACATATTTATAAAACAACTAAATTTGGCAGCCATTCTTTTACAAAGTTGAATATATAATAGTTTATTTGGTACTTAATGTTGGTGAAATAAATCAATATACAAAACATGCTCAGGCAATCATCCTTTTTACAAAAATTAATCCAAACAAACTTAGATATGTTTGCTGTGGACATATTAAAAACTAGTGAGAAAGATGAAGTACTGCAGATACTATTGTGCACATTTTGAGAGTTCCTGACAGACTGCTGAAGAAAGAAAGGTGGGAGCAGTTCACTTCTGCTGGAGGCGCTGAAACCTTCAGAGAAGCTGTGAAATTCACGGAGGAGTTGTTGTGACAGGGAAGGTGAGGTTATACATTCCAGGCCCACACACTAGTTTGTGAAAGAGCAAGGGGTGGCCATTGAAGGATTGCTGTTTCCACTGTGGCTGCAGGATTACATATGTGGTGAGACAATGTTAGGAGAGGAGTCAGGCGAAGTTGGCTTGGAACAGTCTGTGAAGTATCATGTTTGCCTTACAAAAGCTTAATTTTCTATTCTAGAGGCCCCCGGAGTGTTCAAAAGTATTCAGGGGGATGTTGGAATAAAATTTCAGAACATCTCCTCATATTTACTTTCTTTATGAAAAATCAGAAAGCATTACGGCTAAATAATGTTTAATTTAATGACTGCCACAGGTCCCAAATATGAAGTTTATGGAGAAATCATAGGGATTGTTGCCCCGTTAAATGTTTGGCAGGTTTGTTTTCTAATATTTTAATTGAGATATAATTCATATACCATAAATTTACCATTTCAAAGTATACAATTCACTGTTTTTTAAACTATATTCACTAAGTTGTGCAGCTATCACTGCTCTCTACTTTCAGAATATTTTTATTTCCCCAAAAGGAAACCTTGTATCCGTTAGCAGTTACTTTTCATTCCACTCTTGCCCCACCCTCTGGCAACCACTAACATACTATCACTGAGGGTCTACCATATAAATAGAATCATATGTTTGGCCTTTTGTGTGTGTCTTTTTCAGTTAGTATAATGTTTGCAAGTTTCACCCTTGTTGTAACATGAATCGTTACTTCATTTCTTTAGGGCTGAGAGTTTATTAGCTTCTACTGGAGTGCTGATTAAAAAAAAGTAGAAAAGAGAAAGATTCAGTTGAGTTTTTAAACTTCCGTTAAATAAAAAGATTTTGCCTATGTTATTTGCATGGTTAATATATCTAGAAGGGTTAATTTTATATTGAAGAAACCAATGTAGTAATTATAGAAATGAATATAAATATTACCAGTGGATTTGAGGAATTTAACTTGCCAAAAAAGTAAGAATTTTACATATAAATAGAAAATGTATGTAAATTATTTATACATATATCTATTACACATAGTAATATAGTAGTATATTTTATAATATATAAATAAGCTAATAAATATAAATGAAAGAGTCAATCACATCTATTCTGAAAGAAGGAAATAATATTAATTGTTTGCAAATGTGACTGAGTGTGAAGAAGAAAACACTGACAAGAAATTCCAAATGAAAGAGATTCAATCATATCTCTTCTGTAAAACAGGAACAACATTGCTTGCATGTAGAAATAAATAGGGGGAAGAAAACAATGACAAAGAAATTAAGCAAAAATATTTAAAAGACAAAACATCAACTGGAAAACGTAGTGCACAGAAAGGCAAGTGCAATATTTTTATAGTTTTAAGTCACTCTTTACTCCTAAAGCTCAGAAAAAAGTACGGAATATTTGAAAATAGATGATAGCAATTAAAGTACATATCAATTATGTCAATAATTCAAAATGAAATGAACTTAAATCATTTTAATATGAAGACCAATAAGAAAGTTGATATTTCAAATATTAGGCTCTGTATTTATAATAATGTACATGCTAAACTTTACAAAGTAACTTTACAGGAATTACTTTCAGTAACTTCAAGAAAAGAGGAAATTCTCATTGAACTGTTGATTGATTAATATGTGGGCCTGTTTTGCCTTCTATGATTTTCTGGGGAAGATGTAAATATGGATATTGACTTAAAGTTACACTGCTTGAAATGCTGGACTTCATAAACATATTTCTGATAAATAACATAATTTTTAAAGTAATTTGCTTAATATTAAACATCGTGTTGCTACCAAAAGAATATATTTTATTACCTAATATTTATATTCAACATTATGAATTATGTAATTGAAAACTGAATGAATTAAAGAAAAATGACTTTAACACATTGTGTTAGTGTACATGTAGCAACTGAAAAAAACTCAATATGGTTATTCTACATTAGTTAAGAAAGTAATAAAACATACGTGCCTTTCTGAAAAGGTGAAGACCTACTAAAACTCTTATTTTTAGCTCATTTATTTTTCATATAACTGGAGTATATTTCCTCACAACAGCAATATTTTTAATTAGATCACTTATAATTTGTTCACAAGAAATATGATTTTTGGAAAATGTATAACAAGAAATGGCAATTTATTTTCCAAAAATATGTAAAATTCCATTTTAGTAACACATTACAAATATGCTGATGTTTCAATATGATAAAGACTCAAAATAATATATTAACTTGAATGTAAATATTTTTAAATAAATTTTGAAATTATATGGTTGGCAATAATAATCTACTAATTACCTTAATTTGCTCTTCAATTGCTAAAAATCCATGTTTTTTTCCTCCAATTTACCAAATTAAACATTTCTGAAAAAAAAGAAAAAAATATTTAATTTGATTATGAGAAAAATTAAATATTCTGTTTTATGGTTACAGTTGTAGAATGCTTTGAATATTTCCTGTTGGTTGTCAAGTCTATTATTTCCCACAATGCCTGAGGTCTCACAGCAGAACTATGGTATGTAGAGGAAATTTAGGATGCAGATGACACATCTTCCTAGACTATCTAATTTATTATAATGTTTACTGGGAAAATTGATGGATTTGGTAGCTACAGATTTCTTTTCCTAATTAAAAGACTATAACAGTTTTTAATATAAATTTTGCTATTTCCAAGAAATGTCCCTATTTCTTGCCACAGGCTCTTCAAGCTAAGATACTGGGATTGATTAGTCTTACCACTTTTGCCATTAGGTAACAGGCATAGAAAACAAATTGAGAAGCACCTTAGCACATCTAATCATACACATATACATACACACACCCTTATTTATGTATACAGACACAAATACTGTAATCTATTTATTCACAATAATCTAAATAAATTTGGATTTAAAAAATAGAAAGAAATAAACAGAAATGTAAGTTTATTTAAATGAAAGATTTATAGAGGCATTTGAGTTTTTATTTTCTTTAAATTACCATAATTTTTTAATTTTATTAAACAAATAATAAAACAGACTTTTTACACCCAGAAAATAGTATTATCGTTCAAAGTATTTTCTTTAGATATTTAATATTTTCTAATGGTTTTGCAACTGGCCATATCAATTTTTGAATGTTCTAGTATGTCTATTTAAAGAGCTTTACACAAAGCTCTTTAGTTTTAGTTACTAGTTTGTGACTACACAAAGAGCTTTACACAAAGCTCTTTGTATTAGTTAATTATTATTATATTTAGTATTTATTTATGCTATTAGTGTTAGTATGCAATCAGGAGGTTAAGTAACTACATACATGCTAAACAGTGACAAAATCCATTATCTATTCTAGAATTTTGCCCCCAAATGGATAAAGAATGAGATACAGGGCAGAAAGTCAATAGCATAAAATTAAAGTTGAGCTCTACTTTACCAAATCACTATTGATTAAAATAAGATATACTATGATATAAAATGAAAACAAATTAGTGAAAGCTATTCACTAATAAAAGCGTTATATTTTGTTCAGGAACTTAAAAAATATTAAAGCAATGAAACTCACTGTATCTTTTGGAGTGAGTGTCCACTTCTATTTGCCCAATTAGTGAGGTTTTTGTACCACAAGAACAATTCAAGTTCATACTTGAATGCCACACTTGACTGCTTGGGCAGGAAAAACAAATTTTTAATCAACTGCTTAAATTTCACTGGATGATCATTCTAGCATGCTCTCTCAATAATTATTGGCTGTCACTTTTTTCCCTGGTTTTTGAAGAACTGGCGTATCTCATCTTCAAATGTTCTACATATCTAAACAATCATGGGTTGTTCTCTACAGGTTTACCTACAATACCATCACCTTTAAGATCTTTTATTTTTTTCCCTCCCATCTGGGAAATACATTCTGACATCCAAGCATGACTAATTTCACAAAGTTCTCCCTGATACTACCAAACCCACTCCACCACAGATAAAACCAATCTTATCTTCCCTGACACTCCTATACCTCTTTGTACATTTCTCTATTTTGTTGAAAGCTACACTACAATATGAATTGCTAGAGAACAGAGACTGTGGCTTCTTCAATCTGTATCACCCCTCTCTAAGGAACCAAACACCTAACCGCGCCATGAAATGCTGACTGGGTAAACAAATCATTTCCATTTCTTAATTAAACACACACACACACACACACACACACACACACACACACACAAACTTGTTTATTGGAAACTGTCTGTATTGGCTGCACATAAATTGAGACCAAAAACAAAAGTACACTATTATATGTGTCTTTCAATTTCTTTGTATAGCTACCTTTATAGATTCTTTTTCTTTTTATAGGTAAGGACAGAGAGTCTTCCATTTACACTTTGGCTATTCAACATCTCAATGCCTTTCTCAATTACAGCCACTTATGACACTTGAGAGTCAGCAGACAGCTCCAACCAAGGACAGGCTTACATAGAGCCACTTAGCCTGCTAATGAGAAGGCAACCAGGTGTGAGGGAAAACACCAGAAAGAAAAAGGCGAGCAGGAGGGTGAAGAAAATAGAAAAGAAAACTGCAAGAAGGGCAGGAAAAGGTATTATATCAAATGATACTGTTCTATCAGTAAAAAGTAATACGACTGAATTTCTTTTGTAATTAAGAAACTTGATCTAAAAGGGATCTTTTAAAAGGAGCTACTAGAAATATTGTTTTGAGCAATGTGATTATTTAGGAGCAAAGCACTAAGGAAAGACAAAAAGTGTAATTTATTTTGGATAAAAATAAATGCCGGCAAATATATGTTCATAGCTTCATTACTTTATAGTTCCATATCGTTCGAAAGCGACATAAAAAGCAATGCACCAGAAATTATTGCAACTCACTCTAGGTCTTGAGAATTAGATGGAATTGTTTTGAGTTTGAGTACTAGATTGCTTTAATTAAAAATTAAAAGTTAAATTAATTTTTGCTTTAAATCAAACTTTGTAAAGCAATCACATATATAAGATCTCCAAAATGCAAAATAAAATAAAAATGACATTCAATTCATCAATTACAAAAAAACTGGAATACATGATAAATATGAATGTTCAAGGTACATTTTCTAATCCTAAAATGGAAAGTTTAAAAAGTAGAGAAACTTCATTGATTCATCAAATATTTACTCAATGCCAGGCACTGCTCTAGTTGGTATGAATTCAGGAGTGAACTGAACAGATGAAAATAGCACTCACAGAGCTAACCTCTGCATTCCAGTTGTGGAGCAGTAAGTGAAAGAAAGAGATAGATACATACACATACACACACACAAACACACACACAGAAAATGTGAGTCTGTGTCTATACATATACATATACATACACACATTTTTACATATTTATAAAATATATTACTATATTACTATGTGTAATAGATATATGTATAAATAATTTACATACATTTTCTATTTATATGTAAAATTCTTACTTTTTTGGCAAGTTAAATTCACATTTAACCTTTAAAACAATTCTCTGAGGTTGGTATGGATATTAGTGGCAAGGCCAGAATTTGAAGGCAAAAAAGCCAAATTCAGACTCTACATCCTCAAGCCTTTCAAATAACATACTGATTATTACTGCCTTTGTTTCTTACCGGGATGTTTATAACAAAAGACAGAAAATAAACTTCCCAAAATCAATATTTTAGAAAATGATCATCTCAGAATTTCATGACACTGATTACTGTTAGAAGACACTTTCACATTTTGGTACTAAAATAAGATTCCAGGAATCCCATTATAAATTAATGTGGAATTAAGATGGAAAATATGTTATTTTTTCAGTCCAAGTGACATTAATTCCAATATTATGTGGCATCACCTACTGAACTATCCAGTCAGGGTTCATGAGTCAATGAAGAAGTGACATGAACAAACATGTTTTTAAAAGACTATTGTGTTGTCAGTTAATTAGATGGCTTTCAGCCTAAGATGACAGTGATATTTTTTAAAAAGGTCAGTGTAATTGAGACTTAAAAAACAATACAACGAGTTAGAGAAATTTTTATGATGGAGTATCTTTTTGTCTACAAGAGTTAATCCTTAAATCATTCTTAGAACTAGACAGTTACATATTAGGTATTACTAATATAATTTTATGATTTGTAAAAAGAAGTATATGGCTTTCATATCCATCATTTCAATTTTTTTGGATGTTAAATAGGAAAATGTGAATCAATGATCTGAAAATAGACATAATTATCACATTTACGACAGTCCACCTCCACAACTAGGCCTTCAAATGTTATCTTTTTACTTATGATGGTCAAATCCTTTTTCCAACTACCCCCTTCAGGTCTCACCCGACTAGTCTATGGGTGATTTTCAAATATCTTCTACTTTGGTTTCTTATTGATAAGCATCATCTTGTGCCACCTCTCTCTAGATAGTGTTCAGATTGTTTTTTCATCTCTATTTCCAATATCATAATCCTCATCACTGTGTAAAATAGACAGAAAATAAATTTTCACCCTATTTTACAGATTAGAAAGCTATAATTCACGAATATTACCATGGTTATTACATAAATACTTTAAAGGCAAAAGTCCAAGACAATTTGTACTTCGTTCAACCACCTGCCACTAATCTTGTCTCACTGGTCTACACACCTCAATAGTACCTCTCAGAAGACCATTCAAGCCCCTCTCAAATCTGCCTCGCAAATGGTTCCCAGAACAACCTAAGACTTCATTTTTCTCATGATGATTTTCTGCTCAATAATCCACAAAAGCACTGTTTTATTTTTCACAGAGTCTGGTTTTCAAGAATTTATAAAGGATGAATACAATTTTTGTATTACAAACACCACTTTTTGACACCACCCTACTCCAAATAGAATTCCATAACAGCGAGCTTGGGTTGCTGACTGGCACCTCAGACAAGATTATTCTGAACAGAGTGGCTTGTCAGCTAATGTGATCCCCTGTACACTTGTTCAAAGTTTTAAACACTGTGCTGAAGTCTCATCCTCCGAAAAAATTAGGCTCAACTGTTTTTGCACAGACTCATCTCTATATGCTTGGTAAACTTTAAATCAGTAGTACAAAGTTTAGTCCTAAATGCACCCATATTTTCTACCTGTTAGCCAATGGCCCCAAGAAAGGGTACTCCATTATATAAAGTATCTGGGGGTGGAACTTTGAGAACGGCTAAATGAGTAGGCTGGCAAATGGTCTCCACAAAAATCAATGATAAAACTGGACAAAATTGCCAAAAACAACTGTTTCAGGACTATAGAAATTAGCCAGTCATTTAACAAATTAGGAAATGTTTATCAAGAAAAACTACTGAACTTCTGGTAAGAACAATGGGGGTCCTATGTCATTTTGCTTGGGAATTTTCCTGTCTCTCTCCCATCCCCAAATAGGCTTAATGTGAGATCAAAAAACAAATCTTAGTAAATATAAAAGGATGAAAAATCATATAAATTGTGTTGCCTAACCAAAACAGAATTAAATTAGAAATAAAAAGAAAAATAGATTTTGGAAATCCCTAAATATTTGAAAGTGTTAACATTTCTATATATCCCAAGGGTCAAAGATGAAATCACAAAAGAAATTAGAAAATATTTTAATTAAATGGAAGCAAAAGCACACCATAGCAAAATTTATGGGATGCAGTGAAAGCAGTACTCAAAGGCAAATTTATAGCTTTAAAAGCCTACATTAGAAAAGTAGGAAGATCTCAAATCAATAATCAAAGCTTCTACCTTAAACAAAGAGAAAAAGAAGAGTGAGCTAAATGCAAAGTGAGCAAAAAAAGAGGGAATGAAGGAAAGAATAGAGGAATAAAGGAAAGAAGGTGTAAACTTTACCAGAAGACCAATGTTAAAATGACTACTAATTATTTAAAATCTCACTGATTATTTATTTATGCTATGAAAAAAATCCCTCACCTTTTCTATCTGGTAGCATTTTCATTTTTAACATGACAAATAGATGAAATTACTCTTAAGCTTCTTCCTCCTTGAAAAACATATAATTGATTTTTTGGTAATACTCAACAGATCCATAAAGGACATAAAAATGTACAACAAAAAGGAAACTCACAGGTTATTATTAGGGGAAAAAATGCAGAAAATCCAGAGAATGATCCTCAAACCTTAGTCAATATATTACCCAACAATTTTGCTTATAGAAGGCTGAGTTTCATAAGTTTTGTTTACATAAATACTAAAATACATTATAATTGATGCAAGGAAGGGAAGAAATATATTGTGGTGACTATCAGTTTGCCTGTCTGCACATATAAGGTAGGGTAGGATAGGACAGGATAGGAGGATGGGCTAGGATATGATACTATACCATTCCGTACCATTCCCTACCATACCATACCATAGGATATGATAGGGAAGGTAAAGGCAAAAGAAGGGAACGGAAGAACCCGTGCTGAGGTGTCTTCTATATACCCAGCCATTGTGGTAACAGCTAGGAATAGGGCAGTGTAAACAGATACAGATACAGTTCTTGCCCTCAGAGAAGAGACTTTATTAACATTAAAACCAAGGATTAGGTCTTTTCTCTATTTCCTTTAGTGCAGAGAACTATTCTTTCTCAAGTATCAAAAGCTACCCAAAGCTCCCACAGCTTCCATAGCCACAATCAATTCCTTCTTCAAGTTTAGCCGAAGATTGACTCACAGATGCTTCAACTTACTGCTAGTATCTAAGGAACTATGTAGCCATTGTCCTATGACATAATAAAGGAGAAAACAAGAACTGCTGTGAATAACCCACCCTCAGGAAGAGTTCTAGCATTCTGCTGTAGACAGGAAAATAAGAAGCTTCTTATGAAGGGAGAAAAGATGGTAAAATACACAGCAGATGTGACTGATGGAGGCTTGAACAGACATCTAGAAAACGATTCAGTACAAAATGGAAATTCCATATGAGCAAGATGGACTAATGACCTGGGGCAGGGGGTTTCCTGCTCTCCTTTAAATACTTCTGCATTACAAGTAGTCAGCAGCCCATGTCTGTAACCCTAGGAAGACTTGGTGGGCGTCCAGGAAGATATTTCCTCAGCAACGCCTGCTCCTTTCTTTCTCTGATTAAGAAATAGCTTTCAAATTATCAGTATTAAAAAAAAAACAGCATTTAACTTATCCTCTGTTTTTATCCCTCAAAATGGCTATGTTATGACTATAATTACACATGACAAGTGGTATTTGCATACTAATCATGGTTTCCAACTTCTATAATGGAATTATTAAGCTTCTCTCATTTATAATAAAATGTGACTACCCTCTATACTTTTAAATGGTAATTTTCTAGTAGAACATGCTGAAATCTACCCTGCAGTTTATATCATGAAATAATAATTGTTAAACAGTACACACATTTACATATTCTATGACAAAACAGTTCAAAACAATTGGAAGTTTGCTTTGCAAGTAATGAAAATATAACAATAATTTATATTTAAGTACTTAAGAAGCTTTAGGAAGAAGGGGATTACAAAGATCAATGTTCATTTGTTCAACTTCAGTAGGAATACAGTATACTTTATTAATAAATATTGTTCAAAATACAAGGGAGTCAATTCAGGAAAGAAAACATGTGTTCTCAGAATTCCTGTTAAAATGAGAAACTACCACTCATAAAGCAAATAGATAATTTTCAATATATACCTGCAATTAAGTGACACTGATTGCTATTGCTTCTACAAATATGAATTCTAAACTCATGTATTTTTTTCTAAGATGAATATACAAAGAGAACATATAGACCCCTTGGTCTTTATAGGAGCTGTATTTTGGAAAGATTGCATATTAATTAATTCACTTTGAATGTCTTAGAGATATTTACCGTTTACAGAGGCTCTGTACTAAAACATTTTGAAATGTGTTGCAAAATAATCAGCTTTCAACATATATATTATTTAAGCACTCTACCATTGCTCCATCTCCTTTCCTTTCACACTGGTTAAACATACCAAAATCTAACCTGAAACATGCATGCTGGGACAGTGTAAGTCAGAGTAACTCAGGGAGTACACTTGATGATTCATATGATACTTATCTCAGGGTTATGGATGTAGGAAATCTTGTCCCGGTTTATGTCCAAAATTTGAGCAAGAAATTTAAAATTTCATTCAAGCAGAAATGCTCTACTTAAGAAAAAATCCTTTTCTTTAAACATTTATTTATCCTGTCTTTAACCCTCCAGTTTTTAGTTCACAAAACTGTACTTTCTCTTCATGGTAAATTTAGATAAATAAATTTAGAGTTTAATCTTGAACTATTAAATACAAGGAAAAATAGCCTAAGAACAAGTTATTGTGCCAACACATGCTACCAAATACCTTCTACAGACTCATGATAGATTTTTTTTTAAGAGTTACCAAATTTTTGTAAACTCACGCAGTTTCTGAATGTCAGTTCCAGAAAAATGATTTTTATGTCACATATCTAGAAGGCCAAATTGTCAGGTGATACGAATCTCACAAAAATCCAATATGCCAGAATCCTTACTGTTTTACTAAACACAAGAACCTGGCATCTAATGAAGTGTTCTCAGAGGTTTAAAATAGTTTGGATTGCCAAGCCAGACACTGAACCTCAGATAAGCTTTTTCCAAAAATCCTCATTCCTCTGGTCATTAAAAAAAAATCAATAAATGTATTCTAACTAAAGTTTAAAAAGCTTCTGAGAAGTGACCTCTGCCAAAGTGTTTTGGGAACATTCCAACTGTGCAGGGGGCAGAATGTGGGATTAAAAAGCAGAAAGAAGGAAATAAAGAAATGCTTCTGCACAAGTGAAAAAAAAATCTGGCTGGAGGTCTGAAAGGGATTAACTTACATATCAAATATCAGATTTCCATTGCATTGCCATTCTGCTTTCTCCTTTTTTCTCTGCCCCCTTCCCACATTGCCTGTAGTGCATCGCATGAAGCTTTATTTCTCACTTTGTCTAAGATTTCAAGCAGAAAATCTTCAGTACTGAGGTCTTAAAAATGTGCTTCATGTTCCACAGTAATAGTCCCTTATCTGAGACTCCAACATCTGGAAATCAAACCAATGTAACTTACAAGCCTGAATCAGAAAACATGTTTGTGAAAAAAAAAGGCACACTGCACTAAAATTCAACTCAACTTCATGGAGAGGCCCTCAATCAAGACCTACTTATTCTTTCTTTCCTATACAGAGTTCTAACAAAGAGAAATCAGAAGAAGCAAAAGCAGAGTATTGACAAACTGACATCCAGAAGAAATACCTAAAGCTCTGAGGAAAACAGAAAGAACTTTGGAAATAGTTATACTATTCAAATGCAAACATCTGCAGTGGACACTTGAATAGGAGGGATATTTGCCCCAACTTTTCAGAAATTTTTTTCTACCCAAAGAATTCACCCCACACCCACCCAAACAAGATCCTAGATAACTGAAGTTTTACTCATACATGATTCAAGCTAGTCATAATAAGGTTAGGTAATACTGGCATTACAGAGAAGCAAAAGTTAACCCCCTTGATGAAGTTCAAAGGATTCGTGTATGTGTGGGTATTTTACTCTGCCTTTTGAGGACATTACTTTTAAGTATTTATATTTTATGTCTATATGTTATAGACATAAAAAGAAGAGTATATAAATCTACATTTTAAGTTATTTAGATATTGCATGACTATTGGGGGAAAATTCATATCATCCTTTCAAATAAGGTTCATTAAAATGTTTTTAACCTGTTGGCTTTTTGTAGGAAAAAGTTAATGCATCCACAGACCTTTTTAAAAATAATGGATGTTGCATACAGCTAGCAACACAACTCTTTAAAAAGTAAAAAAGTCTATTAAAGTGAAACAATATTTTTCAGAATAACAAAAGTCAAAGAACAGCAAACTATGAAAATGATTTATCTGAATTAAAGTATTGCATTATTTTTAAATTTAATTGATGCTGATTTTAATTTCCATTGTTATTAAATGTAATCAATTCGTTTTGAAGTATGCATTCAAGAGATATAAAGGAAATGCTAATAACAAAAATTTTAACATTTTAACATTTTTTCTACTTTCCCCCTTAACAATGAAAGTTAAATTCTCAAATTCATATGGGATAAATATGCAAACATAATTTTATGTATACCTATAAATGAAAAATTGTTATGTCTCTTATTTCTCTAGGATACTATTTCAAATTATATGCTTATTACAATTTTAAGAATAGCATGCTGTGGTTATTACAATAAAAAATCAAGAGCAAAGATGAACTAGATATTTTAGAAAAAGCGACAGAGTTAGAGGAGCCAAGATGGCCGAATAGGAACAGCTCCGGTCTACAGCTCCCAGCCTGAGCGACGAAGACGGGTGATTTCTGCATTTCCATCTGAGGTACCGGGTTCATCTCACTAGGGAGTGCCAGACAGTGGGCGCAGGTCAGTGAGTGTGCGCACCCTGCACGAGCCGAAGCAGGGCGAGGCATTGCCTCACTCGGGAAGCACAAGGGGTCAGGGAGTTCCCTTTCCTAATCAAAGAAAGGGGTGACCGACCGCACCTGGAGAATCGGGTCACTCCCACCCGAATACTGCGCTTTTCCGACGGGCTTAAAAAAGGGCGCACCACGAGATTATATCCCGCACCTGGCTCGGAGGGTCCTGCCCCACGGAGTCTCGCTGATTGCTAGCACAGCAGTCTGAGATCAAACTGCAAGGCGGCAGCGAGACTGGGGGAGGGGCGCCCGCCATTGCCCAGGCTTGCTTAGGTAAACAAAGCAGCCGGGAAGCTCGAACTGGGTGGAGCCCACCACAGCTCAAGGAGGCCTGCCTGCCTCTGTAGGCTCCACCTCTGGGGGCAGGGCACAGACAAACAAAAAGACAGCAGTAACCTCTGCAGACTTAAACGTCCTTGTCTGACAGCTTTGAAGAGAGCAGTGGTTCTCCCAGCACGCAGCTGGAGATCTGAGAACGGGCAGACTGCCTCCTCAAGTGGATCGCTGACCCCTGACCCCCGAGCAGCCTAACTGGTAGGCACCATGAGCAGGGGCACACTGACACCTCACACTGCAGGGTACTCCAACAGACCTGCAGCTGAGGGTCCTGTCTGTTAGAAGGAAAACTAACAAACAGAAAGGACATCCACACCAAAAACCCATCTGTACATCACCATCATCAAAGACCAAAAGTAGATAAAACCACAAAGATGGGGAAAAAACAGAACAGAAAAACTGGAAACTCTAAAAAGCAGAGCGCCTCTGCTCCTCCAAAGGAACGCAGTTCCTCACCAGCAACGGAACAAAGCTGGACGGAGAATGACTTTGACGAGCTGAGAGAAGAAGGCTTCAGACGATCAAATTACTCTGAGCTACGGGAGGACATTCAAACCAAAGGAAAAGAAGTTGAAAACTTTCAAAAAAATTTAGAAGAATGTATAACTAGAATAACCAATACAGAGAAGTGCTTAAAGGAGCTGATGGAGCTGAAAACCAAGGCTCGAGAACTACGTGAAGAATGCAGAAGCCTCAGGAGCCGATACCATCAACTGGAGAAAGGGTATCAGCGATGGAAGATGAAATGAATGAAATGAAGCAAGAACGGAAGTTTAGAGAAAAAAGAATAAAAAGAAAAGAGCAAAGCCTCCAAGAAATATGGGACTATGTGAAAAGACCAAATCTACATCTGCTTGGTGTACCTGAAAGTGATGGGGAGAATGGAACCAAGTTGGAAAACACTCTGCAGGATATTATCCAGGAGAATTTCCCCAATCTAGCAAGGCAGGCCAACATTCAGATTCAGGAAATACAGAGAACGCCACAAAGATACTCCTCGAGAAGAGCAACTCCAAGACACATAATTGTCCAATTCACCAAAGTTGAAATGAAGGAAAAAATGTTAAGGGTAGCCAGAGAGAAAGGTCGGGTTACCCTCAAAGGGAAGCCCATCAGACTAACAGCAGATCTCTTGGCAGAAACCCTACAAGCCAGAAGAGAGTGGGGGCCAATATTCAACATTCTTAAAGAAAAGAATTTTCAACCCAGAATTTCATATCCAGCCAAACTAAGCTTCATAAGTGAAGGAGAAATAAAATACTTTACAGACAAGCAACTGCTGAGAGATTTTGTCACCACCAGGCCTGCCCTAAAAGAGCTCCTGAAGGAAGCGCTACACATGGAAAGGAACAACCGGTACCAGCCGCTGCAAAATCATGCCAAAATGTAAAGACCATCGAGACTAGGAAGAAACTGCATCAACTAACGAGCAAAATAACCAGCTAACATCATAATGACAGGATCAAATTCACACATAACACTATTAACTTTAAATGTAAATGGACTAAATCCTCCAATTAAAAGACACAGACTGGCAAATTGGATAAAGAGTCAAGACCCATCAGTGTGCTGTATTCAGGAAACCCATCTCACGTGCAGAGACACACATAGGCTCAAAATAAAAGGATGGAGGAAGATCTACCAAGCAAATGGAAAACAAAAAAAGGCAGGGGTTGCAATCCTAGTCTCTGATAAAACAGATTTTAAACCAACAAAGATCAAAAGAGACAAAGAAGGCCATTACATAATGGTAAAGGGATCAATTCAACAAGAAGAGCTAACTATCCTAAATATATATGCACCCAATACAGGAGCACCCAGATTCATAAAGCAAGTCCTGAGTGACCTACAAAGAGACTTAGACTCCCACATATTAATAATGGGAGACTTTAACATCCCACTGTCAATATTAGACAGATCAACGAGACAGAAAGTTAACAAGGATACCCAGGAATTGAACTCAGCTCTGCACCAAGCGGACCTAATAGACATCTACAGAACTCTCCACCCCAAATCAACAGAATATACATTTTTTTCAGCACCATACCACACCTATTCCAAAATTGACCACATACTTGGAAGTAAAGCTCTCCTCAGCAAATGTAAAAGAACAGAAATTATAACAAACTATCTCTCAGACCACAGTGCAATCAAACTAGAACTCAGGATTAAGAACCTCACTCAAAACCACTCAACTACATGGAAACTGAACAACCTGCTCCTGAATGACTACTGGGTACATAACGAAATGAAGGCAGAAATAAAGATGTTCTTTCAAACCAACGAGAACAAAGACACAACATACCAGAATCTCTGGGACACATTCAAAGCAGTGTGTAGACGGAAATTTATAGCACTACATGCCCACAAGAGAAAGCAGGAAAGATCCAAAATTGACACCCTAACATCACAATTAAAAGAACTAGAAAAACAAGAGCAAACACATTCAAAAGCTAGCAGAAGGCAAGAAATAACTAAAATCAGAGCAGAACTGAAGGAAATAGAGACACAAAAAACCCTTCAAAAAATTAATGAATCCAGGAGCTGGTTTTTTGAAAGGATCAACAAAATTGATAAATCACTAGCAAGACTAATAAAGAAAAAAAGAGAGAAGAATCAAATAGACGCAATAGAAAATGATAAAGGGGATATCACCACCGATCCCACAGAAATACAAACTACCATCAGAGAATACTACAAACACCTCTATGCAAATAAACTAGAAAATCTAGAAGAAATGGATAAATTCCTTGACACATACACTCTCCCAAGACTAAACCAGGAAGAAGTTGAATCTCTGAATAGACCAATAATAGGATCTGAAATTGTGGCAATAATCAATAGCTTACCAACCAAAAAGAGTCCAGGACCAGATGGATTCACAGCCGAATTCTACCAGAGGTACAAGGAGGAACTGGTACCATTCCTTCTGAAACTATTACAATCAATAGAAAAAGAGGGAATCCTCCCTAACTCATTTTATGAGGCCAGCATCATTCTGATACCAAACCGGGCAGAGACACAACCAAAAAGGATAACTTTAGACCAATATCCTTGATGAACATTGATGCAAAAATCCTCAATAAAATACTGGCAAACCGAATCCAGCAGCACATCAAAAAGCTTATCCACCATGATCAAGTGGGCTTCATCCCTGGGATGCAAGGCTGGCTCAATATACGCAAATCAATAAATGTAATCCAGCATATAAACAGAGCCAAAGACAAAAACCACATGATTATCTCAATAGATGCAGAAAAGGCCTTTGACAAAATTCAACAACCCTTCATGCTAAAAACTCTCAATAAATTAGGTATTGATGGGACATATCTCAAAATAATAAGAGCTATCTATGACAAACCCACAGCCAATCTCATACTCAATGGGCAAAAACTGAAAGCATTCCCTTTGAAAACTGGCATAAGACAGGGATGCCCTCTCTCACCACTCCTATTCAACATAGTGTTGGAAGTTCTGGCCAGGGCAATTAGGCAGGAGAAAGAAATAAAGGGTATTCAATTAGGAGAAGAGGAAGTCAAATTGTCCCTGTTTGCAGATGACATGATTGTATATCTAGAAAACCCCATTGTCTCAGCCCAAAATCTCCTTAAGCTGATAAGCAACTTCAGCAAAGTCTCAGGATACAAAATCAATGTGCACAAATCACAAGCATTCCTATACACCAACAACAGACAAACAGAGAGCCAAATAATGAGTGAACTCCCATTCACAATTGCTTCAAAGAGAATAAAATACCTAGGAATCCAACTTACAAGGGATGTGAAGGACCTCTTCAAGGACAACTACAAATCGCTGTTCAAGGAAATAAAAGAGGATACAAACAAATGGAAGAACATTCCATGCTCATGGGTAGGAAGAATCAATATTGTGAAAATGGCCATACTGCCCAAGGTAATTTACAGATTCAATGCCATCCCCCTCAAGCTACCAATGCCTTTCTTCACAGAATTGGAAAAAACTACTTTAAAGTTCATATGGAACCAAAAAAGAGCCCGCATTGCCAAGTCAATCTTAAGCCAAAAGAACAAAGCTGGAGGCATCACACTACCTGACTTCAAACTATACTACAAGGCTACAGTAACCAAAACAGCATGGTACTGGTACCAAAACAGAGATATAGATCAATGGAACAGAACAGAGCCCTCAGAAATAACGCCGCATATCTACAACTATCTGATCTTTGACAAACCTGAGAAAAACAAGCAATGGGGAAAGGATTCCCCATTTAATAAATGGTGCTGGGAAAACTGGCCAGCCATATGTAGAAAAGCTGAAACTGGATCCCTTCCTTACACCTTATACAAAAATCAATTCAAGATGGATTAAAGACTTAAACGTTAAACCTAAAACCATAAAAACCCTAGAAGAAAACCTAGGCATTACCATTCAGGACATAGGCATGGGCAAGGACTTCATTCAAAAGCAATGGCAACAAAAGCCAAAATTGACAAATGGGATCTAATTAAACTAAAGAGCTTCTGCACAGCAAAAGAAACTACCATCAGAGTGAACAGGCAACTTACAAAATGGGAGAAAATTTTTGCAACCTACTCATCTGACAAAGGGGTAATATCCAGAATCTACAATGAACTCAAACAAATTTACAGAAAAAAACAAACAACCCCATCAAAAAGTGGGCGAAGGACATGAACAGACACTTCTCAAAAGAAGACATTTATGCAGCCAAAAAACACATGAAAAAATGCTCACCATCACTGGCCATCAGAGAAATGCAAATCGAAACCACAATGAGATACCATCTCACACCAGTTAGAATGGCGATCATTAAAAAGTCAGGAAACAACAGGTGCTGGAGAGGATGTGGAGAAATAGGAACACTTTTACACTGTTGGTGGGACTGTAAACTAGTTCAACCATTGTGGAAGTCAGTGTGGCGATTCCTCAGGGATCTAGAACTAGAAATACCATTTGACCCAGCCATCCCATTACTGGGTATATACCCAAAGGACTATAAATCATGCTGCTATAAAGACACATGCACACGTATGTTTATTGTGGCATTATTCACAATAGCAAAGACTTGGAACCAACCCAAATGTCCAACAATGATAGACTGGATTAAGAAATTGTGGCACATATACACCATGGAATACTATGCAGCCATAAAAAATGATGAGTTCATGTCCTTTGTAGGGACATGGATGAAATTGGAAATCATCATTCTCAGTAAACTATCCCAAGAACAAAAAACCAAACACCGCATATTCTCACTCATAGGTGGGAATTGAACAATGAGAACACATGGACACAGGAAGGGGAATATCACACTCTGGGGACTGTTGTGGGGTGGGGGGAGTGGGGAGGGATAGCATTGGGAGATATACCTAATGCTAGATGATGAGTTAGTGGGTGCAGCACACCAGCATGGCACATGTATACTTATATAACTAACCTGCACAATGTGCACATGTACCCTAAAACTTAAAGTATAATAATAAAAAAATAAAAAAAAAAGCGACAGTTTTAAAAAACTTGTCTGAAATCATTTTTGTACATCCCAAATTTGCTATTTTCTTCTAATGTTTGGCAAAATTCCTAACAGACAGCAGCTTTTTAATATTTTAATATTTCAATGTGCTACTTTAACTTTTACTTCTATTAAAATGGATGACAAATTAAATTACATAAAAGGCAAACTTTTATATATTTAGATTTCAAAAGAACATTGTTTACAATCATTTTCATTCTATAATCAATCTAATAAACAAAGAAAGAGCCACAGTAAACCTAAAGTGGGGCTAGCTAACTGTGCTACAAAACTGAGTTAAATATTGTTCCTACTACCAGGACATTCACAGTCAATTGTAAACTTTCTTAACAGTACACAACAGTCTTGGTTTGACTATTCAATTATCAACATTAGGTATATGAATAACAGTAAAAATAACAAAGCAACAGCAATAATAAGCTTAAAAGGTCAACTAACTTAATTGGAACACAATTTACATCATAATCCAGACAAACTGTTAATAAGCACAATGGAATACAAAAGCAAATTTACTAAAAAATATTACCTAAATATTAAATAGCAAATAAAAATAAAATATCTGTCTCTACTTCACTGCAGTCAAAGACAGTCAAATGCAAGTTGATCCAATTAAGCCAATTTAGGATCCACAACTACTTAAAAGCATGAGCTATATACTAAGTGATGAAGGCAAAATGGATTTGGTCCAAATCCGCTTTATTTGCTTAGATGCTATTTATTACGGCTATATTTTATTATACAGTAGTAAAAAATTACAATGCAACATCTTGTTATTTCCCACTGGGAAAAGTGATACAGATGCACTATTAAACCTCAGCACAGGCATCAGGATGTCAGGCTATACTCCACTTGTGCCTTTATAATGTGTCAATAGACATTGATGTTTATGCAGCTGATGGTAAAGCCAGCCAAATTACTGCCACTTAAATGTTCCATAAAATCATGGCTTTATAGAAATCTAGAACCTTTTCAGCAGCTCTGGTGGCTGTATACATATTGGAAAGAGAATGCTTATTTTAAAAGAAAGCAAGTAATGACCATTATTTCTTTTTTTTAAAGAAAATATTTAAATGCCAGAAATTTTCCCTAAAACTAATCTACTATTTTCAAGGAAAGGATCTAGCATATCACAGAATACCTAAACATTTATCTTTGCCAAACAAAATTATAGGTAAGTTGTAAACTCTAGTTCAGACCAGTTCTAAAAAAATAACTTGTTGAGAAACAATGCTTCACAAGAAAATTAAGATTATAGCTTTTCTAAACCCCATAAATATCTTTCCTCCTTTCATCATTATTCTCTTCAATTTATATTCATCATGTGTTGAAAATGTTGCAGGTATTATATAGAATTCTAACTATACAAATAGAAATTCTCATTTTTTTCTGTTATTTGAAAGTGAGAGAGAGATAATAAGAAAAATTAATTTTTCAGTTAATAGTTGCCAATTCTAAAGATACTAACTGGTGATCTACAGTGCTATATGCTTTAGGCAGGAAAATATTCAGAGATTTGCCTGCAGAGATTCAGGTGTTCTAAAATTTGTTTTTCCTCTTGAAGCTGAAGCAATTTTAAATTGGCTGCCATGGGGCATACCCCCAGCCTCAGCAGATACTGAAGATGAGACTTCCTAGTATCCAGCAGCACTGCTGCAAACTATATCTAGGCCTCCTGAAAACACAGGGTAAGTGAGGCACCAAGGCAGATACCTTTCCCTTGCCTCCAATATATGAATGATCTAATTCTTTCTGAGATAGTTTAGCCCAAATGCTCTTGAACATCAAGAGCCTCTGTTAGCTGGGAGTGTGTTCTATGCCTTTTGCACTTGCCAAGATATTGGTCCCCTTAGCAGTCTCAGTAGAGCAAAAGAAAATTACATTATATGTTTTAGAACAATCAGTTAAACTTCTGAGTGGTAAATTGTATTCAATTTTTTTTTTTTGTAATTTTTTTGTGATCTTCCAGTCAAATAAACTCAGTAACAATGATTTCATTTTTTTAAAATCTTCCTATTTAGAGAACCAACTTTGGCTAAAGAGATGTCTGGGCAGTATGTATCTGCATTATAGTCGTAATGTCATAACCATTTTCTATGACTTGGGCATAATGATATTAACTTATAATACTTATCTTCCATTCCCTTCTCCAGATAAGCATTTTTTTCTGTCTTTTAGAGAATATCCTAGTATTTAATGATCCCTCTAGAAATTCAACCTCAGGCTAAGGTTTGTCACAATTGTTAGAACTTTTAAGAATATGAGCACTGAATTATTATTTATCGTATCTATTAAAATATCATACCACAGTCATTCAAAAGTTGACATTGAATGACATTAACGTTCAGGTACTATCGAAGAGAAAAGACCTCCACAAACAACATTACAGTAACCATTGCTATTATTACTGAATTTTGGTGATGATTATTGTCTCTCAAATGCTCTGTCTTCATCTCTAACTCCAACCTGTTTGTACATTTGGTGACTCACATTTAGAATGTCCTTCTCTAATTCTCTGTCCGTGTTAATGGCTTCATTTACTTATTTATTCATTTATCTTACAATAGTTATTCTAAATCTGCTGTTTTCTAGACAGTGTGCTATTTCGTGTGCTACAAAAATAAATAGCTGCTTAAAGCCCTGTGGAAGAAAGTTGTATAAATAAATATTTTAAAAAAGTAAGGCCAATGTTTTGTTTTAAAAAAAAATGAAAGCAGTGAAGAAGTACAATATGTTTTTAAGCAAAACAAACCAAATCCTCAATACAGTGATACCATTAATTTTTATAAATCACGACATATATTGCCCATATACTCATATTTCATGATTTTTAAAATTATTATTATTATTATTTTTTTTTTTTTTTGAGACGGAGTCTCACTCTGTCACCAGGCTAGAGTGCAGTGGTGCGATCTTGGCTCACTGCAATCTCTGCCTGCCAGGTTCAAGCGATTCCCCTGCCTCAGCCTCCTGAGCAGCTGGGACTACAGGTGTGCACCACCATGCCCAGCTAATTTTTTTTTTTATTTTAGTAGAGACGGGGTTTCAACATGTTGGCCAGGATGATCTCGATCTCTTGACCTTGTGATCCACCCGGCTTGGCCTCCCAAGGTGCTGAGATTACAGCTGCGCCCAGCCTATTTCATGTTTTATTGATCATTCACTATGATAAACCCAGAGGACGGCATATATTATTTATTATTTGACCACGCCCACCAATTATTTATCACAGATTATATATATGACATATAAAATATATATGCATAACAGTAAACAACCCAAAAGGTGCGTGCTCTGGACACAGGCTGCTCGATTACAAATTCTACCTCTTACATTAGCTGCATGAACTTACTTAAAGTACTTTTGCCTCAATTTACTCATCTGTAAAATCGGGACTATGAGATACCTTAAAGCGTTACTGAAAAGATTAAAAAAAAATCCAAGTAAACTATCCAGAACTATCTCTAGCACACAATTGGCACAAAACATGTTCAGCTAGTCAGGCCTTAAATGCTAACTTGATGTTTCATATGTACATCCTTTTTGAAATCCTAATTTATAGAGTAAATAACATTATCACCATTTAACAGATGATGAATCTGTAGTTCAGGGAAGTTAACATTTTCTTAACATGAGAGAATTTCTAAATGGCACAGCTGCAAAGCAACATGTATCTACAATACTCAAAAAGGAGAGAAATAAGCATCATGCGTATATTAGGTTGGGCATCATAACCTACGTGTTTACAACTCTAGCCATTTCAAAAGAAGCAAGTGAGTGTCACTACCAGATAAAAATATAGCAGAGTAAATGAAGAACAAACTCTACCAAATATTTAAAAATCCAAAAAAAAAAAAATTACCGGCTTTTACTTCAATTAATTGGAGCTTTAGAAAGGAAGACTGTAATTACAACTGAAAATTCCACCCACAGCAGTAGGAAGGTAGGACATCTCTAGGAGCACTGTGGGCTTTCATTATATTACAATAATCTCCCTGAAACTAACATTAGGACAAATGCTACTCATATCTAAGATATTGCTTAAATAGAGAAACTGCCATCTTAGCATCACAGTCTATTCAATGTAAAGTTCTAAAAGAAATATTTTAAGTTCCTCAAGCTAGACAGCTGTATCAATAACACAGATTTTAAACCCATGAAAAAGTCAGTTGAGGGATATTCAGGAGACATTGGTGTCAATATGGTATGCTTTGAATCAAAATATAGGACGATGAGATTTTCATTGGTAAATGGCTATACAAAGCTTTGAAAACTATACATTAGCAATAGACATGGAGATACATTACAGCAGAAGTGATCAGAAGGTTTTTTTTCAAAATCATATATATTTATATGAAAAAGTCATCTATATATGAAACTTTATATAGTTTGACTCTTAAACAACATGGGTTTGAACTGCATGAGTCCATTTATAATAACTGGGATTTTCTTCTGCCTGTCACCCCTGAAACAGTAAGAACAGCCCTACTCTTCTTCTGCCTACTCAATGTGAAGACGAGGCTGAAAACCTTTATGATGATCCACTTCCAGTTAATAATCAGTACATTTATTATCTCTTTCATATGATTTTCTTAATAACACTTTCTTTTCTTCAGCTTACTTTCAGAATACAATATACAATACCTAACCTATAAAATATGTGTTGATTCCTGTTTAACTTAATGGTAAGACTTCCAATCAACAATAGTCTATCGGTAGTTAAGTTTTAGAGGAGGAAGAAGTTATTCTCAGATTTTCAACTACATGGTGTTGGGTTGGGGGACAGGTGGAGGGGTGGTGCTCCTAACATCTGAGTCATTCAAGGGTCAAGTGTATATATGTGTGTGTGTGTATATATATATATATATATAATTTTCAAATATTCGATCGTATCAGGCAGGGTGCCATGAGTCATGCCTGTTATCCCAGCACTTTGGGAGGCCGAGGAAGGCAGATCACTTGAGGTCAGGAGCTTGAGATCAGCCTGGTCAACATAGTGAAACACCGTCTCTACTAAAAATACAAAAATTAGTCAGGCGTGGTGGTGCAGACCTGTAGTCCCAGCTACTCGGGAGGCTGAGGTGGGAAAATCGCATGAACCTGGGAGGTGGAGGCTGCAGTGAGTAGAGATTATGCCACTGCACTCCAGCCTGGGTGACAGAGCAAGACTCTGTTGCAATTTATTAAAAAATATATGTATTTATATATATATTTTTATATATATGATTATATCATTAAAAAAAGCCTTCCTCAGAGAACTGTTATACTACAGTTCATAATTTCTTATCTTCTTTGTTTCTAAATATTTTTCTTCAATTTTATGGTTGAGTATACATGTTTTATACTTTATGCTTATTTATTTAAAAAACACAAAACTCTGTGATATTAACATTTTAAACTTTTTTGCTAATATTAATTGACAAAAATCTTTCATAGTCTTCACCATCTCCTATTCTCTTTCTTTCAAGTCTTACTGTTTATTGCTTCCATTGTGTTTGTCCTAAATACAGATAATTCACAATAAAAATAGCTGCCTTTATTGTGTGCCACAAACTGCTCTTAGCCTTTTGCCTACAGTGACTCATCTAATCTTCACAATATCGTGAAAGTGGATATCATTACTGCCCTGATTTCAAGATGTACCTGTGGAGGTCTAGGAATTAATTTGTAATTGACAAGGCCTGGACTAGAAATCAAGCCTATCTAACCCCAAAGGCCATACCCTTAAAGTACTTCATTTTACTCTTTACTTTCTTTGACTAGTATAATGTTATTTATACTTTAAGGCTCAACTCAAAAGCAGATATTTCAATGATGCTTTTTACAGTCATGCAATCTGAGACAAATCAAAGCTTCCCTCTCATCTCATGATGCTGTTATTTTTCTCTGATGGCTTACACTTAATGCATATTAACACTGTTTTCTACACATAAATCATCTCACAGATGATATAATTATTATTATTAAACCCACTTTATAAATGTAAGAAATGAGAGCTACAGACATTTAAAAAGTCACAGGAAATCAAAGGGCTGTTAAAGGATTCAAGCCCACGCAGCTGATAGCATGCTCATCACACAGCATTCTAGCACTTGTTAGAAAGAACAACACTGGGGCTAGGAGCACAGGGTTTGGAGTGAGCCATAAGTGCTCCTAACTACATCACTGTACTTATTAGATTAATAGTGTTTTGTGGGTAGCATTACCTCCTAGCCTCAGTTTCTTCACTGGCAATACAAACATAATAGTAGTATCTACCTCACAGTATTGTTTTGAAGACTAAGTGAGACAACACAGACACATGCTTACTTAAAGAATGTGATACATAAATTTCAGGTGCTATTATTATTGCTGTTGTTTATATGACATTGTCATGCTTTAGGGGAAGGCTATTTGAGAGTACACCATACACTAAAAAGTATTGTATTTCTAGTATGTGGTATATGACAAATAGATAATAAATGTCTAAAGGATTTTAGCCTTCGTTATGTGCTATTGTTAAAATTTCATTGAAAAATGTTGCATTCAGCAGCTATGTTTTTGCATCTAAAATGCAAACCCTTCTTAGAGTTTAGATCATTGACTCATTCCAGGAAAGAAGTTTTATTTTATTTTTAAACTACCATGAAAGATTAAAAGAAAATATTTTATTAAATAACATATCCTCATGTTTACCAACCATAACTTGCCGGAATTTTTTTAAATTTGAGCCAAAGACCACTGCGTAATTTCCTTCCTTCTCTTTTTGGTAGCTATAGAAACTATTTGGTCAGTGCTGTCTGACATACACTTAAAGATGGACATTTCTCAACTTTTCTTAAGACTGAATAATCTCAACATCTTTAGAAATTTTTCATATATCATCTTTTCTAATGATTTTGGTCACTTTTAGTTCCCCTACCTCTAACAAATAGCTCTTTGGTTTGGCTTTAGTAGTCAAAGTTATCTCAGAAATATTTAAAATCCTTAAGATCACAGCATGAAATTTTCTAGCTCTCATGTCCACATCAAGCATAGATTATTATCTTCTGAGATCCCTCTCAGGAATATGTGTTGTGTCCTAATTCTCATATATTCTATTGAATGAGAGAAAGAAATACCCTCACTCTGATGTCCCTCTCCACTAATAGGAGTGTAGCAGTAGATAATTTAGAAGACATTTTATTCCATAGAAATGCAATTGAGATGAAACATCAGCTGAAAAATTAATACTACAGATAATGACTAATCAGTACTATACATACCACTATATATAATAATAAAATCAATAACATCATCATAATATTGCTTCCTATGAGCTGAATATGTACTATGTGATTTAAAATTCATGCATTCAATGAATATTTAATTAATTCAACAAATGTATTGAGCTGTTTCCATGTGCTAGGCATTTTTATAGGTACTGGGAATAAAGCAATGAACAAATAAATAACCCTAACTTTGGGGAGTTTAGAGCAATAACAAAACATGACAAACAAATAAAATACAAGGTACGATTCAGTGAGCAGTGATAAAAGTGCATGTAAAATTTACAATTTTACATAGTATGACCAAAGACTCTTTCATTGAGAAGGTAAAATTCGAGTAAAAACCTGAATGTAACTGGTAGGAAGCTATGTGGAAAACGACAAGGAGAGCATTTCAGAGCATTTCTGGCAGAGGAAACAAGTGCAAAGGCCCTCAGGCAAGAGCTGAAAGGGATTTATGTAGCAGCAAGGGGGCTAATGGGCGGCTGCAGAGGGAGGGAGGAGAAGAATGGTAGGAGGGATCAGACAGCCAACAAGGGGCTAAATCCTAATTCTGGTAGAAGTAGGTAGGCTATTATTCATATTCTAGCTTTTATTTCATGAGCAGAAACCCACTATAAGATTCTGAGCAGAGGAGTAACATGATACAACTTATATTTTAAGTTGATCATCTGGCTTCTGTGTTGAGAATAGATTATAGGCAGCCAGTCCAACTAGTTGCAAAGATACACAATAATCCAGATGAGTAATGAGGGTCGTTTGGTTGCAAAGTATCAGCAGCATAAGCAGTGAGAGGTAATATCTCAATGTACATAAGGTAGAAGCCATAGGATTTGCTTATGGATCCTATATGTGATGTATGAGAGGAAGAAGTCAATGTTTTTGACTTTTGCCAATGAAAGAAAGGAGTTGTCATTTTTGAAACTGTAAAAGCTTTTAAAAAAGACATTTTTAGGGGTGTGAGTGGAGAGTAGAAGTTTAGCTTTGGACATATTAGTTGGATGGGCCTATCAAAAATCCTAGTGAAGATGTTTGAGAAAGTAGCTATATACCTAGAGTGGAACATTTGGGCTAGAGGTAAAAATTTGGAAATAATAAGCATTCAAATCACATATAATGTTAAAGTAGAAGAGACTACCAAGGAAGTGAATATAGAAAACACAAGAAAACCCAAGACGGAGATTTGGGAATCTCCAAAACTTGTAGATTAGAGAGGATCATGAGAAATCATTGAAGAAAACTAAGGGAGATGCCAGAAAAATACAAGGAAAGTGGGATGCCCCAGGAGACAGTTGAGAAAAGTTTTTCAAGAAGACATCAATGGTCTGCTTTCTTTTTTTTTTTTTTTTTTTTTGAGACGGAGTCTCGCTCTGTCGCCCAGGCTGGAGTGCAGTGGCACGATCTCCACTCACTGCAAGCTCCGCCTCCCGAGTTCACGCCATTCTCCTGCCTCAGCCTCCCTAGTAGCTGGGACTACAGGCGCCCGCCACCACGCCCGGCTAATTTTTTGTATTTTTAGTAGAGACGGGGTTTCATCCTGTTAGCCAGGATGGTCTCGATCTCCTGACCTCGTGATCCGCCCACCTTGGCCTCCCAAAGTGCTGGACTTACAGGCGTGAGCCACCGCTCCCGGCCCAATGGTCTGCTTTCATGAGCAGAAACCCACTGTAAGATTCTGAGCAGAAAAATAACATGATACAACTTACATTTTAAAATGAACATTCTGGCTTCTGTGTTGAGAACAGATTATAGGTGGCCAGTAGTTTATAATAAGAAATAAAGTAAAATGGGAACTGAGAATTAAACTTTGGATTTGACAACATGAATATTTTTTCAGAAAAACAACAGCTTTGGTAAAATGGTTAAGAACTAAAGCCTGATGGGAATGTGTTCAAAAGAGGAAGAAAAGAGAAATATTTGATCAGCAACTTTCACCCTCGTAACTACTTGCAATTCCCTATTAGAATAGGGAAGCTAAATAAATTGTTCATAATTAATCATTCTAATTCTAAGGCCTGTACCTTGACCACTGACTATATTGTTTATTTAAACCTTGAAGTTTCCTTCATATATCATATGTAGGTGTCTGCTTGTGATTTATTTTAGATTTTTTTTCATAGAAGTGTTCCATTTTAAATATAGTAAACAATATCTTCTCAGATACTCAGTTTATGTTTTTCTTTTTCCAAACAGATCAAAGTGTTTATTGGTTGAAGATAACTTTCATATGTGTCAAAAAAATTTACATATATGTATTTTCACAGGGGCCAAATTTGGCCAGTTATTAATATGAAATTGCTACAAAAATTGACTTGATGCACAAATCAAACCACAGTCAATATAGAAAATGTAAAATACTCTTTAAAATACTCACAGTGTAAACTAAAGAAAGCAGGAAGCCAACGTAGGAATATTACAACTATGTAATTTTAAATACCTGTAAAAATAGGTAAACTGATATACATTAAATAGTTTTAGGATTTGGTTAACTTGCAAGAACAAATTTCCTATTTTCCTCTTTGTTGTATTTATTCCTTAATAGACATACATTAATATGACAGTGGAAAAACACCAGCATGCTCTACTATTATCCTACAATGGAACTCAAAAAATTCTACTACATTTTTAAATTATAATTATATTGGAATTCAACTTTTCAGAAAATAGTTTTCGTATTCCTAAATATTATTTTAATTAACATCATATGTGAATCAAAACATATATTAATCATTAACAAGCAATTAATTTAGTACATTCATACTGTAAAATCAGAAAATGTAATTATTTGATAAAAGTAAGGCTATGGTTCATTACTTTCCCCAGATAGATATTAAAAAATAAACGTTAAAATCCCTAATGCTAATGAACTGAGTATGTGCGGGCAGAATTTAAAATTAATGACACTTTAATGGACTTGTTGAGTCATTTCACACACACAATTTGACCAATATTTTACTGAAAAAAAAAATAAAGCACTGTATTTTGTCAGTAAATTATATCAGCAAGTTGGCAAACACCAATGAGTACATTGAGAAAACAGCCTGAAAGTGTTCAGGGAGGAAAAAGTGCCTGATGTTTTGACTAGTTGTGTCAAACAAAAAGAAACAGAACCTTTAAGGCCAGGACTTTGCAGTCATGGTTATTTTAGTGGGTTGTTTTTTTAACACTTATCTTTGTCCTTTCTATGATAAATGATAAACTGTATTTCCAAGCCATTTTGTTTATGATAAGTAACTGCAAGGAAAATTTTTATGTTTGTTTTTAATTTAAATCAAACCAAGCAAATAAAATTAAGAAGCAAAAATTCAAGAAGCTATTTGATGCAATGACCTTGTCAAATACTCCATGGAATGACATGTGTTTGCTTCACTGCAGTATTACAAAGTGCTTACAAAAATGAAAAAATGCTTACAAAAATGAAATAAAAACTACAGTTAGTATTATGGAAATTAATAAAGCTGTTGTATATGATCATTAGATAACTAATTTTTTTTTCTCTTTGAGGAGAAATAATTTTGTTTTTTTCTTAATATCTAGAATCACTTTTACTGAAATAACAAAACAGTGTTCCATTTAACTAATGATGTACCCCTAGACAGTGCATTTGATGTAGCCTTAAGTATTCTGTAGAAAATAATTAATCAAATCCTGCATAACAGATTTCTTAAGGCTTAAATGTACTCTTATCCAAAATCATTTTTATGTTAAAATCTATAACCTTACCTAGACACCAATGAGAATATCAGTAGATGCGTAATCTGAGTAAGTAGTGGCAAAAGATTTTATGTTCTTCTGTTTTAGGAAGAAAGAAAAGAGTCAAATAAAAATGGATTTATCACAAATGAAAGAAACGAAGGTGTAGTCAAATTTGTATCATCTTCACCATTCGTAAATACTGCATTCTATGTGTATGTATCAAATGTCAGTTTTCCTACAGAAATGGCATCCCTACCGTATATGGATCAAATACATTATAAATTATTAAATTTTTACTAAAACTTAAATTAATAACTGGAATCATATTACACATTAAGAGCTTCAAGATTACACTTCAAAACTTGAATACTGCTATGAATATCATCTGTGAAGCCAAAAGACTATCCTTAAAATATAAACTTTATTCTTCATCCATTTATTCAACACTTATTGAAAAACTGCCATTTCTTTTATTCTGTGCTAGATCTATAACTCCCATAGGAAGATTAGCATAGCTGTACCAAGAGGTGAAATGTTCAACAACTAGACACTATCTACATATTTTATGGAGAGAGTGGATCAATGTTTGCTGTAACTGCCAAGGTGTATTTTGTCTAAATAGACTTGGATATAAAGGGCTCAGTCACATGTCTGTCACAGATTAGAAATACCAATTTAATTTTCAAATGGTCACTTTTAGAAAGATAGGTAAAGTGCAGGTTTCCATATTTTGATATGCCCCATCACCTGAGAATTTAGGAAATGCTTTCAGACCAAGAACAATAGTTGCACTTACAGATAGTAGGAGTCAACTATCTCCGTGAAGTGAATAATGCATTACCATTAAGAATTGAGAAATTATCAAAAAGATGAACTATAGATACACATAATATATATTCTGAGAATAAGATATATTGCCTCTGAGAGAAAGGCACTTCAGCAGAGGCTTAAAGTAAAATGGACACAAGAATATTAACAAAAATCAGTCACAATAATATAATATGAACAGATGTGGGAGCTGTTAAAATATTTTGTCTTACTTGAACCTGACAGCATTTCTATACAGCAAACAGAGTACATCTCATTTTGCCAAATTTTAATATGAGAACATTGAACCTTAGTTAAATGTCTTGTGTAACATCACCCACTAGAGAGTTAAGGAACTGGCCTTAGAATAAGAAGTCTCTGCTCCCATTTTCATCAAATAAACCTGGTCTTTGTATTGCTACTTTTAAGGACCTCAGTAAAGGACCAAGGACAAATTATTCTGGTCCATTGAACATAAATATTCCAATCAATTCAGCCTGTGACTAAAGGAAAGTTGAAACCAGAGACTGACCTGTTGTAGCAAGTATAAACTAAAATGAGAAACAAAGGTCACAAAACTATACCACTGTTCAAGGCAGAATAGAGACTCAAGGTGAACACTAGAAGCTTTTTAAAGAGACTTGGCAAGGTCATGCTGATAAATTGAAATGTATACGACTTGGAATTACTAATAAATCATGCTAATTTCTTCAGAACCCACTGTCCTGGCCTCTCTGAACCCAGAGGTAATGGGCAGATTATTCACATTCCTGATTAATAATTTTGAAAATTTTATGTATCTTACAATAGCTTATTGAGTTGGTATTTTATTTGGGTCACTAAAGCGCACACACACACACACACACACACACAGACAAAGTCTTATCATCTATGAGTAATAAAAGACTTCATATGAAGTATAAAATATATGCTGCTTTTGCGATCATACACCATTTCCGAACTAAACAACCTCAGCCATTAAAATTTCTTATCATTTTAACATTTATTTCAATCCTGTAATTATTTGTATTGCCTTAACATATTTTTTAAACAATTTATATATGCGGATGTCCATTGTGTAATGTACTGTTGCATATGGAGAACTCTCATGTATTTGAAATAAACTGTCCTAGAGAAGCAATATAGTTTATTGGTTAATAACCTGAGCAACACAGCTACATTGCAAAGGATCCCATCCCTAATCTTTCAATTATTAGTCGTGAGAACTAGGACAAGCCATTTAATTTATCTGTACCTCAGTTTGTTACTCTATGAAATGAGATTATATTATTACCTATTTAATAGGGGTGTTGTGAAGATTAAATGAGTTTATACAAGTCGATCACTGAGGTAATACACGGAACATAGTAAGCAACCAGTAAATGTTTGGTATTAGAGTTATTATTTATAGATGATGTTTTTTTCTGAAAGGAAAGAAGAGAAATAAATACAAAGCACTGCTGGCTATAGGGTACACATAGAAAAATGAAAATGAGAATGTTAAATCCATCTGTGATAATAGAAATGGTAAGGGAAATGGTATGGTAAATTTTATTACTTAAAAAATTCAAATTAGAAAAGTGGAGAGAAAAATGTAACACACATATTTATGCCCATCATCTACAAAAATGCTAAAATTTTTCCCTGTTTGGTTCATCTATTTCGGGGTGAGTAGAAGCTGAAATATTTTAAAATAAAGAACACTTAGGATGTGTACAGTGACCCATGCCTGTAATGTCAGCACTTTGGGAGGTCAAGGCAGGAGGATCACTTGAGCCCAGGAGTTAGAGACTGGCCTAGGCAATATAGTGAGACCTCGTTTCTACAAAAAAAAAAAAAAAAAAAAATTGAAAGAAAAAATTAGCCAGGTGTGGTGGTACACATCTGTAGTCCCAGCTACAAGGGATACCTATTAAAACACCTCTTTTAGATAAAACAGAGAACAGACTAATAGCCTTTTTACATATATGTATTTTTAAATCCACATCTGTACAAAGCTCTGAATAACTAAATGGGCTTTTAAAACATGTATTCCATGGAAACAACTGTTAACATAAAATTAAAATTAAAATGTCTTAAAAATGGAAAGAGTATAAAATGGGTGTATGTGTGTTTATATGTATGTAAAATGTATATATTCACAATAAAGTGAATATTGTGATAAAACACATTATATAACTATATATAGCATATATATGCGAGTATACATATGCACACACACATAAATATATGTGTACCTACATATTTATATGTAAAAATACAGACTTATTTATTTACTTATTCAAAATAGCACACAAATAAAGGACAATATAAACTACCTGGATCACTTTGCCAAAAGCAACAGCAAACTCCTCCTTCTGGGAAATTCTTGGGCCTGTCTCCCTAAGATACGGTAACTGAGCCAAAAAGATCCCTTTCATAGGATTTTCGAACCTCGGGCCAAATAGATATAAAGACTAAGTTCCTTTCTATTCATACTGACCTGCAAGTTTGGATACTAGCACACTTGGAATATTTTCAATTCATATCTATCACTCAAATCATTAGATGTATTGGGTTGGTGCAAAAGTAATTGTGGCTGTTGCCACTGAAAGTAATGGAAAAATTTCAATTACTCTTGCACCAACCTACTACAAAAGTAGTATGGGCAGGCCTTGGAGATACTGCAGGTTAGGTTCCAGACCACCACAATCAAGTGAATATTGTGATAAAGCAAGTCACAAAATTTTTTTGATTTCCTAGTGTATATAAAAGTTATGTTTTGGCCGGGCACAGTGGCTCACACCTGTAATCCCAGCACTTTGGGAGGCCGAGGCGGGTGGATCACCTGAGGTCAGGCGTGCAAGACCAGCCTGGCCAACATGGTGAGACCCTGTCTCTACTAAAAATGCAAAAATTAGCCAGGGGTGGTGTTGCGTGCCTGTAATCCCAGCTACTCGGGAGGCTGAGGCAGGATAATTGAACCTGGGAGATGGACGTTGCAGTGAGCTGAGATCGCACCACTGCACTCCAGCTTGGGTGACAGAGTGAAATTTCATCTCAAAAAAAAAAAAGGTTATGTTTACTGTAGTCTATTCAGTGTACAATAGCATTTTATGTCTAAAAAAAGTACATATCTTAATTTAAAAATAGTTTATTGCTAAAAATGCTAACAATCATCTGAGCCTTCAGCAAGTTATAATCTTTTGGCTGGTGGAGACTGTAGCAATTCAGTAACATCTTCCATCTCCATTGGTAATTCTAATTCTCTTGCTATTTCTACCCCATTTGCAGTTACTTCCTCCACTGAAGTCTTGAGTCACTCAAAGTCATCCATGAGGGTTGGACTCAACTTCTTCCAAACTCCTGTTAATGCTAACATTTTGATATTTCCCCATGAATCCAAAATTTCCTTAGTGGCATCTAGAATGGTAAATCCTTTCTAGAAGGTTTTCAATTTACTTTGCCTGAATCCATCAGAGGAATTACTGTCTATCACAGGTATAGCCTTATGAATTACATTTCTTAAATAATTACATTTGGAAATTGAAATTACTGCACTTCAATTGATCCTTGGGCTGCAGAATGGATGTTGCATTAGCAAGCATAAAAACAAGATGAATCTTCTTACACATCTCCATCACAGCTCTTGGGCGACTGGGTGCATTGTCAGTATTTCAAAAGGATTTTTTCTTCTTTTTCTTTTTCTTTTTCTTTTTTTTTTCTGAGCAGTAGGTCTCAACAGTGGGCTTAAAATACTCAGTAAACAGATGTGCTGTCATCCAGGCTTTGTTGTTCCATTTATATAGCACAGGCACAGTAGATTTAGCATAATTCCTAAGGGCCCTAAAATCTTGGGAATGATAAGTGAGCACTGGCTTAACTTAAAGACATCAGCTGCATTAGCCCCTAATGAGAAAGTCAGCTTGTCCTCTGAAGCTTTGAAGCCAGGCACTGAAATTTCCTCTCTAGCTATGAAAGTCTTAGATGGCATCTTCTTCCAATAGCAGGTTGTTGTCCACATTGAAAATCTTTTGTTTTGTGTAGCCACCTTCATCAATGATCTTAGCTAGATCTCCTGGATAACTTGCTACAGCTTCTACATCAGCACTTGCTACTTCACCTTGTACTTTTATGTTATGGAGATGGCTTCTTTCCTTAAACCACATGAACCATTATCTGCTAGTTTCAAACTTTTCTTCTACAGCTGCTTCACATCTCTCAGCCTTCACAGAACTGAAGAGAGTGAGGGCCTTCCCCTGGATTAGGCTTTGGCTTAAGGGAATACTGTGGCTGCCTTGATTTTCTATCCAAACCACTGAAATTTTCTTCATGTCAGCAAAAAGGCTGTTTTGCTTTCTTATCATTCATGTGTTCCCTGGAGCAGCACTTTTAATTTTCTTCAAGAACTTTTCCTGTGTATTCAAAAGCTGACCAACTGGGACAAAAGTCCTAGCTTTCAGCCTGTCTCACCTTTGACATGCCTTCCTCACTAAGCTTAATCATTTCTAGCTTTTGATTTCAAGTGAGGTGCAATTCTTCCTTTCACTTCAACACTTAGAGGTCATTGTAGGGTTATTAATTGGTGTAATTTAAAAATTGTTGTGTTTCAGGGCACAGAGGGGGGAAAAGAAGGGAGACAGATGACACAAAACAGCCGGCTCAAGGAGCAGCCAGGACATGCATACATTTATCGAATAGGTTCACTGCTGTGTTTTATGGGCACAGCTCATCATGCCCCAGAGTAATAACAGTAGTAACATCAAAGATAACTGATCACAGATCACTCTAATAGATATAATAATTTTAAAGTTTGAAATATTGTAGTAATTACCAAAATGTGACACACGGACATAAAGTGTGTATATGCCACTGGAAAGATGGCACCAAAAGACTTGTTTGGCACCAAAAGACTTGTTCAATGAAGGATTGTCCCAAATCTTCAATTTGCAAAAATCATGGTATCTGTGAAGTGGAATAAAGTGATGCACAATAAAGTGAGGTATGTGTCTAATTGGGGATAACGTAAAGAGCACCATATCACTGCTCTTAAATTTATACTACTGCAAAGACAGTTATTATCAAGATGTACATTTCCCCAGATAGAAAAAAAAAAAAAAAAAAACCTCCATCAGAATGTTTTTGGGAGGCATACGTTTTCATAAAAATTATACTCTCTATTTCATAACTATTCCTCTGTACAGAATTCAAAGTCCAAAATGGACAATAATGACTGTACTATATTAACTGAAAATATTAGATATATGGGTTTATGCTCAAGGATATCAAGATTTCCAATTATTTTCTCTAACTGATATCAGCAACATGTTTGAATTTGTTTCTCTGCTTTCAATCTACAATATCATCTACATCACCTAGTCCTTAGTAAGTGTTCAATATATATTTGGGAAATTAATGAACTTTCAAATAATGAAATATATCACTGGCCAGATGATAACCTTAAATAGTGTTCTTGTTCTGCGTGATTATTCAATAAGTATTTGTAGAATAAATAAAAGAATTAATGCATGTTTATATTTTCAGTGGCTAACTGAAAACCAAATAAGATCAAGGTATGGAAATGCCATCCATGAAATAGTCATTCATTCATCTATTGATTCATTTAACAAATATTTTCTATGGGCGAGGTACAATTTTAGGAGCCAGGGATAAATATCACAGAGAAGAAGGCTTTATAGGCCCCGCAGTTTAATGGAAAAATAATGACATCTAACAGTTATTGAGTGCTTACTTTATGTAAAGGTACTAGTATTTATTGAGCATTATTTCATTTAATCTTCACTACAATCTACAACACAGGTACTAATAGGATGCTATTTAACAGGCGGTAAAGGAGGTAAGCAGCTAAAGTCTTACATGTAACAATGCAACCAGGAGTCTGGACTTGATCAAAGTTATAAAGGGATACTGTTTTAAACTATGGTGAGCTTTATACAGGTAATCGTGGTGCAGCACTTTAGGAAAGAGAGATTTATTGCTAAAATAACCATGGGTAATTGTTGAGCTGTTATATTTTGTAAAATCATTCACAGAAAAATAATGACCAAATACTTAATTACCTTTAAAGTAAAAAACACATAATGGTTCTCAGTAGAATGAAAACATTTAAAAATTACTATTATCTGCTTTTCAGAGAACACTTTTTAAATGTTGAAAATTACGAAGGAAATAAATCCACATATTGATGGAACACATTTCTGAACACCAATATAAAAGTCTATTTATTATGAAGTTTTGCTACTTCACAAGATTCAAAATGTTCTGTTATTTTTAAAACTAGTCCTGCCAATTTTACACATGGTAACTAGTAACTTATTATAAAATATTATTTGCTTATTCAACAATAGCTGGTTCTTAACTATTAGGAGTAAGATAAATATTTCAAGGCAGTTAAATTAAATATATTTGTCTTAAATAACTACCCCTCCCACATCCCCTTGACTGCTATATTCAAACTTCTGAAAATACACCAAAAAACTCAGTTAAAATAATAGTTTTAACTGTTTAGGTCCAACTCCAGAATTCTTTACTTACACTGTATTATTTCTTTGGCAAGACTTCAGATTTCCACATTCCTCAAGACAGATTTAGCTAACTATTGCAGTAAAACACAAAGAAATAATTTATTTAAAATATTAACCACTAAATATTAAAAGGCAGATTTATCAGATTGTCAGGTCTTCCAGTTTATGAAACAGTGTCTAATAAAGTGGTATAGTCATGATTTACTAAGGTATTTAAATTCATTATTATATCAACTATATTTTACACCTTTGACTAGTCCTTTTCTCACATTCAGGCTTGCTGTATTGTAGAAATCTATTTTCACCAATTAAATAACCTTAATTCTGTCTTGTAAAAATTTAATTTGAGAATTATGCTTCCACCTTCCAAAGAATGTAAGTTTGGTTAATGTATGTTAAGATTATACATTTATTCTGGCACTACTACTAGGATACTCATTTGAATATGCCATGTTTTTTCCCACAACTCTGCTTTGCAATAATAAAGAATATTTATTACGTGATCTCATTGAAGTATTCAGGGAAGAATAATTACAGAATGTTAAAAAAGCACACTGTGATTTTTTTCTTAAATAAAGACAAAGATTAACAAATGTCTCAATATACATTCAAAAATTATGCTCCTTATTATTTCAATATATGTGCCTTAAACATAATCAAAATAATGCATCAACTACAAAGGAAAATAATCATATTATGATCGTTTTGATTAAAACATTTTTATGTGCACATAAGAATAAAGAGCGTCTGTCTCTGGGTTTGGGGGTTTGATTTGATGTAGTTTCTTCCTTTTGGTAATCTACGTTTTATTTTTTCAAATAATATTGTTTATCTTATAAGTTTGAAAAGTGCTAAAATTATCCAAGGGTGCTTTCTGGTTTTAGATGATGAGGAAACATTAACAAGTCACCTTGTCTGCCTTTAATAAATGATGAACAAGAAATGATTCACTAGGGGTGGAATCATTCACTAAGAGAGTCTGTTTTAAGAAATGAGAAGAAAAAAATGTGAATATAGTCTTTTTAGATAGATTCAGAAAGAATAAAGATAGACGTTTTCTAATAATATTTTTTAAGAATGATCTCAAGCTGACTTTTTATTTTATTGTGGTAAGGTAAATGCAAATTCTCCAGATATAAAATGTACAAAATGTGAGTAAATGAAAACAGACACCAAGGATCATACTGATTAATCCTTCTCTTTTGATTCTGATTTTGAGCACAGTACAGGACTTCAACATTTTTTTTCTCACAGCATATGCACAGTTTTCTAGGGTCCAACTTAATAAAAAGCAAAGCACTGTGATAGACCCTTTCATTTGAATTGAGTCATTACTTTCCAAGGACTTTAAATATGAGGCCAGAGGGAAGGGGGGTTAACGTAGGCATACATTGCATTTGCTTTCTTCAATTTGGTGAATTTAGCCATCATACTGTAGGACTATAGTTCAAAACACCATTCTAAGTAGTCATGAATTACATACTGAATACTAGGATGGTGTGTTAATAACACAATGTGCTCTATTATATCCATAATGCATCGAATGATACCTGCTGGCCTAAAAGAGCTAATGTACCTTCCTATAGCTCTAGGAACTTAGTCGCTGGGGGGAATCAAATTTAATATACCTCTCTATCTAGTAGCAGGAAAAAAAAATAACTATGCCTCTTTTTAAAAATTTTCCTAAAGCCAGAAATTTTCTTTTGGTGTAATGAAAGGCACATAAAAAGTTTGAAACAATTATCTTTACAAATCTAGGGTAAGTTTCACATTCAGTGAAGATACTTAAGGTTCTGAGCACACTCACTGTATGTAATTTAAGGTGCTAGGAAAGTTGTTTTAACTCTAACATTCTATACACTTACAAGAAGCTCTAATAGTGAGAGCACAGACTAGGGCATTTGCTAACATCTAAGCAAAGGTATCATGCCCCCTCTAGTACTCTCTTCCTTAGGCTAATATTTCTTTATGTGACACAGTTTGGAACCTCACAGTCACAGTTTTTCATAATTAAGACCTCTAAAAATGGTACTAATTTTTAAAATTCCTTTTTGTCCAACACTAATAACTGCCTTATTCAGGATAATATTAATTATTAACACAATGTAGATTCACCTTAGCTTTTTTTTTTTTTTTTTTTTTGAGACAGGTCTGGCTTTGATGCCCAGGCTGGAGTCCAGTGACACAATCACGGCTCACTTCAGTCTCAAACTGCTGGGCTCCTGGGCTAATGCAGTCCTCTTGTCTCAGCCTTCAGAGTAGCCGGGACAATAGTCATGAGCCACCATGTCTGGCTATTTTTTTTTTTTTCTATTTTTCTTTTGTAAAGACAGTGTCTTGCTATGTTGACCAGGCTGGTTTCAAACTCCTGGCCTCAAGTGATCTTCCCACCTATGCCTCCCAAAGTGCTGACATTACAGGCATGAGCCACCCCACCTGGCCCATCTTAGCTTTTTATGACACCACCACAATGATCAAATTTTGTTAAGATTACTGAAATCTCAAACTTCTAAAGTGATGCCCAATGTTAAAACGACTTTAATTTTCTCCCCCATACAAGCCATCTACTTCTGACAGAGCTGTGTGTGTGTGTGTGTGTGTGTGTGTGTGTGTGTAGACTGTGACAGAGAGAGACAGAGAGAGAGAGCGTGGGGGGAGAGAAAGAGAGAGAGAGAGAGAGAGACTCAATATGTTACCGTGTTACCCAGTTGCTCAGGCTGGACTAGAACATTTGGGCTTAAATGTTCCTTCCAACTCAGCCTCCCTAGTAGGTGGAACTATAGGTGCATACCAGTATGCCTAGTCACTGACAGAGGATCTATACTTTTGAACCGCACTAATTTGTTTATATCTATTTCAGCTATTAATTATACATGCCGTGAGCGCAGGAGCAGCTGGGCCTCGAATGTACTAAGCCCTTGAAAAGGTTTGACAAATGAATAAAAACCCTTCAATCTTATCAACATGAGCTGGTCCTAACCCACGTCACCCCAACATGGTATTTTTTCTAATAAATTCTTGGATCGAAGAGGATGAGATGACAAAAATCTACAACTCATGCAAATTTTATAGACTGTCTAGACCAGTTTTGGAATTTGCTTCTGAAATGAAATATTTTGCTACTAAATAATTGTCCTCCACAAATATACAGAAATTCTCTTTGATATCTTTATTCAAGTCACTATCAAAATATTGAACATTTTGTAAGAGGACAAAAGAAACAGAAAAGTGTAATATGCCACAGAAACTTTCCTTTCAGAAAGTTCCAATAATGACTACATTCTAGGTACAATTTCCTTAATGAGTTAATAATATATATGCAATTGTCCTTGTACATGGACCATAGTTTTTATTCTTGCCCATGCAATAATCATAGAGCTTTTGCTATTAAGTTAACATGAGTTTTTTGTTTGTCTTACAAAACACTTTCTATAAAACAAAAATCAATTAAGTGAGTGAGAACTCAGTCAACATCACAACCAATAAAACAAATAATTTAAGGAAATAACAAAATATGTAATTATTTAATCATAACAGTTATCAAAATTAAATATAATTTAATTACTTATTCAGAGTCATTAATCATGTACAGTTGAAAAATTGCACTACTGAAGCAATCATTTAATCATTAGAGCTACAAAAATGTCTAAGTACTAATTCATTATTTCTGCTATGCTCTTGGGAAATTATATCCCATATTTATAATAAAACCAACATAATTATTTTTAAATCCATAACTAATAACATTGGCATGGATCTTTAATATACTAACATACTATATTTTTTAAAGGTCAAATTTTAAAATATTTATTTAAAATAAATGTAAGGCCGGGCGTGATGTCTCACGCCTGTAATCCCAGCACTTTGAAAGGCCGAGGCGGATGGATCACCTGAGGTCAGGAGTTCGAGACAAGCCTGGCCAACATGCTGAAACCCTGTCTCTACTAAAAAATACAAAAAAAAAAAAAAATTAGCCAGGCATGGTGGCAGGCACCTATAATCCCAGCTACTCGGGAGGCAGAGGCAAGAGAATCGCTTGAACCTGGGAGGCGGAGGTTGCAGTGAGCTGAGATCACACCATTGCACTCCAGCCTGGGCAACAAGAGGGAAACTCCATCTCAAAAATAAATAATAAATAAATAAATAAATTCAAGACAATGAATCCAGTAAACAAGCAAAAGAGATGTATGCAATCTATAGAGCTATGATTTACATGTAGTACACTTAGTTAACTTCATTAAAAGATACATCATTTTATTACTTAATGACCAGGACAGGCACAATGATCATTCTCACCAATCTCACACTGTAAAACTTGTAAAAGAAACTTCAAAAGAAAAAAAAAAGTCTTATAGCTTTCTTGAGTTTCAGGATGCCAGGAAATACCTAAATTTGAAAGTTCTTTTCAAGGGAATAGTAGACAGAAGCAGGACTTTGGCTGACCTTTTAGGGGACGTTATTCAAGGATTCATATGCTGCAGAATTACAATTAGTCTCTGACAGTGACTTTTGTTAATCAAGTTTGCATTTCCTTTGAACTTTACAATCCTGTACTTGCGTGCATCTGTTTAACTTGTACTTTACTCAGGCAACCTATCAGAATCACTAAATTATGCAAAGCAACTGTTAGCAATTCTTATATATATGCAGTGGCAAAAAAAAATGTATCTACTTTTCATTCAAGTGACTTTGAAGGAAGGTCTTAAAGAAATCTTCTTTTTCACTGAGCAACGTCAATGGAATAAGGAATTACTTGCCACACCGTACTTAATAAATCATAGCAATTGTTTCTCTCTTTCTATCTCACATAGCAGATAAAATACTGCTGATCTCAAGAGAATACTTCTTTTAAAAGGACCACTATCAGTGCACTATTTCATTATTTTACTTGTGGGTGATATGCTGCATAAATCCATCTCACTGAATTATGGAGATGCTGAAGTATACCTATCACAGACATTCAGAGTGACTAAACAAGCACATAAAGTGAAGTTATAGAATCACAAAATTGAAAATGAAAAGTAAATAATGCTAAAGATAATCTGACCCAGTATTTCCCAAAGTGTGTTTAATTGAACTCAAGTTCTGCAGATATGAATTAAGGGTGAAAAGCTCAGTAGGCAAATAGGTTGAGAAATGCAAGGATAAACAATGTTAAATCATTTTTCCCCCTGTAGGAATTCACAGAGCCTTTAAGATATTATGCACTGTGGATTTACAAGAAGAAAAAATATGCTGTGTTTGCCAAACTCATTTGACTGTGGAACTTTTTTTTCATGTTAACATCCAGGTCTAGTATCTATTATGTTTTAGAATATGATGCCCTAGTCCAAACACCACAGTTTATTTATAGCCTAGATTAAAGAAGTGACTTGCCACAGGTTATATAGCTAGTAAGCACGAGACAGGACCAGAGCCTGAACTGGCCAGATTCCTTCTCACACATCACTTTTGATACAGGGTAAGGCATCTTGCCAGGCTGCTGTGATTGAGGGATAAAAAGCAAGGTTTCTGAGAGTACTTGCAAGGCTGTAAGAAAAAGGATGACCCAGGAACCTAATATGGGTAAAGAAGAAAATCAATGTATTGACAATATTGACATTATGAGGATATCTGAGAAAGCGAGTTGGAAGAATAGGAGTCTGATGGCAGAAAGTTAGCGCTGATTTTTGTGGTTTTGAAAATTAAAATATCTGGTGATAATGAGATTTAGGATTAATATGGTTTGGCTGTGTCCCCACCCAAATCTCGTCTTGAATTGTAGCTCCAATAATTCCCATGTGTTTTAGGGGGAACCCTGTGGGAGATAACTGAATCATGGAGGCAGTTTCTCCATACTGTTCTCCTGGTAAGGGAACAAGTCTCACAAGATTTCATGGTTTTAAAAGAGGTTTCCCTTTCACTTGGCTCTCATTTTTCTCTCTTTGTCTGCTGCCATGTGAGACATCCCCTTGCTCTTCCTTTGTCTTCCACCATGATTGTGAGGTCTCCTAGCCATGTGGAACTGTGAGTCAATTAAACCTTTTTCCTTTACAATTACCCAGTCTCGGATATGTCTTTATTAGCAGCATGAGAACAGACTAAAACAAGGAAAATCATGGCAGAGTGGTGAGGCTACTAGAGATGGTTAAGCCAAAGAACTGAAATGTGTTAAAATTATGGCTGTTTGAAGTCACTGAAAAGAAGTTTAAGGGTTTGGCAAGACAAAAGCTATGAGACGGGTGCTAGAATGTTTCTTAATGAAGAAAATGACAAGGAGATCAGTCACATCAGCAATAAATGGGAAAGAAGGTTGGAGAGCCAGATGGCAAGAGTCTCAAAAGAGCACGGCTTGTCAAAAAAGAGGATAAATATGAAAGAGGTAATGGCATCCAAAGAAGAGACTGACAGAGACTGTCCTTAGGCAAGAGGGGTGTGGGAGGCATGAATGCAGAAATATGGTCCCTCAGAGATCACCCAGAAGTTGACAAAGCATAAAAGAATTGTATCTGTACGGCATTTCTCTAGAGAAATAGCCTGAAGTTGTCATTATCACTATTAAATATTTATATAATTTAGTAGTTTATGATTAGTTATCCCCACAATGTTTATAGACTATAAAGTAAATAACTGTTCACGAACTGCTTAATAAGTTTGGTCAACTGTCAGACTCAAGAGGTTTAGCCAAGTTGTAACTTTAAGCCAAAACTAGAGAAATGCCTATACACATAAGGAGTTAAATGGATTGTAGGCCTCCAGGAATCATAAAAAACCCTCAGCAGCAGCAAGGAAAATTTGAAATGCCGGCTAAATGTATAAAAATATCAATAGTGTTTACTTCTAGATAGTAGGATTATAAAGCTTTTTTCTTATCATTTAACACTCATATATAATTCTAAAATTTCTACAATGAATATACATTATTTTATAATCCAAAAAAAGTGTTTATCTGAAAATATCAAGCTCCTATCTTTAAATAACCATAGATAAGAAAGAACACTTACATTTTAGAGTATTTTGGCAATATTTAACAAAATATTAATTACAAATTTTATGATTTCCCTTGTAATCCCACTTTTACAAATGTATTCTCCACCAAACACGAGTGCATCAATAAGTATGCCCATGCTGTCTGCTGCAGCTATGTTTAAAGTATGAAAAAGCTGAAAGCAATGTTAAATTCCCAGAATAAGAAACTGAATAACTAAATTGTGGGCCTTGCATATAGAAACTACTATGGGACTGATGAAAAGAATGAATTAAATATACACTATCAGAAGAAGATATTTAAGATAAATTTTGAAATAACAAAAGCATCTAAGAGAACATTTTGCATAACAGCTATATTTCTATTTTTAAATAAATGAATATCTTATGCATTACATGTGCATAACATAAATGTGTGTGTATATATATATAATAAATATATATATATGATGCCCCATATATGACTCTGTATATATGAGGAAAAGTCTAGAAAAATATATGATAAATCACTTACAGCATTTGCTGTGGGCAGTGAAGTTAGGGGTTCGAGGTTCATACTTTTTATTTTACATACTTCTGTACTCTGATATCTTTATAAAAATTCATGAATTACTTGTATAATAATATACTAATAAAGTTTACTCAAAGGAAAATATTAATCAATATCCTCATACTGGCAAATCTCCCCACAAGCAAGTTTTGAAAATATGAAATATAGCTATTCCTCAAAATTTATTGATTTCAATAGTTTATAAATTTAATGAATGGTTTTGCAATAAAACAAGAACCAAAACCCCACATACAACTTATTCTGAGCAAAAGAAGAAAAATGAAGGATAGGTAAATGTGTGTGTGTGTCTATATATATATGTTAGTTTGCTAACACATGGAAATGTCATTACTTCACAACTGATATAAATTAGACTATCACAATACTGATACATTCTCTTAGTTTATTTAAATTTTGTTGGAAAACTATAATAATGCATATTTACATAAAATGTTCATTATGATGCTGACTTTCACTTAATATTTATTCAATAGTTTTTGAATGATGAATGGAAAAACATATTGGTATATATTGGTATATGGTTCTATCTGTATAATATTTTATATATATATATATACACAAACACACACACATAAATATATAATACAGCAAACAAACCTAGATCAAAATCCATTGGCTCTTGATGTATCAGTACTTATTGTAACTGTATTGTTGCTAAATACTAGTAAATTAGCTTCAAAAGAGGCTTTAAAGGAAAAGTCTGTGCATAAATCTCCCAGATAAGCAGTGGTATTCCACATAGCATAAGATACACAGCATAAGAGAGATAGACTGATATAAATTATATTTAGTTTTAAGCTGGACAATAGCAACACTTCACTCAAGACCCACAACAGCATATTAAAGTCTACCTTAGAAAGATGTATCCGATGACAGATTTATTCATTTACTTTTATTAAGCATTTAGTATGTACTTAGGATTATACTGGGAACTTGAAAAATTAAAGCTGTACAAAAAAAAAAGAGAATGCCTATCCCACTGACCCCATGCTCCCAAAGTAAGACAAGTTATAAATCTTGAATTGCTATAATAGAGAAAAGCATGGAAGATGTGGAAGCAAAGAGGAAACGAGAGAACAAATTCACTGAGAAGCGTGATATTTTGGACTGGGCTTTAAAATGAGGATAATAGAACTGGTAAGGCCACCCTCCAGTAAGCAGCAAACAGTCAGATGCGGGTAAAGCAAAATATCCAATTTAGTTTGAATCTGAGGGATAATGACTCTGATGCATGTCCTGTCTAAAATACAAGCCTAATCACCACATCACAGCTGCCAAAATAAAGTGCTGCATCCTCAGATGAAATACTTTATGAAGTGCAGAATAAGCACAGATACCCTACTCAACTTCACACTCTTTACACAGCCGCCAGGGCCAGTTAACAAGGATTTATCCTGAACAGGGATCCCAATAATGTTGTTTTTCAGTTATTTGACCAACCTGACTGCTTCTCTCTGCCTGAAGAGTTACTGCCAGAGCATCTCCTCTAGAAATATGCCAGCTGGCAGCAGACTGGCTTCAAAACACCTGGGCTTCACAAACCCAAAGACAGAGAGACCCAAGATTGTACCCTTGGGCTCCATCACCATGTAGAACCACTGCCAAACCACAGAACCATCTTTGACAATTTATATTAATGTACAAAGGGCAAGACAATTTTAGTTACAAGGCTATGTAGCTATATGTTGTTAATAGAACAAATTCAAAAGAATTTTTTTAAAATTGTAATATGAAAAATAGTTCACATTCTTGCTAATATTTAAAAAACATATGAAGTCTCTTGCATGGTATAAATAACTAGAAAGTGGGTGCTATTTGATGGCAATGAACTCAACCTCTGTGAATTAATGCATCCTAATTTAATATTTGCAAGTACAGTCCATTCCTGGATCAAGTAAACCAAATCCAATGCCAGCTCACTTATTCTGTTCATATTTTCCTCAGTTTCTAAAATGACGGTGGACATGGATATTTACTTAAAATGTCTAAGATCTCTGCATTGTTGAGTTTAACAATTATCAAAATAAAACAAAACCATGCTGATACAATCACCAAATTTGCAGATTGTATGTGCTCGTTTTACACCCCTGAGCACCTAATTAAACATATAGGAAAGGTTTTGTATGTGTGAAGCATTGTGTTACGGGGTTGTTCATATATGCTTTCATCAAACCTCAAAATAAACCTAATAGGACTACTCTTATAATCATTTAATAGAAAGTACTGAGAAGTCAAGCATCTTTGGTCAAAGATTAGAAAAGACTGAAGTTGGATCAATCACTTCTAGAGTCAATCTGACTCTATAGCACTTAAATACTCTATTAGTGGTCTATGAGGGGAATTGTATAAATCTTCCCCACACTATCACTATCATCAGTACTCATTAATAAGGGCTGTGGGATAGATAAGGATTACTTTTCATGTGTAAAACATGAGTTAAGTTTGCTAACACGTGGAAATGTCATTACTTCACAACTGATATACATTAGACTATCATAATACTGTTACATTCTCTTAGTTTATTTAAATTTTGTTGAAAAACTATAATAATACATATTTACACAAAATGTTCATTATGATGCTGACTTTCACTTAATATTTATTCAATAGTTTTTGAATGATGAATGGAAAAACATATTGGTATATATTGGTATATGGTTCTACCTGTACAATATGTAAATAATCACATATGTACATAAAATGAAAGTATACAAAGGATAAATTGTTCTCCTGGACATCCAATTCGGAAATAGCAACACATAGTTAAATCAGTTCAGTTTGTGAGCAGAGTCTCACTCAAAATGATACATTTATAATGCTGGCTGCCACATATAATGACTTTTCTTAGTGATCCTCAAACTATGGTCTCTGAGCCTTTTGCACAGAAATTAAATGTTTATTTAACATGCAGATCCCTGTGCCACCATAACACCTGCTAAATCAAATCAATCTCTTCTCTCTCTCTCTTTCACACACACACACACACACACACAGACACACACTGAATGATAATCATACTAACTTTTGAGAACCACCTGAAAACATGAATAACAGAAAGATGTTTCCTTGATTCTGTATTGTATTGTCATGGAAGTCTTTTTTTTTTTTTTAAATTGAGACAGAGTCTCACTTATCACTCCCAGGCTGGAGTGCGGTGGCATAATCTCAGCTCACTACAGCTTCTTCCTCCTAGGTTCAAGCGATCCTCTCGCCTCAGCCTCCCGAGTAGCTGGGATTACAGGCCTGTGCCTCCATGCCCAGCTATTTTTATTATTATTATTTTTAGTAGAGATGGGGCTTCACCATGTTTACCGGGCTGGTCTTGAACTCCTGGCCTGAAGTGATCCGTCTGCCTCCGCCTCCCAAAGTGCTGGGGGATTACAGGTGTGAGCCACCGTGCCCGGCCTGTCATGGCAGTCTTCTAAGTACTACTCTGAATGTATTAAAAGTCAATGTTAGAGATTATGATATAACAAGGACTTTTTTCCTTTATTTAGAGAGAGAGAGAGTATGTGTTTAAGAGTATACATATAAGAACCTTGCAGGTTAATGCTCTGCCCAAATAATTGAGAGACACAATAATATAAATAGATTCATGTGCCTTAAAAGCCAAAGAATCTTTAAAGGAAGCAAGCACTGACTTTCATGGTCACATATAAGTACATCAGTTAAAAAAGAAAATACACGTGAAGCATAACACACAGCAAGTGCTCAATAAATTTTAAGGTGACCATTTAAATGTCAGTTTATACTGATTTTTTACAAACAGAGTGAACACATTATCTCCACTGGAGTCAAAGATTTCAAGAAAAACTAAACAGGAAAAGAAAACGAGGAAGGTAGTCCCTTGATCTTCACAAAAACCTCTGCAAGACCCCTGAGAAGGGCAGGAAATGGCCGGAAAGCTGAGGCACAGCATTTCTCCAGTCTGCTGTAGCAACCCAAGCATGTTGCATTTCTTCATAACTTGGGGCCTTGATTCTAACTGCAAAGTAATGGGTGGGAGTGTGGAGGGAAGGAAAACAAATCTTCCCTGCTTAATTTGTAACTGTCACTTGTCTGCTGACACTTGTCTGTCATTCAGCTGTATTCTCAAAATGACCTCAAGGCCCCACAGACAAGAGGGAATAAACAAAACAGATCAGACAAGGTACCCACAAAGGGGTCAGGGGTACATCTTCCTTGGAGATGAGAGTTCAGAGCTAAGAATTCTACAGGACTGCTGTGGACAAAGCAGGAGCTTACAAGGATCAGAGAGGCACTTCTAAAGCACATGCCAGGAATAATCAATGTGGCCACCTGCCAGGCAAGGAAACTGCAAAAAAACAAAGGGCAATTCATCCACACCTCCACAGGTAGGAAATTAGCCTCAAATTTAGCCCATTTTAGTCTAAGGAACAAATCAGCTGTACCTCCCCATTCCAAACACCGCTTTATGGAAGTATGGAACAGAGTGGTGACTGCATGCATTTTCATCCCTATTTTAAGAAAATCCCTTCTTCAAAGCTAGTAAAAAAAAAAAAAAAAAGGAACTGTAAGAAAACTAAGAAATACAAAGGATGCCTTTGTTGCTCAGCACACTGTTTATACCCAGATATCATGAAGCTTTGCATTCAAAACCCAGTCGTAATGGAGTGCCACAGTAGAATGGGTACAGTGAATGTACCCACCATGAATGTTGGCAGATTATTACACAAAGGGCAGTTATCCCACAGAGAGGGCTGGCAGGTTGACAGAGGACCAACAAACGAATAAACTGAAAGGCGTAATGAGCCCTATTTCCACCCTCACACCACCCTACCCCTCACACGCTGAGGAAAACAAGCCACCAAAATAACCTGTAACCTCCATGCTCTTGACTGCTTTTTAGAGAGGAAAAGCCCAAACAGATAGACCGTCTCAAGAAAGTACGTTACTCCTCAGAAAATGCAAATGTTACAAAGGAGCAGAGACTTAGCTTCACAGACCTTCCAGGACTGCATGACTCCCACAACATGGGAAGGTATTTGCAATCCATATGGAGTGTGGATAACAACCAAATCATTCCTCAGGTCCAAATCGCTTATGAAATGAAAAAGGAAAACAGCCACCCCAATCCATTTTCCCACAAAAGGATAATTTTTCAAGAGGCTTCAGGGGAAACTAATTGTTTGGATTTGAACCTGACAACTTGAAAATAGGGATATATACAGTTTGTATAGTCTCCACTGATCTGAATATAATTTACAGTATTTTTAAAGCAATTTCAGTATTTTATATTATTCATTCTATACACAATAAATAAGTACATGTAGAATATACCTAATATAGTATTTGTTCTCTATCCAATACCTTATCCATATATATATGACTTCCTTGATTTTCTTTTTATCAACATGTTTACAATAAATAAATTTAGAATTATCCATGAAATGAATTTTGAAAATTATGAGAGCACAGCTTCAAATAGTGAGGTGTAAACAATACTTAATTGAAAACTTCTTTTCTCCTACAATGACAATGATATACTGGGTTTCAAAACAAAAGTCACTTAAGCATTTAAAGAAAAGAGTTTATAGAAATTAAGAAATATTTCTCAAAACCCTGAAATTTAGGAGTTAAATGCAGCTCTTTTCACACACATACACCGAATTTATTTGTCTTTCCAATTCACCTCATAAATTGTCCTAGAGGTATATAAGTGCAGGCACCCTGATATATATTTGAACATTTATTCCTATTTCCTCAAATCATCAGCCAATCTTTGCCCTGACAGCTATGACTGTCAAATCTCTCCCTTTTTGTGCTGGCTAAATTGCTCTAAGTAAAAAAGAAACTGACATTCTACTCTTAAAAAATGAAGCTTTTGACATTTCGGGATGTTAATAGATGGATAAACTGTATAACAGGAACATCAGTCCTGAAAGAGAATTTGACCTGAATAGCCATGCACTGCACTCATGCATTTATAATTGTGCTAGCAAATGAATGAGAAAAGATGAAGTGGAACCATTTTTCAAGAGGCATGCTGTGATTTCTCATTACAGGGATAATCTTAAACAGTAATGGTATTTCTTTAAAACCTGAATAATCTTAAGAGTAAAACGTACTGAAAAGAAATCTATGCTTTAAATCCTGCTTTTATAGGTATCCCCCATGTAAGTAATACAAGCCCATTCTCATAACTCCAGAAATGAATTCTTCTTAAAGATGAGGCTTGTTTAAATGCCTTTTCTTCAAACAAAAAACAGAAAACTAGCTATTAACGCAACATTTTATTAATTTTTAATAAACCAGTTCTATTATTTTAAGCAACCCCTTCCAAAAAAAGCAGAAATCATTCTGCTTTTTTATTGATACAAACAATTCATTTGTAAATGTGTTTTTAAAAGAGTTATGAATTCACTTCATACAGATTATAGTTCTTCTTTTGTTTAATGAGGAAGAAAGTATTTTACCTACAACATAAATTTTGGTAAAATTTTATTCAACATCATGGTAAGATACAACTGAAGTCTAGATTTTATCCCTATTTAACCTATTAGGATGACAGATCTCTTCCTAAATCCAATTTGATGAATAGAAAAATCCCACCAGAGTTGTCTCACATATATAACTCAATTGAATTTGAAAAAGACGTACTTTATATTCTTGCCTAGCAAAGTCTTTAAAATATATATTATATAATTTTTTTCAGGTTTCGTGTTCCTAACCCAAAAAAGCAATTAACATAGTAAAACCCAATTGGAGACATAGCTGCAGAAGTTTTCCAGCATCTTAAAGTACAGCTAGAGAAACCTCACTTAGAAGACACATTTTCTAGACCTGTGGGAACTGATCACAGTTCATATCAGAAAAGGAGAGTTGCCCCAGAAAACACTCAGCCATGGTTTTCTTTTGATAGTCGTCACTCTGGATCCTTCTTTGACACCATTTAAAATTCTTCCTTTAATTTACACTTCATATCAAATATACCCTTTAAACTTTGTTGAAAGTAACTAATATCTCTCCACCGCACTGAATCGTCAGAGTTTATTTCTAGGGTTCACCAGATGGAGGGGACCAATTTACAAAAAGTTGCCAGGGTAGATCCTCTTATCAAATGCCCTGGTAAATCTATTCTAACCCTTGGATAGAGGAGAAAAATATTATAGTTCATGTACACTATAAAAAGCATTTAAAAAAAATGTTGGCTGGGCGCGGTGGCTTACGCCTGTAATCCCAACACTTTGGGAGGCTGAGGTGGGAGGATAACTTGAGGCCAGGAGTTTGAGACCAGCCTGGCCAACATGGCAAAACCCTGTCTCTACTAAAAATACAAAAATTACCCAAGCGTAGTGGTGCACACCTGTAATTCCAGCTATTTGGAGGGGCTAAGGCATGAGAATTGCTTGGACCAGCGAGGCAGAGATTGCAGTGAGTCAAGATCACACCATTGCATTTCAGCCTGGGTGGCAGAAAGAGACTTTCTAAAAAAAAAAAAAAAAATACAGGCAGGGCACAGTGGCTCATGCCTGTAATTCCAGCACTTTGGGAGGCCAAGACAGAAAGATCACTTGAATCCAGGAGTTTGAGACCAGCCTGGGCAACATAGTGAGCCTCCCTCTTTACAAAAAATAAATACATTAATAAATTAATTAATTAATTGCTGGATATGGTGGCACATGCCTGGAGTCTCAGCTACTCCAGAGGCTGAGGCAGGAGGATGGCTTGAGGCCAGGAGCTCAAGGCTGCATGCAGTAAGCCGTGATTGTGACCTGCATTCCAGCCTGGGAGACAGAGTGAAATCCTGTCAAAAAACAAAAGAAAAAAAAATACAAAAAGTGCAAATGAAATTTTATTATAAAGGGTTTGGTAATACTAAGATTAAGAAATGCCATAAAACTAAAAATTTAAATAAGTGTTGAACAACATGTGAAGAATAAATACAACACCGTATAAGTGATACACCACACTTCAATTAAGGTGGCTTTTAATTTGGCAGGTTCCCAGGATATTACATTACTGCATGTATTTTGTGATGTTTTATACATACACTGAAAAACAGAACACTAAGTAAAACAGAACCCCATTAGTTTATAAGGATTCCAGAGTTCCAATAATGTCCCCTGAATCATTATGGCTCTTTGTGGTAAGACCTTATATAATATAGCTATTTTATAATGAAGATATTAGTTCTATCAGCAATACCAGTACTATGTACACCACAGTTAAAATCTTCCAATATATTTTTTTCATTTACTTTACAAAGAGCCCAAAGAAAATAAAATTTTAATAAGTATTTTTATGTGCTTATAACTTAAACTCAAAAAATGCCATTTTTATCTACAGATAAAAATGGTAAGGAGACAGCTTTTTAAGTTAAGACAGGCATACACACATTGCTTCATTTCCCTGAAACAGAGGAAATAAATCTCATCATTATACTTCTCTATAATGTATACTATTTATCACAAGGGTGAGAAGTTCACCCATTAATAGAATACGGATTCTTTCACCATGCCTTCACCATGCCAGCAACCCAATCGTCAGAGCCTTCAAAGACAGCAAATTCCTTAACCTTGGCCTAACATATAAGTGCATTTTTTTCAAGACAGAATATGCAAGCTTGAGATGACGGCTTTCTTTCAACCCCTAACCATTTACTTACCTGAACTAATCTTTCTATAGTCCATTTTGGTCACCGGCATTGACCAGCAAACATCCTTGTATTTGACAGACACATTAAAACCTTAATTATCAACAAAACATCAACTAACTTTCTTTATTGCACTAGTTTTTCAGAGAAAAAGATAAATCACGAGAAAACACACTATAAATTATTATTATTAAGACACTGTTAGCAGAGTCAGTCCTGGACTCAGGAGACATATAACCTAAAATTATAATTAGAAACTTCATATTACAAAAAATGATCCTCAGGCGTTATAAGCCTTTATCAAAGAAGGTATATCATTTTTACTGCATCCTCCATACAAATAAATGTGCTAAAACATTTTAGGCATATTTGTATTAGAACTGAAGATTGAAGTAACTGGTCCACGCTTTATAAATTTCAATCTCCCTTCACTCAGAACACTTAACTATCGAAGAAATCAATTTGTCAGTGATTTCTTATACTTCTGAGTATCAAAAATTTGCATTGTTAATAGTAACACAGGTCCACTAAAGCTTTTCTTTTAAGAATTTAGTCAAGATATAGTTTGTTTTCAAGTCAATTTATGATGGTAGTGCAAAATATAAATAGAAGTCACTAGTAAATTTCCAAAGGTTCTCTCTTGTTCATGGGTATTATTAATTCCTGTTCCTAGTTTCCTTACAAGTTACATGTGATCACCTCCTACATTTGACAAAATTGAGTATTTAAAGCAAATAATTTAAAATTTTTTTGGAATGAAGCCTTTGGAGAAAGTAAATTTTAATAAAAAGCTGGCCTTTAAGCCACTTGTCCACTCCTACAGAACACTGACTATACCCATTTCTCTCATTAATATTATAATGAAAGGGTTTCAAAATTTGTGCTCTTATTTCCTCAAATTGGGAAATAAGAGACTGATTTAAAATGACAATGCATGCATTTATATTAGAAAAATGACTATACCGTAATGTAATTATATATATTTTCATACCTTTATTAGGAACTTATACATACGAATGACTAAAACTATTATTGACAGCTAGGGTTAGTCTTAAAATGTGTATTCTTTAAATCCAAAATTCTATAGTACTTAAAGATAACTAAATACAAAATTCAAATATCTATATGGCAAAATCACCTCAAACAAGTTTGAAAGCCTAAATTGGAAAATAATTTACAATCAATGACAGACAAAGTATCAATAATACAAGTATTAAGGAAAACCTTTTACAAACTGAGCAAACATGATAATAGAAAATGTATTGGAAGAAAAGTTAAAACAGAAGAAATACCAGGAAACTGTGTAAAAATTTTTAACTTTACTTTTAAATAAATTTTATTGAACCAAAATTGGTCATAATTTTTGGGCTATCATATAGGTCAAAGTGAAAAATATTGACATCCCAATATTGTTGGTATAAGTATCAAGGACAAAAGTATTTCAGGAAATATTGGAGGACGTATCTCCTACATAACCTTTCTGATGATTAAGTTGATGACCTATGTTAAAATTTACAACGTGTACTTTTTAATCTTAAAATTTACGTATAGGTATTTATACTAGAGTTATAATTTGTTGTGCACAAAAATGCATGCAAAGTTTGTTCTCTTTCTATCCTCCCCACTTCTCTTTAGAAAACAGACACAACATACTATCTCCACAGTCCCTGCTAAGGAGCAGTCTACATGATCCCTCCCCTTGAACCTAACTGGTTTCAAAAGCAGGAACCACTTGACCCATGCTGGTTGTATTAGTCAGGGTTCCCCAGGGAAAGAGAACCAACAGAAGATAAATACATGTGGAGATTTATGAAATTGACTCACATTGAGAGGTGAAGCCAGCTGGACTTCCTGGGTTGAGTAGGGGCTTGGAGAACTTTTGTGTCTAGCTAAAGGATTGTAAATGCACCAATCAGCACTCTGTAAAAATGCACCAATCAGCACTCTGTAAAATGGGCCAATCAGCAGACCATGGGTGGGGACAAATAAGGGAATAAAAGCTGGCCACTCCAGCCAGCAGGGGCAACCTGCTGGGGTCCCTTTCCACGCAGTGGAAGCTTTGTTCTTTCGCTCTTTACAATAAATCTGGCTGCTGCTCACTCTTTGGGTCCGTGCCAACTTTAAGAGCTGTAACACTCACCGTGAAGGTCTGCGGCTTCATTCTTGATGTCAGCAAGACCAAGAACCCACCAGAAGGAACCAACTCAGGACACAACATGATTATGGAGACCAAAGGATCCCATAATCTGCTGCTGTGTGCAAGCTTGAGAACCGGGAAAGCTGCAGGCATAGTTTCAGTCTAAACCCAAAGGCCTAAGAACCAGGAGATCCAGTGTCTGAGAGGAGCAGGAGAAGATGGCTGTCCTAAGCTCAAGAGAGAGAATTTACCCTTCCTCTACCTTTTTTCTATTTGAGCTCTCAATAAAATTGGATCATGCTCACCCACATTGCTGAGGGCTATCTTCTTGGCTCAGTCTACCAATTCAAATGCTAATCTTTTCTGGAGACATCCTCCCAAACACACCTAGAAATAATGTTTAACCAGCTATCTGTGCATCCCATATCCCAGTCAAGTAAACACATCAAATTAACCATCAATCATATTCACCAAAGAATACGTCTGTCCTTGAAATTGGGAAATAAAAAAGAAAACTTCAATTAGTCTTAAATTGTGAAGTCATGTAGGAGTGGAGCAGGTATTTTCCAGCATATGCACAATGCAAAGATAACCAGGAATCTTATTAAAAAGACAACCAGGCAGATACCAAAGAGGAGCTAAGCCAAGAGAATGTGTCAAAGTGATTGCAATTTCCTTCTTGATTCCAGGCCCTCAAGGAGGCCCAATTTCATGGACTAACCTTAGGTTTTCTGAGGTGTGTTTGTACCCTACTGACACCCCTATTTGCTCATACAACTCAAATGATTCTTTTCTGACAATAATCTTTGAATAAGACAGTTATTCCACAGCATTGTTTATATTAAACACTCCATATGTCCACCATTAGAAAATCAGTTAAATATCTACATCCTATGCAATCATAAAAAGACAACACAAAACTGTATACTATATTTTTTTTCTTATAAAATGGTCATGACATACTGTTGAGTAAAAAACAGTTTACTGAACATCAATTCTGTATATGTGCACACCACAGAAAGATATCTGGAAAGATAGAGAACAATTTAACAAAATTTATTTTTGTGTAGCTGCCAAGTGATTTTATTCTTCTCTTTATATTTTAATTGAGCATCTATCATTTTTTATAAATTAAAAAATTAAATTTCTACATTTAAAAATAAACCTGAAGAGAAATTTTAAAAAAGAAATAAAGAAAAAGTTCAGTGCAACATCAAAGGACTGACTTTTGATTTCAGACAAAGGATGGTTTGATCTCTGCAGGAAGAATTACTTGATATCATTATCTGTTTTTTAGAGTAAGTACAAGAAATAATACAATACTGTTGAAGATTTCTTTTGAGCTTTTATTAACCATCTAAATATATCTTTTTTCAATTATAAATCTTGTTTTACTTTATAAAGTTATTTGAAACTGCATCAGTAAGACTCATAAGAGTAGAGGAGTATTTTTACTTAAATGGTAGGGTTATAGCTTTTAAATACGCATCCTTTCATCTAGCTGCTCAGAAGGAAGAGGGAGAAAATCAGTAAACACCAGTCCTTCATGTCTGCTCAATTTAGCTCTTTTTGTTGAGCAACTAATTCCTTATGGCACACATCCAAAGCATGCAAATTTCAGGCCACTTGACAGTCCTTTCAACCAGGTCAGTCCTAACAGAGATAGTAATCAAGTCTCCCATGATGAATTTCATTCACATAGTGGAACTGATTACAGAGCAGGACGAATCACTGCACACTATTGAATGGAGATCAATTTTCAGCTTGAGGGATTATGGAGAACAGTGCACAACAAGGCAGGAGCAGGAGTAGGAGAATTCAATAAACAAACGAAACCAAATGAGACCATCTTAGTATAAAAAGAGGCCAATTGTATCATCTAACATCCCTAATATATTATTCTAGAAAAATACTCTACTTTGAAAATTAAATAACTTGAAATATGCAAATATAGTTTTATCTGAAGCTTCTTTGTCCCCATTTGACATAGCTCAAATTAATCGTTAATAAAATATAAAATGAACAAATAAATAAATGCATATGTTTAAAAATCTATACTTGCAGCTATTTTCTCTTGTAATAGATAGGAGTTTCTTTGTCAGATTCTTTTATATGCTATAAAAACATCCCCTATAAAAATGCCTTAAGTCATAGCTGTGTTTCTGCCTTTTCCTTTCATTGCAAGGAGGATATCCTTTAACATATAATGAGATCACTGGCATATGCCTTACAAGTTTTGCCTATGCATATAACCAATCACTGGGAAAGCATCACTAGTTCCTACTATCTCCGAAATAAATGTCAAAATGTTTCTGTGCTCTGTATCATCCAGAACCCTAAAAGCTTTCTATGCTACCCCGGCCTATTCACTCAATAGATTAGGATTTAAAATTGAAGTTAACTCACTCAAGCTCTACATTGGGGTCTCCACAGATTTAATTTACTAGGCACAGTCACAGTGTATGCCTGTTATCCTGGAGTCATTGCCTCATTTTCACTGTTAGAAGCAACCCAGTTTGGAATACATATTAAAAGCTCTTCCTACTACTAAATGTATGCAAATTTTGCCAATCCAAAGCAATCAAGTCAGAAAAAAAAATCCTCCTCTAACTCATGCTCCATTGCACACTACCATTTTACTGAATGCCTTCTCACTGCCAATTCCTTGAAATAATTTTTGACAGTCTTAATAGCAATTTCCATTTCTTCATTTTCCATTCATGCCTCAATATTTCATAATCCAAGTCCTATTTCTTTAAAACTACTGAACATCATCATGGATTAATAATTAAATGGCCATTTCTCCATTTATATGTCTATAATACTATGGAACATTAAATATTTGATCACCTCATCTTAAAATTGTTTCTTCCTTGTCTATCATTTCTACAATCTCTTCCCAACTCTTCAAATTCTCTTTGTCAATCTCTTTATTTGTATTATTTCTCCATTCATTTCACCTCTTATTCTACCTGCTTTTCCTTAGTGATCTACTCCAATCCTAGAATTTCAACTGCCACCTGTATGCTCATGACTCCAAAATCAGTCCTTTGAATTGACTGTTTCCCCATCACAAACTTTAAATTTTAATCTGATTAGACGATACTTTATGGCATCTAGAAGAACTTTGAACTCAACAAGTCTAAACTAGTTTTCATCGTTCTTAAATGTGTAATCTCTCTCCAATTCCTAGCACTTCATTTTTCCATTTTAGACAGTTCTAAAATGGAAAAAGAAAACAGGTAGGAGCATACTTTACAGGAAATCTCTATGTACCCTAGCCAGCAAAATTAAAAAAAAAAAAACTGAGTAAAACTCAATGTGTAGCTTATACTAGATAGAATACTTTTGAAGCTCTGGATGTACATAAATTAAAAATAAGGACAATAGGGAAAAAGAGGGAAGCTCTAAGAATACATTTAACATACAGCATTATATTAGCAAGCCCGTCGGGTGCTCTCACTTTGCACCTTAGTGGCTTCTTTTAAGAATCATAGCAAGGAGTAAAACGAACTCAAAGTGAAGCAAAGTATCTCTGCCTTGTGTGAAGTGAAATATATAGTTTGGTTGACTGAACACCACTATTTCCAATATTAAAAGGTGGAGTGTTTGTATAACACTATACAAGCACCTAGGTTTGGTGCTTGTATAACAATTCACATAACCCTATATCAAATAAATATTTTTTAAACTGTCTAAATATATATTTATATTGTGGACCATAATAACTCTTAGCATCAATGATAGCCAAGAAACTACTCAAGCATTAGGGGGTACATTTTTAGCACAGCATGAGCAGATTTAGCTGAGAGATTCCCATTAATGTCAATAAGAGATGCATAGTTCAATTTTAACACATACTGTGTTGAAAATTTACCCCAAAGCTTTTGAGCAATAGCTCCCCAAAAGAAGGGAAATTTTAAATTTTCCAACAAAAATTTAGGTTTTTCAGGATAATTACCCATTCACCATTCTTAAATTTTTGTGTTTTTCTAATTACACACACACACACACACACACACACACACACACATTATCTGGCATAACTGGCTAGCTGGAGACCAATAATACTGCAAAAAAAAAATCACAATATTAAATTCTCCTAAATAAAATATAATAAAAATTCATGGATTTTTTCACACTAAACGACAAATTGTAGCTACTATTAGGGGTAATACTAGTTTGTTACCTCAAATTTGATTTACATAAGTTATAATGGTTAAAAGAAAAACTTAAGAACAGTTACGATTATAAACTTTTTTATATTGAAAGATCTAATAAAACGTAGAAAATGGTCAGGAATCTCCTTCTGTGTCTCCTGAAAATTTGAAAGGATGTGAATATATGTCTAGATATTTAGGTCCTAGAGGAAAAAAACCGGCTAATTCATCTTCTTATACCCAGCACCTAGTAAATAGTAACTACTCAAGAAATGCTTATTGAAAGCATGTATACATTTAAGCATGTATGCATTAACAGCATACATATATGCACTGAACATCTCACTCAAGGGAATGAGTAACATAAAATCCAAGAGGTCAGATTTTATTTGAGTTAAAATCATAGGTGTTGGAATCAAACACACCTGGGTTCTCATCTTAGCTGAGGACCCTTATTCCTCACCTGTGCAATCATGGGCAAATAACTCTCTAGGTTCCAGTTTCTCTGTTGCCATATTTCTTAATACGCTATCTGGAAGTTAGACTTTTGAATGTAATGAGTTCTAATATTCTCAGAGGGACACAATTCTCTTCAATATGTTAGTAATCATGACTTTTATTCACTTAATGACTCTCTTCTCTATTTCCACAGTAAGTTACTTAATACCTTTAGTTCAAATGACAATAATTTGATTACTTTATTAAACATATTTTTACTCTACTAATTTATTTTATATCTTCTGTAACAAAAGAATAGTATCATAAAATTAGCAGGAAAGATAACAAAGACTTATCATGTTAGAAAAAAATAAAATAAAGCTAGACTATAGGATGCACAGGGGCAGAACTTTTTCTCTTCTGTTACCCTGTCCCTCAACACCTAGAATTATAGGACATGCTCAGTAAGTATTTGCTAAATGAAAAAGAGAAAATAAGCCTGTTAAACAAATGAGAATTCACACTCAACCTTCAAAGTTTTCTACTGAGCTACTGAGAAAGTTCTTTCCACTTGCTGATATTTTGAAAGTACTACTGCATTAATATATGAGCATTTGTTAGTGTCAAATACTGCTCTACAACATAAATAAAAATATCAATAAATGTATGTTATAAATTGTCTACATGCTATTTTTTGTTCATTTGTTTTTGTTTTTGTTTTTTTGAAATTGAGTCTCTCACTGTCGCCAGGCTGGAGGACAGTGGAGTGATCTCAGCTCACTGCAACTTCCGACTCCCTGGTTCAAGCGATTCTCCTGCCTCAGCCTCCTGAGTAGCTGGGATTACAAGCACATGCCACCACGCCCAGCTAATTTTTGTATTTTTAGTAGAGACGGGGTTTCACCATGTGGGCCAGGATGGTCTCGATCTCCTGACCTCGTGATTCACCCACTTCAGCTTCCCAAAGTGCTAGGATTATAGGCATGAGCCACTGCGCCCGACCTACATGCTATTTTTAAGCAATGCACTTAGTAAAGTAATCTGTAAAGTCAGAATTCCAAATGGTAATAAGAATAGTATTTGGTGCTTTAATAATTTAAAATTCTATTTAATATAATAAGTTAATGAATTACACTATGCAAATGATTAGTGAAAATTTAGTTTCTTTCCATGCCAATGTAAGTACTATATTCACAATATTTGTCACAAACAGGAATAGTAAGAGCCAAGACAAAAATGCCAAAAAGTTTAGTATATGGTTATTGGTGTTAAAAATCTTAAATCTAAAAATTGCATAAAAAGTGTTCAGTAAAAATTTTCAAAATCAATGTAAGATATAACATTTTGTTGCTTCCTATTTGCTTGTTGAGCAGAAGGGTCCTAATAAGTGCAATATTGGGCAGATTACTCTTCATTTTCAACAATAAAAATTATAAAAACAAGTCTATGTATGAAGTCAATTTTATAATCTAAAGATTTTGCTTTTGATTTTCTAATCTGAAAATATTACATTTAATCATAGGGCTATTTATTCTTAGAAATAATCAAATCTACCTTACTACATCTTCTCAAACTTGTGTCTCTTCCTTAAAATCAGGAGAAAAGCAGGAAAAATCAGGCTCTCATTCAAACATTCTTTTTTTTTAACATGCTTATTAATCTTTTTGGTAATGCATTATTTATTTCCACTTCCAGGTATACGTTTCTCAAATATAAAATGTATTTGATTTAGTAGGTACATATGTGTATACAGAAAATGTCACTGTGTCTGTAGACTGCAAGATAAAACAGAAAAAGTGGGTGATACGGTTTGGCTCTGTGTCCCCACCCAAATTTCATCTTGTAGCTCCCATTATTCCCAAGTGTTGTGAGAGGAACCCAGTGGGAGATGACCGAATCATGGGGGCAGTGTTCTTGTTATAGTAAATGGGTCTCACGAGATCTGATGGTTTTAAAAACTGGAGTTTCTCTGCACAATCTCTCTCTTTGCCTGCTGCCATCCATGTAAGATGTGACCTCCTCCTCCTTACCTTCCACCATGATTATGAGGCCTCCTCAGCCACATGAAACTGTAAGTCCAATAAACCTCTTCCTTTTGTAAATTGCCCAGTCTTGAGTATGTCTTATCAGCAGTGTGAAAACAGACTATACAGTAAATTGGTACCAGGAGTGGGGCATTGCTGAAAAGATACCTGAAAATATGGAAGCAACTTTGGAACTAGGTAACAGGCAGAGACTGGAACAGTTTGGAAGGCTCAGAAGAAAGCAGGAAAATGTAGGAAAGTTTGGAACCACCTAGTGACTTGTTGAATGGCTTTGACAAAAATGCTGATAGTGATATAAGCAATAAGGTCCAGGCTGAGGTGGTCTCAGATGGAGATGAGGAACTTGGGAACTGGAGCAAAAGTGACTCTTGTTATGTTTTAGCAAAGAAACTGGCAGCATTTTGCCCCTGCCCTAGAGATTTGTGGAACTTTGAACTTAGATGATTTAGGGTGTCTGGTGGAAGAAATTTCTAAGCAGCAAAGCATTCAAGAGGTGACTTGGGTGCTGTTGAAGGCATTCAGTTTCAAAGGGGAAAGAGAGCATAAAAGTTTGGAAAATTTGCAGCCTGACAATGCAATAGAAAAAAAAATCCATATTTTGAGGAGAAATTCAAACCAGCTGCAGAAATTTGCATAAGTTAACGAGGAGCCGAATGTTAATCACCAAGACAATGAGGAAAATGTCTGCAGGGCACACCAGAGACCTTTGCAGCAGCCCCTCCCATCACAGGCCTGAAGGCATAGGTAGAAAAAGTGGTTTCCTGGGCCAGGCCCAGGTTCCTGGTGCTGTGTGCAGCCTAGGGACTTGATGCCCTGCTTCCCAGACACTGACTAAAAGGGTCCAATGTAGAGCTTAGGCTGTGGCTGCAGAGGGTGCAAGACTCAAGCCTTGGCAGCTTCCATGTGGTGTTAAGCCTATGACTGTACAGCAATCAAGAATTAAGGTTTGGGAAGCTCTACGTAGATTTCACAGGATTTATGGAAACACCTGGATGCCCAGGCAGAAGTTTGCTGTAGGGGCAGGGTCCTCATGTAGAACCTCTGCTAGGGCATTGCAGAAGGGAAGTGTTGGGTGGGAGGCCCCACACAGAGTCCCTACTGGGGCACCACCTAGTGGAGCTGTGAGAAGAGGACCACCATCCTCCAGACTCCAGAATGGTAGATACACTGACAGCTTGCACCGTGTGCCTGGAAAAGCTGCACTCAATGCCAGCTTGTGAAGGCAGCTGGGAGGGAGGCTGTACCCTGAAAAGCCACAGGGGTGGAGCTGCCCCAGACCATGAGAACACATCTCTTCCATCAGCGTGACCTGAATGTAAGACATGGAGTCAAAGGAGATCATTTTGTAGCTCTAACATTTGACTGTCCTGCCGGATTTTCACATGGGGCCTGTAGCCCCTTTGTTTTGGTGAATTTCTCCATTTGGAATGGGTGTATTTATCCAATGCCTGTATTCCCATTGCATCTAGGAAGTAACTAGCTTGCTTTTGATTTTACAGGCTCATATGCAGAAGGGTTTTGCCTTGTCTCAGATGAGACTTTGGACTGTGGACTTTTGAGTCACTGCTAAAATTAGTTGAGACTTTAGGTGACTCTTGGAAAGGCATGATTGGTTTTGAAATGTGAAGATGTAAGATTTTGGAGGGACTGGGGTGGAACGATATGGTTTGGCTCTGTGTCCCCACACAAATCTCATCTTGTATCTCCCATGATTCCCACATATTGTGGCAGGGACCCGTTGGGAGATGACTGAATCATGGAGGTGGGTCTTTCCTGTGCTTTTCTCACAATAGTGAACGGGTCTCACAAGATCTGATGGTTTTAAAAATGGAGTTTCTCTGCACAAGCTCTCTCTTTGCCTGCTGTTATCCATGTAAGATGTGACCTACTCCTCCTTGCCTTCTGCCACAATTGTGAGGCCTCCCCAGCCATGTGGAACTGTAAGTCCAATAAACCTTTTTCTTTTGTAAATTGCCCAGTCTCAGGTATGTCTTTATCAGCAGTGTGAAAATGGACTAATACAGTGGGTTTTCCTGGGTTGCAGAAAATTTTTTTAAAAAACTATGTAACAACCTGATGACTATTTAATCTACCTCCTTCCTCCTAACCAATTTATATTATTTTTATTTCTCTGAAACAACCACAATTGAAATCTGTGATTAAAATACAGTCAATGCACCATATAACAACATTTCACTCAACAACAGACCACATGCATGACATTGGGTCCCATAAGATTATAATATCATATTTTTACTGTACCTTTTCTACGTTTAGACATGTTTAGATACACAAATACTTAACATTGTGTTACAATTATCTTCAGTATTCAGTAGTGTACAGATTTGTAGTCTAGGAGCAACAGGCTACACCATATAGCCTCAGTGTCTATCTAGTAGGCTACACCATCTATCTTTGTGTATGTACACTCCATGTTTCCACAATGATGAAATCGCTTCAGGACCCGTGCCTCAGAATATATCCCCAACCCTATAATTAAGCAACATATGACTGTTATAAAAAATAAGTTAATGATTTCCTGATACATGCTTTTCTAGGTAATTCAACTTATTGAATCCTCTTAAGAATAGTTAGTTCAACTTACAGATGAGAAAAATGGGGCAAAACAATTCAAAGTCCTTGCCAGATGTGCAGACATAGTAAGAGGAAACGCTGGGACTACCAACTTAGGTGATCTGACTCCAAGATCTCACCTCAACAATGAACATACATTTCTTTGTCCATGAAGATCAGCCAGTGTGGTAGGCAGTAGAATGGCCCACCAAAGATGCCCATGCCCTAAAGCTCAGAGCTTATTATGTTACATGGCAAAAAGGAATTAAAGTTGCAAATGAAATGAAGATTGCTAATTTGCTAACCTTTGGATGGAAAGATTATCTAGGATTATCTACATGGGTTCAATGTAATCACCCTTATAAATGAAAGAAGGTGATAGAACAGAGAGCTCGAGAGAAGGCAGTATGAGACAGACCTGGCTTTGAAAATAAAGGAAGGAAGCCATGAGCCAAAGAATAAAGGCAGACTCTAGCAGCTGAAAAAGCAAGGAAATGGGATATTTCTCCTAGGATCTCCAGAAAAAAACTCTGCCCTGAAAACATCTTGGTTTTAAGCCAGTGAGAACTATTTCAGGCATCTGACCACCAGAAGAGCAAAACAATAAATTTGTGTTGTTTTAGGCCACTATGTTTGTAGTAATTTGTTACAGCAGTGTGATAGTTAATTTTAAGAGTCAACTTGGCTAGACTTGCATTTGGCAAATCACTACTGTAGATGTTGCTGTAAAGGTATTTTTTAGATGTTATAACATTTACAGTCAGTTGACCTTAAGTAAAGGGGATTAGACTTCATAATATGGGCAGGCCTTAAGAGCAGAGATGGAGGTTTCCTAAGGGAGAAGAAATTCTGCCTCCAAGCTGCAACATGGAAAGGCTTGAGTTTACCAGCCTTCAAATTCAAGACTGCAAACAACAACTCTTACCTGAATCTCCAGCCTATAGGCTTGCCCTACAGATTTTGCACTTGGGAGCTCCACAATTATGTGAGCCAGTTCCTTAAAATAAATCTCTGTCTTTCTTTCTCTCCTGTTAGTTCTGTTTATCTAAAGAACTCTGACTAACACAAGTAGGAATGACACACTGATACAATTAGTAATTTAATACTGGTTTGAGTTGTTAACAAGGATCCTTAGGTATATTTGCATATAAGAAGGTACATTAGTCGGCCTGGACTTCCAGTAACAACATACACAGATTAGGTAGCTTAAACAACAGAAATTTATTTCTCACAGTTCTAGAGGCTAGGAAGTCCAAGATCAAGGTGCCAGCCAATTCATTTCCAGAAGAGGGGTATCTTTCCAGCTTGCAGATGACCACCTTTTCACTGTGCCCTCATATGGAGGAGAAAGAGAGCTCTGGTGTCTCCTCCTCTTCTTATAAGAGCATTAATTCTATTGATTAGGGCTTCATCCTTAGGACTTCATTTAACCATGATCACCTTCTCAGCTGTATTTCCAAATACAATCATATTAGGAGTTAGGACTTCAATATATGAACTGGGCTGCAGGGAGCACAATTCAGTACATACCAGAGGAGAAACAATTTTTCAAAGCTCATGCACATATTTTAATAGATTTTATATGTAAAATGTAAGAGAATTAGACAGAAGCACCTTACCTTACTCAGTTGCCAGAGATCTCTAGTTTACTACATTAAAATAGAATTAATTAATTTATATAGCACTTTGGAGTTTACAAAGTACTCTCAAACAGATTACAAACAACATCATTAATAATTATTCTCATTTGACGTACAATCAAATTTGAGCTCAATGAGATACATTAATTCTCAGTTTATTAGTCTGGCAAACAGTAAGTTGGGCCTTCGATCTAAGGCCATTGATTTTAAATAGGCTTTGCATATTCAGATCTGCTCATCAACTGCAACACATGAGGGAAAGGGGAGGGAATTCTAGACTAACACAACATGGTGAAGTCAATTTTCAGGAATTAACCAGACATTTCTATCCTTATCTTAGATCTAACTATAAACATATAAATGTTCTCAGGATCTTAATATAATAAAAGATAACCAAAGCTTTCAGTATCTTGGGCATATGGGGCAGAAAGTAATGCTGATGTGAAGATATTTTTCAAATTACTTAGTGATTTATTTGAAGTGGTTGTAGGGAGGACTGAAATTTTCTTTCTCCAGAATGAGACTAAAAGTTGTCATGTATTTTCATTGAGTGGTGTTTTTCTGGTTTCTGGAAATGCTACATCTCTAACAAATTTTTACACTTTTCACCAAAAAATGACCCCAGGGAGATGTTATAAGGCACTATTTCAGTGTACACATTGGACTTCCAGTAACAACATACAGGCAGCCTATTCCTTAATGACACCATTCACCAGTTGTCATCTTGAACAAGCCAATTAGTATCTTTAAGTTTCCATTTTCTTTTCACTAACTTGGGCATAAAAATATGGGACTGCTGCAAGGAGTAACTAGAGAATGAATTTATAGAACTTGCCAAATATCTGACAACTCATAATTGCTAAATAAATGTGAGAGGTAATGAGTATTGACTGTCAATATAAAAAATTACATTATGTAAAATATTTTAAATTCTCTGGAATATTAAATTTGCTAAGGAAAAATCATAGAAAATTGAACTGAAGTTTTCATTTTTGCAATCATATAGTTTATAACTGGGCAAAAGTGTGGTGTGCACTATAATCAGAGTTGTAGTGTACTAGGGTGGTGCAGAGCCATTACCCTGATGAAGGTCTCTAATGGCATTTACCAAAGATTAAATTCATAATGCTTTTGTCATGTTGTAGCCTAGCCTGGGTTAAGGCTCTAGCACAGAGTGATAAGACTTCAGCAGACAGCGTGTTCAGTTAATTCTTCTAAAAAGGGGTGATGACTCAAATCAGGGAAATTATAATGATATTACACTACTTCATGGTTCACAAACTTTTCTAAGCATTACCTCACTTGATCCTTAAAACAATCTTGAGATAAAGGCAAGGCAGATATTATAGCCCTTTTGTGATGAGGGTACTGAAGCTCTGAGAAGGTAAAATGTTGGCCCATCAGCAAATCCAGAGCTAAAATTCATATCTTGAGTCTTCTTGTCCAGTGCTGTTTATGAGTCTTCCTCCAAAGTTGTTGAAGCAGACTATTTCCAGAATCATTCATTTATAATATTATCCTATATATTTTCTTTTGTGTGTGTGTGTGTGTGTGTTTTGTGTTTTTTTTTTTTTTTTTTTTTGAGACAGGTTCTCACTCTATCACCCAGGCTAGAGTGCAGTGGTGCAATCTTGGCTCACTGCAACCTTTGGCTCACTGCAACCTACGCCCCCCAGGTTCAAGTGATTCTCCCACCTCAGGCTCCCAAGCAGCTGGGACTACAGACATGTGCCACCACGCCCAGCTAATTTCTTGTGTTTTTAATAGAGATGGGGTTTCACCATGTTGGCCAGTCTGGTTTTGAACTCCTGACCTCAAGTGATCCATCTACCTTGGCCTCCCAAAATGCTGGGATTACAGGCGTGAGCCACCATGCCTGTCCCTATATATTTTCTTTTTATAATGCATAGACATAATAGTTGTCTTGTAAGTTTTTGTACTGGGTTGGAGAAGAGTAAAATAATTTTAAGAAGGTATTTTACTATTAATATTGTTGGTGTGGCAGATTGGAAGTATGATATATAGACTCTGGTTACTCTACGTAGGATAGAAGCTACAATCTTCAGCCTCTGTCTTTCCTTCCCCAATCAAAAAGTGTAACGAGGAACAAGCTACCTTGCTGTCCACTAATCTTCATTCACATTTCACAACTCATTCTCCTCTGTCCTTCAAAAAAGTACCAAACCTAATACACAAAGAAAAACCTACTATTATAGGCCTTACACAAGAAGGAGAAAGAAATGAGTTAGCAGCTTTTGATGTAGAAAATTCCATTTCCAGCTCTCCTGTAAAACCCTTAAGGATCTTGGCAGTACATAATGAATGTACTCTAACCACTCTTTGAAATACATGTGAAAAGTGTTTGTAAAGATCCTATTGATCTTTGGGTCAAACATGCCTTACAATCTACTAGGGTACTTTCATATGGTTCCACAAAAAATCTGCTGTAGATTTTTAAAAAGTTAAAATAATTACTTCTTCTTTAGCAGTACAAATAGCTAAGATATTGGTCTGCCAGATACACTCCCAGATTTAGTTCTAAGAAATGTATTAATGTACTTGAAGAACAGGTAATCCAGGCCTCAAGGTTTTTAAAAGAATAATCACACAAAAGTGACCAAAGTTTCCAGACATGTAAAGGAACTTAGAAATCAACAGTGCTTTTATTTCCATAAGTTTCAAGGTTTACTCCTCTCTTATACCTTTCTAGATAATGAAAGAAATACTTGCAAAGGTAAGTATTGGTGGAAGCTTAAAAGGTTCAAAGCTTTAAGGAAAAGGCTTAAAAGAAATCAATTTCTATGTTCAATTTCTGTATTATCAGGAAGAAAAGTAGCCTAAAATTCCTTATTTCCTTTTTACATAGTTTCCAGACATGTCACAAAAAAAATAATAAAGAGAAGGCATAGACACTTATGTAATTATGTATCAGCCACTTAACATGTTGTTAGCAAAATATGTACTAAAATATTTTAAATGATCTCAAAGTAAACAGTCATACAAACATGAAAATGGCATAGAACTTAATAGAATCATTTTCTGAATAGCCAGTTCTTTTTACAGTTGACAGCTACAATCTGAGCAACTTATCATTATCTATCACCTGGAAAACTGCAGCAGGCTTCTAACTGACCTCCTGCCTTCTAGTCTTACTCCCACCGCACCAGCAGTCCATTACCCATGCATACAGCAACCAGATGATCTTTTTACGGTGTAAACAAGATACGTCATTCTTCCTTCTTACAATTCACCAGAAGAATTCACAAGAAAGTATTAGGTTGGTGTCAAAGTAAATGCGGTTTTTGCAATTACTTTTAATGGCAAAAACCATGACTACTTTTGACCAACCTAATTTTAAAAAATCCAAATTTCTTGCTCTGACGTCTTAGGATGCCACCTAATTTAGACCCTGCCTGTCTTCCTAATTTTTGTCTTTTACCCTACTTGGCCTACCATACTAAATGCCAGCCACACTGGTCTTTCCTACCCCTGAAATAAGCCCAATTTGTTTGTTTCAGGGCTCTTTCAAATGTTATTTTCACAGATCATCAAGAGCTTTCCTCTTTCATATCATTTGGGCCTTATTCCAAATCTAATTTTTTTAACAGAGCCTACCTGAGCCTCATTCCCAAATCATTCTCTGTACCTGTATTCTGTGCTATTTTAATTATATTCAACACTATCTGGAATTATTTTACTTAATAAGTTATTTATACTTTTTTTCATAATCTGTCTCCCCCAAATGGAATTAAGCTTCATGAGAACATGGAACAAATTTGTTTATTGTTATATCCCTAGTGCCTCAGTCTTGGGACATAGTAGGTGCTCAATAAATATCCAATGTATGAAAGAGAACGTATGATACTTCTGAACTGTATTTTTACATGATAAATATGTGGAAAATGGAAAGGAGAAGGCAAACTTAGTCTACAAGTTCATTTGGCATTTAACTTGTTGCCAAGAAGTAGCATTATCTTGAGGATCCTTTATCATCTAAGACCAAAACAGCAGGTCTGAAAATGATTTTATGGCGGTTTAAAAAACAGCTGCCAAGAGCCCTAAACAGCCCATTCAAGTATGGCTACTTTTATGTCTCTACACTCCTTTCTTTCATGGTTTCCAGGAGTTGGAGGTAAATTGAAAGATGCTATTACATTTATATCTCCAGGCCTCAAAATCAAGCCCAGCCTGATTGCCTTTCCAGCCCCTCCTTCTCCACCAGGATCACGTGAGCTATACTTTTTAACATTGCTACTAACAGGCTTAGTTCCTGACCTCATAGAAGGAACTTTGTATACAGAGCCCTTGCCTAACATCCTGAGCCTCACCACCATGAATGGTATTTATGGCTAGTCTAGGTTAGACACTGAAAGTTCCACTCTGTTCCTATAAGCAGTTCGACAGGACCTATACAGCACAATCAATCCTGTGTCCTGGAAATGGGGCAGAAAAGCAAATACTTACCATCCATGGGGTGAAATATTAGATCACAAGTAAGTAAGGGGACCTATGGACAGGGCAGCTGCAAATTCAGAACTTGCACAAGAACTTCCCCACGTTGAGAAGCCTGTCTAGACTCAACCATATCAACCATAGGGAGTGTTCATTTTGCTTTGAAGACTCTTCCCTCTCCACACCCTTCCTTACTGTGATTACAAATTTCACTATCTCTTATTCTTCAAATCTCAGCTTACATGTCCCTTCCTTAGGTAGCCTTCTTTCATAACCCAGGTTAGATCAAGATCCCATGTACAGATTCAACCATAAAAATGAATTGCCATTTCCAATTATAGCAGTTATCCGGTAAGTATCCATTGAATGAATTAATGAATGATACAGATAATCAGATAATAGATTCAATTTCCAACCAACCATTAAAAATAGCTAATAAACATAATTTCTTAACCACAAGACTATTGACACTTGGGAGTGGATATTTCTTTGTTGTGGGAGGCAGTCCTATGCATTATAGAACGTTAAGCAGCCTTCCTGAACTGTACTCACTAGATTCCAGTATTACCACCTTCAGCCCAAGTTGTGACAACCCAACAGTATCTCTAGGCATTGCCAAATGTCTCCAGAAGGGCAATAAACCTTGGGTTTGAGAATCACTGGGCCAGAAGTAAACTAATAGAATCAACTGCAACTGTGTTAGTAAAACTTTTCAACGAGCCAGCAAGATGATGAAGACTTTACCTCCCATGAGTGGCAGAGCTAAAGCATCCATAAGATCACTGCATGGGATCAGTGGTAAAAATCAAGGTAGGGGGCCCAGCGCAGTGGCTCACGCCTATAATCCCAGCACTTTGGGAGGCCGAGCGGGTGGATCATCTGAGGTCAGGAGTTCGAGACCAGCCTGAACAACGTGGAGAAACCCCATCTCTACTAAAAATACAGAATTAGCCGGGCATGGCGGCACATGCCTGTAATCCTAGATACTCAGGAGGTTGAGGCAGGAGAATTGCTTGAACCCAGGAGGCGGAGGTTATGGTAAGCCAAGATCGCACCATTGCACTCTAGCCTGGGCAACAAGAGCGAAACTCAATCTCAGAAAAAAAAAAAAAAAACTTCAAAGTAGGTATACTCAGATAAAACAAAGTCAGCTTGTGCTAGATGGGTTTATTAATAAAGAAAAAGACAAGTACAGCAGTCCCTTGAAAAATGTCATTTTGTTCAATGTTATTCCATTAAAATGTTGATGAGAAAAATAATCAGTTCCCGGCTGCCAGGAGCCACTCTCTGTGTGGAGCTTGCACATTCTCCCTGTGTTTCTGGATTTTCTCTGGGTACTCCACTTTCCTTCAACATCCCAAAGATGTGCACGTTAGGAGAGCTGGCATGTCTATAGGTTCCCAGTCTGAGTGAGTGTGGGCATCGTTGTGAGTGCTCCCTGCGATGGGATGGTGTCCTGGCCAAGGCTCGTTCCCGTCTGTGCTCTGACCTGTTAGGTTAGGCTCTGGTCACCTAAGACCCGGAACTAAAATCATTTTGTAAAAAACCACCGTACTTCTTTTTATTAATCTTTCTTAAATGTATGTATAGTTTACATTTATTTCAATGTTTAACATTAGAAGTATTTGGGGGTCTTAATTTAGAAGTTTGGTAATGCTCTTGTGACTAGAAATATGCTGTAGGAACTTAACTTTTATTTACATCACTTACTCTGTGGTAAAATTGGTTGTGTTATACATTGTTTTCGCTTAAGATCACAGTTTCCAAAATCCTATTGACAACATTAAGTGAGGACTTACTGTCCAGAGTTCCCATATAATACCTGGCCTTCTCCCCTGCATGGGCACACACAAAGTTCCCTCTATTAATATTTTTCATTCCTGTGGTACATTTTTTACTGCTGATGAGCCAATAGCAATACATTGTTAACTAAGGGCCATAGTTTAAATTAGGGCTCACTCTTTGTGTTGTACATCCTATGGGTTTTAACAAATGTATAGTGGCATGTATCAGCCATTGCAGTGCCATATAGAGTACTCTCACTGCCCTAAAAATCTCCTGTGCTCATCTTTCTTCATCTCCCCATGATCCTCTGGCAACCACTGATCTTTTCACTGTCTGTATAGCTTGCCTTTCCCAAAATGTCATATTGTAAAATCACACAGTATGGAATCAGACTGGGGTTTTTCACTAAGCAATGTAAGATTCACTTAATGCTTACATTTCAAGCATTTAGGATGTCCCCATGTCTTTTTTTGTGGTTTCATAGCTTATTTATTTTTATCTCTGAATAACACACCATTGTATGGATATACCACTGTCTGCTTATCCATACACTTATTGAAAGATATCTTGGTTGCCTCCAAGTTTTGGCAATTAAGAATGAGGCTGCTGCAAACATTAATGTGAAGGGTTTTGTTTGGACATATGGTTTCAGTTCATTTGGGTAAATATCAAGGAGCACAATTGCTGAATAGTATGGTAAGAGTATTGTAAGAAACTGTCAAACCATATTGCAAAGTGGCTGTACCATTTTGCGTTCTCACCAGCAATGAGTAACAGTTCCTGTTGCTCCATATCTTCACCAACATTTGCTGGTGTTGGTGTTTTGGATTTTAGTCATTCTAAAAGGTATGTTGTGGTATTTTGTTGTTTAACTTGCAATTCCATAATGTCATATAATGTTAAGTATGCTTATTTTTTATCTGTATATCTTCTGTGGTGAGTTGTAAATTCCAGTCTTTTGCCAATTTTTAAATTGGATTGTTTTCTTATTGGGTTTTAAGAAGTTTTTGTATGTTTCAAATATAAGCCTTTTATCAGATATGTGTTGTTCAAATATTTTTCTCCCAGATATGACTAGATTTTTCATTACTAGCTTTTAATTTTAATGAAATTATACTTATCAATTACTTTTCTTCCATGGATTGACTGTGATTGTGTGTATAAAAAGTCTTTGTCAAACTCAAGGTCACCTAGATTTTCTCATATGTTATTTTCTAGGATATGTATAGTTTTTCACTTTACATTTAGGTCTTGATCCACCTTTGAGTTAATTTTTGCAAAAGGTGTAAGGTATGTGTCTAGACTCATTTTTTATGTTTTTCATGTGGATATCTAGTTATTGCAGCACCAGCTGTTAAAAAAGACTATCCTCTCCCTATTAAATTGCCTTTGCACTTTTGTCAATGATCAGTTGACTATATTTGTGGGCCTATTTCTGGACTCTCTATTTTGTTCCATTTATTTTTTTAAAGGTTTTATTTTTTTCAGAGCAGTTTTAGCTTCACAGAAAACCTGAGTGGAAGGTACAGAGATCTCTCATATACCCTCTGCCCCATAGATGCATAGCCTCCCCCATTATTAACATCCCACATGAGAGTGGTACATTTGTTCAATTAATATACCTGCATTGACACATCCTTATCACCTGAAGCCCATGGTTTCTATCACAGTTTTCTCTTGGTTGTGTACAAATATATATGGGTCTGGACAAATGTATAATAATGTGAATCTACCACTGTAGTATCATCCAGAGTATTTTAATTACCCTAAGCATGGCTTTTTTGACAATAAGAATCTGACTATTCTTTCACCAATACCACAGTCTTGATTACTGTGCTTTTACAGTAATTTTTGAAGTCAGGTATTGTCAGTCCTCCTACTTCATTCTTCAGCTTCTCAATTTTAAATGATGTGTTATGAACACTAAGACACATAAGGTAGTTAGGTGTGAGTAACATTATTTGACAGTGCCACTGAGGGCAAAAGCATGGGTTGTATTATGTGAGTTCATAGGAGCACTAACTATGGCAGAGACAGTGTAGCCCGTTCATCACATTGTTTCTTCTTCCTGAATACACAGAAAAGATTACTCTTCCCAGATCCCTTGCAGTAAGGTTGCAAATGACATGACTGAGTTTTGGCTTATAAAATGTGAGCAGACCTGGCCTTCCAAATACAGCTCCCAGTATTTTGGGTCTCTAATACGTCCACAGCAACTGTAGAAGCCATATATTCCAGAAGGAATAACAACAAAATGGAAACAATCTTGGTCTACAGATCACCATTTGGAGAAGAGATACCCAAGAAAATGATCTGTCATGCACTGAATACAAGAAACCAAACTTTATGGTGTTAATACCTTATTTGTCACTGCAGCATAGTCTATACTATCTTGAATAATATACTAAAAATATTAGGATTTTGTTTGTGTTTTTGTCAGCATCACTCAGCAGTCAGGATGAGGAGCTCAGAAAACATTAGATTTTTTTTTTTCCTAGAGTTGAAATTTGGCACAAAGTAATATGTCCTTGCCTAAGATCTAGATATCCATTTTTTTCCCTATCAAAGCAATATAAGGCACCTAAGATATTAACTAATCATCTGAAACTACAACCTAGACTGGAATATATCCATTCCACTCTTTCTAACTTCTCTGTAACATTCATAATTTATTTAGAGGCATTAAATTTATAGGGTCCACAAGCACTCAGCCGGAGGTGATTCAATTATCTTCCCCTGAAGTGGGACAAGTAAAAAGCAGCAGATGAAAGGAAAGGGAACAAAGGAATTTAAAAAAAAAAAAAAACTGATCTTACAGGGTATGAAAAAGAGTTTCTTAGAAAGTAGTAACTGTAATGAGGGTGCTCATCATTTTCACATGGTATCTTTATTCCAAATAAAAGCTCAAAGGATTTTGGATTTGATCTTGCAATTTCAATACACATATGACTGCTTGAGAAAACTAATAATTCTTCCAAAATATTCTCTTTGAACGCACCAAAGCATAGGATATAATTGTGTGTCCCAATGGATTGATCACTTGACTACATCCTGGAATAACCCATGCCCTTGGCAAAACATGGAAAATCGGTATTGTTCTTCACAGACAGGAAACAGTCTGCCTTTAAACACTCATTATATAAAGTCAGGAAAGACAGTAAAACTATCAGTGCATCTGTCAGAAATCAATGCTTTGGGCAGAGTTTACCAAGAGCCTAAGCGCTCTATTCCTCCGTAAACATGGCTATTTAATAAATAAATAATCACTGAGTGGTTAATCAGAATGAAACCTGGCCCATTTTATATATTTTCATTTATTGGGTTTCAGCTAGGGGAAATAAAGTCCCTATTTTTATAAGAGCTTTCATATTCTGCACATGATCTCAGAAAGTGGGCATCAAGAGAGACTATCTGGAATGTCTTCTAGATCTTAACCTTCTCATGACTTTTTGAAATTCAACAAGCAGAAGACCCTTTAATAGTATATTGCATTTATATCTAATGTTTAAAGGTTAAACAGTGCATATACATTCAGCACACAGTTGTACTATGTGCCAAGTGCCAAAAAATAATAACTTAGACCTCAAAATGAGTGAGTGAGTTCCTTATACATGTAAAGTTGCTTGCAAAGGAGAAAAATAGATAAATTAGCATAGTTTCTTCTTTCCTCAATATCTTTGGCAGCAAAGAACAAAACCCCCCACTGGTAAAAAGCTGTTCCATCTGCCATCCTATTGCAAGAACAGCTCGCTTTCTTGGAAAGATGATTTATGGAACAACTAAATCCTATCTTTCACTTTTTTGGGTGGAAGGCAGTGGTAGTGAGATTTTTGTGGAGAATGTCCATCTACTGTAAGTCCATTGGTGAACACATCTAAAAATTAAGACTCTAAACCAATGACTCATCAGCAATCTATCTTCTCTTTCCTTCCAACCTCTTTAAAGCATGACATTCTGGCTCTTAAGTGAAAAGCTTACTATACTATAGATAATTTATTAGGAAAGTTGTATACATAAGAAATAGATTTTTTAGTATGATAGATGATTATTGCTACACAGCAACAGAAAAATATTATGGTGGACGTAATTGTCTTGGTAGTTTTCACACATATGCAATGAGTAAATAAGGTGCTTGTAACATACTCCAGGGGTTACTAAGCTGCATTTTAATTTGTAGAGGCTTGATAGAGGGAGTGAAAAAGGTGTTTAAATGACTTGACCCAAATCCCCATTGTATAACAGGGGGAGAACCAAATTAGGGTACCAGATGTCCTGACCTCGGATATTGAACCACATAGTAGACAAAGCCATCTTTTAATTTACTGAATTCAAATAGGTTTACAAAAAGTAATGAACAGATGTGACTTCCCTTCTTTCTTAACATTTTCTGCCCTCTAGAAAATTAAGTCGAAATTAGTAACATTTAAAACTTTATATTTTCATGACTCAAAGTAAATTTTGATCTCTTGAAACTTACCTTAAAATCATATAATGCGAAGGTAATTCTTTTGTCTACAAGTGCAGCAAAAATATAATTGAAGAACTTGCCAAACATATATATTACCTTATTGTAAAGAAAGAAAAAATGAAATGAAGTGGCCAAATAGTATCATATATTCTGTGGTACTAATTTTTAAAATAAGACAGTAAACTGTAAAACCCTATCACTAGTTCAGTCAAGCTGATTGTGCACTTTCTTCTTTCTTTAACTTCATGACCTTCAAAATTTCAAACTAATGATGAGAAGGTTTCAAAGACCTGTTTAAGACAAGGTATATCTCCAGGACTATCATTCCATCCCATTTTACATATGCATTTTAATTTTTCTACTTTATGACTCCATTAATCTCTCATTTTCAACAGCCTCCATTTTTAATTAAACTACAAGCTTTGCAGACTTTATTTTTATTACTGACTGATGCCTTTACTAATGGTTTTTATTTTATTGTGAATTTCAGATGCAGTTACGGTGCCAGACTGAGTTAACACACTAGCAGCAGACTCAAATGAACAAATAGGTTAGGCATAGTAAGTGTGCCCTAAGGAAGTCTTAAAAACACCTAAAGTATGCACACACAAACACTTTCCTGTCACTCAAACTGAAACCTCAAGTGTATGACAAAAATGAGCAACAATTAATACAGGGAGGATACTTTTATCCCTTCCTCTCTTCTCACTGTCACCCTTCCAGGGAAGTGCTGGTGTACTTCCAGCAACCCTTCCATTCTCAGGAACAGTGTTAGGGTGGGAGACTTTTCCCTCCCTCCTCCTGGTGTTTGCTTCTCTCAAAGGAGTGGAAGAATTGCTAAGAAACTAGATTTCAGTAAGTCATACTCATTTTGGGTGGAACAGCTAACGCATGATCGTCACCCCTCCAGGGTGAGGCCCTTCTCTGGGTCCTTTCCCTTTCTCATAGGTCTGCATGCTCATAAGCAACTTTTTCTTCCCAAGTGGCCAGTAACTAGGACAAGTATTGCTCTTGTTTTCAGAGAGATCTTTATTCTCCAGCTTCTTCCTGGACAAATAAGCAGGCGAGACCATTTTAGGGGGATGTAGTTGGAAACGCTGCTTTGTGAGGCAACTAGCGTTTTTAAAATCAGTCTTAACAATCTAAAAATGACAACATGATCTTAATTTTCCAATTAGTTGAGAAATGACAGAGAGGGAGAATATGATTAATTCATACTATTCAGCCTCCAACCAACAGGACAAAAACTCAAATTGCTAATTATCCAATGACTGGATTACAGAATTCATCCTTCAGTACAATTTGCTATCTACCTTAAATGCACCTCACATTGGTTTTACTTTTTCATATTATATTACATTTATATGCAAAACATATCTTTTTCATCCATTTTGTTCTGATACTTTTTGAAACATCCATATTGTTTGCATACTTTCATACTTCATGTTCATTAGCTGATATTTGCAATTCACAAACGTATCTGTCACAGAGTGAATAACATATTAAAAATATTTTTATTTCAAAATAAAAATCAGTACTTTACAACAGTAAAATATAATTTAAAAAAGTAATTTTATGAAAACAAAGTCTTTAAAGTTAAAGGCCCCTGGTTTCAATTCAGCCTCATGATTCATTTGCTACGTGAATTTGGGCAAGGTACTTACTAACACTGACATTTATTTTGTGAAATCTGTGAAATAGTGATAAAAAATTACCTCACAAATTTGAACATAAGGTTAGACATAATATCTCAGAATTGTGTTAGTCAACTAAAATATAGTCAAATATTTTAGATATTGTCATAATCATGTAGTAATAACCATTTTTCATTATTATATTAATTTTCAAAATATCTTTCCAGTCTTATAGTAGTGAAAAAGTAATCGGGAAAACTGTGGTCTGATTTTTCATTTTCATTTTGGCTAAAAGCTGTTTAAGATTGGGCAAGTCACCTATTTATTATGCGCCTCAATTCCTGCATTTAGAACATGATGCATTGAAACTCACAGAAATTTTTACACACAGGGATTCAATAAAATTAAGTGGTGTGCACAAAAAACATCCAACAATTATTATTTTCCTTCTCTTCATCCCATCCAAAAGGATAGTACATTTTATTTTGCTTTATAGCAGGAGATTGCCAATGGTAGCTGTAGCCCTTGGGCTTCATTTGGTGTAAAGACACAATTTCTTTGCTCTATAATATAAAGTTCTAGAAAATGGTTGCACACGTGAAGGAATGATGAATTGACTGAAATAGGGCAACAGATAACTTTCTGGGGTGAGAGACATGTTCTAAATTTTGTTTGGGGTGGTGGTTGCATAGTTGTATAAAATTGTCAAAAATGATGAAAGAGAACACTTAAGAGGTGTGCATATTATTTTCTATTAATTGTGTCTCAGTTTTTTAAAGCACAGGCTAATCCTAGAGTTGGAGAAATGAAAGCTTTTCCAGAAAGACATTGCACATCTGCTCATCTATGAGCCAGGCATCATTAAATAAATATCGAAAAGCAAAAATTTGAATTAGTAGCCATGGTTTTAAAACTAGGAAAGTTCACATGGAAATTTACATGTTACTCAGTGTAATGCCTACATGGCCTCACAGAATTTCTACCCCATCTTAACTCTGCTTATCTTTAAGAAACAGGAAGCCCACAGTTAGAAGTTCTTGGCGGTGTGGGGTGACTCACGCCTGTAATCCCTGCACTTTGGGAGGCCAAGGTGGGTGGATCACAAGGTCAGGAGTTTGAGACCATCCTGGCTAACACGGTGAAACCCCGTCTCTACTAAAAATACAAAAAAATTAGCCGGGCGTGGTGGCGGGTACCTGTAGTCCCAGCTACCTGGGAGGCTGAGGCAGGAGAATGGCGTGAACCCAGGGGGCAGAGCTTCCAGTAAGCCAAGATCATGCCACTGCACTCCAGCCTGGGTGACAGAGCAAGACTCTGTCTCAAAAAAAATTAATTAATTAATTAATAAAAAATAAATAAATAAGTTCATCCTTGTGACCAAACCAGCTAAAACTGGTAGGATCCAAGAAGGCAGCTCACTTGAAGAATCTCTAACTTCATTATAATTGAATTTCCCTGCTAAATGACACCCCCACCAGTGCCATGACAATTGGCAATCATAACGACAATGACTGGAAGAAACCATAAACAAGGAAGGCAGCACTCTGGTTCTCCACACACCCTCAGAGAAGACATGAATATTCCTCCACTTGCTTACAATGCCCAACTCCTTCATTAAAGATGCCTTATATCTACGGTTTCCTGGCTTTCATGAGTGGAGAAGTGGATTTATGAGCCATGCTCCCACTTCTCCATTCCATGGCCACCAAATAAAGCCTTAACTGCTTGACGCTCAAGTTCAGTTTCACGTATTGGCTTCACAACACCAAACAGGGAAAGACCCTATCTTTTGGGGGACCGACTTTGTCAATAACATAGATACTCTACTTCTCTTAAAAAATCAGAAGTTCTAGGAAGAGTGAACCCAAATTTCCTCAAGGCTACAATCACTGAAGCTGAGTAAAAGCCAGTCCATTTAGAAAAGGTTTGCCCCAGACCCTCCAACTCCAGTGTTTCCTACAGCAACTACATCTACTTATATAAACAGAAGCCTCACTGATTTTACAACCCATTCCACAACACCATATGTACTACAGTTATTTTAGTACTTTAAACTTGAACTCCTTTTGGAAGAGGTACAAGATGCTACAAATTTTCTATAATGATATAATAATGTAGAAACTCTTAATACATGTGTGTTGCTACTGAGAAGCCTCAATCTAGACTGAAATTCATTCTTCCAAGGAAGATATTCACAATTTAAGTGTTGTGATAATAGTGTATCTTATTTATTATAGACTCAAAATAGTTAAAAAAAAAAAAGTCACTTGCAAAATCTGCTGTTCCAAAGAATTCAGTGCTTCAAATTATTCCTGCAAATGGTTTATGCAAGGCACCAGGCTTATGATTAATAACAAAACATGAGATGTTTGATTTTGAATAAAACAGTCTTCTCTTCCAATTTAATTAGTTATAAATATAAGCCAGGACTCTGCTTTCTTTATCTATATCTTGAGCAGTAGTCTCCAAAGACAACATATAGGAATATTCTAAGGCAGGTACCAGTGTTACACTGTCTAAATTGATTCACTTCTAGGACTATCAGAATCACTTTAGGTGATTCTCATCTTAAGATGGATAGAACCTTCCTATCAATGGTCCATGCTGCTCTGGGATTTTAGCAAGCATTCACTACATGAGTAACACTCATTTATGAGATCAAAATCAATGAGAAGACACCCAAGAAAAGTTTTACCAATCAAAACCCTTAGGAGCTTGTTAAAACAGACATGATCAGAACTACAAAAGCATTTTATCACAAGGAAACCACAAAAACACACAATACACACACACACATGAATTACATACTCACCCAATCAATTTCTCCTAAAATGAAAATGTGAAAGTTAAAACAAACACCAGAAAGGGAAAAAAACATGACAGGGATACTTTTGCTAGAAAACCTCCACACACAGTTAAAGGGTAAGAATGCATAAAGTACAAAACCTCAGGCATAAAGACTACCTTTTAAAAAAGAGCATCTCCTCACTGCCTGCTGCCATTCAGGAGCTTGTTTTTTAGTAGCATAACCTAAAGGTTGGTATGTAATCACTTTAGTCAATAATATAAACAAAGAGGCTGAAAGCCTCACAATCTTAAACACATAGAGAGAATTTCATCTACAATAGCAAGGTGTGTATTCCCTTGAGAATTGCACAACTACTGGATTAAAATCAAATGCATTTCACTACAAAATGAGAAACAAAGATTGAATCAATTACCTGAAGGGAAAACCAATCCACACAATGAAGTCTTTACCTCTATGAATCAGCAGAAAAGCAACATAGGTGGGCTACTGCACAAATATTCTACAATTATCAGCAGCTGCTACACAAGCAACACTGTATCTCTCATTTACCTGGAGTGCTATCACATCTGTGCACAGCAGTCACAGCTGCTACCCAAGTCAGAGAATAAACATGTTCACACCCTTGAAAAAACAAGGTATCTATTATCTCCTAATACTGAACAGGATGCCTTGTGAATAGGACAGAGATTCTGGGTTGTATTTAAATGTGTATCTTTAAATTGTGATTTGTGTAAGTTTTAATACAGCTTCATTTTTCTGTCAGATTTGTGTTTTGTGTAACCATTCAAAATTGGTGTGCATTCTTTGGTATTTATAAAATAGAATGAAGTAATCAAACTGTACTAGAGAGTCTGTAAAACCACTCATAAATTCACCACTAATGTTTGAGAACGCAGAAACATTTTAAAATCCTGAGAGGGAAAGCTGTACTAACTTTAAAAATCCCACTTTTCAGACACTTAATGATGCCACCTGAAATGTACAATGTATAAACATCTAACCACTTATTCTTTATTACAAAAGTGTAAGATTTCAAACAATTAAAAAAATGACAGTTTTAGTCACATAATGATATTTTCCAGAAACCGTTTCTGTCACAGCTAGTTTCAGGTAAAAACATTTTTAAAGGCCATTTAATATTACTTTTGTTAGTGAAGAAAAAAAAAAACCTGGCAAATCCAGAGTTATCTGTATCACCTTATTAAGTGTCAACAATTAGGTAATATTTTCCATGTGCAGGGCACCATTCTAAGCACTTCGCATGCACTAAGTCATCAATCTTTACAACCTATAAGGTTATTATTCCCAATTTACTGAAGAATAAACTGTGATACAGGAAGATGAAGTGATTTGCCCACTGAAAACCACACAGCTGGTAATGGCTAAAACTGGGCTTTCAAAGTAGGCATTGTATCTCCCAGTCTTTGAAAGTAAAACTACTTTGCAATTAGTTATCCAAACCACTCTTCCAAAAAGCAAATGTTTGGTGTGTTAATTCTATCAACAATGGTTCTAAATTTGGATAGTCACATGAGTTGATATTTCTACTCATTAATTCACTAACGTTTTGGAGGTGTCAATGATGTCTATATTATATTTAATAGTATACTGTCGTCTTTTGTGAATGGATTTCATTTTTTTGGAAAGTCCTAATATATTTGAAGCCAAGCCCGATGAGGTGAAGTGACAGAAAGAAATAGTCCATGTAGTTTTCAGCAAAGCAATGAAATTTATTTTCTTATCCATTCCTGATTATAAAGACAATACAACTGAAATGTTTCAAAAATGATTCATTAATATCTTCATCACTGGAATAAGTATATAGTTTTCCAGGATGACTACTTGTAAAATGTGCCTTATTTGCATTAATTACTCTAACTCGGGTACTTGGTTTTTAAAAATTACACTACTTTATAGTTATATCTCAATCTAAAATGAATAATGAGTTAGAATTTTGTTTTCTGGGTATTTTAAAATATTAATATGCATAATGAAAAATGTTAGCAATTTTGAACCTGAATAATCAAAATATCACAAAACTTTAGGAGTGAAGTTAAATCTTTAAAAACATCTATGACAAAAGAATTTTAGTCTAAATAGAAAGACAAGGAAAAAAGAGAAAATGAAAGATTAAAGTAAATAATGCTCAGTTCCACACACTGTTCAACTTTTAATTAAAAAAAAAATCCAATACCTAGTTTTTTAGATAAAAGCATAAAGACAGAACCAATTATAAACCATTTGCTTCAAAGGCTCCACTAGTAGTAGCCTTTCACTTCACCTTCTTTGGTCTCTGTGAATTCTCACTCTCCAAACAAACTCATGGTCTCTTATTAACACACTGGTCTCGTCTTATTGTTCCCCCACCTCTCTCCTTCATCATTTTAACTCTATTATTGCCCATCATCACCCTTTCAATAAAATCAAAGGCCCACCTAATCTAGGAAACAAAAATTCATCTCATCAGGTCTCAAGCACAATCTTCTGCCATTTTTATCCTTTTAATCCACTTCTGCAATAATACCATGCACTCTGATTCTCATCTACCTTAAAAATAACTTCTTGAGACCAGGGATTATAATACAAACTTTGTATTATAATGTAAGAGTCAAGTAGACAATTATTCCCAGTTTAATAGATCCCTTCGAACTGATTTCTAGGAAGTTATTTCTTGCCTTTGCCAACCCTGATCTTAAGTTTCCGAAGATTAAATTCTGGGCTTTGATTATTTTTTTCTTTTTAAGCTCTGGTAATAGCACTAAAATTCACCACTGAAATATTTGCTGAACTATTCATTGATTACAATTTTTTATGTTCTTTTTAGTGCTGTTATTTCAGATTTGTCCTTGTCCATGGACAAATTGAAATTTGTTCTTATTCCCAATATTCCAGAAAAATCTTTTTCTACAAAAATTGCTGCTATGTCACCTCTAGAAGAGTAAAAGAAGGCAAAGCATCAAAAAGAGATATCTGTTGGCCCTTTTGGGGGAAAGAGAAATTTTTTACACCAGTTAAGATGGTTCTAAGTGTGTTTAAAATATTGACACAAGATTGGCAGCTGCTCACATTCTGCCTGAAAGGTTTACTACTGGCAGGAACTTCCAGCAGCTGCTTGCTTGAAACGTGAGAAAACATTTGGACAGTTAGGATAGCCTGATTTTCCCCTTAAAATCTGTTTGGCAAAACTTCCTGGCAGTTAATATGATCCTGTGAAAAAGCTTTTAAAAAGTGTTCACATCTCTTCGTAAAACTTGTTTTGCCAGTACAGACAATATTTCTTAAAGTGATATTTTAAATTCCCAATCTTCTCATTGCTGGCTAATATTTTTCTTTATTTAGCCGATAAAAATGGAAAATGAATTGCAAGGTCGTTTGTGTATTTATAATAAAATGGCAGTCCCAGGTGAAATATTTTAAACAGATTAATTACTAGTATCTTCCAGACAAGTTAATATTTTATACAGAACTGAGATTAGAACAGAGACCATAATCTGCAGCTTTATCAATGACTTCCAAATCTTTCTTAAGCAATTATTTTATGCTAGAATTTAGAAAACTCATTCTTGGACTGGCGCAGTGGCTCACGCCTGTAATTCCAGCACTTCCGGAGCCCGAGGCGGGTGGATCACAAAGTCAGGAGTTCAAAACCAGACTGGCCAAGATGGTGAAACCCCGTCTCTACTAAAAATACAAAAATTAGCCGGGCGTGGTGGTGGGCGCTTGTAATCCCAGCTACTCGGGAGGCTGTGGCAGACAATTGCTTGAACCCGTGAGGCGGAGCCTGCAGTGAGCTGAGATCACGCCACTGCACTCCAGCCTGGGTGCCAGAGCGAGACTCTGTCTCAAAAAAAAAAAAAAAGAAAGAAAGAAAAGAAAACAAAACTCATTCTTAAGCATTAGGGACAAACTTGCAGAGAATGATTCAAACATCTTAGTCCTGGAGCAGTCATATAGTGAAGACCAGCATGAGCCATCTCATTCATCCACACACTCTACATAAAATAACCACTACCCAGAGACATGTAATTTGTGTACTCAACTTTTATAATAATTTTCTGAGCATTTCTTTTCCTTAATAGGTGTTCCTTTCTCACTTTAACTGCTTTCCTCTCATTCACTTTCAAGTATGTCATGGCCTCTGCAGTGCTACCCCTTATCCAAGGCAGAGCAATCTAAAGGATATTGATTTATGATGGCTATGTAATTTACACACTCTGCAATTTTCCAGTATGATTTATTCAAAAAATAGATTGTACATTAAGCTTGGCATTCATTAGACTGGCCCATTCCAGTTTGATATTAATCCTGAATCAGATTTGTTTGTAAGATTTATGCATTTAGATCATGTAGAGTTGTCTGGCAGATTTTAAAGTATTTGCAAAATCCAAGCAACCCTTTAGACACATTTGTATTGAAACATTGAATGAAGGCCATGATACCAGTAACCTGGGATTACTTGGAGATAAGATACTGGCATTATATATGAAAAATGAGTTATTCAGTAAACATGAATTTCCAATAAGTTAATCATCTCAATAAGTAAAATACAAGAAAATTGTAAGAATTATTTATTATTAACAAGTGTAAATTGGGTATATTCTTAAACCTATAAAAAGCCCACTCTGCAACATACAGCTATGGCTTGTCTATAAAAAGAAAACTGGATTTCAATATCTGATAATAAATAAGACAGTAAGTGAAAACCAGAAAGGTAATAATAATAATAGATGGCGTATATTCTACTTTAAAAGTTAAATTTTCTTGGTAATCTTTTAGAAAAGCATTTCTATTGCATCAGACTTGCTAGGGAACAGTGAACTGTTAATTATTAAGCTTTTGCCAAGAACTGGGAAAATGTACAACATAAATCTTTATATAAAGAGTTACATTCAGATACTTACCAATAGCCCTCACGTATACCAAAGTAAAAGAAAGCAGTTCTTTGGGTCATGTGACATAAACGTCTTATTTTTAACCAAAACTGAATTTAAATTAATATAAAGCCCCACATTTGCTTAAGTTGATGCTGACTCTGAAAGTAAAACAGATCTTTTCAAAGATGTAAAGTGTTCAGCAGAAGGTGGCAACATTGTGCATAGATTGATGTCTCTAATTCCATATGTGACTTAAAAGCAAATTGCCAGCAAACTGATAATCTGAGTCAGCATTTACATCTCATTTTCTTTATTTTTAGAATAAGAAAGAAATTAACTGAGGATGCTGACAAAAAACGCAGGCTTTCATTTAAGACACTAGTATGGAATAACACAATCAAAGACATTTAAAATAACGAGAACCTGATGTTAAATAAAGGAATTCTATGAATGCATGTCCCTGACACAGCCTCACTATGATGCTGTATAAATTAATATTTGTACTTATGCTTTGCTTGTGATATGTGAAGTGTTATTTCAATGTTCTGAACGATGCCACTGAAATCTAAGAAAGACACATCACAGAAAAGGGGGGGAAGATGGGGACGGCGGGCATGTAGAGAGAAAGATGGAGGGGAAAACAAGTTGAAATTTAAAATATTTTCTAATTTAATCACAGATGCATTATGTATTTAAAAGCAAGCTAAATACTCAATATTTACTGTACTTATTATCTCATTTGCAAAAGTAGAATCTTGCATGCATTAAAGGTATTTCAAAATTTATAATTATTCAAATGGTACAATTTTTTATTGCTGTCACTAAACTACTAAATGAAAAGCCAACATTTGATTAAGTTATCGTAGCCTCTAATAAATCACTTGAAGTCATTTATTTGGAAATGGAACCCTTTATAACCTTCTCTATTATTAAAACATATCAATCTAATCAATTAATTTTCAACACAGATACTGCTTTTCCCTACCTGTCAAAACGTACAATGGGATTTCTACTGAATATAAGTAATTAATTTTTTAACTACAGAAGTAAAGAACTCTACTGTTTAAGGATTTTATTTTATTATTATTTTTAATGTAGAAATGGTTGTCCTGATCGTCATTATTTGGCTGAATGAATTGAAGTAAGCCTCCCTGGGCAGCTGCTGACATAATGACTGATTGTGTGCAGAGCAGAGAATGTGAATGATAAATTTTGAATGGCTCTGGAATTTGTGAATAACAAAAGTAGCTACAGTTCCTAAAATCTAATCATTTGTTCTCAGCAACAAAAGAAGACTCAAAAAGGCTTTTGTTTAATGAAATGATTCAAAAACTGGATAAGGAGGAATTAAGGGTTATCTCTACCGGCACAATTGAGCAAGCAGCACAATTGCCCAACTAGAGGGACCACAAACGTAGGCTGGTTAACATGGTATAAATGAAATTAATCTAATTCTATTCCCTTGAATATTACTATGATATTCTCATGACAGTTGTATCTTCATGCATTTGGGGGGCGAGGGGGAAGCATATAGAAATAACAATTTAAATAACTTTTACACAGAGAGGTTAATAATTACTTTAACAATATTTGATAATTAAAACATACTCAATTTAATTAGTAACAAAAGTATAATACAGTAAAAAATAAACAGTAACTAAAATTCCTGAATGTTATATATGCTAGTTGTATAATCTTGAAGAGCTGATTCTTCTTTCACTCCAGTTTCCTTATGTATATAATGGCTATTTAAAGTATTATATAATTGCCTTAGAGTGAAAGGATGGAAACATAAAATAAAATAAAGTATTATATAAGCTTCTTAAGGTAAAACACACAGCAGGAAGTCTCGCAAATGATACTGTAATAGTGGTCAGTAGTAGTAGCAGTGGCAGTGGTGATGGTGATGATGGTGGTGGTGGTGGTGGCGACGGTAGTGACGGTGGCGGTGGTAACAGTTGTAGTGGTAGGTACTAAGTAACATTCCAGAGGGTATTTCATTTAACACAAGAATCTCTTGAGATAATTAAAACAAACCCTGCATCAAAAATAAGAGAATAATTTAGGGTTAAAAAAAAAAAGGTGGGAATTTAGTAAGTTCTGCCAATTCAAAATCCCTCCTCATCTCCAGGATACCTTGTGCCTTCAATTAAAGTCATATGACTCAAGTAAAAAACAAGGAAAAAAAATGTTTTGTTAAAAATAAGTACTGTTCCTTAAAACTTTACGGAAATTCAAGGCAAAAACTAAAAATAATGCACATTTTTATAATCATCAATAAATTAAAAATTTATTTTCAACATCTTTATTTTTCCCATAGTTCCTCAAAGTATAGACACGTCCCCATTCCACTGATAAAGACTGAAATCGGCAATTTAGCATATATTATATGAGGCACATGCAAACTAATAAACTGATTAGGTAGCTGCCTATTCAATGCAATGAAAGAGACACACAGACACCCCCAAAAAGGTTTTCTTTTCAAAAAACATTTCTGGGATCTATTTAGTAATGTTTTTAAATGTAGCCGAGATCAGAATTATCTATTTTAAAAACAGACCAGTTGTAAAATAAACTTGTTACCCATGCAATCAAAAAGTGCAACAGACAACATCAAACACAGAAATAGGCTCATTGCTCTTATTAAGAAACATATAATGACTGGAATAATGTTGTATTTATAATAATGTGCTACACATTGATCTACTATTTTTTGTTGTTTATGGTATCTTTGGAGTAGGGGAAGTGTCAACTGCTCTAAAAGTGATCTTTCTCTTTTGAAATAGTGACCGTTTTCAAATAGTATCAATATGATGTATGTCAAATATATCATAGTAATGCATTTTTAATTTCATGATATACTTAACGTAAAATTAAGTGAGTCAAAGAATGGAAATATTAATCACATATTTGAGCATTGCTTCTTTCACGAAGTAATATTTTATAAATATAATTTAAGGTGTTTAGCTTTGTGTAAAGGTGCTTATTTTCAGAAATAAAGGTACACAATATCATATCTTATAATGATACTATATTTTGAAAATGAGAGTCTTCATTTCCAAATGAAGTTTCAGGTAAAGCCTTTTGCTATTTACATTTTCTGACAACACTGTTTTGACATGAAGTAATCTTGATTTTCTGAGAAAAGGAGACTAAATAAATCCCTTAATTCTAATCCAGTATCTATTATCCATACTGTGCATGGATTTTAAATCCTTAAGCAATTTATCTATCAAAATATAAGGCAAGGCAACTGCTGATTTTTATTTCACATATCTACTGAATTTACAAATCTGCTGAAAGGCACACCAGGGCATCAAAGGCTCTCTTATGCCTAGGTTTGCAGACATTTACCATGAAAGGGCAATAAATTTGTCTTTGTTCCCATCCCCAGACTTTCAGTTAACCTGAGAGACTTGTTCTGAGTAAAGAGTCACTCAGCCTTCTGTTTCATTTCCTGTGACTCTCAACCTGTCAAGTTCTGATTCTGATTTTTCATCGCTGCACTCCGACACAAGTCTCCCTCATCACATAATTTGACACAGCAACAGAAAAAACAGTATTATTAAGTTAGCTTTGCTTTTGTTTCTTATCCAAAAAATTAGTGTCTATTTTAAAATACCTTTTTTGTACTACACATATAAATTGCACACATTCATACTATGCAGCCACCAAAATCAATTTACCTTAGATAAGAAACCACAGAATTTCAATTTTAAAACACATAACATATACTAAAAGGTTCAGTTATCAATGTCATACTGTGCTCTTGCTTGTGTTTTTGTTTTGCTTTAATTTTTTGAGACAGGATTTCACTCTGTTGCCGATCCACAGCTCACTGAAGTCTCACACTCTTGGACGCAAGCGATCTTCCTGCTTCAGCCTCCCAAGTAGCTAGGACAATAGGCACATGCCACCACCCTTGGACTTTTTTCTTTTTTTTTTTTTTAAATCTGTGTAGTGACAGTGGTCTCTCTATGTTGCCTAGGCTGGTCTCAAACTCCTAGGCTCAAGTGACCCTCACACCTCTGCCTCCCAAAATGCTGGACGGGATTACAGGTATGAGCCACTGTGCCCAGCCCGCTCTTACTTTTTAAAAATTCCTAAGTATTATACAGAAATCAATTGTTTTATAGGAGATTTGATGAGGTATGAAAATATATTTAACTAAATCATAACAATTATTAACTTGCTCAGTTTCAAAAAGTTTAGTACTTTTATACTTGTTTGATATTTGCTAGATCTCTATTTTATTAATTATATATACACAGGCATTCCCCCTCGATTCACAGGGACTGTGTTCCAAGACTCCCAGCAAATGCCAAAACTGCAGGTAGAATTGAATCCTATATATACCATGGTGTTTCTCCTATACATATATACCTATGATAAAGGTAAATTTATAAATTAGGCACCTTAAGAGATTAACAACAGTAACAAGTGATAAAATAGAAAAATTATAACAATGTGCCAGCATCACTATTCTTGTACTTTGGGGCCATTATTAAGTCAAATAAGGGTTCCTTGAACACAAGCACTGCAATACCTTGACAGTTCATCAGATAATGGAGACGGCCACTAAGTGACGGAAGGATGGGGCCCATAGACAGCTTAGAGATACTCGACAAAGGAATGATTAATGTCTCAGGAGGGACAAAGCAGGACAACGTGAGATTTCATCACACTACTCAGGAAGGCAGGCAATTTAAAACATATGAATTGTTTATTTCTGGAATTTTCCATTTAGTATTTTAAGACCATGGCTAACCTCAGGTAACTGAAACCTCAGAAAGTGAAACCGCGAATAATGGGGACTACTGTGTGTGTGTGTGTGTGTGTGTGTGTGTGTGAGTGTGTGTGTGTGTGTGTAAAATTTAATTTGAAGACCACAAAAGGAATTTACATTGAGTCCCAGAGAGCAATATTAAATACTAATATTAAACAATGGCTGACAGATCCAAATAACAGTTCCACAGTAAAGTAAGGGGCAGTAATAGCGCTTATTTCCATATTGATGAGATATTAAGATGCCTCTAATCAAAGGGCAGAACATTATTTTATATGCCATTTTATGAACCATATTTCAACAATGATAAGATGCCTCTGATTATAAGACAGAACATGATTATTTTATGTACCAGTAAGAAAAATAATTTGCCAATTAAACTGATGCACTATCAATTACCACGATGCATCCAATTTCAGATATGTTAAAATGTGAAGACAGATAGTCCTCGACTTATAATAGGGTTTGGTCCCAATAAACCCAGCCTAAGTTGAAAATATCATAAGTTGAAAATGCATTTAATACACCTAACCCACCAGAACACCATAGCTTAGCCTAGCCTACCTTAAACATGCTCAGAACACTTAAATTTGCCTACAGTTGGGCAAAATCATCTAACACAAATCCTACTTTATAATAAAATGCTCAATACTTATGTAATTTATTGAATACTGTACTGAAAGTGAAAAACGGAATTGTGCTATGGGTACTCACCACACATGTACTCAGCTGGAAACACACTTGACCTGAAGGTTGTTTACCCTCGTGATCGCAGGGCTGACTGGGAGCTGCAGCTTGCCGCCCAACAAAACAAGAGTGCCTTACTGCACACAGCTAGCTCAGAACAAGATCAAAATTCCAATTTCGAAGTATTTTCGAAAGTGGTTTCTACTGAATGTGTATACTTTCGTGGCATTATAAAGTCAGAAATCATTTTGAACCACTGTAAGTTGGGGACTGTCCATACCAGTGTAGGTCTCAGAAGGGATAAATTACAGTATGTTTCAGTCACTATGCAAAGCTCTTAAGTTCATTACCTATTTTATCCCTAAAACCCACAAGAGACCTTTTCACATCTGTGAAGTGGAGAAACTGGCAGAGTGAGATTTAGTTACTTGCTCCAGGTAACATAATTAGGAAGGTCAGAGCTAGGATTTAAATCTATTCCCACATTGGTTGACCTTTCCCCAAAGCTCACTGCTTGCTATATCAGAATTCTCATTAACAGATTTGTAGTTGGATTAGCTTATTAAAAAGTGAGTTTACAAATATTCTATGCTTTATTCTATGTATTATCAGCAAATGTAGCATTAATCAAAACACTGTCATCTGAATCTATTAATTTCTGATTAACAAAGGCAGCTGTGACATGGAACACATAAGTAGGCATTTACTAATATTATATGCAGCACAGTTGTGTATATCATAACTAAAATAAGTCATAAGTATGAAATCTGAGTACTTCAGCTACTTATATATTTCCATTTACAGTTAAAGTACAGTTTTGATATCATTGTGAGAGCATGAAAATAAATCCATTTTAGAATTGTGAGCAACTGCTTTTAAATCATAGGGTTTACAGGCAAAATCAAGAAAGCTTTGTTCAACAACCATATTTAATATAAACCTAGCAGAAATCATGTTTTATGCAGAACCCTATCAATAGGCTGTGGTAATGATGGTTTAAAACACAAAAGAGGAAAGAGAATCGTATACTCTCCACTCTCTGTGTCTGCGCTTTTCCTTCTGGTGAGTCTGTTTCCCAGCTCTTTTCCTCTCAATACACTCAGAACTTGAGTTTGACTTTGGTGTCTTCCACTTCACAAAACCTCCAGCTGCTACACAACGTGTCTCAGCAGTTCACCAACACTGCTCCCTGCTCAGCCCTGCTCTGCTAAGGCAAGTGTTCAGTATTTGATAACTAGCTATAGGTGGGACTGAAACAGAGGAAGCAAAGACGACGATTAACCTGAATGGTCTGTGAAATCCCTTTTTATGTTCCTTTGGGGCCTCAAATTGGACAGGCGATCTTAGGAAATTACAGCTCAGAAGATATACTCAAGCCACTCAGGTACGCATTTTGTTAAAAATCACTCTTAGTTTTGGTCAAGAAGGTTCTATTTGCCTTCCCAGTGGTGCAATCTGAAGGGGAACATTTTGAGAATAGGCATCAAAAAGAACATAAAAAGCATCTAAGATCTCCACCTTTGCAAACAAGATTATTTCCTGCCTTCCAGCTTCCCAATGGCTTTCAAGATTTTCTTTCTTTGACTCCAGGTCTCTAAATTTGGTATTGACAAAGAAAGACCCCAGACAGATGCTCTGGTATTTGTGTTATTCACTCTAGTACGACCATGCATCGGATGCATAGCACAGTCATATGCACTGTTGGCAGTCTTTAAACTGGCAAGTTAAAGTCCAAATTATGAATACACAGTTACACATACACACGTGGCATGTTTCTATATAAACAAAAGATAATAACATGCATGTACAAGCTAGCTACCTAGCTGAACAATAATCTGGTTCCCAGACACTATCAGTCTCTTTCATATAAGTTGTAGTTAATATTACTAGTTTCACAACTATAGCCTCAAAACTCCCAGAGATTGTTTTGTTATTATACTCATTTTTATCATCACATTTAGAATACTTTCCCATTGAAGTAAACACACAAAATTAAATTTACTGTCTTTCCAAGGATATTTTATACTTCAGCCCTAATGGAAAAGGAATATGTTTCAGGAAAGCTTAAGGTTATAGTTTTAATTATGAAGTGATTTAGGTCCTCTATAAGTTGCACCTGCTCTATTTATTGAGGTTCATGCTGACTTCAGTATTAATTGTTGCTGTATACTTTTGACCCTACAAACCTTATACCATCAATGAGCAGTACACAGTTTCCATCTCATTTGTTCTCCCATAATATGTGGAATATTTTCTCCTTCCTTTTAATAGTGATTAAAAATGCCATGACTTTTTAAAAAATCATTGTTTAAAATGGACACTTTCAACAAAGAAAAGCAGTGCATACATCAGCCTGTAAAAATTATCATACCATAAAATGTAAAGACCCAGCCTAAAGAATGCATACTAGATGTAACAGAAACAAAATATTCTCCCAAAATGTGATAATAATTACACTCTTCTTCGCATATAGAACGTCTCCATTTTATATTAATACTTCTGTCTCAACAGCAGTTTTTTATAAACTAAGAACAGTATAAGGATAATTTAATACTTTTCATGAGAAACTATTGTTCAGCTTCTGTATTAAACCATTCATTCATTTTCTCTCTCTCACTCTTTCTCTCTATACATGCATATATAAATAAATATTTTATATATATATATATGTGTGTGTATATATATATATATATATATGTATATATATATATATGTATATATATAGTCTTCCCTTCATATCCAAGGAAGTGGTTCCAGGACCACCATCCCCCAACTCCAGGATACCAGAATTCACAAATGCTTAATTCCCTTATATAAAAAGCTGTGATATTTGCATATATCCATGTACATCCTCCCATACACTTTGTCACCTCTAGATAATTTACAATACCTAATACATTGTAAATGCTACATAAATCATTGTTACACTGTATTGTTTTATATTTGTATTATTTTTATCATTGTACAGTTATTTTCAATTTTTTTTCCCAAATATTTTTGATTCTTGGTTGGTTGAATTCATGAATGTGGAATCCATGGACACAGAGGGGTGTGTGTGTGTGCGTGTGTGTGTGTGTGTGTGTGTGTGTGTGTGTGTGTGTGTGTATTGATCCAGGCAAAATCTTAGGCCTTTAAAATTCAAAATACATATAGCAAAGTTCTTTAAAACTGAAAATAAACATCGAAAATGTCTTAATAAGGAACCATAATGGCATAGGCAGTAATCTTTCCTTCACCAATTTGTAACTTACCCTTTCAGTCAAGATTAGTATTTTCACTAGTGACCACAAGTGACTTAAAGATAGCAATCCAGTTTTTTAAAAAATCATTCACATTTTTAATAGCTCCTTCATTTTTAATATTTTGCATTTATAGTATATTGCATTATTCTTATCTAGAAGTATGAGAAACTAAAAAATCATAACATGCCACTGGATAAACATGAAATTAATCAGTAGTCAACCTGGTCAGGGCCTAACACATTGTAAATAAAAGAACATATGAAGACTAAAATTAATTTCCTTCCTTTCCTTTTCTTCCTTTCCTTCCTTTCCCACTTCCCCTTCCCTCCTTCCCTCCTTCCCTCCTTCCCTCCTTCCTTCCTTCCTTCCTTCCTTTCTTCCTTCCTTCCTTTATATTGAGATGGTCTCACTCTGTTACCCAGGCTAGAATGCAGTGGTACAATTATAGCTTACTGCAGCCTCAACCTCCTGGGCTCAATTGTTCCTCCCACTTCAGCCTCCCAAAGTGCTGAGATTACAGGCATAAGCCACCACACCTGGCTAAAATAATTTAAATGTTATCCTTATCTTCCTTACCATTGTGTGTGCACATGTGCTTAAACATAGAGAAATAGTGAGAAAGATAGAATATAAGCCACTACATTAAGTTTGTAATGATATGACAATGTAATAAATTAGAATGCTAAATTTCATAAGTATTTTAATTTATTAATCAACCTAACCATATGTTCTGATAATATATGAATGCCAAGTCCAATAGGTCATCAACTCTAAATTAATCTCAGATAAATTTCATAAAGATTATAAAAGCTGTGGCTGATTCGTGTGGATAGGTTCAAAATGTGGTACTAATCAACATAATTCAATGATCCAGATACAATTATGGAGCCTAGTATATGTTCAAAGCTTTCTGTACCTATGATCTAATAGCTAGTGGACACACAAAGACCCACAATACTTCCTTCATAGGGGAGGTATGTTCTGTTTATTTGTTTTCCATTTTTCAAGATACAACTTTACGTTTAAGTATCTCTTCCATAAGATTCACAAATCAAATTATAATGACAAGTGCTAAGAGCTACTAAGTGCTTACCATAATTTAAGCACTATGCTACAGATTTACATGGGTAATTTTGTTTAACCTTCATAACAGCCATTGTATAGAAGAGTAACCTGAGGAACCAGTGGCCCAGGGTCACACAGCTTGTAAGTAGTGAGCCAGGTTTTCTGCCTAGACATTCTGCCTTTAGTGTCCTCTTACTATCTCCTTATATTACGCCAGAATCCCTACTTTGGCTTTTGTATTTATTTAAATTTGCCCAACCTGAACAAAGATAAAGTAATCATGTAGAAAATCCTTGGTACATCAATATCCAATTATTTGCCTAGTTAAAAGCTTGGAAACATGGATTCAGAATATTTCTTATTCTGATGGCGTAAGAGAGAAAAAAACAATTACCTTAGATCTTAACTCTAAATGGGTGCCTTACTATATTATAAATTATGACTATGCCATAAAGGCATACATTATTGCCAGATACATTATTGCCATAATGTATATTCCTATAATCTACTACGCAGTATGTTAATAGTCTTCTAATGTTGGAAGTGACCAGTGAAACAAAATTATTCATGTCATAATTATTTATGTTTGGTAGAATTATAAATATCTTATTAATCAGATACAAAGTAAGAAAAGGAGAAAGATGGTATGAAACACAATAAGCAAATTTTACTCAGAGGAAAGGCTAATATTTTAGGGTGAAATATTTAAGGTGAAAATATATCTAGCATCTCTTACATATAGCCCTCATGAATACATACCTTGAGTGGACAGATAGCCAGTCATGCCTGTTAGAATTTATGAAAGAAGAAAAGTGTGGGAATAGGAAATGAAAGAAAATATGATAAGTCTGTTTCAAGTTACTAGAATTCCTCCGCTGTGCTACATCACAGAACTTTATAACCTCTATATTGCGTTAACTTATGTACGTATATCTAGGTATCTTGTGTGTGTATATATAAATATATGTATAATTTTACTTTAAATTTTACATTATTAATTTATTTTGACCCATCCTGTTTCTGAACGATTAGTGCCCTGGTTGAGGAAGCACACCAGTATAACAAGTTTAGTATAACCAGTTCTGTTATATGAAATATTTGACTAAAATGGCACTGTCCTAAAAATTTAGAACCGCTGAAAAGCTCAAGAACTAAACCAGAGAAATGGATCTCAATGCAAAGTTTTCAGTATGAGACCAACCTCTTACTTACATGCCTCTATATAAAACAAAGGGAGCTATCTCTTATTTACTTTAAACAGTTTTGGGAAACATTGGCCATACAACTATTCTCAAAACGTTCTATGTGATGCAGCCCCTACCATAGAAACTGAAAAATTCAGATATGCATTTACCACCCTGTCTTGTAGCTAGGAAATATTATGTAACCTAGTCCTAGCTAATAATATATAAATAGAGTGCTTGAAGACTTCTGAAAACCATTTATTCAATTCACTATATTCTATCTTTGAGTGTTGTTACGTCAAGACCTGATGTGAAGACATCTGAAAGCCATCTTAACCAGAGATTTTTAAAAAACAGCAGCGAAACAGCAGCAACTACCAACCAAAGATTTTGAAAAGAGAGTCGGTCCTTGATGATTCAATTTCAAGGCCAAACCATCACAGGGACCACTTTGGAAGTAATATTAAGTAAACAAGCATCCTTTTAGTTAATGCTAATGGTTAGCTTGGTTTTCTGTTATGTATAGTCAAAAGGATTCTACATGATTAAGCCAGAAGTATCTATTTAGTGGAATAAAAATACCTTAGGGAGAGAGTAAGGGATGTTATTTAGTGAGGGGAGGAACATGACAAGGAGAAAGCATAAAACAGTTTTCTCAGTGAAAATGCCCCTCTCCCAACAGAACTGGGCTTGGGGGATGTCCATAAGAATTGTATTAGATACTGTTCCAGTTATGGTGTTCAATTTCATTTTTTCCAATACACTGGCTGGATGTAGTATTATGAATAAAAAGATCCTAAAAGTAAGGGGGAGAGAGTGAATGTTAATGTTCAAAAGCATAAAACTTTAAGCTAAGGCCCGCTCAACCCATAGATAGTCTCAATGACCATGAGTTCCATGAATATTTGTTATTTTCTGCCCCTGAATTTGTTATGTTTTCCAAACAGTACCCCGAATTTCCTAGCCATGGGAAATTGGTCTCACACCCATCCAGGGATAAGCCTTGATTGAGTTAGGGCAATTAGTACATGTCATCTTCATGGCACTCCAGATGGATTAGGACCCACACACTCTCCAAATCAAGCCAGTCAGACCCAATAATATGAATCCTGGGACTTTTATAAAACACAACAGGGAGGCAGCTTTTCTCCTTTCTATCAGAATTTTAAAGATTTTACATTTCTATGCCCTTGATTGTCAGACCGAAAGCTACATACAGAATTAATTTATAGTTTGGTAATGCACATAAACAGTAACATTTATTCAAACAATTGTTTTCCAATAGTATAAAAATAGTAAATTAAATGATCTCTTATCCCTCGTTGCGAACACTTTTTTTCATTTAGGTAATTTTTCTACTGTTTTAAGAGCATATTAAAGTTATCCTCACCAGACAAGTAAAGTGCATTAAAATGGAAATGTCGATATGTTAGAACAGGATAGGTCACCTTTAACAACATCATCAAATGTATTTTTACTCTTGCAGGCGATATCACAGCATAGAAAGAGATTATATTAGTATTATTAAAATTAGCATTACTAAAATCCTAAAGTATTCAAGAAGTCAAATGGTCTTCACTGCAGTATCCTTCTATGATATGATTACAAAAACTGTAAACATTGTGTACTTGGACTGTTTCTATCTTGGTGTGGTAAAACGTATTTTCTACTCAAGTACAGAGAATATGGAATCTTCTACATATTGAAAATCCCTACTATGAAAAAATCCCTTATTTATTGGTGATGTTAATCATTAAACATGAGTCAGTGAAAGCTGGATACTGTTTTGTTTTTCTTATAAACTGATAGAGGCCTTTGACTTCCATAATTACTAAAAAATATAGATATCCTGATAACCAAAAATTTAAAAATAATTTGAAATTTGAAAAGAGAAAATGTATATACAACTAGTGACCTCTAAGAAAAGAAATGTAAGGATTTTGTAATTATTAAAGAAAGATGATTCCCAAGATTATACATTAGAAATTGTGTGTGTGGTCCCCTTTCTCATGTCATTCACGTTAGGGCCTCTAAAAAAAATACTGTTTTTTCAAAATATCAATGAATATGATAAATTTACATAAGAATTTACAACTATCCACTAGGTTTATCTCGATATATAAAAGGAAAAAAATCATGTCAAACTGAATTATTATATTTAATTATTTGCACAATCTCCCAATTACTGAGTAATGATATATAATTCACCAATTTGCTTCAGTTATATAGGTACTATCTCAAAGTCAGACTGAATTTATCTTCTCATGTAATGACTTCTGCCAATATCTAAAATGCTGTAAAATATTCTAGAAAAAAATTTTAAATTTTACTCTCAAAGAAATATAAATGACTATAAAAAATCAACATCCTTTTAAAATTTCACTGCTAATGTCAGCTAGCTAGCATGATGAGGTGAAAATCTTAATTGCTGAAAAAGATACTAAACAAGTGACTCCATACTCTAAAATTTCAAAAAAAAAAAAAGAAAACCTTCATTGCTCTCTGAGGATTACATGAATTCGGCAGGTAACCCATGTGAATTATTCTATGGGTTCAAATAATGGAGCCAAAAAAGATAAATCAAGTTTTAAATAATTATATTTTTAAAAATATACAATATCTTCTTATGCCAAGAAGTTGTACAACTGACCACAAAAAGGATTAATTTTATAGCAGAATAAATCAAAATATTTTAATATATTTAAGATCTAGTTTCATTTTTAAATGATTCTGAGAGAATGAAACACTTTTCTGTAGTGAAACAACTGACCACAAAAAGGATTAATTTTATAGCAGAATAAATCAAAATATTTTAATATATTTAAGATGTAGTTTCATTTTTAAATGATTCTGAGAGAATGAAACACTTTTCTGTAGTTCTCCTTTGCATGAGTTGGAGGGGAAAAAAAAGTAAAGTAGAAACCTATGTCAAAGCTGTCAAGTAAAAGCAAGTGATTCCTTTTTAAATTTTCTAACAGGAATTAGCCTCCTCTCTATTCATATCTGGTACCATATTAAGTGAATTCAAGTTCACAGGCCTGTAAGGAGAGCACCAAAAGGACAAAGCATTTCACAAAATATACAATAATTTTTAGGATAATGCCAGGTTCAAAATTGGGTTCCTTTAAACCCCTAACTAAACAAAGAATAGATTAAAAGTGAGGTTAGAATACACATGCTTTCCTTTGTTTACAACAATGCCTAACTGTCTTGAATCGCCGTATTTTACCAAATAGCACAGGACAGCTTTGAGGATACTAACCCATTTCTGTGGGGCAACACTGCTAAAAAAATATATAAATACATGAGAACCAACCCAAATGGATTTGCAACCTAAGCAGATGGTTGAGAAACCGAGGAAAAATATTAATAGAATCATTTTAGAAAATGTATTTCCTCAAATTTAAGATCAAGAAAATTACTGAAGTAGTTGACTTGAAACACAGAACAGTATCCCAGATATGAAAACTAAAACCATATATATCTGCCCTCCCATTTGTCAATAAATATTTGATAATTTTATGCAGTAAGCTAAATCTATAATTTAATTTGTTAAAGGCTTATCAAATTTGTCCAAGTGGTAAAAACTTTTACTGTAATTAGCACCCAGTGATACGATATTTTTTATGTCTGATATACTAGTTGGTTAAAGCATTATTCAAAATAAAGCCAGGGTCGTATTTTTTTCTTTCTCTACAGATTAAGTAGTTTCTCTCTCATTATGAGACTCCATATCCAAGTAACTACCTGTGGCCAACCATCTCACAAATACATACTTTTGGACATTAAGATCAATAAGTATATTATAGAACGATTTTAAACAAAGATTGGTAACATACATGAAAAAACAAAGAGCGGGGCTTAAGAGGGAAGGATAATTTGAATGACATGAAGAAAGGAGAGGAGAAAAGGAGAAAAGAAAGTAAGGAAAAGAGGCATGAAAAATATCTTTGTTGATTTATATATATAAATTATTTTCCATTTTTATTTTCCACCCCCTCCCCCACAAGATAATGCAATTTCACCATTTGTTTATTTTAAGAAAGCACACAACCAATCCTAAAATTTTCATTACCAATGTCCAATTATTTTGATACCTAGACAAAGCTTTCTCATAAAAATTTAAACCATACTTTTAAAACACGAACATTAAATGTATTTAGTAATAAAAAACTCTCTACATACATTTACACAGAAAATATATATTTCTGGATTAGTCATTAATATGCAGCTCACAAATGATATGTGGTGGGAAGCCTTGGTAAACAGTAGGTGCTAAACTTTTATCTAAATTTGTCATATAATTTTCTGTACCTAGTGGTGTAGGCTTTATTGGTTAGATCAGGCAATTATAAAACAAGAAACTGGTCCACTGTTTCTTGTAGCAGCACTAAAAGCAATGGAATAACCTGATGCTGATATTTCAGAAGGGAAATAAGTTGTCTCAGCGGTTAAGGAAGTTGAGTCTATGTTTTAAGTAAGTTAATACTCTATCAATGTGCTGCAATCTGATGGTGAGCTGCTACCTCTAAAGAAGTAACAACTTCTTCAAAGTCAAAGGTATCTCTCACCTTAGAAGGCCTCTCTCACTTATATGACTGCAAATTAATGCATGTTTGGGCAGTTGTTTGTAAGGTATCTGGAGTTAAGAACATAAGTATCCCTTTACATCAATTAAGACGCCATGGAAGAAAATTGGACTGGGCAGGTTATTTTATCAAGGACAAACTATCCAAAGTGCATTGGGATCCATTAGGTACTTGGTTCACAAACACAAGGACTACAACCTTGTGATTTTGTATGCAAGCAGGTATCGTTACATAGTTATACAATTAAATTGAGGGGGATGTTCTAGAATGTGGACCTTAATACTATAAATCATTTCAATGTAAAGAGAGATAGGGACTTTGGGCAGCGCCCTTTCAAATTTGGGCAAAAATGCACGGACAATCAGGTGCTTAAAGTATTCTACTTGGTAAGGTAAACTGGCCCAGCTATTTGCAAACAGGGTAAGAAGCCAGAAGACCCTGAGGATAAATTTAGTCTCTGAGATCTGAGAGTTATTTAATAACACAGTAATTTGTAAGTTACTATGTCGTGTTTTTTCCCTTTATCCTTGAACTTGAATAAAGTCTGAACCATCAGATCTGCACTTTGGAGAACTGAAGAAACAATCTGTACCATTTCTGAAATGAAGTTGCAAATGAGGAGAGTGGTGTCTCTCATTTCCAAAGGCCAGAGTTAGTGACAAAATTTGTGATCAATAGAGCTGAGAAGACAGGCTGCGCAAATCTCACTAATGTCATCAGCATATGAAGCAGCTATTGAAAAAAGGAATGAAAAGAGAAACAGAAAAAGATGGAATTGAAGAACCTGAGGTCCTATTCTTGAACACAGTTGAGAAAGCTCCCTGAAAAACTCTCAGTTCTTAGGGATCAATTTTTGTGGGTGCTAAGTTTTAGCCATCAAGTTAGCAGTGGCTGCAGTTACCATAAAACTAAAACAGAAGTTTGAGTTAAACATTTGTTACTTGAAGAGAAAATATGAACACAAAGGGAACAGAGAGGAATACTTTTATCTTTCTAAATTACAAGCAGTGTGTAATACAATTATTCATGGCCTTGTAGATAATCCTTCTAAAGTGTGATCTGCCAGTTAGCTAAACATAACCTTCCATTCTGGCCTCTTAATGTTCTGTTTGCCATAAGAATGTATTACAAAGGAAGAACCATGTAGATAAAAATATATCTGAACCATGATCAAATAAAAAAGGCTTGATATCCACTGTGAGAATTCTACATGTCATATTAAGAGGAGGGTCTTCACATTTGAAGTTTTTCAATGGATAACAAAAACTCTGGGTCTGTCAGGTAACAATGAACAAAATATTAATAACTACTAGCTGTTATGCTCTATGAATAGGTTTAAACTGTTTAACTGAAATTTATTTAATTTCCATTGTGAATCTAAAGATCAGTAACAAACCTCAACTACAGAACTGTGAAATATGAGGTTTTATTTTTTATCAGTGCTATTCATTTTAAATCTGTTACCAATATTCACACTCAGTAAACAATTTTAGGCAATATAAAACAAGATAAAAAGATTTGTATGTATAGGAACTAAGAAAGAATTTACTATGTTTAGTAAAAAAAAGTTAGCATCCCTTTAATGAAGCCACAAGTCATCCAAAAAAATGACTAAAAAAACTCAAAATGTTATGGTTGCTGAAGACCTTCAAAAGCATTATAAATCTAACTTCCTGCCTCCAAAAGCCAACTTCTCACTATACTACACTACCACATGTGCAAAAAACCCATACACAAAATGATCTTATATGAATATTAAAATAGTTACAAATCAATCAATTTAATAACCAAATGCGGATTTTAAATCTGATGTAAAATGTGATATAAAATCTCATTATAGAGTCCTGAATTTGATCTTGTGAAAGTAGAAGTTTAACATGGTCTTTAAAATTATGAGACTTACCTTTTTCAATCTTCTTTAGCTGAAAATTCTATTATCAGTTGCCATACTTTAGAGAAAGAATGAAAGCATATAAATAGCATTCTTTACAGACTACTCATGAAGCCTCCTTAGAACTTGAAAATATGCAAATTAGTATTCTCAGCTTCATCTCAATGAATGATTAGAGGAGACTGAAGTTATCAGTTTTTATTTTATTATATTTAATTTTATGACAATATTCCCTATTAGCAGAAAGGAAAATCAGAAGTCATTCTATACAGAATCTTGATAGCCAAATGAAAGACAAGTTAGATATAGTTCCCACAGCTAGAGGAGCTAGAGACAGAGCCAAGTGCCCTACCAGTACAGAGAAACAAAATGGGTGGTTTGGAAGGTATATTCACATTGGTGAATCTAGAAAGATGATGTTGATGAGATAAACTGAAAAGACTTTCTAAACTTTAAAAACTATTTTTAAATATAATACTTCCAATTTTAAAATGTTCTTTTCCAAATCAATGTTATGGTTTTGTCTAAATAAAAGAAATAGAATACTGCTCAAGAAGATTTTAACGGGACAAGCAACTAATGCTCAGTCAAGGCCAGCTAACATCCTGGATCTAATAACGAAATTCTACTGATTTACTTTGCCCTAATCTCTCCTGCATTTGCTTCATGGCGATAAGGCATCTAGAAGGAACCAAAGGGAAGGAGTACCTTAATCTGAAGATTCAGAAGTATAAATTCTGCCTTCTCTTCCACACCTGTTAGTAACTTAATGCTTCATCCAGGAATAAAGTCCCCATAGCCATTTTTAGTGATTAACAATTTCTAAATGCAATAAAATAAAGCTACCTGCAAGCATTGTAAGTCCTCTTAAAATATTTAGTTCTCATTAGAGCCTACAGTTTTATGTGCGAGAGATTTTACTCTTGGGGTACCCAAAGGTTAGGTCAGAGAAATATTGTGAGATAGCAAATGGAAGCTTACAAGTAAAAAAGCTTTAAAAAATAATAGCAGCAATGGACAAAGCTAAAAATCTGGATGTGAATATTATAATTTTGCTGGTCTTTGGGATGGTACCCCATTCGGTACTACCTTTTAAAAATGGCTACTCTCTTAAAAAAAAACTATTACCTTTTTTAAAAAACTGAAAATAGTTTTATTACTTTGATGATAAGGCAATATTTGTCAACCTTTAAAAGTTAGGCATATATATGTATATATATGATAAATACCAGTAATTACTGGAAGTATTAACTAATATATATGATAAATACCAGAAATTACTTGAAGCATAACATTTTGATGCATAATATTCCAGAGCTTTATATATTATTGTATCTACCTATCAATATGTTTCTTCAAAAAAAATTAGGTCATATTAGGTGACTGATTCATCTTTCTTGTTCCATAAAATACCACAGCTATTTTCCAGTTCAGTGAGTGTAAATTTTGTATCAATAGTTTTAAATGTTGCAAAGCATTTTGCTAAGTGGATATATTACAATATATTTATCTATCTCTTTTTGTTAGACATACAAATTAATTCTAATATCTTGCTATTAAAATATGCATCCTTACATGAACTTCTGAAGTTAATTATCTATTTCCTTTTAAAAAGATGTTAGATACATTTTTAACCATTAAATAATAACAATCTTGTAATTTAGAAAGCCAATCTACTCTGAAATAATTTTCTCAGGAAAAATAATTTCAGACAATACAAAACTATCATTGGGGAAGGAAATTTTAATTTAACATTATCTAATGTTTAATCTCTATTACCTCTCCAAAAACAACATGGTGTACTTAAAGGTAATCTAGTATACTAGGTGTGTTAGGGAGAAGAAGTAACACCTTTTACAGCAACATCTTTTATTTTCATTAATTTATACTTCTTGAAAATAAAGGCCAGGCGCAGTGGCTCATGCCTGAAATCCCAGCACTTTGGGAGGCCAAGGTGGGTGGATCATGAGGTCAGGAGATCGAGACCATCCTGGCCAATATGGTGAAACCCGTCTCTACTAAAAATACAAAAATTAGCCAGGCATGGTGGCGTGCTCCTGTAGTCCCAGCTACTCAGGAGGCTGAGTCAGGAGAATCGCTTGGACCTGGAAGGTGGAGGTTGCAGTGAGCTGAGATCACGCCACTGCATTCCAGCCTGGGCAACAGAGCGAGACTCGGTCTCAAAAAAAAAAAAAAGAAAAAGAAAAGAAAAGAAAAGAAAATACTTTAAACCAATTTAAGAAAGAAATAAACTGCCTGGGTTTGTATCTCCTCTATTAGTGTCAACCTTTTCTGGGATGAAGGTACCACAACACTTCTCAGAGTACATTCCTATGTATTTGTACATTTGATATAGAAGTCTCAACCAGCTACTACTACCCATTAAGTAGTTGCAACAAATATTTATCCTTATTTTGCAGACGGGGAAACTTTGGCCAAAGGGGTTAAGTGACTTGGCCATATCACATATTTATCAATAGACCATATAAGAATAACGCACTTGATATCAATTTCCTGAATCCAAGTGCTCTTTTCATGGGGCATGGCGGTGGATGAGGGGTACAGAATTGGAGAAAAAATATATACATAATAGATGGACAAGGAGGAAAAGCAGCAACAGAGACATGTAAAGTCCTCAAATGGAAAAGTAAATCCATGAAGAAACATGGTAAATCCAGCCACATTGGATTGTATCACTTTTATACATATAGAATCATAGATGTGGCCTTAGATAGCATAAAGTCCAACCACATCTTATAGATGAAGGGCTAGCTGTAATTTTTTAGGTCTGAGCTTAAATGCTGTCTATTTAAAGATGCTTCCCTTGACCACACTCTCAAAAGGAAATCTCTCGTTACAATATTCATATAAGGTGCTCAGCAAACATATTTTGAATGGATGAATGGGAAGACACTAACCTGGATGACAGGAAAAAATGAATCTTATTCAGAGAACCTAGCATTCACCTAAACTAGTATTCAGGGAAACTATTCACCTAATAGATGCAAAACAAAATACTACTCAGAAATGTCAATGAATACCCAATTTTGATATAGCAGTTTACTTATAAGTAAACTAAGTATCAGTAGTGATACCCATTTGGCTTCAAAACTCAGTCCAAACAGATCCATATTTTTAAAGTATCTGCCCCTAAGCTGAAATATTACAACTTCCATTATCACATAATGCAATATCCTTTTTGAAACCTGTCTAGACAGTCATGATCTGCTGGAGTCTGAAATATTTTTCTTTTATGATCATGAACAGACGTAGAGCAACAACATGTTTAAAGCACTAAATTGTAGACACACAAGGATTTTATTACTAAAGGAGTTTTGCTCAACATGAATTAAGCGTTGGCATGCCTGCATGCAAACATACAAAATCTACAGTAAAAATTAAGCTTTGATATTGTACTTGCTCCTATCTGTTCCTTTTTGTATATGTGCTCAAAACCATTTCTTACTACTGAAGTGCTTCTTTTGCCCTTTGAAGTAGTACCACGGCCAGGTGCAGTGGCTCACACCTGTAATCCCAGCACTTTAGGAGGCCAAGGCAGGTGGATCACTTGATATCAGGAGTTCGAGAACAGCCTGGCCAACATGGTGAAACTCCATTCTCTGATAAATATACAAAAAAATTAGTGGGCATGATGGTGCATGCCTGTAGTCCCAGCTACTCAGGAGGCTGAGGTAGGAGAATCACTTGAACCCGGGAGGTGGAGATCACAGTGAGCTGAGATCATGCCACAGCACTCCAGCCTGAGCAACAGAGTGAGACTCCGTCTCAAAAAAGAAAGAAAGAAAAGAAAAAGAAATAGTACTGCAATGTTTGCTAAGATATTTTGGAATCTGATGTCATGTTTCTGATTTTCAACACTGAGACTACTACTAGAAATAGCATAGAAAACGTTTTAGTCGTTTTCTAAAAGCTAAAATTCAATTTGTTACTAGCTCATTAATTATTTTTGCTCAAAACTCCAGGGTTTTGATTTGAGGAGAAAATTCCCTTGAGGAAAAAAGAAATATTTTTAGATCTTAGCTGCATGTCTGTCAGGGAGCAAGAGAAAGGGCAGATGAAAGGGACAATCTTTTCAACATATAAACATGATTCATGACATAACTATAGGCAGCCAAAGCCAGTTATAATAGGTTTTTTCTTAAAAAAAAATGAAAGGATCAGCTGTGTCTCAGTTGAACAATTTTAAGTATCAAGATCCAGGGGAAACATTACCCAATTTTACTTTAATCTGTTCTCTTAATTTCCTGACCAGCACTTTGGAAATTGTTGACTGCTCACAGTCACAAAGCCTTACAATGGAGAGTTTACCCAGCAGGTATAAAATCTTGGCTGGCTTCCCTCATGGGATTAGGTCATTACTGCTTCTTCTACAAGTCTGAGAATCTGTCTATATGCCAGTTAAGTGGCCACTCCTAATATTTACATTGCTAGGTCTAATATGAACAATAGCATTTATTTTTATAATTTATTATAAGCAATAGAGCTTAAAATACATTTTGACACATATTAATTTATTTGATCCTCACAACAGTCTTTTTTGGCACATTGGATAGATATCATTATCCTATTTTTATAAATGAAAGAGATGGATTTCAGGAAGGTTAAGTAAATTGTTCTGAACAACACAGCTGGCAAGGCGTGGCTCTGGAACTGGAATTAAGATCTTTAGACTCCTATTCAAGCATTTTTTTCCCACTATATCCCTGTGATTTTGGATTGTGGATTTTAGTCAGTTCTACACCAAGATGCTGACTCTACCTAAATAATTTAAATTTATTTAAACCTTGACCAAAAAAAGAGTATTTAAATAAGTAAATATGACATAAATAAATTAAATAAAATAAATAGGTTTAATGAGAAGGGGAGAATGGAACTAATATGTGTGTTTCTACCTGGGTCATGCCGTATAATACGTACTTTTTATGTTATCTGCATTCATCAAGACAAAGCAGTATGAAACATTTACTGAACTAATCTATGCACCGTTCTAAAAATCGCATTCATAGCTCTAGTCCTTATAACTCGGTCAGGCTTATATTATCATTCAGAAAATGTAGAACTTGAGGCTCAAGAGAATAAATGATTTATTGGTCCCAAATTATACATCCACTATGTGGCAATGTCAGAAACTGAACTTAGATGCCTGGCCCTAGTAAAGTTTCAGGGAATATTATGTAGGTCTTATAAACTCCATCCATAGGTAGTCAGAAACCATCAAAAAAACACTTGCTAAAATTCAGACTTATCTTTTAAATAAACAAATGAAATAGGGGGTAGTTTCATTCTAATAGTTACAGTAGAAAATAAAAATTTAAGCTTGTACAGGACTTGAAGTTTCCAATTTCTTTTAATCATTAATTTTTGTATTCTCACAACAGTATCTGTTCTGTTTAATATTGGGTATTATGATGTCTACTCTGATAATATTGGGTATTATCCCTATTTTTCAGATGAGCACAATATGAGTGTTAAGCAGTATGCCTAGGAATTCATGGTTAAATTTTTTTTATAAAAAATAAAAAGAATTAAAATGCAGGCTTTCTTTCTAAATTTCAGTTGTCTTCTTACTAAAGTCCCAGCTTGCAAAAAACAAAATGGGAAGACTGTCTAAACAAGAAAAATAAACCTGACTAAAATGAAGATCAGTTATATTTTACTAATTGACAAAAATGAATTAGAAATGTACAGAAAGGATTCAAAAATCTATAACACAAAATGATTCCTTAAACACATCTGCGGAAATCCCACTAAACAATTTAGTACAGGAATTTCTAGCCCCAAAAGCCAAAACAAAGAATAAATGTGATCAAAATCTGTAAAATCGTCACTAGTGACAATTCACTAAATTCATATATAGCAGAATTGAATGCTGTTCCTTTAAGTTTAAAGGAGGCAAATGTATAACAAATGAAAAGATATATTATCTATACTGCAAGCATTACACATAAAAACCCAAGAAGTCATACAGACAGAAATACAAATGGTTTAAAAGCATCTAGACTTATGGCTGACATACCTCTAATGGGGTTTGTCAGGGAAGCACTAGAGTAATGATGGGGAAAGAGCCTTCTTTGTTGAGGATGTCAACATACTAAAGATGTTGAGGAAACTATAATATATTCCTTTCTCCCCAGCAGCATGACCTTTATTTAATGGATTGGTTTTCAGAGTAAGATAATCAACTTCTTCTGTCTAGCAGCCTTTGCACCTAGGTACTTACTCTTCATTTCACCAGAATAACTCTCCCGTCTTTCTGTTTTGGGCCTGCACCCTTATATCATGAACTCTGATGCCAGCTTATTGTCTTTTCACTAACGCCTTTCTTTGGCCTGTGCTACAGAGTCTGAGCTCTAATGCTTGGAAAAAATAATAAAATAAAAGTTGATTCACAAATGTCTACTTCTTTAATCTTTATTTAGTTTTCTACTTTTATTTTTAAGAGAATAAATAGATTCAACAGGGTCTCCCCTGAGGCCAACAGACATCACTTTTATTTTAGATATGTAAGTAACCAAATGCCCAGTCTTGATCTGTCTAGACATGGTTCACACTTAAAGGCCTACAGGGACCAGGCAGGTTATATAAATGGGTCAAGTGGGTTGAGAAGAAGTAATAGCAAGTGGCAACATCTATGCCAAACTGAAACATGCATGCTCCCTCTAAAGCAATCTAATTCAAATTTTCAAAGAACATAGAGAAACAAACTTTTCAGACTAGATCGACTATGCAGGACACTCTGAGATTTCTGGGGAAAAACAGAAAAACCAGACGCCCAGTGCTTTATCTTCAGATAGTATGTTGATTAGATAGCATACTCTTTATCAACATGAACTCATGTATGCACATCCTATGAAAATGAAAGCAAATACCCTTTAGCTACCAACACTAGGCAGATGCTCTAGGAGATTTAGCTATCATTAAATGGTAACTTTTGTGACTACTGAAGAAAGTGTTTTATCAGGTTTTAAAAAGCACTGTTTCAGGTACCATTCTAAGTTGATAAAGGCAGAATCCCTACCCTCAGATAAACTTATAAAGATAGTTACTCTGATAATACAAAAGAGTGAATCACAGGTTTAAATGGCACAACTGACAACATTGACAGCCAAGAAAAATTACCTTGTTCCAGTTGTATGAACAGTATGTAGTTTGGGGCAGTATAGCAGGTTGACTCCATCATCTATAAATTCTGTAGGCTAAAAGTGCCCTCAGTTGCAATTCTGGGCCACTGCTTTACAGAACGAACAGTGAACCCTAGAAAAAGAAAGTGACTTTCCCAAGGTAAACAAACATACAAACAAAAAACTAGTTAGTGGCAAAGCCAGAAGCAGATTTCAAAGTGTCCATCTTGTTTTGTTTTGAAGACAGGGTCTTGTTCTGTCACCCAGGCTGGAGTGCAGTGCAGTGGCATGATCACTGCAGCCTTGATCTTCTGGGCTCCATCCTCCCACCTCAGTCTCCCACGTTGCAATGACAACAAGCGTGCACCACCACACCAAGCAGTTTTTGTTTGTTTGTTTGTTTTTTGGTAGAGACAAGGTCTTGCTATGTTGCCCAAGCTGGTCTTGAACTCCTGGCCTCAAGCAATCCTCCTGCCTCTGCCTCCAAAATCACTCCATTTTATCTGGCCCAATCTGGTTTTCTTTACTAACCAGCACACTGTCCCTGATAACCAAAAAAACAAACACAGAACTTACATTTTTTAACCCTTAATATGTTGTTTTTTAAATCACATTCTGGTAAATATAGTTATTCAACGCATTTACTGAGAAGCTCTGGGCTAGATACTGAGAGTATAAATTGCTGAACACAGCATAAATAATCCTGCTCTCATGGAAATTCAGTGTTACAAGGAATTTGATGTTTTCAACATGGGGCCAACATAGTTTAAAGCTCATAACATATTTCTTCTCTTCTTGTCTTCCATTAATGGGATACAATTTGAAAGTAACTCCTTAATTTCATACTGGAGATGGCAGTCTCTCCCATGGATTCTATGATAATGTTAGCATTTATCATTTTTATATTTGCTCATTAAACTGTTAGAGATTCTTCATGACGAAAGGTAGAAAAAGACTATTCATGCCAGGACTCTGTCACCAAATACTTTTCAGACTTCTATACTTTAGCTAACTTTTTCTTACCAAAGCTATTCAAAGTACAGCAGCTTCTTCCTCTGATATTGCTACATATGCACTTTAAGGTTTCTCAATCCTTTGCTCATTTATTATGTTGTATATGGATTCACCTTTTAATAGAAAGATAAAGGTCACCTTAGCATGCTTTATTATAAATGGGATTGCCAAAGACAATAGAGTCTTTATTGTAAGAGTCAGAATTTTCAGTTTTCAAGCTATTAATAGTTACTATGTCAAATTCTCTTAAAATGCCATTCTTCTATGCCTAGGAACAGATATCGTTGTGGGAAGAAATATCTTTAAAATAAATATTAAAATATATATTAGTCAATAACACAAAATGTAATTAAGACTTGCACCACCAATTCCACGGGGTGCGGGGAAGTAGTAGTTAACAGTGAAAGCATTTGTGATAAACTTCAAATGTTTTATTAAATGCAGCTGTGAATTGATAAATCTGAAAGTATCTGAAGCCACTCTTACATCCACATATTCGAGGGTAGGGAATGAAGTGTAAAAAAAATTTTACTGTAGCACTTGTAAAATGGCACATTTTCTAATGCTACTTCTTCTTTTTTCTTTTTCTTTTAACGTTGGCTAGGAAACAGATGGTAGCAATTCAATGCCACAAAATACGCCACAAGGCCTTTCCATGCAAGCATATTTTTCAGCAAGTACAGAATCTGTGCAACTCTGCAGAAATGGCTAAGTGCATGGGCACATTCATGGTGGAGGAGGGTAAATATGTCACTCACACTGAGTAGACCAAATTTCTTCATATCCAGGACCGGCCATCTAAGCAGTGACTTGCCTCTCCCAGCTGGGAAAAGACACTATATTGCGTAATTCCTTTCAAATACCGTACTTAGGGAAAACAGAGCTCCAGCGTGATGACAGTGGTCTTATTTAAACATTATTTTCCATGGCAAAACACAAAAATCCAACAACAGTAAACTAAAATCTGGTCCTGAGTACATCATGTCTCCTTACTCTGTGTTAAAAACGATAGCAACAACAAAAATAAAAAGAGCTAACAGCTCAGAAATTGTATTAAGCATTTACATAAAACTCATTCCAGTCTCACAACAATCCTACCTAGGTTTTATCATCATCCCCTATTTACAGATAAGAATACTGAGTAGTAGAGAGTGTAGGTAACTTACCCAAAGTCACACAGCTAGCATGACTGAGGCAAACCCAGCCACTCTGAGTCTAGGATCCACATTACAATGTCCTACACCTCTCCAGAATACCACACAATAGCTAAAAGCTGATTTGACTTATCTTCAACATACTACTTTAGTAGAGCATGTTTTATACAGGAATATCAAGTATTTTGATAGGCATTTGATTACACAAACCCTCAGTAAGTTTTACTTTAAATGAAGATCATTTCCTCAGAAATATCAAAATTAATTCAATAGTTTTGACAATTAAAGTCACTCAAAAGCTACTTTTCATTCTAAATTTGATGTATGTCAATAAAACAGCAGAATCAATGTTGGTTTTAATTAGCGTCACACTGAAGAGTCCTACTAGAGGCCATAGCAGTGTATTCCATGCTGTCTGAGGAAATGTTAGAATAGGGCATTTCTAATTAATGAAAATCATGACTACGTTATTATTTTAATTTAAAATGAATGCTCATAAAGTAAAATCTGTCCTATAGTCCTCATTACATAAAATGCAGGGCAGATATAGACATTAGATTTATATAAGAAGTGAAAGCAATATTATTCTTACCAATTAATTTTCTTTTATTTCTCTTGAAAAAAGTAAGATATTACTCTATTTCCCATTTTCTTTTCTTACTTTTAAAACCTAGGGCTGATGACTTCCATATACTGATTTTTTTGTCATGAAAATTTTGTCATTAAAATTAAAAAAACTGACACATAAAACTTTAAAAATTAGTATCATGAAACCATTTTTTGTAAACTCTGTAGAAGCACTACAGAGCACTGCTTTTGCATAAGAAATCATCTGCATGATAAAGTAAAATGTTTTAGTGTCTTATAAGAAACTACAACTTAGAGAAATCAGGGATTCTAAGTAATAATCACATATCCAAATTACATGGAACTGACTGTGAATTGATTCCACTACCCAAAGACCTCACAAAATCAAACACTTAAAAAACAATGTATTTTCATCTCTAGTGGTAAATTTAACATATACTGAAAAGATCTTTGTTAAAGAACTACATTTTCCTTCCTCTTGCTTTGCATTAAACATCACACAAATGAACAGCAAGCATCTAGAAGTAGATGGAACTATATATCACCCATTCATTCTATAAAGAGAATGAAGATTTATGAAAGGGAAACCCTTTTACTATTTAGCTCTAAGAGAAGCCTAGAGATGTTCATGACATCTAAATATCCACCTCTTCCAAAGTTAAGTGACGTCTTCCTCCATCCTGGTTCTGTGAAAGGTCATTTACACATTAATTCTGGGCTGGCCATGAATGCTGTTTCTGAGTAATCTGAAACAGTTCAAAAGCAGTGTATAGTCTGTCATAAACTAGTAAGTTCTAGGACACAGCTGCCTTCAGCAAAGAGTTCAGAAATGTGGGTAGACTTCTCTGTTTCCTTACCTGTCTCAGCCTTCAGTAATTTACTTTTTGTTGTTGTTGTTCAATGCTACAAAATCAATCTCATAAAGAACTACTTCACATTGATGTGTGTATAAAAGCACTATGTACCATAAGATAGATTTCACTTTGCAATTTTTTCCATTTAAGGTCTAAAGTACTAAGAAATCTTAACAAAACTCTTATTCTAAGCCACAAATAGCTCTAGGGGAGTTATAGTTCTTAATGCTATAATGCATAACCTCATGTGAGATGAGACATTTGAAAAACACGGTAACAGTCATTTCTGTCAAGTCTTGAAGAGCAAGGCCTTAGACATTCAATGCTATACAACTGTGAAGAGCAAAGATTTACAAGACATATAAATTTCACAATTTCATTTTTCCTCCCTGGCCCCGGAAGTCACTTGAGTCTATAGGCCTGACTTCAACTCTGAAGACCTAGATTTGAATTCTGCCACTTCATAGCTAGATTTCCCTGTTACTATTATTTTTTTAAGAACACTAATACCTTCCTTTACCATTTTCTAAGGGAAGGTGTCTCACATGCCTCTCATATAGGAGGCTCTCAATAACTGATACTGTTTACTCTTCTTTCCTGTAACCACAGGTTTCCTCAGCTTATTATGAGACAGAGTTTTCCAAAGTACAAAAGTGCCATATGAATATTACCCTTTTCTATTTGAACTTAGAAAACAACAGTATCAGGTCTTCCAAAATGAAGTCTCAACATGATTACAGACAATGCAAAAACTGATCAGTAAAGTCATAAAGAGAAAATCAGGTGCTTTGGGCATGGCAAGCAGTAGACTCCATATGTATTAGCTGTTATAAATGGCAGGTGTGAGGATATTTTCCATTTCTTGGTCATTCTTATGTTTAGTCTGCCTAATGGCCACAGTAGTATAAATATACTTCTGATAACAATAATTTCCTGCCTCGGCATTTTATACTTCTTTCCTCTAATGTATCGCTATGTTATACGCAAAGTCTAAACTACTATAATTGCCACTCTCCTAATATGATTAGGACCTTTTTTGACTAGACAGATATGCTTCAGGAAATGTCTAATTTCAAATAAGCAGGTTTTTTTCATATTAAGAGTGTTAACTGAAAAGTAAACAAATAGTATTATTCCAGTGTGGGAAATACTGGTGTTAGTAACAAGTAAAATTCTCTGAAATTCTCACCTTCTTTGGAATATTTAATTATTCAGGCAACAATATTCTGTGAGTTCTCGGACCTTTAAGGTTTACTTTTATGAAAACCTAGAAAACATGGTCCTGGCACTTACAGAGCCTACAATTTAAAGTTTAGGCTTAAAAGCTGTACCTCTTATTTCTGGGCCTCTGACATTTAACCTTTATGTATTCTGACCTTTAAACATGATTCCTTTTTGCATGTCCCACAGGTTTAAATCATTATGTATTGTATTATGATACCTCTAAGTAAATTGGGGTATGAAAACAAATCAGTATGTCTATTAATAAATACATTTAAACAAGTATTGTTTTTTATATATAGTAACAAATGTCTTTGCCATGCTATTTGGAAAGAGAACTAAATTAGAGGAGCTGGTTTCTGTAGCAACCATTTGACATGTAACTTTGAGCATGCCATTTAATTTCTCTTGGTCTCAAGTTTCTTTATCTGTAAAAGAAAGGGGCAAAACTAAATGATTTGTAAAAGATTCTGCCAGCTCTCAAATCTATAAACTGAATTACGTATTTTAATGAAATGAATTAAATGGCAAGTTAATAAATCATCTAGCAGATTAAATGTGATAGTCTGGTTAAGATTTTGTTGCGGGGAAGGCAGAGACCTGCACCTTCGTTTAATTTGTAAAATAATAGATCTAGCCAAAATTAGAGCTTGTTGAATGTGACAGCTTATTCTGCAAACGACTTTGTTACTTGAATAGAGCATTAGGCCATATTTAGAAAGCATTTGAAGTTGCAAAGCAAAATAGAGTTTTTTATGGCTTTATTTAATGTCATGTTTCCAAAAAAATCACAAATCAGTTCCATTAAATTTAAACACAGATACATTAAAAACTTGGCAAAGGTGGGCATGATAATGAAAGATGATTATTTCTCTACCTGTCTCGTACAATGAGGCTACACAACCATCATCAGATTTAATCTACTCAAACTTGAAACACATGCGATCAAGTGGATAATAGTTAAATTTCTCAAAATCAGACCTATTGTTCTCAAATTCCCTTTAAGAAATACCTTCTAAAAAGGGCACACACCAGAGAAAAGGAAGAAGGAGAAGGCAAAAAGCTATTAAAAAGCATATATGCTATTAAAAAGAGAGAAAAAGAATGTCTGAATTCTCATTCTACCTTGATGTTCTAATTAAAACTGGTCATACAGCAGACACTGCACCTGCCAGCCAAAAGTTTATAATGAACAGAGAGACTTACTGCAGAGTCTCTTATCAGTGCAGCTCCCTTGGGGCCAAAAATATTGATCTCTTTCATTGAATAAATACTAAAGTAACAACAAGAATCCATTATGTCTGACCTAACAAGAATTTTTAATTGAACAAGTTACTGTCTGAATGCCAAAGAAAGAGTGGATATAGTATCACTTACCATTCTCTTCTTAAAGCTCTAAGTATAAAGGGCAAATGATGAATGAGTTGACGCAATTACTTATTTTCCCAATAGTGCTCTCCAAATACATAAATGTCCCTAGTTTTAAAGAATTAATGTAGGTTTTTGCCATCTTAACAACTTGATCATATATTTTCCATAATCTAGTAGCAATGTTTCTCAAGAAATTATCTTGCTCAATCAATCAAATGATGCATTACAGGTTTAACATTTAATTTTATATAATGTATTTTTCCAAATATGTGTCATATTTTAACATGCCACACACCACTGGAATAAAATGAAAAAGAATGCCATTTCTTTCTCTTTGGAGTTGGTTATTAGCACTAAAAAGTATGCTAGCAACTAGATGTTAAATATTTCATAGATCATTTCCTCAGGAAATTAAGTTACATGAAAATTTTTCTCAAACCACAGTATTTACCTCAAATAAATGGCTGAGGCCCAAGAAATTCTTATACAACTTTATTAGACCCTGGGCTAAAACAAAACAAAATAATAAGATGTATATTTGGTTAGCTTAATCAGCAAATAAAAGATAACTATTCCTCTTGAGATAAATTTTGCATTTTGCATCTACATAGAAAGAAGAAATAAAATCAGAGGAAAAAAGCTGCTGCAGTTATTTCAAATTGCACTTTTAGGCCTGTGACTTTTGCACCAAAAATTGGACTTTTTCCTTTAAAAATAGGAAAAAATTTTGAAATAATTGAAGCAATTAGTTAGCTTACTGAGACAGAAATTTCCCCCCAAGTTACCAATACTTTATTTTGTTTTGGTCAGTTAGTAATTTAGATGCATATTAAAAGGAAAATAAATGTTATGAACTTGAATCCGTGTTTGAGAAAACCAGTCATACATTTACATGGAGTCATTTAAAAATGGCACGTTGGCCAATGTGATGATTATATATAAATTTTAAGGTCAGATATCTATTTTTCCTTCCCAAGATTTTGTGCTAAAAGCCTGCTCCTATACTTCCATAAAACTTACTTGATTAGGATGTTTTATTTTTTAAAGTATTTTCAACATCACTTTGTAGATATAATTATGCTACCTATTTTATAATTATAGTACTCTAATCAAAACTTTAAAATAAAAAAAAGTGAAGTCAACTAAAACTCTCCATACCCTAACTCCAATTTGAGACAGATATCTTCTCTGAAATAGATACAGTGATTAAGTTCATGTACAGCCTGCCTTTTTATTGAGAGGCTCACAGTTTTTGTATGCCAGTACATGAGAGAGAGGCGGGAAAAGAGAAAATAAGGCATCTTTGTTTATTTGTTACTGAATCATGATATCAGGAAAAGGGGCAGCCATCCCTATTAATCATACTTACAATATCAATTCACAGTAAATGTTCATTCTATTCTGTGCTGTAATGTTGAGAGTGGTTTTTAGGAAAGCTAAAATCAAAAGAAAGATGAGAAAGCTGACACTGTAGGTGCAAATGAATCCATCTGTGCTTCCTCAACTTTCTAGGGATGATATAGCATGGTAGTGGAAAATAGGAAGGTGCTTGCAAGTTAGCCAGTCTCTGAGCTCAATGATGGTACAGTAGGGTTACAGGTATTCTCTCTGTGTGACTCTTATTTAACACACATGAATCCTTCTTAGGGGAGGGAGCAGAGACTTTTATTCCTGCTAAGTTGCAGCTATGACCTTCCTTGAAAATAAGAAAATGCTGATTGATGCTTCATAAATATCACATTCTGGCAATTCATTACATTCGACATTTATTTTGTTTTTAGAAAAGGTTATTATGAATATAGTCCAATGGAATTGAAAGTTTAATTTTTCAGCTAGCACTATAACTGTTTTCATTATGCTACTTATTTATTTTGAATCTGCTTAAATCTTTTAAATATGTTTTAAGTATGACATTCAATACATCAAACCTACTATTAGGCTCAGTATTATAATACTTTGACAAAGTCTAATACTAAGACTAAATTTAAAATATTTGGAAAAATACTATTAAAAACTAAACAAAAATAAATTGATTAGTGATAGTCCAGCATATTTCCATTAATGAAATTATGATTTTGAACTCTCCACTACCTTATTGCAGCAACGTTCCTATGATTTTACTATTAAAGAATGATGGCACTGACATTAGTTCTGGCTTACTTCAATTACTGGACTACTCTAATTTGGAACAAAAAGATGTTTGTATTAAGCATAAAATATATTTGGAAGGCTTAGATTTACCTTACATATAAAACAATTTTCATTCTATAAGAATAAGCATTAAATTCGAAATGACAATTATGACACTCAGAATTATGTCATTAAATTTGTATCGCTATGTTTTTATATTAGTCTGTAAATCTCAAATGGAATCCACAAATTTCAATATGGGATCCACTGCAGAACATTTCCTATCTACAAATTCTGTCCACAAACATCCAGTAAGGATGTGGTAAATCAAAGCAATACATGATAAATCTCTTTTTTCAATAGAAGTGATGTTAAAATTGAATGGCATGTTCTTAGAGTCTAGAACTCCCACTATGTAAAAGTCCTCCCAAATATAAGTCAGCTGTTTGTTCTGCTTTATGAATATGTTTGAGCACAATTTAATCTAAAAGTATCTACAAATGCATTTAAAGATGTAAGAGAAGTAAGGCATAGAAAAAGCCTAGAAAACATCTCTGTCTAAAGTCAGAAAGATCATGAAATGGAGAACCAAGGCCAGTGTCAGAAAACCTTTAGAATACGGACCCTTAGGATATAATCGTTCAGGGTGGCTAGAGGAGGCATGAAGCAGAAAGCCCAGAGAACCTCTCTGAAAATGGAATCATTGTTAGAATAACTATAAAGTATAAAAAAATTTAATCAGTAGGTTACCTGAAATGGTGCAAATTACTGTTGAGTTTGTTATCAAGTTATCACATCCTGTATGAAAATTCTAGAAATATAAAAAGACTTAAATATGCGAAATTCAAAAGTTAGTATTCCAGAATTGCATGTTAAATTTACACCACTGTAGATCATTTTCCCCACATATCAATGTATATTGATGTATGTGGTTTTGCAAGGAACAGGGAAAAGACAAATTCCAAAATGCAAATTTCGAAGATTATATTTTAAGTTAGACTTGTACTGAAGGTCAAAAATCATAGATTGAAGCTAATTCTTCACATTATCTTACTGTGTGTGCCAGGACCTCCTATCTGCTGGAAATGACGAACCTCTACAGTATGTTATATTGCTTTAATTCAAAGGCCAGTTTGATTCAGCACTTTCAGTTATTCATCATTGCTCAAGGCTAGTAAATTTCAAAACTTGTCCATTTCAGCCAATTATCTCACTTTTTTCTCCTGAAACAAAACTCCTGATGTTATATTCTTTATCACATTACATAGCACTTTTAGCTCACAGAAATTGGAGGTTGCTTAGAATATAAGGTATTCCCAGCACATTTTTCTGCCACTGTTCAAAGCCACTTTAGTTAACTACTGTCCTCCGCTTAGTTGTCCCAGGGATATAGGAAGTAACTGTTGCTATCAAGGGGTGGATAAAAAACCTAGAAGAGACAGCCCAGAATCATCAGGCATATGGCAGCTCTCATGGAGCATGGGAAAAGTCAGTAAATCAAACCCACCTTAGAAATAATCTTGTGAATTGTGAATGTGATGAATAAAGATCATCAGCAAATGACAAAGCTTCACGTATTGAAACCCAGTATTAACAGGTTTTTTTTCCCAAGCTGTTCTTTGGTAGATTCTAATTTCCCAGAAATAAGAACTATTACTCAAGTTGATACAATTAACGAAAATCAGCCCAAAGATTCTGTATACAAAGATAACACCTACTACTGATCATCAAATAAGCATGTTTTGAAGTTTGTAATTTTGTCTTCTCACTTTTCTTTTTTTCTTCCCTACCTTTTCCAAGTAGGAAATCCTACGAATGCTCTCTTGCCTCTTACTTGGGTGACCAAAAATACAACTTTATAGACCAACTGTAACCACGAAACACACAAGATGCCTTTTACTGACATACATGGTTACTGAGACCTATGACCTTGGCCTTCTTAGCTTGTACTGGTACTTACTGAAAAGGTTTTGTTTATTTAAAGAAACACTTTTTCCCAAGCATAATGTATACTTTCAATACAATGCATCTCTTTTTCCCTCCCACTGTGTAGAGCACAAGAGATAAACAATGGAATTCCAGTACTAGCAGTATTTGCCATAGGTCAAGTATACTACTCTAAATGACAATTCTCTACTTTATTAGTAAAGGGCACGTTTGATAGAGTTTCCTACTGTCTTCCAAGCACAGTATTTACCATTATAAATTAACAATTTGACATAAAGAAAGCAAACCTTTGTGTAATATACACTGGTTTTACTTTTCTTGAATACATACATGGGTGATTTTTAAAAAGGAAGAAAGGGAAGGAGAGAGAATCTGAATTTTTCTGTGATTTAGAAAGAAGGAGCAGCCCTCATACACTTACTATATGTCAAAAACCTATTTTATAATGTCTTTCCAAGTTTATAATCACTTTGAGAAAAACCTAAATCTAGATAAAATGGTCCTTTGCTATGTTTGCCGATTTGGGGTTCCAATTGTGGAGAGGGTAGTTTAAGGAAAAGGTTAATTAACACAGCTGGACCTACATGAAACATTTTTGAAGCTAACACAATTTCAATTCAGTCCCCCTAGAAATCAGTTCACTGGAATTCTTGGCTTTCTCCCAAGCAGTTTCTTAAAAAGGTTACCAGCTTAATTGAACGAAATCAGAGTCTGCAACCGTCAACAATTATCTATAGAGCAATACTTGTTATTAGGCTGAATAAAATCAAAGTTAGAAACCAACCACAATTATTTATGGCGCAGTAATTCTCAATATTGGCCAGTCTGATTGCATTGAACTATTAAGAAAACTTCCTGAAAATCTACTTGTTTCCTCTTTCATGCAGACACCACACAGATAATCAAGGATACCAACAAGCCTATCTCAAAATAATTTCCCGTTATTACAAAGGAAATCAAAATTAACCTGGAACGAAATGAAAAAAAAAAACTACCCTAAATGGATAAATAAACATAGCCTATTTTATCTATAACCATGAAGCTCTGGACATTACGTTTTCTGTTAACCAATGAATCACTTCTACTTTATGGTATGGGTGTTGCTTACTGTTTCAATACTTATATCTCCCTGGTCCTGGAAACTCTTTTTGATTCATTTGAGAAGCAAGTGCCCACAATTTTGATGGACAGAACTTGAAATGACTGAGCAACAGAGTCATAATCATACTGCATTGAATGTCTCATTAAACGACTAGCAGCACATCACATATCATTTAAGGCTTTTTCTGGTACCTCATGGAAAACAGAGACATTCTATTGAAATGAGTAGGATTTAGAAGTGTTTATACTTTTTGTAAAATGAAACGCTAGAATTATACATTAAAAAGTCAAAGAGATGAGACTTTTTCAGGGTCTTTTTTTTTTTTTCAAATGCACTCTATGCAAGACAACTGCTTTACAATTTACATTCAATTACAGCTCATACTGAAAGGGTTAAACCCCAGTTACCAGGTTTCTCCCCATTAGGAATAGCCTAATATTTTTTGAATGCCAAAGTGAATTTAAATATTATTTTTCTGGGAAAATTAGGTTTTTTTTAACCACAAAACTCAATTTCTATTAAAATATTTTACATATTATAAATTTCAGTTTAATTATTTGCACTTGATAATGTTAATAAAATGATATATATTCAGGAAATAATACAGCAAAACGTAAATTTGAATATGAATTGTTTCTGCAATTATTTTACATTTGCATAACCTTTTAATTTAGCTATTCGTTATCTACTTAATAAATAAATATATCAAGATTGCATTCAACAATTTTCAGAAATCACAAATATGAAATTTTCATGTTTGTCTTAGAATCTAACCTCTTATAAATATGCACAGATCCTAATTTTCTGGGGGCTATTTTGCAAATCTTCCCCAGTACTACCACTTGAGAGATAAGAAACTGGTGGCTGGTCCAGAAACATTTTTAAAGATATATCCTTCTCTGGTTGAGTTACAGCAGTTTTTAAAGAGTGGCTGTAGTGCATCAAATAACAAAAATAAGAATTGGTTCCACATAATTCAAATTATTTGATAAAAAGGATAAGGAGTCTGTGATTCCGTGGTAAGTTGGTAGAATTGTATAAAGTAGAACAAAATTAGAGAGAGAGAGCATAAGTCCTCAGCTCCTGTTTTCTTTTTCTTTTTTCTGTTAAGATAAACGCTCTTAACAATGACTATGATAGAATAAATACGATTAAGATAAAAGGAGGGCCCAAAAGAGAGAAAATGATAATAAGAGACCAGAGAAGTTCCGGTTACTGGCCCAGGTAAGAAGCAGCCCGGGTGAGTAAAAGATACGAGAATGACGAATGCTAATACAGTGTCTGGAGAATCTGAAAGCAAATGTTGCCCAATTTTTTTAAAAAAGAGTGAAATCTAGAAACAACACAATGGCGACCTTAATTTTTTTCTGGTAAAACCATAACTGATATAACACAGAATTAGCACTTAGAGAGAAAAGGGGTGACTTTTAGTGAAATCATGCCAAACTGATTTTATTTTCTAATTTTGAAAGGGTTACTATGATCAGACACTCAGCATACTGAATTTCACAAAGACCTTTACTACAAAATAACACATATGATACATAATAAAAAGAATGTATTATAATTACATTGTCATAGATGGCTGAATGATCATACCACATGCCAGGACACTGCTGTGGCACTGCCAAAATGTAAAAATCATTATTATAACGTGAGCATAGCAAAGATGACGCTCAGAGATAAGTCTTGATTCCATGATGAGCACCTTCAACATGGAATTGTGCTCAAAAATAAACCTTTGAAACATAGTTTACTAAGCCCTTCCTTGGTCTCTCTTAATATTTCAATCTCGTCGTTCCCAAACATCTCTAACTCCCCTTGAAGTCTAAGCTCTAACCCTACTGAACTCAGTTGACTAAAGAACAATCCTGTCTTAGTTTTGGAACTTCACACACATTGTTTCTTTCTGCCTCAAATATTTTTATCCTCACTCTTTTCATGGCAAATCCTAGCATTTTTCAGAGGTCAATTTAGATGTTACTGCTTTTGAAAGGAGATGCTCTCCTTGACCTCCCTGGCTGGTTTAGATGTCCTTGCAAAGACGACATTGTAACACTATATTATGTTTTGTAGCATACTTTATTGTTATTCTTTCTTTAATCATTTGTCTCTTTTATTCAGCACTATGCCTATAAACCAGCTCTTGAAAAAATAAAAATTCCTTATTTATAGTGTTGGCCAAATTCCATGGGAAAAATATCCTACCACCACCACACACACACCCTGGCAGATGTCAAAATACAATTGCTCTCTGTATCCGTGGGTTCAGCATTAATGGATTCAACCAACAGTGCATCAAAAATATTCAGAAAAAATTCCAAAAAGTCCCAGATACCAAACTTGAATTTCATGTGTGCCAAGTGCTACATCGAACCCACTCAAATGAAAAAAATGTGTAGGCCTTGTATTAGGTAGCATAAGTCATCTAGAAATGATTTAAAGTATACAGGAGGGCAAGGTGCAATGGTTCATGCCTGTACTCCCAGAACTTTGGGTGGCTGAAGCAGGAGGATCTCTTGAGCCTAGGAGTTTGAAACCAGCCTGGGGAACATAACAAGACCTTGTCTCCTTTAAAAAAAAAAAAAAAAAAAAAAGAAGAAGATGAAAAAGAACAAAAAATAGCTGGGAGTGGTATTGGATGCTTGTAGTCCCAGCTACTCAAGAGGCTGAAGTGGGAGGATCAAGCTTCAGCCCTGGAGATTGAGGTTACACCTTGGTAAACGGATATTTTTCTCTTAATACAAATAACAAATGAGAATGGCGAGTGTGTTGGCTCATGCCTGTAATCCCAGTATTTTGGGATGCCAAGAGGGGAGGATCTCTTTAGCTGAAGAGTTCGAGCCCAGCCTGGGCAATATAGTGGGAGCTTGTCTCTACAAAAAATACAAAAATTAGTTAGGCATGGTGGTACACGCCCATAGTCCCAACTACTTGGGAGGCTGAGGTGGGAGGATCACTTGAGCCTGGGAGGCAGAGATTGCAGCGGGCTGAGATCACATCATTGCACTCCAGCCTGGGTGACAGAGTGAGTCCCTGTCTCAAAAAAATAAAAAAAATTTTTTAAAGGCCACTAAGATTTTATTGCATAAGATTACAATGCTCCTAAACCAGTCTCTTAATTCAAGTGACGGTCAAATTTCTATGTATTGATGCATATTCTATGCCATGCATTCTGCTAGGCACTTTTCATTTATTATCTTACTTAACTCTTAGAACCACCCTAAAAGAGAAAATGAGACTCAGTGACATTAAGTAACTTTTCCAACATTAGAAAGGCAGTAAATGTCAAAAATAACATACAATACCGCATTGTCTAACACCAAAGCCTTTGTTCTTACCATTACACTCTATTTCTGGCATAAACTGCACTACACTATACAGACTCTATCCATTTCATTATTCATTAACACGGGAATCCGGCGATGCTCAGAGAAAAGAACAGACAGAGATGTACATTCTTGGTTTTTCATGTCAACAGCACTTGGTTAAATACTTTAGTAAAAGGTAATAATAAAATGAATACAGTTCATTTTTGCCTTTATCTGTTCTATCTCTCATCCATATAATATAAAACAACCATCGTTAGGTTTCAAATACCCTTCAAATGTTTCATATATTTACAGGTTTATTATTCAATGAAACCATCTTCAAATATCTGAATCATTCTGATCTCTCCCAACTCTGACCTTGAATGGTATTAATATATAGCATGTTTATCATATATTTTGACATTTAATCTTACACGTCTCATAAGCAGCAATGAAATTTGAATTTCCTCGATTGCAAGAACCATTTTAATGTTTTGGGGGGAATCCCTGAAGCCTCTAGTAGTGTTAGATTCAAGTACTTATTCAAATGCTTCCTAAATTGAATCATAAAGTAATGATTTTTGAAATTGTGGAAAAGAGAAAATCTAATATGTCACAGGCCTGTATCTTGGTAACCTATTTGAGTCTGCACTGATTTGCCTCATGTTATATTAGAATGTCAAAGATTTCCAATGAAAGTGAATATTTGAGAATATAAATATGTTCAAAGGAGAAAAAAAAGGTAACAGAAAAAAAGATGTAAAAAATAAACACTCCTGCTTTCCTCCTTTCTCACACCTCATTGGTGAGGAGGACATTTCCTAGTGATTTCAGCGGCGAGCATATGGACGTGCTGTTCAGGAAGGCTTCATGCAATATAAACACTACGAGGATAAAAGTGAAAACCCTAGGCTGTGGGAACAATTGCTTTGTTGAGTTTGCTTAGAATTAGGAAGAAGCCTGACCAATACTGAGCAGTAATGATCTTCTATTAAATTGTCATGCCTTATTTATTTATTTATTTATTTATTTATTTATTTATTTATTTATTTTGAGACAGAGTCTCACTCTGTCGCCCAGGCTGGAGTGCAGTGGCGCAATCTCGGCTCACTGCAAACTCCGCCTCCCGGGTTCACGCCATTCTCCTGCCTCAGCCTCCTGAGTAGCTGGGACTACAGGTGCCCGCCACCACGCCCGGCTAATTTTTTATATTTTTAGTAGAGACGGGGTTTCACTGTGTTAGCCAGGATGGTCTCGATCTCCTGACCTCGTGATCCGCCGCCTCGGCCTCCCAAAGTGCTGGGATTACAGGCGTTAGCCACCGCACCCGGCCCATTTTTATTTCTTAAATGTTAGATATGGTGACAATGGGAAGATGCTAGTGAATGATTTTATTGGCATATATCATGAATTCGTTTTGAGGTAAGTTCAATTGATGAGGAAGTGTGCCTGGAGTGATAGAGCTAATGAGGCAAATTTGGGAATGCTTTAAAATTTTGGAAAGATAGAGGAAAGTCCAAATTAGTATCTTCTTATTTTGATATGCGATTTAAGGAAGCAAAGTAAATAAGGGTTATTTTTATTGCATTAGCAATGTTCAATATTATCTACTTATACTTCCTAGAAGTAGGTTATTTTGTTTATTTTTGTGATATATATGAGTGAAGTGATTACCGTTGAGGTAGCTAACTTATCTATTGTTTATAGACTCCCTGATGTTATAGTTCTAGGGGCTACAAAGAAGAAGAAAGAATAGTACACTGGGTGTACGCTCCCACTGGTTAGACAACACCTTAGAAGTGTCAATAATAATTCACTGATTTCATTGTATATAATGTATACACTGACTATATAAACATTGATTTCAGTATCACTGACTGAGAACTTCGTATGTGCCTAAAACAGACCTACGCACCTAGGCATTATGTCATTTAGTTCTCACAACAATCCGGAGGCAGATGCTATTTGCAGTGCCCTTCTACAAAGGAAAGAATCAGGAAGGCAACATTTCCAAGGTCACTCATCCCAGAGGAGCAGAACAAAAACCAGAATCCAGGACTCCTGGCCCTAAGGCTTCATGAACCACATTGCAATGATACAACATAAACCACATGCTTATGAATTCCAGGGGATCCTGGTGGGTACTAAATATAGCAAGAGCTGTATGTAGAGAGGATTCTAATACAGAAGGAAAGTAACCATCAGCACCAAAACCATGGTGACTTGTGGGGCAAAGTGTCTCCTCATTTGGGGATTCTTTGCTGTTGTAAGAAAGAGGCCTGTATTACTGGAACCCCCACTACAGTTTATCAAGGGACCTGGTCCACAAGTCCATTCAGAGCTAGCAAGCAAGATCTCTTGTGATAATCAGTATTTAGTCTGGGGGGGATAGGTCCTTGCACTAAGGTTTAAAAAATATTAGTCCTGGAGGAAGATGGGGGCTGGTAGTAGCTAAAGGAAGACAGACCTTGGGGATTCCTAACCTGTATGTACTCAGACACCACTTCTGACTCTCAGAGAAAAATCAGGCAGCTGGGGCCACACACACATTTTCCCCAAAACTGCTGTGCCTCCTTCCTAAAGCATGGGGTGTGCGCGTGCGCACACGCACAGACACACACACACACACACACACACACCTCTAATTCAATTAAGCGAAATAAATTGAAAAATGGTATGAAGTGAAATAATCTTTAATAAGTTTGTATAAACTGACTACAGATGATCACTGATACCATATTAACATTAATTATCATATCTTATTTGATTTTTACTTTCAACTGTTACTCATCATATCTACCAAAACACATCCATATTGGGTTTTGGGGGGAGTTGAATTTTAATATTTATCTTTGTCTTTAAAAACTGCACTAATAAAATACATTTAATGTCTTCCTGAGCTACCTATTTAGTATGTCTAATACTATGTTCAAAGAACCCTAATCTTCTTAAATACACATCTTGTCTATGGACTTAAACAAATAGGTTCACTGGCCCACACAACATATACTTGCTACCAAAGGATTATTGTGGTTTTAAGAATAATAATCAACAGAACTAATTAGAAACCATAAATAAATATTATGTTAAAGCTATTGTTTTGAATAATTGTCTTCTTTCTTCTCTCCACAACTTGGAAGCAAATGGAATTTTTTATTTCTTTCAACAGAGTTAAAAATTGAAACAAGATCAGTTTCTTGACATTGTGATCTATCACAGACTACAGTGATATTATTCATAGGAGGGCAAATGTGTCAGTGATAGACTTGGGAATATGGATTTAATAGAAATACCACATTTTGATCCTGAAGAATTCAAAATATTGGAAGGTGAAATAAAATCATGGAAAATATTTTACAATGAAACTGCCTCTAAGAACTATGGGCAAGATTTATCATTGGCTTTGTGGAATGTACATTAAGATTTTTCAGCATACTTTTGTGTTCAGCTGGGAAATACTGTGTTATAATTTTCATGTTTCAATTCATGCTAAAATTTGATTTTATGTGTGTGTGTTAAGTATGTGCATAAAAGACCTCAAGTATAAGAAATAAGAAAGAGAATCAAAAAAACTGTTGGCATTTTTGTAGGAAATATTGAATTTAGTTTTTCAAAGGCACAGATTCTTTTTCCACTAATAAAAGTAGGATATGAGACTACAGTTAGTCAAATGCACTGCAAATTTAACCACATTTTTAAAATGTGATTTTAACCTGGATGTCTGCAATCATCCTTAGAGTTTATAAACTCAGTTTATTTCCAGATTATACTTGATAGAAGGTAAAAATTAACATAAAGCGAATCATTCGTAAGGCAAAAGTGAAAATGCGCTTTCTGTGTTTGATTTGGTATTCATTCACTCACAATACTTCTTCACACAAAATAAACAAACAAACAACAGATGCTAATCTCCGAAAATTTATCTTGAAGGATTTAAATGATGTTCTTGAAAATGTCAAGTCCTTTTACTGGCTCATACTGAGAAAAAAAAAGGATAATTATTGTATTATTGTTACCAGTTCAGAAAAAAACTCACCGTTTTCATCAATTCTAGCCAGCTTTGCAGAAAGATAACTTCTGATGAGTTTTAAAATTCCTAATTATCCAACAAATGCTGCTACAGTTTAAATCAATACTTAAATACACACATAACAAGGAAAGAAGAGGCATACATTTTGAGATTAATGGTGTAAAAAGTAAAGGATAAAGAAAAAAATGATTAAAAACAGCTAAACAACCAATTGTTATGTTGTCTCAGAATTTTCTGTAAAGAGAATGGCCACCTGATTGAAAAGAACAGAAGAAAAACTTATCAGAAGGAAAAGTAAAGTTAATGCTTAAAAAATGTGTTTTGAGAAATGAAAACTTTTTTATTCACTGAAAAAGTGTTTCAGTCCCCTGGACCCTTTGACTAAAGACCATATTTTTTGAAAGGACGTGCAAAGTAGATCCAACAACTGCAGCAATCTTTGAAGGAACTTAAAAGATTGGGGAGGGGCCAGAAGACTGCAGGCTGACGCAGACACATGCATATTCACTTTGCAAAAGAGGAGAACAGTAAATTCTTCAAAATATCAACAGAGGAGCTTTACACTATTCTTACAAAATCTTCCATAACAACTTACTAGGGATTGATTTGTATGGTGCTAGGAAACAATTTATTGGACCCTGCCTACACTAACCGTGAGCTATTTCAAATGAAATAATGAGAGGCAGACAGGATAGTGGTTAAGAATGAGATTTCTGTGTTAAACTTCCAAGACTAATTTCCTACCTGTGCGATGTGGCCAAGTAATTTCCACTCCTGTATCTTGGCTTCCCCTCTGTAAAATAATAATAATGGAATTTCGTAACATTGATGTGAAATATAAATGCATTTAATAGATTTTCATGACAACATAAGAATAATTACATGTCTCCTTCTGAGTAAATAATCAAAAATAGTATATCTAACTATAAATTCTATTCTTTCAGAACATATCAGACATGTATAGCTTCGCAATGTGGAAGATAACGTCCAACTGGTTTTAACAAGGCAATTGCCAAGTTCACTCATGACAGTCTTCTCCATACAGCGGAGAAGAAAAAAAAATTTTACAGAAACAAAATCAAGCCAATGTTTACTAAGAAGAATCTCAAAACTATTTCATAAGAAGACCAAATGAATCATTTCGAAAACTCTAGCGCATCAGTCTGAATATACTATAACTTCTGGCCATAAGATTTGCTTCAGACAGCAGCTCTTGAGAACTTTCTGCCTTAAAATTTTCACTGAAGTGAGCAAGTCTGTGTTCAAGAACAACGGGATATCAACCAACCCTGACTGTCAGCAACAAATGAATTTAGCAGTCAGGAGATGTCATTCTAATGTCAGCCATAGCAACATCTTTTAATCTAATGTATGTTCATGATATTTATGCTGCAATTTGAGTTAGTTTGTGTACATTATCCATCCTATTCTTTCAGTGATGAAAAAAGTACAAGAGTGTCATATTATGAAATTACTTGAAAAAAAATTAAAAGACATAAGAATGAAGGAAGCCATTGGTGCTGTGGTGTGCACTGGGTCAACAGCAGGGATGATACTGAAAGACAAAAAATAAACTGGAAAAAATGTAAAAGGTTCTGAGGTGATCCACAAGGAAGAAAAATGACTGATAAAACTAAGTTTCGAGTGTGCAGATAACCAGAGAATCAGCATCCATCCTGGATGCCTGTCAACCTGATGTTAATTTAGGAGATAAAAATTTGTTCGGGAACTTAATAAGCATGGTAACAACTACTGAGGATCTTTTGTCAAAATCCACAGATAATTATAGTTTCCAGGCATGTTCACACTTGTACAACCGTGCAGTGAGGGAGTAAGTGGAAATCCCCAAGAGGAGGGATCTATAAGGGTAAGTGATTCACAACAGAATATCTAGCAGCATGATGTTGAAGAGTATGCCTGGTTTTCAGGTAGAAGTTAAAGAATGAAGAGACCTGGTCATGCACAGTCATGTCATTCTTATTTATTTATCTCTTTAGCATTCAAGATTTTAAAATAATTTCAAATAGCACTAAGAAGGTAGAAACTTTCATAAGAAAAATCTGGACTAATAGTTTCTTAAAAAATAATGTGAGGTTCTGGCAACATTTACACACTATATCCCTAACTCATTAATGACACCTACCTGACCCATGAGGCTTCTGAGTTTACAATCCCCATTTTAAAACTTCTAAAAAAATGACTCACAATTCTAGAAGATGGAAGTGAATTGGGGACTGTACGGTGAATGCTTTTTCACCTTGACTTAACCCAAAGATGCTGAATGTAAATGAACTCCTCTAACTGAAAAAGAAATAATGCATAATGAGTTTGAGCAGTGGTTAATATGAAAAAAGCCCAAATTAGCAAGCTTTCTTTTTCTCAACTACTGATTATTGATAATGCGACTTGACTGCTTGTACAGTATTTTGATAAAGATGTATACACTCAGAATTAAGCAAAGGCCAAAAATCATATAGGTGGAGGCTTAATTTGGGAAAAAATAATCGTGGTTCACAGAATCATAGGGATTTAGAGCTGCAAGAGCATTTAGAGATCATCTGGTGCAACTCTCACAGAGATAACAATTTACTAACTTATATGCAAAATTTCAAAGCCTTTGAAGCTCACTTTCATTATAAAGTACAAAGTAATTCTAGAAATAAATTTGTAATACAAATGGTATTGATTGGAAAGGCTATAAATATACTTAATCCTATATATATATGTATATATGTGTGTGTGTGTGTGTGTGTGGAACTGAACATACAAACAAAGTTGTGCACATATTACAAAATAGGTCCATGTCAGCTCTCTAGGCTCTCACCCCTGTGACACAGTCACTATGCTTTAATGAATACCCAAGGGGATCCTGCAACACAGTATATTCCCTGGCCTGTTTGGAAATCAGACAACAATTCCTCTTGGTGTAAGTCTTTGGTACAAAGACTTTCCTCTCTTTTTTCCCAACAAATGAGAACCCATGTTTGTCAATGGAGTAAGAGAATACTGGTTACCTACCTCCAATAAGCACACTGAGTCAACAACCTAAAGGTTTGAGACAGTCAAGGGGTCTGGTAATGAATGTCCTACTCATTCTGCAATACAAAAGTAAATTACCAAATAATAAATGCTGAATCTTTGGAATTTGGAATAGTCAGCTTTATATTTTTTAAAAAAGAAAATCTTGTGCATGAGTCAGAATCATTAACATAACTTTGCTGTGTTTGCAAATTTCTGGCAGGTTAATTCTTGATAGCTGGGGAAGAGCAAAGCTTCCAACCAATTTTCTAAATCATCTTTAGGCAAACATCCAGGCGCAATCACCTGTAGATGGCTGCCTGAAGGCCCAGGTATGTTTTCAGAAAGCAGCCAGATTCCTGAATGATTTACAAAGTTAACCATTAGAGCTACTCATATAACTGGCTTAGACTGAAAATAAGTAAAAAAATACATGCATGACACACCTTAACCTCAGTGTCCTCACCTCACTCAGAGGAGAAAAAAGCATCCAGAAAAGGCAAGTTTACCTGGCTTTTCAAATCATTTTCAGACATGAGCCTATGTAAGGTATTCCTACTCTGAGGTCACTAAAAATAAAAATTAAATAGCAGACATGATGAGCAGAAGACAGTATGGTCATTTAGATGTAAATATATTTCCTTTTTGATTTTAAAGTTTAGAATAGTATCATTAACTACTGAGTGCCAAAATGTCACATTTTGAATCAAGCTACCGGGACTTAAAAAAAAAAAAAAGTTCATCTAATTTGAGACAAACGAAATCAGAAACGATCTAAAATACAGTGATCTGACAAAGCGAGCTATTAGCTGAATTTGATATTATTGTGCTTTCACTTCCAAACAAATAACAGGAATCAATTTATAAAGTTAATGAGACATTTACAACTGAAACACAATTACAACTACAGCCCCTAGAACAAAGTTTTAAAAATATTCATTCACTGTCATTCAAAAATTTGAATCACTTATTTGTCTGTAATGAATTCTAACTTTAAAACATTTATCAAACTCACTTTTTTTCAAATCTTTTGACAAAATAGTGTAATGATGATGTTAATGATACAATATTAGTAAATAACATACTGAGTTAAGAAAAATTTACCTCCTGTTGTTCCTTATAGCTTTTAAAAGGGGTTTACAGACATGTTTTTATTTAATTTAATGTACACACAATGAACTTATATGCATGATACTGATCTAGACATTTTTAAAATAGGCAATTTGTCCTCATAAGAATCATAGGGGCTGGGCGCGGTGGCTCATGCCTGTAATCCCAACACTTTGGGAGGCTGAGGTGGGTGGATCACCTGAGGTCAGGAGTTCAAGACCAGCCTGGCCAACATGGCAAAACCTTTCTCTACTAAAAATACAAAAATTATCTGGGCATGGTGGCAGGTGCCTGTAATCCCAGCCACTCGGGAGGCTGAGGCAGAAGAATAGCCTGAACCTGGGAGGCGGAGGTTGCAGTGAGCTGAGATCAGGCCATTGCACTCCAGCCTGGGCAACAAAAGTGAAACTCCATCTCTAAAAAAAAAAATAAAAAAATTAAAAAAAAAAAGAATCTTAGGATAAGAAACTTCTGCAAGAAAAATAAAGTATCACTGCTTGAGGATCACAATGACTTTTAAACTGAAAAAAAAAAAAAAATCCTAGAGTTGAGAGTGTGAAGATCCAAGATTAAGAAGATGAAAATCTAGGATTAAATTTACAGTAGTTTTAGGCCTCTGATGGAAACCTGAAACTGCTTGCCCATAGTAGTTGACACATTATAGTTAAATTACTTTCTTGAGAATAATTTATAGAAAAACTGTTTTCAAAGTTAATCATGTTTACTCCTTGTCATCTCATTGGCGATAACCACAAGTTGCTCGACACTGTACCAAGAAGACTTAAACGTCGGTGTCCTTTCACCTTGAATCTGGGAGGGCCTGTGAATTCTTCAACTAATAGAATGTGGCAAAAGTGATGCCATGGGACATCTGACATCTGAAGTGAGGTCATCAAATGCCATGCAGCTTCCTCGTGGTTACCTGATACACCTGCTCTCCGAGCGTTCCCTTTCCAAACACAGCTGTCATACTGGGAGAAGTCCAGGTCACATGGGGAGGCCATGTGTAGGTTCTCTAGTCAATAGTCTAGCTAGGCACAGCCTTTGGTCAGCACAGCCCAGAAACCAGGCGTGTGAGTGAAAGAGCCTCCAGATGATTCCAGGCCCCAGACGTCTGAGGCCCACTCTGCCTTTGGAATCTTCCCCACTGAAGCCCCAGGCATGATGGAGCAGAGACAAGCACTCACCTTCACTGCCCTGTCCAAATTCTGCCACATAATTTGTGAGCATAATAAAACAGTAGTTGTTTTATGCCATTAGATTTGGGAAGTTTTTTATACAGCAACATATAAATGGACTATCACTCTAGTTAAATTATCTAGTTTTCTAAGTTAATTTCCATAATAGAAACGGTAGTAATAAAATAATTTTAATGATCTCTTGCTCCAGATATACTGTTAAGGCTTCATATTTATGATTTTATTATAACACTCCCATTTAACCTATAAAAAGAGTATTATAAATATTCCCATTTTACAGATGAGGAAACTAAGTCTTTAGGCATTTAAGTGACCTTACCAACAGCACAGAAGTAACAAATATCAGAACCAGTATTTACCTGGAGTTATTTGTAACTTCTCAGCTGTCAGTAACACACAGCTCATTTGAGATAAAAAATATGCAGTTCTTACATAAGCATGCACGTCAAAAATGTACTAATGTATAAGTATCACTAAACGATTTCACTTTCAGGAAAATTTACTTGAAGTGGTTCACATCTGAATAACTGGCAATTCTTAGAATTCAAGAGAGAAAAACAAAGAAGTCAGTATCTTAGGCAACAAAAATCAATGGTATAGATTATAGGAGCTCCTTCAAGGCCATCAGATCAGGCCCTTACTATCCAGGCTACATATAAAAGGCACCAAACATCACAAGAACCTGTGTGTGACTTAAAAGATGTGAGGAAAATGGAATTCCTAGAATCATGTTATTTAAGAAGTAAGAAGAACCCCAAAGATCAGCCAATCCAACTCCTCCTTTAACAAGAAAACAGTCCTGTAACCCACTTGAGGCTGCCTTGGTTCCTCACTGCCATTGAATGCTCTGTTCTAAAGAGCTTGTTGCTTCCTCAGGTAGATTGATAGCTTCAGGGAATTCTGTAGTCCCCAAAATTTCAGAAGGATAGATTTATCAACCCTGTGGCAAATCCTTTTCCACTTCAAAGAGTGACTGATCCTCAATTCTTAGTTATATAGGGCATAAAGGCAGAATATACTTACATCCCAACACTGAGTAAGGCATTATAGAAGGGAGACAATGCAAGGAGACACCAATTGCAAAACAAAGCACATATTAGTCCCGAAAGTGAAATAATTCACAAGTTAATGTGGATCATCATAAGAGTCCATAAAGCCTTGAGACTTCCCGCTGCTTTAATGTTACAGTAATGGTAAGGGAAATGAGAATTAGAAAGGGAACTATGTTAATGTTTACTATGTTCCAGGCCTAAGAATCATTTACGCAGTATCCCCCTTAATCCTCATAAAACTACCATGAGAAAGCCACTCACTTGCTCATTTTAAAGATGAGGAAATTGAAAATAACAGTGACTGCTAATCGTGCATAGTATCCATTCTCTCCTTTTCAATTTTATTTATGGGGCAATACACTCAGTTAAAAGACTACGTTTCCCAACGTTTTCAGCTAGGTGTGGCCATGTGATTAAATTCAAGCTAATGATACATGAGCGTTGTGTGGAATTTCCTAGAAAGCTGCTGATTAGCTGGAAAATGCATTCCTTTTGTCACTCTGTTTGTTTCCTTTGTTTCCTTCATGCAATATGGAATGTAGATGAGGTAGGTGTAGCACCAGAAGCCATCTTTAATGTGAGGTGATCCAGAGAATGAACGCCAGAGTCAAAATGCAGGAGGAGGAGGAGGAGGAGGGTGAGGCAGGAGCTTTGGTCTCTCCAGATCATGAAGACAACATAGAGCCATGCATCACTTACTGCTAAACTTCTTTTTCCAAGACAGAGAAATGTATTTCTGTACTGTCTAGGCCCCTAATATGTTGGGTTTTCTGATAAACACTGTTGGACACAGTTAATCCTTATGAATGTGTTACCTTTACTGAAAGATTTTGCCGAACACAATGTTGAAAGCTTCAAAAAAGAAAAAGAAATCCATTTATTCCTAACAGTCCACTTCACTGTAATTTCTATTTCATCCTGCAAAAAAACCCGTACTTCATTTCCAGACTGAATGCATGAATTTAAAGATAGACACGAAGACTCTAATTGTCTAAACTTCATAATTCTGTTTGCATCCTGTTGGAAACAGGAAGGTTAGATGGAGAAGCAAGCTTAGCAAGAAAAGGAAAGCTTACGGAAGAATCAAAATTGCTACAGTTAGTTGACTCAAGCTTTATGCTGTGCACGTAGAATACAACCATCCAAGAAATTCGACCTATTATTTACGTAGTGACAGATAAAGGAAAACGAGGTGTAGCTCGATAAACAAGCTCTCTCCTAAAGCAGATTTAGACACTATTCATTCCCTTCCTTTCAGTCCAGAAGCCTGGTTAGGTGGAACTGTAAAATAAATTCCAGCACTCTGAACATTTCAAGGAGAAATAATTTTCAAAACTGGCTCGGACTCTATTTTTCTTCACTTTGAAATTGATTAGATGTGCTTTTAAAAGAAAACTTGGTGTCTCAAGGAATAAAGAGTATTTTAGACAAATATAAGATAGCTAATTTTAAATCCATTTAAGATTTTGCCTACATGTTCTAGCCATTAACCATTTCATCCCTTTTGTCAGCAACCTACAAATAAATCATGTCAGATTATACCAAAAGACATTCAATATTATAATATTAACCTAGTATTTGCTGTTTAGCTGAGCTGATTATAAAATAGCAGTGAAATTTGTTCTTTAAAACACCTTAAATAAACAATAAATTGACTGAGGCAGTGAAAATAAAATCACTGATGAGTTGCTTAGTAAGTAATCAGACTCAATACTTGGAAAGAAATGTTACATAAGCAATAATTTAATTTAACTTTTCAATTTAGGGCATGCTTAGTCATATGTAACTTTCTGAAATGAAGCATTTCAATAACTCACCATGGGTCTGCTTTAGAAGATAATCTGAAAATCTATGAGAATGACCAAAAAAAAAAATTACTCTACAGCAGCACTTGATCTAACTGCTAAAGAAGCAAAGAAAAGCAAATGAGAAGGTTTCAATTCAGTGAGTCAACACTGCATTTCACACATAGAGCAGTTCGCCCCTCTAAACCTTTTAAATGAAATTACTACACTCTTCTTGTACAGGGATATCTAGAGTAAATAAAATAGCTCTAAAACATATACAAATTAATTTTTCTTTGAATGGTTTTGCATTTCTTCAAAGTATAAATTGGGGATTCATGTGGTTCATTTCTTTGCTATTAACTCTACGAGCAAGGAAACATATCACAGGATAACTTCCTTGGTTACTATAAAGTATCGTTATGGTATCATTCTTGACAATTGCTCCTGATGTATAAATTATAGCTATTATTATTATTATTGATACCTTTGAGTATCATTTTAATATCTAAGAAAGGAAAATAACAATTTCTCATAAACCTAAATTATACAGGGGTAGGAAAAGGCAATCATATATTTTAATGTAAAATATGTAGAATACAAAACTACAGAATGTAAATGCTATCACAAGTATCCTTCCGTTGTTTAATTAGAAAACCCTAAAACTGACTGAAATTTGCCTGAAAAGAGTCAATATCTAATTACCATTCGGGGTGAGGAGAGATGGGCAACTTTGAATTGTGGCAATACATGGGAAATAAGTTGAAAAACAAACCCTTTGAAATGTGTCTAACTACCATCACAACCAATGCAGATAATGATTTTATCCAAGATTTACAATTTGTGCTGTCAAAAAGTGAATGCCCCAAGAACTTTCAGAAAAGAGCTAAGTATGTTTATAGAATCTACATTACAAGAATTATCACATATATCTTGGTCTGTCTATAGGAGAACATACACAGGCAGGGTTTCTATTTATAAAAACACTCTCTGAATTGCAACAGAATGCAATGAAGGCTCTTTATGTGTTGTACCCAGCACCCTATCCCCAGGATGTAGCTCAGTGTCTGAAACTTTATGAGAACTCAATAAATATATGATAACTTAATGGTTAAATGAATTTAGCTAAAAAAAAAGTGACTGCTTTTCATCATGGTTTGAAAGCCAATATGCTCATGGCAAAGATGCCTGAAACTAAAATTTACAGAAAAAATTATTTCTCTTCCTTTAAAAAAATCTCAATCTCACATTGTTATATTATTACATATCATGTTTGCTTGGAAGATAATCCATAAGTGGTAGCATTCAATTTGTGTTGTGTTATATAGTATAAATTGAATATCTTTCCTGTAAGCACATGATGAATTTTAATGCCACACAATCAGTAATCCTAGTAAATCTTAGCATTTATTCCAATTCTGAGCCATCCCCTTCCCCCCATATATATATTCTTTTTCTGAAGAGGAACTTTATTAGAAGGTATATATGGGAAGAGGGATGGCTCAGAATTGGAATATATGCTAAGTTTTATAATATATAAATATATATACACACCTCATTTTGGTTAATATATAGGAAAAGGGTTATTATCATAAATATGTTATTTAGGGTATAGTTAACTTCATTTTTGCTGGAAAACACAAAATTAAAATTATAATGTAACAAAAATAAGAAAAATAATAAAACATAAAATTTACATTAGACTTGGGTGTCTTCAAAGCCAATATTGCTAAGTTTCAACCTAAATAACACATCTAAATTTAAATGTATGGTAAAACCAAAACAAATTTGGGTATACAAAAATAACTCCTGTAAATTTTTAAATTTTGTCATAAATCATCTCTTTTAAGAAACCCTAATATACAGCAACATAGCAATGACTAAACTCCCCCCGATGCTTGATATAAGTTCTGTCAGGCACCATCTAGCTCATAACTAGTCTTATTATTAATCATCCTACAGAAAGCTCTTCCCTGATCACCTGTTACAAGATAGATAGCAGCTGGGCTATTTTATGTAATAAGGGACTTGGGCTTTCAAGGCAGTGAGGGAAAAGAACCAGAAGCTTGGCAGCTGTGAGCTAAGGGCCCCACCCTTTCACTACATAACAAAAATCAGCTGTTGCCTCAACAGCTGGCAAGTGGCTGACAAAAATGAGATCTGAAAAGAGTTGTAGATTTTATGTAGAAAAGGGCCATAGTTAGGAGACAACAGACAGTAGAAAAGAAAAGTGATGATAAGGGTGGGAAATACAGAGAAAGCTAATATAAGTGGTAGCTACAGATCAGATGCTAACAAACTGTGGCAGGGGGGACTCACAGATATCACAGAAGCCTATAGCCTGAAAAATCTTGTAAAAGAAAATAAAGACGAAGAATAAGGACAGACAGCTGCTATCTGCCTGAAGGTATTTTATTGCCCTATCTGAAAGCAGGGAACCTAGATTATCATGTGAACTATTTCTTCACCCTTGCATCTGTTTACCACTTAATGCTATTACTACACAGTGATGTGTTTAAAATAAAGTATGATAATTATAAATAGGAAGACATTTGTGACAAATGTGAATATGATGGCTCTTGCCCCTCTTGCAAACTGCATTTTGAGACTGGCAACATATTCACAGGCATTGATTTACTAAACAAACCTAAACTAATGCCAACCATGTGCCAAGTACTGGGCAAGACAACAATTAATGAGGCAAGGACATGGCCTCCAGTAATTGCATGTGGGAGAGAAAGGCATAAACAATAATGACAATGCCTCTTGTGTTGTACACGAAAGAAAGAAACTAACTCTGCTGGGGCCAAGACATGAGGACGATGGACAGGAGGAAGTGGCAGACTATAAAGCTTCATAAATTGACGTAGCATTCCAGACTTGTCTTGAAGGATGACTAGGCTTTATCTGGAGAAGAAATTTTTTAAATGTATTTCAGGAAAAGAATAGCACATGCAAATACAAAGAGCATGATAGATGAGAAAGGGAGCTGCCTGGGAGACAGGGGAAAGGATTTGCTGAGCAGTACTCAAGGTTCGGCTGAGGCTAAAAACCTTATATGTGTAATAGCACTGATCCACAAGTCTGTCTGATTTTTCTTCAGCTGTCCTTGACAGTCTGGCAATGGAAGCAGAAGTAAAGACAGCAAAATTGAATGTGCTTCAGAGAGAAGAGGACAAGAAGGAAACAAGAATGCACAAGATGCTGTCTCCTCATTTCCTACTGCCCAACCCACTCACCAGTTTGCAGCCCCGTTCTTCATGCCAGTATCTCCAGAAGAGTAAAGGAAAGGAGATTGTGTGGATAGTGCCCCATTCAGTGAATCCTTCACTTATCTCTAAACAAACACTCTTCCATTACAAAAAGCAATACCAGCAATATAGCATACAATAAGCAAAGATGAGTGGTAGAAATAAACCAGTAGAAAAGCAGAAAGATGGAACAGAAGCCATCGGTGAAGTTGTATCACAGTGCTAAGTGCAAATATTTAGGTGAAAATGACCAATTTGTCTACTTCTCTGACCCACTATTCGAGATTCCTAATATCATTCCTATTTTTGCCAGAGTCCATAGGTTCTATCGAGTCAGAGATTGTGTTTTTATGGGGGCTGATTCCATCTGTGTGTTCCCAATTACTGACTCAGGGTACAGCCGTTCCATAACAAGAAATCCAAGAATGGGTTTTAATTGGCTCTTTTTTATGAGTTTATCATTGCACAATAACCCTAAAAAAATTAAATGCTAGTTTAATTTTATCAGCATTATAGATATAAATTCATGTCATATAAGAGAACATATCACACATGTATTTACACATGCATAAATCTATTTGAGGAAAGAGAAAGATCAGTTTTATTTTTTTATTACTTGTGTACCTATTAGGCCTTATGGAGAAAGAAAATTCAGTTCTGCAACTCTTCTATAATACTGTTTAATTGATAAATATTCATATTCTATTAAATGGGCATTTATATCATTGAAACATTTTTATAAGGAAAATATGCCCCAGAGAGTAGATGACTTGAAATACAAGTCTAATCCCCTCTGCTCTACTGTTTTTCTTACCAGTAAAACACAATCCCTCCCCTTTCATCATATTTACTACTGCATAAATCAGTGTAACTGGAGTCAGCTAATAAACTTTCACAGCCAAAGGTCTCACACTGAAGTCCATAACCTACAAATATTTCCTCTATAAAATATGACAGATAGGGAAAGTTAGGTAGACCCGATAGCAACATATGATCCTAGTCTTTGCATTCTATCAAACAACTTTATTTACAATTGCCAATACAAATTAACCATCACTATAGAAACGTTTCTTAAATCTAAGGATAGTATTTCATGAAAATATTTTTAGTAGTAAAGTAAAATTGAATTTAACTGAATCTTAATAGTGTGGTTAGGTTTATTAGATTGCACAATGAAATAATGTCCTTTAACTTATTTTATGATGACCGTATTAAAATCAACCCTGGGTTTCATTCACAAATCAAACACAATATCTTTTTAATATTATTTGCCCAAGAGGTCCACTAGTACAAACATGACTTCCTTTTAAATGTCTTTGAAGGAAGAGGGACTAAAATGGACATTAAGTAGTTTTTCTTCCAAACAAAATGATGGCTTTAAAGAAAAGCCAACATTAGAACCAAAAAGGCCTTATTTAAGTATTACAAGAATATATCTTTTAAAATTTAGGCAAGTTTCTCTTTAGAAAAATACTGCTAGAGGAAACTCTAAGTCTCTCTCTCATGCAGAAACCTGTAATTCGAAGACAAAAACATCCTAGAAAACCTCTTCATTGCTCAGTTGCTGCTGCCCAAGGGAGAAGCAGAGATTGGGTGGGACCTCATGTGTCTGTCATTGATGTCTATATTCTTCAATTTAGCAAAAGAAAGTGTAAAATTTCACAGTTCCCACAGGACCTGGTTCTCTTCTCTCTCTTGGTCTGGGTAAGTTTTAACTCTAGAAGAGAAATACTTGCAAAACCATTTGGCTGCAAGTCCAGACTTTGGTTTTTAACTGAGATCTACTATTAATAAAGCAAATCGTTTGATCTCTACCTGATGGTTTTGTTTACTTCCCATTTACTTTGAAATTGAAAACCCTATACTAAACACACAGAGGGTGTCATATAATTCTTATCAGTCTAACAGAAATCTTACTCATCTTTAAATGTTCATGTCTAATATCACCTATTTCAGTGAAGGTTTAATTGATTCCCATGTTGAAATTAATTGTTTCCCCTCATGTCCCCATGGCTGTTTGTAGACTGCTTATGGCACTTGCCCTATTTTCTCACTAGCTTACAAATAGACTCCTTAAAGCCAGAGATTATGCCTTATTGGTTTGCACGCTAAAAAGCGCCTTGCATAAAACAACTGTTCAATAATTGTTTAAAATAAACTATAGAATTAATATATTCCTTAATGTTAAAATATTAAAATTAAATAATGTTTATTGTGAAGAAAACGACAGTCTGTAAAAACGAAATCATCACATATATTCTATTTACCCAACAAATAAGAGCACATTCCTATACAGTTAAGGGTAATCTGTTAGCCAACAGCCTTAAGGCAGTGAATACATGTGTACTGGGAATTTCTATGTGTTTTCTGCACTGCTAATTCTAATGTTCATAAAAAATGCATGTAACTGTTTCATTGGAAAGCTCCTTACTGATATACCCAAAGACTGGTTTTCGTTGGGGTTCAGACATTAATTCTGAATGCAAGCTTACATAAAGATAGGGGATGTAATGTTTAAAACAGTGTAAATGGCCATTGATTCAAATATAAATCAATATATGAGATAATAGAAAAAAGAAAAATTGCAGAAGGCTTCAAACAGCTAACAGGCTTCCTTGTGGCAATTCACACTCCGATGTGTTTGAAAAACATCAAAGTACAACTTAATTGGTCTGGGAGACATTCATTCACCTCATTTAACAAATATTTACTGAACACCAACTACATGCCTGGTCCTCTGCAGGGCAACGAATGTACCACAGTGTGACATAATAGACACAATCTCCAACCTCATTGAGGTTACAATCAGAACAGGGAGTCAGATATCAAACAGATGATCAAGCAAATACAATCATGAATAAGTGCTGCCCAGGAAAAAGTGGATGGGGTGAAAGATAATGCTCTAGGTAAAAACAATAGTCTGCATGAATATTCTCAATCAGGAAAGAACCACAACTGAAGAAACGGTACAGAGTGCTGGAGCAGAGTTGGCCATGAAGAGAGTGATGTGAGAGGAAGCTGGAGGGATGGATAGAAGCCATAGCACCTGGGGTCTGGCCATACTAATTATTTGGATTTGTATTCTAAGAATAATGCAAAGAAAAGAGTTAAGCAAGGAATTGCATTATCAGATCTATTCTGACATCTAATTCATGCTAAATGCCATAGCAAATTTAGTATGTTTAGATATATTATAAAACATAAAATATATTTCTCCCAAATATAGCAATGTTAAACAAAATAATGGAATATAAGATTCAAACTATAATAAGAGTCAGTGGTGTCTGAATGTATTTCTGTGCTCACAAGTAAAAAGGTTTATACATTAAGTTGTAAACAAGTGATAAATATTGTGCTGCTTACTAAAATCTCAGGAGTGTTAAGATTAAAAAGGGATATACGTAGAAGACAGGTCACTTCCAATTCAAACTGCACATTTTGTTTCTAAGTAACCTATAAATTTAATAAAAATCAAATATGAAATAAGAATTAATTTATTTACAATGGCAAGCCTAAAAATAAGTAATCTTTAAAAATATTTCCAAGCCATTTGTAGATTAGTCCAGCTAACATGGGTATTGATAAAAGTAGTTTCAGTATATTGATACCTAATTTAAGAATCTACATGGTGCCCAATTTCCTGATAAAGTCAAAAATCCTATGGCTATCATTCAAGATCTTCTGGAATTTATATTGAACCACATATCCTCTTTCAAAACTGTGACCTTACATGCTCACGAAAACTATCACAAACACCTTCGTTACCTTTATCAAATCATCCTATCTCTTTATTCATCTAATCTCTAAATTATTTCTATTTTTAAGGCCCAAATGAGCTATATCTGCTTTATTCAGCCATTTATTATATTGTTCTGATGCTTCCTAGGAATTATAAAAGATTTATACCTTCGCTATAAATCTGCACAATGTTTTATATGTATGTGTGTGTAAAAGATACATATATATACACACAGTTTTTTCATCTAAAAATGAATATAACAACATAATTTTTAGGATTTTAAATGAACTAATGCATAAGATTAAACAGTAAGTGCTCAATGAGTATTACACATTACAACTAGATATCATAGCCACTAAAATCATACCTATACATCAGTTTCAACAAAATCTTTCATTATTTCATTCAACAAATATTTATCAAGCATGTCCTATGTCCCTAGCCCTATGCATAAGATTGTAATCAACAAGATAAATTAGGTTCATCCCTCATGAAACATTAAACAAGTAAATGCATAAACAAAAAATTACATCTTGTAGCAAGTATTAAAAAAGAAATAAACATTTATGGAAACTCTGCTGGCAACACATGAGTATATCCCTAGCAAACATCTGTAAATAGCTCTACATACCCATTGAACTTTCTTAAAATTTGTTTAAAAAAATCGAGTTAATGTATAGAAAACTGACACCTATTCAACTAAATTTTATTTCAGCATTAAAAGAGTTAAAAATTACAGATAAAGACATCTACATCTGTTTCATAGATGTTTAGGCTCTACTTTATTTGAAAGAAAAATAAAGTTTTCTTATACGAAATTTGTGATGCAGAAAGTCTTCCTTAGAGATGGGCAGACAATGAAATCTTGCAAGATCCTTTTGGAAAATACTCCTGCTATGGTATGGGTTGTATGTATTTGTACCCCAAAATTCATATGTTGGAACCTAAGACCCAATGTGACAGTATTACGAGAAGGGGACTTTAATAGGTGATTAAGTCATGAGGGCACTGCCCTCACACATGGGATCAGAACCCTTATAAATGATCTCTAGGGAAATAGCTGGGCCCCTTTTTGCCCTTCCACTTTCCACCAGTGAGGATACAGTATTCACCCTTCTGCCATGCAAGGATGCAGCAACAAGGCACCATCTTGGAAGCAGAGAGTAACCCTCACCAGACACCAAATCTTCTCATGCCTTGATGTTAAATTTCCCAGCCTCCAGAACTGCGAGCAATAAGTTTATTTTTATGAACCACCTACTCTCAGATATTTTGTAAAGCAGAACAAATGGACTAAGACAATCCCAATGAGGTAGGTCTGAAAACCGAAGTTATTGCCAAATAATCAATGGCCTCTAATAGTGAACTAAATGTACACTCAAGTAAACATTTAGGTTGATGAACTTAAACATCATAGCCAATTCTTTCTCAATAATCTATTTCTTAACTATTTTCTAATTCTAACATAACTCATTTCAATGCCATATTTTGTTTTACCTATTTTGAATGAAAGTGATACACTGAAAGAAAATCCTGTTTTCTCTTCATGCTAAAATTTAATTACATTCAAGCACCACTTAAACTCTCATAGAAATAAAGCATTATATTTCCAGCTTCTTCTTTTTTCCTGTTTTTCATTTGAAAACCTACCTTGACTCATTTTGTTACTCCTTCTCTGTGTTTGTATTTAAGTGGGGAGGCAGCAAGCAGTGGGGATAGAGATTTAGACTGTCAATCATTCTGTTCACTCAGAGTTTAAGTGTTCTGTTTGTTGTCTCCTGGGAGAGTAACATCCATAGTAACAAATGCAAATGCATTTACTTTAGGGCTATTTTAATAGCCATCAGTGGAGTGGGGAGGGGGAATTCTATATAGGACGAAGTCTCTCCAGGCACTAGGGATCAGCAGTAATTTCCTCTTTGAATACTAATGGCTAAAGTTTCATCATGCTGAAGTTTGATACACATTAAGCAGTCAACCACATATTTAGCATCTCTATAAAATATCACCCCACTGTCTACCTTCACAGCCCTAAAAATACAGCCTACATTGTTCACATAGACAAACTGCCCCAAGTTTAGATGTACATTTCATCATTCATGCTTTGACTCTCCTAACCACCACCATTTGTTATAGAAACCATTTAAAACAAAAAATTAAAACAGCCAGTGCTTGGTGGTAGTTTTAGTAAGGACAACCAATCTATCTATAAGGATTCCTTGAAGGAGTAACTATGAAGAAGGGCTAGACCAGAGACACAAATGTCTTTCTGGAGAGTAGGTAGAAACTTACATAATGCCCACAAGAGTGTCTAAAAAGCCTGCAGCTCCGGAATAAGAGAACTTATTTATTTTAAAAAGCTTTAATTATTCTGTAGGTCTCTAATAATTTTCATGTCATAAATCAGCTAAAATAAGTTTTTTTTAATGTAGGCCATATACAGGAATGTGTATTACTTCAAATACATAGTGTTTTTAACTATAATAATCCCTCATTATTTAATGGACACCACGTGCTTTATGTGAAATATGTTTTAACCTTCAAATAATTCTATTAGAATCTTCATTTTACAGATGAGGACATTGAAAAGTAAGTGGTTAAATAATTTGCTCTAGGAGGTGGGAACATCATAATTTCAATCTAGGTTTGCCTGAAGGAAAACTCCAAGTCTTAACTCCACTGACTGTCTGTAATTGGGGCTCATCAATTTTAGGTTGATGCTCAAAATAACTTTGGATATACAGTGGGTATTACTGCTGTAAGCACAATCCAGAAACCAAGACTGTGGACATGTCCAGAGAAATACACACGTGCATACACACACACACACACACACACACACACACACACCACACATTAGAATTTACCCTTTAATAAAACTAATGTTTAAGTTTCACTATGAAGTATTTAGATAAACCTCGAAAACAGAACCTTATAGAGATAACAGAGAGTATAAGGGAGTTCAAAATATTTGTATCTTAAGTGAATCCTCAATTTGTTAAAATGTAGTACCACAGTGAATAAGTATTTTAATAATTTTAAACCTCTCTCATAAAGAAGATCTAAAGAGGCAATGTAAGGAGGACACGGTGGTTCTATTTGCTGCAGTACTTAGTTTGTGCTCTTGTACTATAAGAACAAATGCTAATTACTGTTCAACCCTAATGCTAATCTCAGCATCTGCTAATTAAAAGATCACATCTTCTGCAAAATCAACATTACCATTCAAATGAAGACATTAATCAGTTTGAAAAATTCAAAATCAATCAGCTGAAAGGAGAAAGTTGTAGGCCTCCAATGAATTGATAACAGCACAAACTCAGGAGTGCAAGAGAGCAAGTGTCAATTTATGCATCTCAGCAACACAGACTCGCACTGTTACAAAAGTTACCCGGCAGTGTATTGTACTGTGTTTCAATATTTCACCCTAACCATTTCACTAAGTATGATGTTGATATGCAAAATGACAATATCACCTGGCTCCTAAAAGGGACTTGTTTTAAATTTAATGTACTAGAGATGTGATTACCTACCAGATTTTCAAAATAAATGTTGCAGTTTTCAAAAAGCTAATGCAAAACTTCATGAGATAATTCCAGAATACTAATAACTGCAGAAGAAGCTCAATTGTATTAATTGTTTTACAGCTAATTTTTTGCTTTTTCAAAGCTAACTAATAGTTCTATCTTTTATGGTCCTTATCAGTATTCAGAACACCTCAAGTGCAGACTGGGGTTATATTTCAGGGTCAAATCAAAAGGTCCTTCTTTCTCAGATTCACTCATGGAGCTGTCAGGGACAAAAGATTTAGATTTTGTTTGTGATGATCTCTTCTGTCACATTTTGTGCTCCTCCTTGTGTCAAAGAATAAGGACTAACAGAAATCTTCTCACTGTGTAGCATAATACAGCAAACATAGCTCTGTTAGCCAAATGAATATTTAAACAACCAACAGAAACCCAGGACCAAAACACTAAAAATTGTCACTTATGTATGGATAAAATATGGCAATGTAAAAATACTTCATTTAATGCTACTTAAAATTGAAAGGATTTAATATACATAGAGTTTCCTGCAGCCACCATGAATATATACGGTTGGAAAATGTGAAGATTCCTAGCATTTTCAGAATCTCATTGCTAACTACTCATGCATTAAAAGAAAACACTATAGGGAAAATAAACTTAAGTGAACTCTTGCTGCAACAACCATAATGTAAAATATAAAAATATGAATTGGGACTACCACTGTGAAGGAGTAAATAAAGTTTCTTTTCTTTTTGAAAAATAAATGAGTAAACATTATACGTGAATTCATATGCAGAGCAAAAGATATTAATGTAATAATATCTGAAATAGAAAGTCAAATTCATAGCCTTGTTTATCTAAAAAGGTAGGAAGAACTCAGGTCCAGACAGATTTACAATAATGATTTCATCAAGCAGACAAACAGTTTTGATATATACCACGTGGAGAAAACTTAGCTCTAATTCGCTTTATCGAATTAAGAAATGAATAACAACTTCATGTGACAATTATATTTCAAAGAAATTATTACTGAAATTTACTGTTTTCTTTAAAGTTAATAAGGCAGACAACATGAGCCTATATATCTTACACTGACCTCTACTTATGGAGGCTAAAAATCATTAAAGATAGTTTGCAATCATCATATTGATCCATACTCATAAAAAATTTATTTCATACATATAACCTTAGAAAAATCTTATTAGAATAACATTCAGGGGGAGGGACAAAAAAAGAAATAAAAGAATAATATTCATATGTAGTAAAGAGTATTTCCATCTAATACCAAAAAATAAACAAAAAGAGTTTTGAATGGTATAAATTTTTATCACCATGATACACACAGTAGAAAAATGGCCAAGGTGGTCACCAAAGAAAAAGCTCCAGGGTGTCTCACCTGTGATCACTTTACAAAGAGAAGGATTCACTCTCTCATGCTTAGAAACACTGATAAAGAGGCAGGGCACAGTGGCTCAAGCCTGTAATCCCAGCACTTTGGGAGGCCAAGGTGGGCAGATCACCTGAGGTCAGGAGTTCGAGACCAGCCTGGCCAACAGGGTGAAACCCCGTCTGTACTAAAAATACAAAAATTAGCCAGGTGTAGTGGTGGGCACCTGTAATCCCACCTACTTGGGAGGTTGAGACAGGAGAATCGCTTGGACCCAGGAGGTGGAGGCTGCAGTGAGCTGAGATAGAGCCACTGCACTCCAGCCTGGGCAACAGAGCACAACTCAATCTCAAAAAAAAAAAAAAAAAAAGAAAAGAAAAGAAACACTGATAAAGAAAGCACATATAGGAAATAAATGCTCTCTCATGAGCAAACTCACTGGATCCAAAGTTCACAGAAGCTGATATACATAAATGGAATGTGACCTTATTAATTTACAATGACAAATAACCTTCACAGGGACCAGGATATTAGGGGTCCCACCTACTAGTCCATTCTCTTCCTAAAAGCTGGCTTCAGAGAAGTCAAACAAACATGGAAACAGAACAAAGGGGAATTATCTAACTCAAATACTTAATGGCTTCCATAGGTTAGTCAAGTTATCTATCTTACCATAGTGATGTTCTTAGCCAATAGTAGCAGGATTTGTTTTCTGTATATCCACACTTAACTAGCTCTTATTTTGAGTGATGCATTATTCTTTCAGGTTTGGTGATACTCCAATCCAGTCCTAGGAAAACTCCTGGCCTGGGAGTAATTACACATCTATGCTTTCTCCATCCTATGCCCATCTCATTGTTTACGGGATTTGTACTTTGCTTCTTTCTCACTTCTGTAAGCAACACTTTAGTCTACAAGCTCTAATACACTACAGTATCATTCTGAACTATAAACATTATAATTTGTAAAGCTTATAATCAAGGACATAGCCAGAAAAGATGTGTTAATTTAAAAACTGGCCAAATTATAAGTTTATACTACAAAAAAGAATTAGCAATCAACTAGTTCTCAACCCTTTCTTAATTATCACAAATACAGAGTAAAAACATAGGACAGTTGAGTACTTTCATTTAATACATATCTACTGAGTACAAATTGTAGATAAGCAAGGCACATTTTTGCAGTGAGGATTGGGAGGCTGGAGGACTTAACATTTACTGAGTGTCATCTACTCATCGCTCTACTAGACAAACAAAGAGGTCGTTTCTCATTTATTTCTTATAGCCTTAAAGTAGATACTGTTATCTACATGTGCACAAGAGAAAAGAGGCTCATTTCCATCTCTTCTGGGACCTTATTTGGTTGGTTTTCTTGTTTTCCTCATGTTTTCACTTCTGGCTAACTTCATGCAACTCATAATCACATTCAAGCATCTCATATCTTGAAAGAGCAAATGAGCAAGGCAGTAAACAAAAACCAAACTTCACAGCTGTCTATGATTCTTATTTGCACACTGCCAAAACCTTCCTTTTTTTCTTTCCCAACCAATGGGGAAATAATGTACACCTGCTGTCCACTACTACCCCTCATTCGGTCATCATCCTACTGCAGTCGTCTTTCAGGTAACACCACCCTTCACTAAAACTGCTCTATAAAACAACACCAATTACACTTGAACAAGAACTTCTGAAACATTTTCTTTCCTTCTATTCTAAGCTCCAAGCTCTCCGACCAACCCTCCAGGCTCACTGACTATATCTTCTGATTTCCGTCTTCTGATTTCTATCCTCTAATATCAGAGTTCTCCATAGCTTTCTCCTTGGCCATATTCTATGCCCATTCTTTCTGCTTCCTCCTAGAAATTTAAACCATATACTTGGTCTCAACCTGATATAGTTTGGCTGTGTCCCCATCCAAATCTCAACTTGAATTGTATCTACCAGAATTCCCACATGTTGTGGGAGGGACCCAGGGGGTGGTAATTGAATCCTGGGGGCCGGTCTTTCCTATGCTATTCTCGTGATAGTGAATAAGTCTCACGAGACCGGATGGGTTTATCAGGTGTTTCCACTTTTGCTTATTTCTCATTTTATCTTGCCACCACTATGTAAGATGTGCCTTTTGCCTCCCGCCATGATTCTGAGGCCGCCCTAACCATGTGGAACTGTAAGCCCAATTAAACTTCTTTTTCTTCCCAGTCTCAGTTATGTGTTTATCAGCAGTATAAAAATGGACTAACACACAACCTCTGCCTGGAGGTGCCAAAATCTATACCTCTAGCCCAATTCTACCTCTAAGCTCTGTAAGTCTATATCCAGCCTATATCCACTTGTAGGAGATAGAAATGTCCTACATTGAAAATAATTTCTCTCCCTTTCCCATCAATTTTTTCATAATCTTCTAAGACCACAAAATGACATCACCATCCTCTCTATCCCCCAAGTAAGTGAGCTATAAATTAACCTAGACTACCTTTATTGTCAATCTTTAATTTAGTCATAGATTACTGAAGATTTCCTTAGAACCTTATACATCCAGTAGACATTCCCACCATTTCCATGGCTACTACTTGGTTAGGTCCATCAAGGCCCAGAATTAGGCTCTTACCTACCTTTCTAGCTTTAATCCTCAGAATTCTTAAGTCTTCCTAAAAACTTGTAGAACACACACACACGCACTACACACACACACCACTTTTATTTCCTTATTCATGCCTTTTCCATGTATACATTTATTTCATTTATCCATTTCCTTAAATGTGCTGTTAACATGTTTGTATTTAACTACCCTGTATATATTGACATCCTTCAACTCTTTGTTCAAATGTCACCTTCTCAATGAAGCCTCCTCGACTGCCTGTTTAATAGAACAAGCTGCCTTCTATGCCTCCCACTCAATCTCAGTCCCCTCATACTGCTTTTCTTCTTCTTTCCTACATAGGACTTATTACCTTCTTTATTAATCTACTAAGGCAGAAAGAAGAGAAAAAAGAGTAGTATAATGGTAGAAAAGTAGGGCAAACCATGGTCTTAAAAATCAGAGGAAGGTAAAATTTCTAAAAAGATTTAAAAAAAGAAAAGAGTAACTGTAGAAATTTTACCTACCTACTCCAATCATTCAAATGCCTACGTAGATGGCACAGTTCTAAGTAAAAGTATGTATGTGGAAGCTCTTAAATAAAACCTAAGTTTAATACCTTAAATGATATTAGATGATGTTATTATTATTACTAGGGTAATACTACATTTTCACTAATGTAATCAAATAAACTGGATAATGACTTTTTCCTTTTGAATTTTAGTAGTAATTGTAATATAAGTAAATCTGTTTGATAAATCTATACAAATATTCAAGCACATAATTCTGCAACAGAACTACGTTATAGAGTCATTGAGGCATCATCACTAACTACATCTAAGCTGGCATGGAGGCAAGAAAACTATGAGTCTGATTACAATGTTGGGTAAGTCAAAGTCCTGATGACAGTTTCACAGTATAGCATTGCCTCCCACTTTGGCTATATTCTGGCAAATATCCTCATAAAGCTGAGGGCTTATTTCTAACATCATATTGTGAGTGTCTTTACCTACATAATAATTACCTTAAAGCACATTTTCTATGTTCCAGGCACTGTTCTAAATGGTTTACATGTCTTACCTGACATGTCTTAATCCTTGTAACAATCCTGCGACAATAATAATAATAGCAAGTGCTATTATTACCCCACTTTAAAAATGAGTAAGCTTGTTCTTCCAAAGTGACATTGTTGGGGCTGGGCACGGTGGCTCACACCTATAATCCCAGCACTTTGGGAGGCCAAGGAAGGTGGATCGCTTGAGGTCAGGAGTTTGAGACCAGCCTGGCCAACATGGTGAAACCCTGTCTCTACTAAAAATACAAAAATTAGTCGGGTGTGGTGGTGCATGCCTGTAATCCCAGTTACTTGGGAGGCTGAGGCAGGAGAATTGCTTGAACCTGGGAGGTGGAGGTTGCAGTGAGCCGAGATCACACCATTGCACTCCAATCTGGGGAACAAAAACAAAACTTTGTCTCAAAAAAAAAAAAATGAAGTGACATTGTTGGTCACTGGTAAAACTGGAATTCAAACTTAAGAAAATGAGCTCCAAAATTGATATTCTGTCTCTTCAGAGCACTTGGATAGTTGGCTTAAATCCAAATAAAAAAATATAAGCTTAAAAATTTGATCATTTACTCTTTAACAAGCATGATTCTGAGTGCTTCATATGCATCAAAACATTTGACCTTGACAGCAATCCCAGAAGGGAGATATAACAATTCTCTCCACTGTCTTCAGACTAGGAGACTGGGGCTTGAGGAGGTTAAGTACTTGCACAAGGTCAAACCTGTTTACAATTTTCCTAATTTATCTATCTAGTAATGCTTCCCCACACACTGCCTCCTTTGTTTCTTTATGCTAAGCTAGTGGTCTCATCCTAGCATTGTAATATTATAGAGTCATAATTACCTCCTCAGCATTATATGCTGAAATACACTCCTCCCAAGGTACTGTAATTACAGTGCAGGTATCTGATACCATGGATACCTTTTATTAATTTATATTTAGTACTTACCACGTGCCGGGAGGCTGGTTGGACCCAAAGGATAAAATGAAGAACATTGATACCACCCCTCGACGTCTTATTTATTTATGGGAAATAAAGCAAGTAAATAGACCGTTACAAAAAGCCCTGAGAAGCACTGCAGCAAGGGAAGTGCAGTTGCTAAGGAAATGCACAGAAGCACAACCTTACCTAGATCCGGGGGAGGCAATGACTAATCTGAGCCCTAAATGAAAAGTTTGAAACAGCCAGGTGAAGAAGAAAGGATGGAGATGTAGAAATAAACTACAGTGTTCTCAAAGAAAGAAAAGAATGAAGACCCAACACTGGGAGGCTGGCTGTGTTCTGTCCCTCCACTCCGCCCCCACAACCCCTAGAAATTAATTCCCTTGGGAATCACTAGTCAGCTGTTGGTCTCTTCATGCACCAAACCCTCTCACCTGGAGACATAGCATGTCTTCCAATTTCTGTTTCTGCCTCACCCAATTGCCAGTGACATCCGCAAGTATAACATGAGCATAAGTCTAGAATATGAACATTGCTAAATCCAAAAAAATAAAAATTCGTATGAGATAATATCAATTGAGGTCACATGGATTTAGTTTCATTACAATCAACTGACATTTTTGCATGCCTGGGTCTACTATCTCCGCACAGACTTTTTTCTACTGATCTTCATTGTTGATCCACTCCCAAAAAACTGGACTTCCGCCTCAGTTTATTTGTCTAACACAATAATTCATTAGTGGTATGTTACAGGGCCACCCTAGCTACAAGGGTGTCTGGAAGAGCAAGTAATTTTTAAATAAGCATAGTAAGTCCTGCTTGGACTAGATGCTTGCACGGGACAAAAACCTGACAAACTGTGGCCAAGCCACCCTGCCTGGTTTTTATCAGCACTTTTCCCCAGGAGGCTGTACTCTCCTGAGATTTAAATTTTGGAGAATGAAATGCAAGTTTGATTAGCTTATATTATTAGCCAAATCAGGATACAAACTCCTATTAGTGCTATGTCATATATTGTCAAATGGTTAAGTTATACTACTATAAAACTCATACATGATAGGTGGATGGGATAAACAGTAATTTGTATTTTTTGTAAACATAAGCCACAGGCTACGCACAGTGGCTCACACTTGTAATTCCAGCACTTTGGGAGGCCGAAACAGGAGGATGACTTGAGGCCAGAGTTCAAGAACAGCCTGGGCAACATAGTGACACCTCATCTCTACAAAAAACAAAATAATTAAATGAATAAAAATTAAAAATAACATAACCCCCAAATCAAAGAAACACATTCAGGATGAAAGATTTAAATAAATTGGGAAGAATCCTTCTCTCCTTACAATTTCTTAATAACTTTTGCCATCAACTCCACATTACTAAGTCAGAAATCATAGGGAAAGGCTGCAGCATGTGGAACACTTATAATATCTGAGATGTCTACTAAGCACTGTTTCATCTTAATTAAACCAAAACTAATCTTGACAATCTAAAAGAACTCAAGTGTAATACAGGAACAATAATAATAATGGTAGTAGAATGGCTGCCAGCCATGGAGCACTCCCTATGTGCCAATAGCTGTGTTAAGGGCTTCTAGCAGACAGCCGTGATCGCTTACCATCACTAAGCAAGAAAACCTTCATTTTATTCACCATCATGATGTGCTTCTTTTAAAATTACTTGCTTTCCAGACACCCTTGTAGCTAGGGTGACCCTATAACATTATACTGATGAAAGATACATGGTATTCCAGCTTTAAGACATTTTTGAGTACTTATGGTTACAAACACTTAAAAATCAGATACTGAAATAAGTTTTCCTAAAGTACATTCTATCTATCTATCTATCTATATAATATGTATATACATATATGTGTGTATATATATATATATTTAAGAACAGGGTCTCACTCTGTCATCCAGGCTGGAGCTCACAATCTCGGCTCACTGCAGCTTCAAGTTCCAGGGCTCAAGTAATCCTCCAGCCTCAGCCTCCCAAGTAGCTGGGACTACAGGCACATGCCACCACACAGAGCTAATTTTTTAAAAATGTTTTGTAGAGCTAGGATCTTGCTGTGTTGCCCAGGCTGGTCTCAAACTCCTGGGCTTTGGTGGCTTCCCAAATTGCTGGAATTATAGTCATAAGCCACCATGCCCAGCCTAAAGTTTTGACTCACAGGGTCATTTAATATTAGCCTGACTTCTTTTCACATATTTACAAAATTAAAGATACCCAATACAGGATTAAAAGAAAACAGTTTAAAAAAAAAAGCAGTACTTCCAGAGTTCCTCTGAAGGGTATGATGTATACTACGTTAAAATTCAAATCTAAAAAAAATCCTTGCTAGCCCCAAATTAAAGTTCTCTCAAAACATACAATAAAGCTAATAATGTCCAGATAGGGCTACCAAGGTAATTACTTTCATTGACTTATTAATAATTATTTACAAGTTTTACTTCAAACAGTTGCTATCTATACAACTCATTTGGTATAGGTTATTTTATAAGCATTCATTATTCATAAACAAGTAAATAAGGCTTAGGTAAGCACATAAGCAAAGACAGAAACACAGGAAATGTTGAGCCAATTGGGCAAACAGTTGGCTGAGTGAGAGTTAAGAACGTACTGGAGACCACTTTAAAATAATCAAAGCCTCAGCCTATAGGCTAGAAGATCACAGCCCTCACCTCTAAGGCCCTTGCTTTTTCTCTACATCACAGCCTCTCTCAAGTAAAAGGACATTTACTGTATCTGTACATGTGCCAGATACCATATTCAGCTGAAGCACACAAAGATAAATAAGAGGCCAGGTGTGGTGGCTCACGCCTGTAATTCCAGCACTGTGGGAGGTTGAGGCGGATAGATTGCTTGAGGTCAGGAGTTCCAAACCAGCCTGGTCAACATGGTGAAACCCCATCTCTACTAAAAGTACAAAAATCAGCAGGGTATGGTGGCAGGTTCCTGTAATCCCAGCTCTAGGGAGGTTGAGGCAGGAGAATCACTTGAACCTGGGAGGTAGAGTTTGCAGTGAGCCCAGACGGTGCCATTGCACTTATTAACTACTGTTGACAAAATAAGAGGGATTTAATTTATGCTGCAGTGTAAGTTCAGACATAAAGACAAATTTCTCCACATAATGGGTTGTTAAACATATTAAGGACTAAGGAAGCTCTTTTACAAATAATCCAAATTTTCATCTGTCATGGTTTGCTCTTCTTAAAGGTCCTCTCAGTCTAGTTTTAATCTAGAACATTTACATTTTAGCACTTCCTACTCTCTACTATATAAATAGTGGTTATTGCGATTGATGACACTGATGAGTTCTATAACTTTCATAGTATTACAGATCTAAACATCAAATTAGAATATGGAACTTGACTCTATATCCACAACCACATGGAAATGTGGAATGTATCATGCTACTGAGATCACTGAAATGGGATAAAAATAAAATGTTAGTATCAGTAACATTTAATGATTTCCTAAAATAGTAATGATATTCCTTTTCTCAAATGGTAACATTCAAAAATGTACTTCAGAATAAGAAGAAAAGGACATCATCATTCTCATAGCATCAGAGGCTTGTCAAAATTCTGTCATTACTTTTTAAAAAGTCAATTAATAGCAAAACTTACCAACTTTACATAGTTACAGCTATGAATTACTTCACATTTTAAAAAACTCCTACATTAATGGAAACGCTGGTGAAATTTGAACAAGATCTGCAATTCAGTTAATAGAACTGTATGAATGTTAAATTTTCAGATTTTCATAAGTGGACTACAGTTATGTAAATAGTAATACCAGAAGCAGATAATTAAGGAGTATACAGGAATTCTTTGTACTATTTTTGCAATTTTTATCTAAGTCAACAATTGATCCAAAATAAAAAGTTTAAAACAGTCCCTACTTCTTTTAACACAAAATTTCATAGTAGCAGTCTGAGCAGCCCAGATGCTACAGAGCATTAACAATAACCATTTCAAATATTCAAAGCTTTAGAATATCAGCAGATTGCAGCATATGTCGACTGTGTTTAACAATAATGGCTTATTACCCTTTGATTTTTGACAAAAGAATAGTTTTAAAAGATGGATCCATGAATGATAAATGAAAACGTAAGCCCTACATTTGAATGTGGGAGGAAAAACATTATATTTCATGGTTATAAAATTCGACACTCAGTTCAGTCAAAGAAAAAATTTAAAAACAGATTATTCTTTGCCATTATGACTTTGATATAACTCTCAGAGATCAGAGATAAGAAATACATAATGAGAAAATGAGGGCTGGGCACCATGGCTTATACCTATAATCCCAGCACTTTGGGAGGCCGAGGAGGAAGGATCGCTTGAGTCCAGGAGTTCAAGGCCAGCCTGGGAAACGCAGGGAGAACCTATCACCACAAAAAATAATTTAAAACTTAGCCAGTCATGGTGGTGCACACCTACAGTCCCAGCAACTTGGGAAGCTGAGGTGGGAGAATTGCTTCAGCCCAGGAGGTTGAGACTGCCATGAGCCATGATCAGATCTCTGCACTCCAGCCTGGGTGATGAAGTAAGATCCTATCTCAAAAGAAAAAAAAAGTGAGGTGCCAGAAGAAATGACAAAAAACCTCCAAGTCATCTTCTGCAGACATTTTTATGAAGACAAAACAAAGTGTTACTCCTTCATTCATGCAACATACATTGTGATGTCCTATTATGTGCTAGGCACTATAATTCAAGTTAAACTTCAGAAAACATAAATTAAAAAGATTTCATTTAGATATAAAGCTTACTCCCGAAGCAAAGATTACTAAAAAATTACATTCTAAATATCTAAAAGAGATTAAATATGATTTCACAGCAGGATATCTTTCCCATTTATTCTTCATGAGAGTTCAAATATCTAAATTTATGAGGATAATGGCATTCCACTCTTATATAGCTTTATTTACTCTGGGGATAGTAGCAAAGGGTTGGATTTTTGTAAAGAATCCATTTTCCTTAGTTTTTTTTTTCCTACTAACACCTAACTATCCCGAATAGAGTGAAATTATAACTTCATGCCACATTCCCACCTGAGCTACCCTTCAGGTATTCTTCCAGGCACTTTGAAATAGAAGTAGAAACTTCTCAGGGTCTTCCTCCATCATCCCATACAATAAGGCAAATAAACAGAGATCACATATATTCTACTTTATAATTCAGAGATTGCTGACCTTTGTATTTCACCTAAGGTCAAGAACCTGAAAAATATCATAAAATGAACTCTCTTCCACTATTCATGCCACATCAAAATCTGAGTTCTGCTATTACCAGACGTAACATTAAAATAACCACACATGTGCACAGAAAACAAGAGATTTCTGACACTGTAGAAAGGAATGGGACATCTCAAACAAAGAAATGAACAGAGATTTTTCTTGTCTCCTATACTGCAAACTGCAATTATTTATTTGCTGTTACAAATCCTAAAGACTGCCTACTTACAGCTAAAATAAACCCACAGTGTTTTCTTTTAAAAAGTAGTCATTAATCACAGCCAATTGGATAACTATAGATTCTAAGACACCCCCTCATAATGCTAGGAGAAAGGACTGTGCTAATGTCTGATGGAAGGCAGGATAATTGTAACTGTTTAGAAATGTTAATGTTTATGTTAATATTTGAACTGAAAAAAAAACAATAGAGAATTAAATTTAAGTTGGGCAAAGTGACTCAGGTAACCCAAGATGAATCATCATAAATTCTATATGGTAATTTTGGGGGAGACAAAGATTTGGGAGTGGGGAATACTCTGAGAGCTGTTACGGAAAAATGAGAACTTGAGAGCTTTTAGCAAAAGAATTCAGAGAACAAGAAGGTAGAAAGCAGTGATGGAAAAGATATTAAAGAAGACAAGGGAAATATTACTGGATTTTCATGCTGACCATGGGCCAGGAAAGAAAACAGATATGGAAACAAATCCAGAGAACTTAAGGAGCTGGAGTTGAGTCACTGAAAGGAGAACATTTTGACTGTTCACTGGGGGTCCCAGAGAAAGGACTTGGGCTCCTTAAGAATGAAGCAAGCTTAGCTCAGGAATGAAACTGGATATCACTGAAAGAGCAGAAGGAAGTAAAACTAGAGATGCCTATTCAACTGATGCCTGTTAATATACATTAATCTATATTTTGCTAAAGTGAATAACAAAGTGGTGTTTGTAATTACTGACACAGATACATCTTGACTATGGTATTGGGACTGATTTTCACATATCTTACATAACGAATCATATTTAAATCATAGTTAAATGATGCATGTTTATACCCCAGGACAGCACTGAGGTTGAAGAGGATGAGGGCAGGAAAAATAATGCCCCTATCAGAATAGAGACAGGCAAGTGGAGAAATGGAAAGGTTATATATTGGCACAACAGCTATATAAAACTGAATGTTTCTAAAGTATTTGGTTTTACATAGCCCTTTAACTGTGGGGCCATCAATTCAAGGAAGAAAGGTTTGGCTAGGAACCAGTGAGCCCACAGTACCATCCAGGAAGCGGCATAGGTAACAACAGGATACTAAAGGAACGTGACTGTTCCCAGTCCCTGGGACCACTGGATTGCCCTTCTGCTCTGTCAGGCAGCTAAGCTGAAAGTACCAGAGTACAAATTACTAAATTCCAGGGTTGAATTATAATCAGAGGTTGAAATGACAAAGCTGATTTATATTTTTCTTTCCTTTTCCACCAATAAAATACAAAGCAGATCCTGGTTTAGAAGTGAGAAGACCAGAAAAGAGAATTAAGGAAGCATAAAAGAAGGATGCTTTGTCCTTCCCCATTCTCCACAATGCTCAGGGTTCGTGCAGACAGGGATGGTTGGCATTACATTCAGAAGACAAAGCTCAATAAATAAGAGGACCCTCTCCTTTTGAATACAGACTGTTTCAAGCTCCATCGCCCCTACAGAAGACATCAGAAATGGTTGTGTGTCGCCATCCACTCAGATAAGTCAGTGAGAAGGTGTCTGCCGACACTTGGAGTCCACCATTCCTTCCCTCGGGTCCTGCCAAGGATTTCTGAATGGCTAAGAGCCTAGAGTAGCATGTAGTTAGCCAGGCCGCTGAGTCTGGACCAAGTTCACAGAGAATTCAAGGAGGTGGCCTCAAGCAAGCAGTTGTGTGTTCATGTCTGCACCTCTAAGTGACCACTATGAATTGCGAATCCTCTACTGACATACGTTAAACAACACCATCCCCTACACACACACTTCTTTTTCTGGCCTTAAGAAATATAAGACCAACTTTTCTGTATTTCCTCCAGAGAAAATCTGGAAGACCCAGTTTCAGTTTAAAAACATAAAGATACATAATGCTTTAGTAAGAAGCAATAAATTTTTAATCAGGAAACTATTAAAAATGAAAGAACAAAATAAACCTGTGCATTTAAAATGTTTCTGGTCACTATTATATCAAACTGTAAAATTAAAGGGTGGCTCCCACATTGAAACAACATATATTTAACGGCAATAAAGACCCAAATTAAGATACATAAACACATGTTAAATATTTATGAGTTCACCCAACAAATTTTAGCTATGGATAAATAAACATATTTAAAGTTGTCTGGAAGCTGAAAGAGTAAAGATAAAAGTAGTTATTGTAGTTATTAGACATGAAATTTTCATCAAATCTGATTTTGCGGCCCCACACAGTATACACGAAGATTATTTTTGAAAATAAAAATTTAAGTATTATTTTTGAAAATGAAAATTTAACAATTTTTTAAAATTTAATAATTTTTAAAAATTATTTCAAAAAATTTCTAATTTACCAATACAGAAATTTTATGAATAGAAAGTGTTGATTAATTAAGCAATGCATGAAAAATTTAAAATAAGCAGTTAACAAATATAAAGACACTTACCTAGCATTTTATAAACTCATAATTCAGAGTGTTATATTTGGAAACGCCCACAAATCATTCCTTCACTTGAAGTCTGGGATCTGTTAGAATTTTGCTCTTAGAAGCTGATGGCTTGCTTCTATATTGTCGTTTCTATTGTGTTTCACAAGGCATAGGGAAGCAGACAGAAACTGGCCAATGTAAGAATGACAAGGTAACCCAAAATGCCCAAACAATCACTGAGTCACAAACACTCAGACACACACCCTCAACATTAGAGAAAACAAATAAAAATCAAATATAGGTTGTTACCCCATAGTGTGTGGGCAAAACGCCCACGATGTTGACTTATAAATCTTACACACAAGTGGAGGCATTTGACCGACACACACCACCACTCACCAATCTGGTTCTACACCTACTTTCAAAACCACTGTGCTTCAGAAGCTGAGAGTATTGTTTCACTTCTCATTCCTCAGGTCACTGAAACAAGAGGCCAATGAGAAATCCATAAAAAACAATTTTGCATCACTCTCTGCTTATATTGTAAGTTGTATCCGTAACTGCAGAGAGCCCATTAAATGCACTTTCTACTCTTTCATCAAAATGCCATAATAAAAGCAAGAGAAGATAATAAAACTATACGTATCATTTCACCCTTTTCTTTGGCACTCTAACATCTCTCCAAAGAGAATTTTGTGAAGTGCTTCTAACCACTTTTCTATCCAGTAATTAAGAAGAACCCTTCAAAACTTGCTTTCTGAAGAAGTTATCAATAAAACTGAGATGAGAGAGATAATCTGACTTTCAAAAAAAAATCTGACAGTCATCCTTAAGAATTATTCTTAGAGGTGCAAATAAAGTTATGCCTTCAATCTTCATCTTCTAAATTTCCTCAATAAATAGCCTAGACAAACATCAACATGAACTGGAACAGTTAACTCTGGTAATTACTACAGCTCATAGTGGTTTTCTACTATCTTAACAATTTTCCCTACAAACGTTCCATACATTTGACAAAAATCAATAATTATAACCATAATATCGGACCTCTCATTACAATTCCTTTTATACAATTAAGGACCCCTAAGAGGAAATATAAATTTAAATTTCAAACTTTATTATTATGGGAAAGTGATGTTGTTGGTATTGTTTCAAGAGGAAATTATTCACTTTGTAGTCTGGGTTTCCTTTTCTATCTTTCTTGACTGCACACTATGAAGACTAGAATATGGAACCTCATTCTTTACCAAGCTGGTTCCTGTACTTACATGAGTCCCTGCCATTCTTCTCACTGGCATTTCCAATGGAGCTTGAAATTAACATTTTTTTTGGCCTTATGCCTTATTTTGTTTTGTTTTGTTAGTCCAGAGTTGTTTTCCTTTAGTGATTTACTTTATGCAACATTTTCTAGGAAGTCAGTATAACTACAGAAGCAAGCAGTTTGTCTTACCCAATGCTATAGAACCAAAGAGAATGAGAGATACATAAAATATTGCTTGTTATTTCTTTGTGTTTGAGATGATGGATATGCTAATTACCCTAATCTGATCACTCTATATTATATATCAACAGAGTGCTATGTACTCCATAAATATGTACAATTATGAATTAAAATAAAATAAAAACAAAAACACATATTTAAACTTCTCCCATGAATTACAACAGATTTAAAAGAAAGGTAAAGATAAGCTTTATGTTTGGGACCCAAAAAAATCTTGACCAGACCACAGTGTTCTATTTGGACATTAAACTACCCAAGAGTATCTTAACAAGGCATCTCAATATGAGATTAACACAAACATGAATGAGCATATAATCTAAATGAAAAGTAGAATCTAATTCAATGCTTCCAGAAGGATTAAAAAAACAGAATTCATAAAAATAAGAAATCTGAAAGGCTTTCCTGCAATTATGGTTATGATGGAGTTGGCACAGCATGGTTTTAACCACATAGAAGATTAATATTTATTTTCAACAAATGTAGCTAGAAGAATGTTATTATATCTCCTCTTTTTTTCACTAGGAGCATGCTGATTGAAATGGATTCATTTATCTAAGCTGACAGCTAGACAAAACTATATTGCGAATATTTTTTATCTTTGATTAAATAACAACTTTGCAACATCTGGTTTGCTACAACAATTGCACAAAATTATCCAAAATAAGTTTTTTGAATATGTTTAAACATGTCACAAAGTGTTTAACAGCTCTTTTAATATACTACTCAGAAAAAATAAATTAAATAGTAAAGCAACTTATTGTAAAAGTATTAATTCTAATAAGAGACTCAAAAACATGGAAAAATTACCAATTCACTTTTATAGCAGTTAGGATTACAAATAAAATATGATACTTGGTTACCCAGAACAAGAACTTAAGGGTTTTTATGTCCTTTCAAAAAAAATATTTTCAACTATCAAGAGAGGTTTAAAATTGTATGTCTCTTTTGAATACTATAATTAGAGAACAGACGATGTCTTATGTTGAAACAGCAGTTCTTGAAGAGGACACAAATATTGACATCATATTACGAGCCCACCTTTGAAGGGCAAGTTCTCACAGGCCAAATATAAAGACACACTGAGTCCTAGTTCATACACATCTACAGGTGCTTTCAGAAAACCTGGCTTCAAAATGTTCTTGAAAACTATACTATTTTATTATGCATGTCAATTGTATGTTTTTCTCATAATATCCAATACATTTGCTAAATGTTATTTAATTATAGTCCCTAATTATTAATACACGTTTATAAAACTATTATATTCAGCATGAGAGAAGTTAACTTAGGATAAAGGTCTCTGAGCTCATATTCCAGCCTCTGTCACAGTAATTCTTTGCAATAGTGACACTGTTTTCTTAAATTGTCACTTTTAAAATAAGCAGTTTTCTTAAAGTTCTAAAAATAATTGATTCAGGGGAAAATGTGCATTGGGGAAAAAGAAAGACTATGTCTGTCCTAAAATGAAAAGTATGCAAACTGTATTTTACAGTCCATATATATTATGTATATATGCCTGCAGAATGCAGTATTAGAAATAAGTAATAAAGGCATTTCTGGCATGCTTATCTGACGCTGCTGTAAGTATTCAGGCTTCCATTTGTATCTCACGAATTGCTAGATAATCATTCCTTTCAGAATAAGTCAGAGATAAAAAAGATAGTTTGATATACATGAAGTAACATGCCAGAATGATTCCAAATGGAAGTCCCTGAAGATTGAAAGCAACAGATATAAAATGCAATGTCAATCTTGTAAAAAGAGCAGGAGCAAAGGGGAAAAAAAGGAAATGGCTTGAACCACTGTGTTCCACTCCCTTTTTCTACATGAAGCAAGGGTGGTGATAGCACTAATTTTTCCTAACTGAATCTTATAATGACTAAACCTTCTGCCCGTGTATTAGATTACATGACTGAATTTAATTCTCACCATCTTTCTATGAAACAGATATAATCAGTCCCATTATATAGAGCATAAAATGATACTTAGGAAGTGACCCAAAGTCACATAGCTGCTATGTGGCAGTCCCATGGTTTAGGCTCAGAGTCTTCTGATTCTAAAGCTCATGTTCTAAATCACTAAGTATCATGAGACAAACAAGTTATTAGAGCTTGTCCTATTACCTTTTTAAATCATACAAGACACATTTCACGTATGACGTTTCATCTAATATACTAAGCCCCTACCTTCGAAAAAAATCAAATCTCATTTTCATAACCAAATACTCTAGCTTATGAAAAGACTAAAAGAAGTTCCAGCCATGGATGACTTTGTATTTTCTTTTTCTTTTCTTTTTTTTTTTTTTTTTGAGACAGATTTTTGCTCTTGTCGCCCAGGCTGGAGTGCAATGGCGCACGCAATCTCAGCTCAATGCAACCTCCGCCCCCCAGGTTCAAGCGATTCTCCTGCCTCAGCCTCCCGAGTGGCTGTGGTTACAGGCGCCCGCCACCACGCCCGCCTAATTTTTGCATTTTTAGTAGAGGCGGGGTTTCACCATGTTGTCCAGGTTTGTCTCAAACTCCTGACCTCAGGTGATCAGCCCGCCTTGGCCTCCGAAAGTGCTGTGATTACAGGCGTGAGCCACTGCACCTGGCAGATGACTTTATATTTTCAGAGGTTTGAAACAGGAAGAGAAATAATCGAAAGTCATGGCAGAATGTCAGAAATGCCATAAGAGAGAGATGACAAAGAGCAATGATGAGTTAGAGGGCAGAACACGGGGAAAATAAAATATTTACATTATTAATGAAAAGCATAAAAGCTGAACTGTTTCATAAGTTCTTAAACAATACAGTCAACTATTTTGCATCTGTCACTCAGAATATTAAACCACTGTTCTAAGAAAAATGTACTATTCTCTTTTCAGGTATCATCGAAACAGGAATTCCCTGACTTCAGTAATGAGTATTTATAAATAAATCACTATAAACAAAATGAAAGATCTTTGTGGTTTCAACCTTCTTAATTAAATTAAATGCAGTTTCAACATCTGGCTTTATGGTTTTCATACAGCATTTAAAATACAAACATATTAAAAATTCTAGTTACGTTACAGGTCTTCAGAGAATGGCTTTTAACTTTCAGGTAAAAAATAAATCCAGATTAAACAACTGGATACAGAATAATTGCAACCATATCTTATACAGGTAGATCAGTAAAAAACAGTAACAAAGTTTAGATGAGGTCATTTAACCAATGATCACCATCTCATTTAGGTCCTCCATATCCTTATAATCTAATTAGAGTACAGCATAGTATAGTCAAAATGGGTACTATGCAATGCAGACCACTTCTTTACACATGAATCAGCTGAGGCCAGAAAGAAGCAGGATCTATCCTTTGCTGCTTAGCTGAGAAGCAGTAGGGCAGTGGCTTAGACTCTCATGTAACTGGTCTCTCCACAGCCCCCCTTGATGCCTCCTCCAATTATGTCTACATAGAGCAGCCAATATAATATTTTTAAAATGAAAATCTGATCTTATTACCTTGTTAAAACCTTTCATGGCTTCCCATTGCTCCTAAGATAAAAATCCCAAAATACTTAACCTTATAAAATGTTACAAATTCTGGACTACTACTTACTAGCCAGATCTCATACCATTTCTCTCAATCCTTATGTTCCAGGTTCTCTAACCTCTGAGTTCCTCACAAGAACTGAGCTCCTTTCTTTAAGCCTTGAAACAGGAGGTTCCCTTCTTCAGGAAGGTGCTGCTTGACCAGTTCATAAAATGCAGTATTTTTTCTGTTTAATCTTTATCACAATTGTGTTTAACTGTGTCGCATGAGAAGCACTCAAGCTGGGCACACTAGTGGCTTATGCCACCAGCACTTTGGGAGGCCAAGGTGGGTGGGTAACTTGAGCTCAGGAGTTTGAAGCCAGCCCAGGCAACTAAGCAAGATCTCGTCTCTACTTAAAAAAATAAAAAATAAAAAATAAAAAAAAAGTAGCTGGGCATGGTGGTGCACACCTGTAGTCCCAGCTACTCGTGAGGCTGAGGTAGGAGGATCCGTTCTGTTAGGAGGTCGAGGCTGCAGTGAGCCATAATCGTGCTGCTGCACTCCAGCCTGGGTGACAGAGCAAGACGCTGTCTCCAAAAAAAAAAAGAAGCACTTAATAATATTTCTTGATAAATGAATGAAAACGATTAATGATTCTAAATATAGTATCTTCTATTATAGGACTCTTCCTCTTTTAAAAATTTGAATTCACTAAGTTGCTTTTCCTAAACCACACTTACTTAACATTTTGCCCAAAGACTCTTAAACAAAAAACATTTTTAAAACATACTTCACTATTATTTTATTAGTATTAAATAATTTGTTCCAAATAATTAAGAAATAATCTTTATCATTACATACTGTAGAAAGTCCCCCCAAATTTAAATAATAACCTTAATCCCAGCAGTGAAAAGAAGACAAAGTCTACTGTCTTTACTAAACAATAATACCACAGTTTCCTTAACAATTGTTTTCCAGATTGATATTTTACTGCTATTCTTTGACAAACAGAGTCATAACCACAGCCTTGTCTTTAGCACTGGTATTCCTAAAGCTGGCTCCTCTATTTCTACAGCGTTTCTCAGGGACAAAAGATACCAGGTACTTAATAAGTCAATGGGGATGGGAAAAAATAAGGGTAAGAATGAGTAGGAACCAACCTTCTGGAGTAAAACTCTCCTCGTCACAATACAAACAGATACATATCTCCAAAGCTAAACTCTGAAATCTTCATTTCAATATTTGTATAGAACTTACCTATTCCTGCTCAACTCAAATCTTCAGTGCCTGACCACCGTTTATGGTCAACAGAGAGTTTATTTTCTGGCATCCTGAAATTTAATATTAAAGCTAGACAAGTGATATTAAAACATTCTCTACGTTAACTCACTTTCTCTGTAAAAGGAAAACTTCAGATTTGTTTTCTCTATTGCCACATCAAGGCATCAATGTTCAGTTTTCCTCTCTGTACTCAGCTCTATTAACCTCCTCCACCAGAACATGCTTGGGTCTGTGATGAGCTCTTCTGATGACAGAAAGTGAAGAGAGCACATTCTCTAGGGCTGCCTAGTCAACCTTCCTATCTCAGTTCACATGTCACTGGCTCTGGGAAGTCTTTTCAGATCCCACTCACCACCCAGCTCAGGCAAGGTCTGATTCTGCTGCTAAACTCTCAAGCATCCTGGACTTGTCTTCTGTAGCACTTACCACAATTTTAACTATAACTAATTAATGAGGGATACATTGCTTAATTCCTCTTTATTTCCATGATTTTGCATGTGCCATAAAGCCAGAGGCTCTTTCTGCCATGTTATGCTCCATATCCCCTGCACCCTGCAGACATCTAGTGCTAACAAATAAATAGTGAATTATAAAATTAATGATTTAATGAAGCTAGTCTTTTGGGAACTGCAGAAAAATAGCAGAACAATTTAAAGACCCACTTAGGAAAAGGTATCAGCTTCAACAACAAATTGATGAAAAATTAACACAAATAATAAAATGTATTGGGTGCTTATACAAATCTAGACAGTGTGCAATAAGTTTTATGTGCATTACCTCATTTAATCCTCACAATAACTCTGAAAGGTAGGTATTATTTTTATCCTTTTCAACACATGAAGAAATGAGGCACGGAGAAGTGAAGTAACTTTTCCAGTGTGACATAGAGGAAAGGTTTGAAATCATGCTTTTACGACTCCTTTGCCCTCTACTTTTCCTCTTTGATTTTCATTCATGCATATATATTTTTATTACTGCAATTGGTACTTTTCTATTTGTGTGTTTATTAAGCCCAGTAAAGATCATTTCATTAATGTAGAACTAAATACAATTTAATGTTGAACTTTATAATAAATTGTAATAATTTTACATAAATAAATTCAGCCATAAGAAAAAAAAAGGAGTAAAATGGGGACACTGAGAATTCTACACTCAAGGTATACACTTCTGCTTTATAAATGAAGAAAAGTTGAAACTGCCTTGATACAAGGTAACACTGCTATGGGCCTAAAGCTCTGAATCTCAAAAGTATTTAATATAAACATTAAAAAAAAGCTGAGATAAAAAACTATACCAAATCCTAAAATCATTTATTAGGAACAAAACGTATTACTATCCTTAATAATAGAGAAATATGATAAAAATATATCAGACTCCTTAATGGTTTCAAATCATGCAAAACATCTTCATTATGTCACTTTCTCTTTAAGCCATCACAAAAAGATAGTCTAATCTATTTCGTCTTTTTAAAATATGCTATTACCACATGCAATACTGAGCCTTAGCTCTTAACGAAGGAAGAAACGTAAAAATTCTTACAACATCAACTACCTATTCAGTTTTTTTGAAAAGCTCAACTTGCAAGCAGAAGCATTCTAATAAGCCTTACCATTTTATTTTATCCCATGGATATTTTAGGGAAAAAGGACCACCCACCATCCTATCTTCTACTTACAGATGAAATAGACCTACAGAAGTTACATGACTAATTCGATACAAGTTAAGAGAGTGATAACATCATTCCTGAAATCAGAAATGAGAACTCTCAAGGGCAAGACTAAGAAATTCCAGGCCGAGCGCGGTGGCTCATGCCTGTAATCCCAGCACTTTGGGAGGCCGAGGCGGATGGATCACGAGGTCAGGAGATCGACACCATCCTGGCTAACACGGCGAAACCCCGTCTCCATTAAAAATACAAAAAAATAAACCGGGCGTGGTGGCGGGCGCCTGCAGTCCCAGCTACTCAGGAGGCTGAGGCAGGAGAATGGCGTGAACCCGGGAGGCGGAGCTTGCAGGGAGCCGAGATCGGGCCACTGCACTCCAACCTGAGAAGCAGAGCGAGACTCCATCTCAAAAAAAAAAAAAAAAAAAAAAAAAAAATTCCATAATAGAAGGCAGCATGTGCTACAAAACTGCCATGTAACTTTGGGCAAGTTACTTCAACTCTTGACAATATATTTTTAAGGAAACTAAAACCCAGGAGAGTCTGGCTTTCAAGATTCCTTCTGTACCTTTCTTTATTTCACATGCATGTACAGAGCAATTTTCAATGGCACTTAAATTTATCTTGCAACAGTAACTTCAAAAACTGCTTTCATGTTCACTTGTTTTTTCTAGGTCCATAAAGCACATTCATGCAGTTATACAATCATTTATTTATCAAGCATTAAACTCTGTCCCATAAATATGTTCTGGTGCAGATTTAAACAAAATATTGATACTGAAAGTAGAATATGTTTCCACTCTGACTGCTAGAAATGTATCGTAAATATGTCTGTACAATTGGAAGCAGAAGTCTCAAAGATATTGTTTAAAGTCTCTCAGAACAAAGAATGAACTACAATGAAATCAAATTCAGTAGGTACCAGCATTACTGGAAAATTGATTTCAAATTGCATTATCCACCTGCTGTTTTCCTCTTTAATTTTACCTGACTACTGGACATTTCACATTATGTATCTATTTTTATTGATTTTTTTTTTAATAGTCAAGGTCTCACTCTGTAGCCCAGGCTGGAGTGCCGTGGCGTGATGATGACTCACTGCAGCCTGGAACTCCCCAGCTCAAGGGATCCTCCAGCCTCAGTCTCCTGAGGAGCTGGAACTATGGGCATGCACCCTAATGCCTGCTTAATTTTTTAATTATTTTTATAGAGATAGGGTATAACAATGTTGCCCAGATTAGTCACCGACTCCTGGGTTCAAGCGATTCTCCTGCCTCAGCCTCCCAAAGTACCGGGATTATAGGCATGAGCCACAGCATCCAGCCTGTACCTAACTCTTATTCCTACAGACAGATCTCTAACTGAGGTTACACCTAGCAAAACTTGTGTTCATGTTTACTCATTATAAGCCAAAATGTTCTGTTTAATTACTTTTCTGACCCATCTACTTTTATAGACAAACTTCATTTATTTTAAATGCATTGACTGATAATTTGCTCCTACTTTTCATACTTAAATTTTAGAACAATAATCCAAACCACCATTTGTTTTTGTTCCATAAGAAGTACGGTAAAGAAAAAGTTTTATTAAGTTGATACTTTAGATGAACTTAAGAGATACGAGGTCCGTTCAAGAGCAGTGAAAGAAACTAAGAATATTTATGGAAATATTAGACACATGGTGGACTCAATTCTTCATGGAGAAAATTCACTGTATGGTTTTGTTTTAGTAATATGTTAAATTCAAAGACATGAGGCATAGCTTTACTTAAATATTAATAACCAGTAAATTTGCATTTTTGATTATTTTACTGACCTCTGCTTTTATATATTGGTGTATGTGCAGCTGAGCATTAGTAATTCTTAAGAATAACCAAAGAGTTAGTAAAAGTTACTATACATATATACATAGTAGAACTATACATAACCAAGAATTAGTAGCTATGAACAATACACAACTGAGAGTTAACAATTCTTAAGAAAGAGTTTCCAAAACTTTCAGAGGACCAGTTATACAGAAGGCAATGATGCATCTGGATCTGTAACCAAGTAGAAAAAGTCAAATGATTATTTACTCTTTGATCTAGTAATTATACTTCAAGGAATCTGTACTAGAGAAAAAAATTAGAGAACAGGCCAAGCTTTCAGCACTCGGATATTCATGATGACACCACTTATTCTAGCAACAAATGACAACCCACATGAATAAGTAAATGTTTAAATAAATCATAGTATGTCTACATTACGAAATATTTTATGATACTTAATGCTTTCAAAAAAATAATGGCATTGAGAAATTGGAGATAACTATACAAACTATATATGGTTTAATCTCATTTCCATTAAACACACACAATACAGATGCAGATAATCAAAGCAAAAATTAAGTATGACATAATCTCTGTGAACACAGTGGTATGCCAGTATGTTATGTTATGTTGAGTGATTTCACTTTTAACTTTACGTATCTCTGTATTTTAAAAGTGTTCAACGTAAGCATGTACTATAATCAGAAAAAAAATTTAAATATGATCTTCAGAATGTACAATTAGCTATACTAGGAAGAAAGATTGGGAATCAAAATTCAGCCATTACCAGCACCCAAGTAGAATGGAAAAAGCACGCACAAATGATGTATGTGGAGGAAAAATTCATTCCAGAGTAACTTCTACTGAGCCAAAAGAGAGTAGCCGGCAAGGAATTAACATAGAAGGACTGCTAAAATAAAACATATGGACTAACACAGTGTCCTCTGACATTGATACTATGAGTCCCTCATACAGACTGTTCATTCATTTGTAATAAAGTAGGTTAATTTCTCATATATAAATCTAATGCTTTCTTTCATACCCCATTACTTCTGTTGTTGTTGTTGCTCTAGCTCAACATCCCCTAAATTCAAGGAAGAAAACACACATACACATACCATTGTTATCTCACTATCATCTATTATTCAAGAAAGGTCTCATTGAATAAATGTCTGTTCAGAGGCTCTAAGCAAATTTCATTTCTGAACACTACTGTCTGCAGCCCAGCAGGCTATTTCACCAAGATAAGATCACACATTTAATCAAACGCACCAGAAAAAGAAATACTCGCAAAAGTTTGCTTAATAACATCAAATCATAAAAAAAAATGTTGACAGCATACTAATTTTTAGTGTTCCTTCTTCTTTGAGGATTTGCAATAGTAAGGAAGGTCATTGTACATAAGATTTCTGCTAATTAGGCCTTCTACTAACCTTTAAAAATTCTTCCAAATTATCTTCATATGTTACTACTTATATTGAGTTGGTACTTTCAAATGAAAATGAAAACTCAACATAACTTTCTTTTTTGAATACATGAAAAGTAAAATAATAAATTTAGGAGTATTCCAAACAATACATATAATAGCTTTAAGGCACCTCAGCTGGTCAAGTGTCATCATTAATATTCAGTCTCTGGTTTTGGTAATAATGAGCCCATATTAGATGTCTATCATTTGAAAAATACTACTGGATACACTGAAGTATATTTTCTTTGGATGCTTTAGGCAATTATAAAGTTATCCATGCTCAATTATCTGAAATATCTTACTTGATATAGTTTTGAATACTCTGCCTCTAAACAGAAGGTTTACTTGAATAAACATATATTCTCATCAGAAGAATGATATAATGAGTGAGTACACAGCAAGTGTAAAATAATTAGATGTCTCAAACAGATGGATGGATACATAACTACAAACTCACTTTTTCTGGTTTTACTTCTATTTGCATTTATTTTATGCTGTATTTGTTCCTATGCCATAAGTTTTTTTTCTTCAGTTTCTTCTGGCATAACTTTTTCTTCTGTGCAATCTCCACTTCTGGTTTTAGAACAATTTGTTCTTTTTCAGTAATGTGGCAAGCAAAGCTCATACATGGGTTAATTCAACCATGAGCACTATCAGATGTCACATCTTGGGGATTTTGTTCATCTGAATGTACTCAATGCCTAGACGGTCTATATTTAAACCTTGAAGATCAGCATTATTCTCTGCATTTTTAAGCATGTGCAGGAAAAAATCCAGCTCTCTTTGTGCCAGCAAACCTGTGTCCAGCTCTCCCATCTGGCATTGTACATTGTCATTGTACAGTGGCTCTACCACTGTAGGATAGAAATGGCACACTGCTTCTGTAAAGGGACATCTTTCAGATATTTGGTGGCTTCTCATATATACAGAGCCTAGATGTCTTGAGCAGTTTTATAGATAACTTGGGTGCTCTTGAAATGAACCTGAAGATTTGAACCCCTTGATTTGCATAATTTTGTTGGGTTTTGTTGGTGAAGTGAGTAAGGAACCATTTTCTAAGATCACTCTGGCCTCTTACAGGAAAAGGGTAAACCCATTTTCAATGATTTTCCTAACCAATTCTTCTAACACCTGACTTGTCCCAGTTATTAAATAACTATTCAGATACTATCAGCACCTCTTTCTTTTTGTGTGAACAACATCCCTCTCTTAATTGAGCCTTTTCTTCTTCAAGCTAACTATCCATTCGTCCACAGAGGAACTGCAATATTCTTACTGCCTCCACGAAGCTGATGACAGTAGATCAGTATAAGTCTGAGAACTTAATTTAGACTGTGGGAAAGGGAATGAATCCAGCAGTCAGAGAAAAAGAAAACTGGTAGGCTGGGTAGGGGCATGGAACTGAGGCAGAAGGCTAGAGGTATCCAATTTTTCCTGATACCTAAGTAAAACTTCACTCTTTCCCAAGAATCTTTAGGTGAGAAACACAATAACTTCCCAATAAATTAATCAGCTCAGCAGAAAGCTAGCTGGAGGCGTCTTTGCAATTAAAAGAGAAATAGTGAAAACACCCATTCTATTAAATATTTTAAGTTAAATTGAAGTACATATAACTTAGATACTATCATAAAATTGCACCATTGTAGAATGACCGTAAAATAATATTTAAACTTCATACATAAAAATTGTTAGGAATCAAAGTGAAAACTAATTGAAATTGCCTAAACCTCAAAAGATGATTGTATATAATTTTTTTAAATGGCTGCCTAGCTCTTCCTCCAAAGTCAACTACAGTTAATAATATAATTAAAACTCCTTAGACAACATCAACCGAACATTTAAAGCCAATATAAATAAAGGCTATAGATACACACATGCCTTGTGTTAACAGAAAATGATTTCTCAATAGGTTCTTTGTCCACGCCTTGAAGTCATGATCAGTATTCTGAGTCAAGGTTCAAACAACAACCATAAGCCATTGACAAATCAAGAACACTGAAAATTTGAAAAAACAAAAGGTGTTAATGAAAAACAGTTGAACCCTTCCATTCTTGCCAGAAATAAAATCTCATACAAAAAGATGACCATCAGTCAGAACCATTTCCTTTTATTCAAAAGTCTTTGGAAGAGTTTGAGAAAAAGGAAATGGGGAAGGGGGAAACAAACCAAATCAAAACAAAACAGGAGACTGTTGAAAACCCTCTTACAGGGTCAGCGTCAATGGAATGCATTTTAGTATTCAGGTTACCCACCCAAGCAGAACATCAAAAACTGGGCTTGAGTCTCTCCTCTATTCTCACAGGCTCAGGCTACTGTGGAGCCACTGGGGCTGTCCTGAATAGTAACACACTCTGCCTCTGCGGGATGCGTAAACACCAACACAAGCTGATCAAACAGGAGGGAGTGTCGTTTCTACTTGGCTTTCAATTCCTTGAGTCATACTTTAAAACACCTAATTCTGGTACAATTTAGCAAGCCAGTTGTCCAGTCCAATGTGCAGTTTACTTTTTCATTCATTTTTACCACCTACTATATCATATCCTTTCCTTTTCAGTATACATGCTGGATAATTATGGTAAAAGTCACACATTTTAATAACTTCTCTTATTGGCACTGTAACTGAAATACATATGTCAATTCTAAAATTTCAACTCATTTATGAGCCTTTCAAAAGTTTTAGTCTTTAAAGCAATTTTGGGGTCTGAATTTTATAGGTTTATCTCATTTATGGCATTCTTATGAGACTTAAAATCTGGGATTATAAATCTTTTAAAAATATGAAAATCCTGATATCTTCGACGTTTATGATGACTTCATATGGTTACAGCATTATAGAAAATTCTGATGCAGTTAAAGCTTAAAGAATGATTGACATGTGAAAAGATAATAGGGCATTTAATTTAAAACATCTTAAATTGTTGCTTTCATTTTATACCTAATTTAAAGTCAATCTTCGGACACAGTATTTGGTGGATGTCAAAAATATTTTTCTGTCAGGATTATAATTTTTGATGGGGAATTAGTAGCAGAGCATAACATTTTAAGATGAAGAAGAGCTCAGAAATAAGTACTTAAAAGGTTAAAAAAGGACAGAGGGAAAGAACATAGTAAAGATAAATACAAGACTTGAACCTTTCTCAACTACTTAAGAAAATGCTATTGATTTTCCTAGCTCATCAAGAACTCTTCAATTAAGAAAATGATATTTGATTTAGCTACGTTTTCTTAATAATGGTACTCAAGGACATTTCTAATAATACTATGACTAATAACAAAAGGTACTATGCATGAAGTATTCACTCCACCAGGTACTTTTATATTTACTTCCTATTACTCTACTCAAACCAGCAATGTAAACTTTATTATCTCTATTTTGCAGATAGAGATGACAGAGCCAGAAACTTGCACATTTGGGGTTGTATTCAAGTGACTCTCAGTCCAAAGACCATTTCTGAGAAGCTCATAATTAAAAACACTGCCCAGCTATGCCTATCTATGGAGTATAATTTAATTTCTACAACACTAAATCAGAATTGACCAAAGTTCTGGAAGGAAATAAGTGCTATAGCACTAATTTCATAGTGATAGGCTGGGTCAGAAATTAGCCATAGAATATACCCCCAAAATGTATATAACTTATAAATACATCTATAACTTAAAGTTCTTAAATAGTTGCCAAAGTCTCATTTAAAAGTATTACACAGTTCTCCAATTAAACTTTAGTATCTAGTAAAGGTAATCGGAATGTATAGCTTCTTTCACTAGACATACGACCACTCACAAACAGACTGAACTACAGTATATAATTACCCCAAGGATCCTTTGCACTGAAAATGGCTTGTTGTGGTGCTTAGATAGTGATTAACAGATTAAGAGTATAGTGAGTCATCTTGATATCACTTCAGAAAAGTGATTTCCTCTCTAATAATTCCCAAGATATATAAATATTCAATTGGGGTCTTTGAAATCTAGTTTTAATTGGGCATTCACATTCACTATCAAACTTCAAACTTAGCTCAAGCTAACAAAGGTGTTTTATTAATTCTTCCTCTAAAAAATGCTAATAACCCTTCATGAGTTCTAAAGTGTGAGAGTAAAATAAAGTCGATTATCTTTTATATGAAATTTTAAAATTTACTAACATTTTAAGACATACTCTATAATGGTGTGAAATATAATTATGTATCTGAATCACATGGGGAATTGATTAAAGTTTCCTAGGACTCTCATGAGACCCAATAATAATGATGATGATAGTAATCATAATAGCAGCAAACAATTATGTTATTATTATGCACCAGGAACTGTTTTAAGGACTCTGCATAGATTTACCAATTAAATCTTCATAATCTTCTGTGAATTTGGTACAATTGTTAAATCCATTAAAAATACCAGGAAATTAAAGCATAGAGAGATCAGGTATCTTGACACAAATCCAATAGCTTATTCAACCTAGGCAAACACACTCCAGAGTCCCTTTCTGTTCATCTCTACACCACTCTGCCTTTCTAGATATCAAAATATCTTGATCTAGGGCCTAGATCCAGATATTTTCCCCTTGACTCCTTTGTAGCCTTCCCAAGAGCAGTCAGCAGATCAGGCTGCATATCTGCTGCTTTAAAGTTTCCATTTCACTAAATGGGGACAAAAAATCTAAAAACAAGTTTTCTACACTGGATTATTTGGAAATAGAATAATGAAAATGCCAAATAATTAATAACTATATCCAACCTGCCTATCTTTTTACAGGTTGGACATCTAATCATTTTCTCATCCTACATGGCTCTTTATGTGGCTGGATGGATGGCATTTTAGAGCACAAGGAGGCAGATCTCAGAAAAATCTACCTGAGCCATTCTCAGACTTTCTGGCCCAGGACTCTTTTATACTCTTAAAAATTAATGACCTACATTAGAGAAATGCAAATCAAAACCACAATGAGAGACCATCTCATGACAGTTAGAATGGTGATCATTAAAAAGTCAGAAAACAATAGGTGCTGGAGAGGATATGGAGAAATAGGAATGCTTTTACACTGTTGGTAGGAGTGTAAATTAGTTCAACCATTGTGGAAGATGGTGTCGTGATTCCTCAAGGATCTACAACTAGCAGTACCATTTGACCCAGCAATCTCATTACTGGGTATATACCCAAAGGATTATAAATCATTCTACTATAAAGACACATGCACATGTATGTTTACTGTGGCACTGTTCACAATGGCAAAGACTTGGAACCAACCCAAATGCCAATCAATGATAGACTGGATAAAGAAAATGTGGCACATATACACCATGGAATACTATGCAGCCATAAAGAGGGATGAGTTCATGTCCTTTGCAGGGACATGGATGAAGCTGAAAACCATCATTCTCAGCAAACTAACACAGGAACAGAAAACCAAACACTACATGTTCTCACTCATAAGTTGGAGTTGAACAATGAGAACACATGGACACAGGGAGGGGAACATCATACACCTGGGCCTGTTGCAGGGTGGAGGCTAGGGGAGGGATAGCATTAGGAGAAATACCTAATGTAGATGATGGGTTGATGGGTGCAGCAAACCACCATGGCACGTGTATACCTGTGTAACAAACCTGCACATCTGCACATGTATTCCAGAATTTAAAAGTATAATAATAATAATAATAATAAATGACCTAAAGTGACTTCATGTTTTTATTTTATTTTATTTATTTATTTATTTATTTATTTTTTGAGACACAGTCTTGGTCTGTGGACCAGGCTGGAGTGCAGTGACACGATCTTGGCTCACTGCAACCTCTACCTCCTGGGTTCCAGCGATTCTCCTGCTTCAAGCCTCCCGAATAGCTGGGACTACAGGCATGTACCACCATGCCCGGCTAATTTTTGTATTTTTAGTAGAGACAGGGTTTCACCATGTTGGTCAGGTTGGTCTCAAACTCCTTACTTCAAGTGATCTGCCCATCTCAGCCTCCCAAAGTGCTAGGATTAGAGGTGTAAGCCACTGCACTCAGCCTCTAAAATGACTTTTGATTATGATATCTGTAACTGTCACCATTCAAGTATTGATAAACTGGGAAAATTCTAAAACTTGAGAATACATAAGAACATATGACATATGCCATCAGAGCAATGATGCCATCACATATCATATACCTTCTGGAAAACTCCACTGAACACGTGTTAAAGAATATGAGTGAAAGGCAAATAATGTCTTAGCATTATTATAAAAAGGTTTTCTTTTCACATTTCCTCTGAAAGGGTGTCAGAGATCCCCAGGGTTCCCCAGAGGACACTTTGAAAACACTGATAAAACAGCATTGTTTGCTTTACAAAGTAACTGACATGGAAGTTTTGCCAGGCAGAAACATTCAGTTGGATGATTTATTTTTCCATCCCAAAAATAGTTTTCAAAATAAGTAGGATTACCATCCACAATATTCCATTTAAATTCTTGAATAATATGGACCAAATTTTCACTTCTTTTAACACCTATTTGTAATCACTTTTATGAAGACATTCATTAAAATTGAAACTAAGTTCCTGTTTTAAGTGTCAATAAGACATAAGGAAGACATGATTTATCAAGGTCTATAGAACCTATTATGAGCAAATATAGAAACGCTCCCCTTTTATCCACCCCTCAAAATAAATAAAGAAGTTCAATTAATTTCAAGTAGGACAGCTATTTTCTCTTTTACATTTTGTGCTTATGAATCCATAAGCACATGTCACAATTCTAAGAAAAAAGTTACACTTGGTTTCTTATGCAGCAGTAGAATTAATTTTATTGGACCATGCTGACACTCAGATCAGAGTAATGACATTCAAGATTTGGGGAAAAACTTGCACACCTTAGATGCATAAATGCTATTTACAAGCATGCTCACGCTACATTCTCACAATGTATTACAATGAATGAAAAATCTGGATTTTTCTCTCCATTGATCAACAACTCCCTAGCCTTCACCCTACCCTACCCGACAAAACACAGAAAGATAACCAAGGAAAAATGTCAGGAGGACCTTACTCATACTTGCAAGTTTTACTTTTTATTTAATTATAAAATTGGTTATTCTATGAAGAAATGCATTCGCATGAAATAAGAAGACATAAATATAATAATCTAAGTGTAAATATGTCCTGTGGGCAAACAAATAATAAATTACAATACAGCTGTATTCTTTAGGGTTCCTCCCAAAGTGAGCAAATGCATATTTTGAATATAATGCAAATCTAGGAAAGAGAAGGCAAAATAGCCATTTGCAAAACTTAAGGACAGATCATCCTTTTTAAATTCCAACTACTCTAGCCATTCACACCATGCTAAATTAAGGCTGCACAGCATTTCTTAAAATCACTGTTTGATCCTAAATATGAAAATCGCAATCAGTTTTCCTTGCTGATTTCTGGGCCAAAACTCCCCACTTCTAACAGTAACTGTCACTTCTACTTGGCAGTCCTTTTCAAAGAGAGTTTCAACCAACACTTAAAGTGGTCCAAATCCAATCTGAAAAACAATTCAGTTTTGCATCATATTATTTGACTAACTTCAATCCTCATGACTTTATAGTCTTTTTAATCTACTATTTATGATTTCCTTGGCTATAGCTCACAAAGGAATCAATGGTAAATCAAATCCATAAAAAAAATCTGCCTTTCCTAATTAGTAGAAACAATGCCAGCCACAGTAGCTGCAGCCAGTAAGTGCCATACTTGCTATTATTCCCTGTGGAAAAGAGTATTTAAATCTGCAAAATGTTAAGAAGATCATGATTAAGAAAATCATTTCTGAAAGACTTTCCATTCATATTTTTGAGGAGCACTCTCAGTCTGAAGGATAATCACACCAAGCAACCAAAAATGAGACATCAAAAGCATTTACCCATCAGGCAAATCACATACTGGCTTATCACTCTTCAGGCCGGGGATGCCTGATGCAGCCTAACATCTCTATCTAAAAAAAAAAATTAATAGTTCATATAAAACTTTGAGTTAATCATTCCTCCTACCCTGATTTTGTAGAAATAGTCTAGTCAACCATATACACAAATAGATCAGGTTACTGAATACTTAGTGATAAGGAAGAGCTATGGAATGGCATTCAAATACTCTGACACATTCACCTTCAGCTAAAGACAGCACAATACACTGACACACACAGTTCTAATGACATCAGGACCTGTGGAATGTATGACTGCTAGGGAACACATGCTGCTAGGAAACAAAGAACAGATCTGATCAAATCTTATAATGTAAGGACTGGGAATCATTGTGATTAGATCTTGGAAAATGGGAGGACAAGTATTCTTTAATCCTCAGAAATATTTGCAAGTATAAAGACTTTAATACGTATCATCTAGAAATGAAACAAATACGTGAAGCTAGATTCTCATGAATTAAATCAAAATTTTCTAAGTTTTCTATTAGGGTGATGGCCATTAGCAATATCTCTCATAAAAATATAACTTAAAGTCAGGCATCAGTGATTCAGTGTCTTTTGCAATCTATGCTTTTTCAAGAGGTCAAGGTCTTTAAAAAATAATGAAGATATCCAGAAATTATTGTACCTAAAAATAAAGTACACTGTTCCATTAACAGCCCTATACTTTTTAAAACAAAATAGAGCACAAGTATTTGCAACAAACACCAAAGCAGTCAGAGCTAATCTAGACCTAAGGAATTTAATACATTTTAATTATTGAAAGTAAAAAGCAGTTTCACTTGCAAAAGTAACACTTTATAAACTGTGTTTATCTATGTACAGTCTTTACCCTTGCTTTGGTTACAAAAAAAAAAAGATTGGGTGAAACAAAGCTGAGAGATAATTCAACACACAAATATCCTCTTAACTCCTATACAAATTATCTGGTATCCTATTTTGGTGATTATAAAAGAGCTGAGAATTCTATCCTATTTGTAATCCACATGCAGATAAATTGGGCGCCAGAAGTCCAGATCATTTAGAATCATTACAGATGGAAAAATATACAAAAGAAATCTTACCAAACTCTGTTTATTCTCATAGGGAAATATAGGAAAGTCTCCAAATGAAAAAGTGCTAAAGAAGTGTTTCTTTGCAGATTCTACGATGACATTCTTTAACTAGTGATGAAAGCCCATATGACACTAAAATTAGCAGACTGCCTATTTACTTCAGAGCAAAACACAGAAGGCAATTTTTCCTTCCTGCCAGAGTCTATGCGTCTCCTCATTTCCCCAGCAGCTGGCTGGAAGGATGTAAAATCAGAGGTGCAAGAAGCCTTATACTTCCTAATGAGTAATACAACCAGGAAAGTAAACACAACAGACGACAGCAGGTTAGACTCTAAAGGAGACTGTGGCAGGAGTGCTTACACCGTTGTTTACAATGTGCTCTAACTACCGCAGGCAGGGATCACACGCAGACACAGGGAGGAGACACCCTGGAGGTGGCTCGCAAGCCTCGAGTTCTCCCAACTGCTATGATATCTCTGGCCATAAATAAAAGCAGCGCATGTTTCTATCAGAGGTAGGAAAGTGGCCAGAGAATTCCAGGGACCAGGAGTTACGCTGGCTGGACTCGATTACTTCAACCTGCTGGAGAGATGACTACCCTATGAGGTTCTCATCAGGGCCATTCTGGGGTGCATCGAGCGCTGCACCAGCGACTCTCACGCGCCGCACGCATGTCGCCGAGCTGCGCCTCTCCAGGGGAAGGGGACACGGCAAGGTTTCCTCGCCACCCTGCGGGGGCCCCCGTGGCCTCCTCAAACCAGATTTTCCAGTTAAGAGGATCCCAGGCGATTTCAATAAGCAAGCTCAGCTCCAGCAGCATCAGCTCCGGCATCCCCGCAAATATCTCTCTGCCGTCCCTGGGGCGCAAAAATGCGCACACACTCAAACGCTGACTCCGCCGCCAAGTAAGGCTGGTAGAGGAGGTCGCCCCCACCCCTACACACCACACACACACGCACAGACACACACACACCCACCTATAGTGCTGGGGGCCTGGCACCCTAAGCTTCTGAGCTCCGACGTGGGACCGGAGGCTGGGTCGCGGCAGCTCAGACGCTGCGCTGCAGCCTGGAGCCTTCCCTTCTCCTCAGAGAAGCGCCGAGGTGCCTTCTCTCCTACCTGTAACCCGCCAACCGCGACCACCAATGCTCTGCCCACCCCGCCCCGGCGCCGCGGCCGCCCGGATTCGTGCAACACCGCCGCCCCCCGCCCAGTGCCCACTACCAGCACAGCGCAGCCCGGGCCACCCACGAAAGTGGCAGCTTTCTCCAGCCAAAACCGCCTAACAAAGCCTGGGCACGCAGGTCTAAACCAAACTGCCGTGAAGGAGACACAACAGGCAGGGCGCGGGGAGGCAGCGCGACTCCAAGACTCAGGGGCGCGACCTGGGCAAAAGGGGCCAGGGATGCTCCAGGCAAGCGTTGAGGGAGAATCGCGCCGGGCTCGGCACCCTGCATTTTCCATCTTCCCAGAGCCCAGCTTCTCACCCAGACCCTGTCCGTCCTCCAGCCCGCTCCCGCCTCCAGCGGCACCAGTTCCAGCCTGACGGAGAAAAGTCGCCCTCCTGTCCGCTTTCTGCCCCCACCAGGGGATGCCACTGGGGTGAGAGGAGAGGGAAAATTAACGGGGTGGGAACTGTTCCTATTCCCCAGCGTGTGCAGCTGCGAATGCGCCCAGTCTCTTATCCCCCTCACTCCCCTCGGCCGGTCAAATCGCCCAATGGCTGGAAAAAACTCCAACCCGCGCCAGACCCGAGCGCCCACCAGCCAGGAGGTTCCCTTCCCGCCCCGCACCACGACCGGATGAGTGTGTGTGTGTGTGAGGGCGAGTGTGTGAGTGGAAGGGCGAGTGTGCATGCACCCCGCACCCCCTCTTGTTGCCCGCCCGGTGGATGCCGCCGCCTGCGCCCGGCCAGGGCGACCCCTATTATGAAGAGTGCGAAGAATAAATTACCTTTCGTAAACGCCGGTCCCTGAGATCGTCCCATCAGTTGCTCAACAACCTGAAGGCGGGTGCAGTTTCCACAATCCAGCCATTGAGCCCGGGGCAAAAGACCGGCCGGCCCCTGTGCAGACACCCCCAACCACACGCGGCAAATAACGAGAATCGAAGCGCAGAGAAAGCAGCAGGAGGGTGGAGACCCCAGTCAAGGAAACAACAACAAAAAGTCTCTCTTCCCTTTCTTCCGCTACACAGCCACGGAGAAAGGGGAAGGAAAAAGAGAGCCAAATGTTCGCCTTCCTTTACGTTCCTCGCTTCACACACCCCAAGGGGGCAAAAGGGGAGCGAAAAGAAAAGAGGGTTCAAATGTCTCTCCCAGTCCACAGTTGCACAACTTCGGAGTCAGGCTCTGTCTCCAGCAGCAGCCGAGGGACCCAGCGGCAGCTATTAACATGCGGCAGTCATAGCTGGGGCTGCTTCTCCTTCTCTTGCTGCTGCTGCTGCCGCCGCCGCTTAAGAAAAGACGCTGCCGAAGAGACCAAAAATCTTCCACCATCCCCCCAGCCGATCTTTATATCCAGTTCTCCCACCCCACCCCCCTTCTCTTTCTTTTTCTTCTTCCACGTCCTCCCCTTTCCGCCTCGGAGCGGGAGCGATGGAATAGGTAGGGGGAGCCGCGAGGGCCAGGGGTGGCTTCTCCGCCAAACCGTCCTCCTCTTCGTCCTCCCGAGGCTCTCTCCCAGCCGAGGGTCCCCTCTCAAGCCCGCAACCTCCGCGGACAGCCGGAGCGAGAGCCACACAAACTCCTTCCCCGGTGCACGGAGGGGGCGCGCAGACAGAGCGGGCGCCCGGCCGCCGAGGGCTGCGTCCCGGGGGCCGGCGAACCCCGAGCCCGTGGGGTGGATGATTAGCTCGCCGGCCGGGCCGGGCAGCTGCGGGCATGTGGGAGCTTCATCGCGCGGCCCCGGGCTCTGCGCCGCCGCCGCTGTCTCTTCGGTTCTTTCTCTTCTTCGACTCCCCAAGAGCGAGCGAGGCACTGGCGCTCTCCAGACACGCACACTCACACACGCGCACACACGAGCGAGCTCCTGCCAAAGCAAACCGTGCAACCCGCGCGCGCGCACACCCGTAGGAAGAGGACCAAGGCAAAAAGAGAAGAAAGAAAGGGGAGGGGGCGAGTCACAGGCGGCGGTGGCGGCGGCAGCAGCTGCCGGAGCGGAGGCAACGAGCAGTCCGAGAAAAACCAGCAGCAGCGGCGGCGGCGGCGGCGGCGGCGCCCACCCCGACCAGCTGCAGCATCTGCATCCCCGCTCCTGGGAACTGGAGCGAGCGGTGCCGGGCCAGCAGGCGAGGGGGGCGACGCGCAGACAGCGGGTCAGAGCGCGGGCGCGCGGGGACCGTGCAGCCTGCGCGCGGGGTAGGCGCAGCCGGGGCCGGAGCGGAGGCCAGAATGAGCAGCGGTCGGGCGGGCCAGCGGCAAGAGCTCCGAGAGCCGGGGAGGGGGCTCGCGCCAGGGAAAGGGGTGGCCGGCAAAACCCGGATATGGAGTGCTCGTGGGCTCCGCGGCGCGGGCTCCACCTAGCAGTTCGGCAAACGCTTGGAGGTGGGAACGGGAGGGCTGCTACTAGAGGCTTCCCTTTCAGGGTTTGTCAGACAAAGGGTACCTCTCCAGTGGCTTCGAGGCCCGCCTCGGCGCTCGCTCTCCCTCTCTCTCTCTCTCTCTCATTCTTTCTCTCTCTCTCTCTTCCACTTCCTCCTCTGTCCCTCCCTCCCTCTCTCCCCCTCCCACTCTCCATCACCTCCCTCCCCCCTTTCTCCTCTTGTCTTCCTCTCCCACTCCACCCTAGGTGAGTAAACGACATCAGCTTGAAAGTCCTGCCAGTGTCTCATTTTTTCAGGTGCGGATTATTCCGTATTTTCATTATGCAAGTACCGAGTCTGAAAATGTTTCCTGCCTTTGGTCAATTTTATGTTCCTTCAAACTTAACTCGACCTGCAAGTTCATTGCACGGTTTAAAGTATCCCTGTCTGATGAACAATCGTGGAGATTCAATTATCTTATTTCACATCATCAATGGAAATTACCATAATGGATACAGAAAGGTGCGGATTCCAAAACCATGCCTTCTGACAGAGGAAAAGTCTGGTCAAGTTAAATGAGTGGCCTTGGTCAATTGCTGAACCTTTTGGTGCCTTCTTTGTAAAGGAGACTGTTGATTACATAATTTGTAAGGTCTTTTCCTGCTCTAAAATGTCGTGATTTCAAATGGCTAAGATGTTATTTTCTATACCAGTACACTCAAATCATTAAGATTTATCATATTCATTCAACAAGCACATTACATCCCTAGCTAAATTTCCCAAATTGTATTTCAATGTATACATTTAGAATGACCTAACGACTTCTAGGAGCTCTTTAAGAGGTAACATCAATCCTAGCATATCTGAAGAACCTGAAACCTCATTAGAATTAAAAACATACCCAACACAAAGTGACAGTTAAAATGTCATTCATTCTTTAAAGCTCAACTCCAATCCAACGTTCTCCAAGAAGCCTCTTCTCACCAAGACTCCTTCCCCAAAAATCACTCCTTTCATGATACCCTGTAACATTTTGATGACATCTCCTCTAACACCTATTTTATTCTGCCTTTTTCCTTGTTCCTTTTTAATCATTAATGGTTTGTCCATTTGCTTCTTCAGATTACAGTTTTTCTTGAATGCAAATGGCTAGTTTTAATCATCTGTATAAGGAAAGATTATATCTACAGTCCTTTGCGCATAGTTAGTCCTTTAAAAAAATTGGGGGTGGGAAGGGAGATTTAATGATATTGCTGAATTCTGACCAACTAGATGTTCACAAGCTGAAGTTATGCTACTTGAATTTGCTTAATACAGGACATCCATGAACTCCCCTGGGTACTTAAAGAAAATACAAATTGACATCTGGAGTCACTTGTTACTTAAATAGTTTTGGAAAGAGTAAACTCTAGCCAATTGTGACAAGAGGCTCTTATTTGTAAAGGAGGAAAAATGGAAGTTACTCAATTCATTTCTCAAATGCTTAATGGTTGTATTAAGTATAATAAAACAACCAAGTAATAAAAATAACATTGTAATAATATATATGATGACAAGTATAGATATTAAAGATTATTAGTGGTAGCATCAGAAACATTAAATACATATTTAATATTTATTTAGATCGATAAAAATATATAATGACAATATATAGATATTAAAGATTATTAGTGGTAGCATGAGAATATTAAATAAATAGTAGCTATAGATCAGTTTTTAGAATCATCTTTAACACAACAGAGGTCTGGAGGGATGCAGGAAAATGAAATTTCAAAGTAAAAGTTTTACATGTATATTTATACACACACATATGTACACACATAGATATACATATATGTGTATCTATATAAATGAAATATTAACTGAAAACTAAGCATAGTCAGTTAAATAAGTAATTGGAAGTGTTCACCACGGAGGAGTTGACCACAAATAAGCAAAATTACAAAGACAATAACGAGGGAGAAAGAACCAAAAATCGGGGTGTGTGAATAAAAATAACCAATGAGTAAAGAAAAGCAATGAAAGAAAGAGAATAGGTTAATGGTTTGTATAACTTAATCAAATGTCAAGGCAGCATTATTTAAGGCAGCTGCTTATATTTTAATCTCAAACTTCATGCTTCCAAGTCATTTTTAATCTCATGGACATAGTCTTCTATATCTGATTTAAGACATAAAACATCCCACTTCATTGCCAGGAAATCCATGACTCTTGCCAATGTTCTTCTAAGGTGAAGCTTCCATAAAAATAAAATAAATTCTGTGTCCTCTTAGCTACTGTATTTAACACCTATGTTACATATATTTAACACCTTCTTCTCAAGGAGAAGACATCATACAGATGATGTTTGAGCACAGATACTATCATATGATGTAACTCTGTGCAAACTAGAGTGGTTTTTTAGAAAGATGGCACTGTAGGCTTCAGCACCGTTAAAATTGAAAAAAAATAATTTTTACCAAAGGGAAAAGGGCTCTAAAAATGAAAAAAAAAAGTGATTATCTAATCAAATAAGATAAAGAGAATTAAAACATTTAAATGACTAATTAAAATTTTTAGACCAAAGACCCTTTCAAATCAATAAGAAATATACTAAGATCCCCACAGAATGGAAGTTTAGAAAAGACCTTAAAACCATCTGTTCACAGAATAAATACAAATGGCCAATAAATGCAAGGAAATATGTTCTGCCTATAGAAATCTAATACATAAAAATAGATCCATTTAGGAGATCTATCATGTTTCATGTTTTTACCATAAAATTAACTGAAATAGCAACAGTGCTCTATTACTAAACTCTAACGAAAGTGTGTTGAGACAGGCATGCCTCCATGCTAGTAATATATAGTGACACAATTGCTCTAGAAAGGAAGCTGACAATATGAAACAACTGCTTTATAGAATATATATGCCACTAAATCCAGTGTTTCTATGTATAGATATCTCATCTACAGAAAAAAGCAGAGATATGGACAAGGATTTTGTATAATGATATACATCTCAGCCATAATTGCTATAAAAGGGGAGAGGGTATGTAATGTTTACATATTCAAAGTAATCTTGCTTTTTTCATACTCAATAAAAGCCCCCTTATCGGAATGAAATCAATAGTTAGTGGGAAAAAGTTGATAAGCAAAAATAATTTTTTAAATGATGCATACATACTATATTAGTTAAGATTCAATTTGGCTTCAAGCAACAGAAACAAAAAGTAGCAGTGACCTAAACAAGACAAATTTGTTTCTTTTTCAAATGAAAATCTAGAGGTAGGTGGTCTAGTGCAGGTATGGCCCTCAAAAGCATTCCAAACTGAAATAGACACTTTGTCTTCTTGCTCAGCCATCTGTGGCCACTGTTGCTAATTTCAGTTCCAGCAATCACACCTACCTTGCAAGAGCAAGGACGAAAGGGAAGAAGGAGGAAGAGAAGAGCATTCTTGTATCCAGGGAAAATTTCCTAAAGTTGCATACACCATTTCCCCTTTCATTCCATCCTTTACATGGAAAATGTAGACTACTCTAGGCAGTCATGTGTCCAAGTGAATATCAGGATTCTTTCATGATTTAGCTCCTCCTCATCCTTTGGCTTACCATTGCATACCACCCTGGGCTGGGCTTGCATATATTAGTCTTTCAGTAACCAAATGTGTGGATAATGCAGACACGTGACAGTGCTACTCTCACATGAAATGACCTTCTACTTCAACCAGATGTAAGCTTTCACAGGATTTCAAATTACTGAGCTATTGCCATCAGGGACAATACTCTCTAATACTCAGTCAGATATCCGCAGACAGTTACTATCTTAAATGCTACTGGGCCTAAATTCACTGACAAATCAAGGTAATCAGAGTTAAATCACATCTGCAACGCAGACAGCAAAGCATAGCACTCAGACTCCTAGGATGCCATGGCATGATTAGAATTTTAAGGCATTTGGTATTCAGTAGAATAATGATGCAAATATGGATTACATAGGGCTATCAGAACATATTAGACTACCCTATGGGATAGCCCAATCCCAAGAAGCACTCAGTGACCCTTTCTGTACCCTGGGATATTTCTCAAAGGACCATTTTAAGTCTATAAAATCTTACCCAGATTATATTGCCCTGCTAATTTGGTATCTTATATTCCCTCCTTGCTTCAAGTTATTCACCCTTCTTCTTTTTCAATCCAAAAAAGACCCGTGAATTCTACATTCTTAATGACTTGGAAGCTTAGCTATAGATACAGATATCAATATAGATGTAAATCTAAATATTTTTAAACAGCTTCTCCTAAGTAGTAAACATTTTCCACATATTGACTTCTTTTCTTCCAATGGAAGTGTCTCCTTAAAACTCTTTATTATAATTTCTCAAATGTTTGCATACAGCATGCCAGTTCTGAAAGACTGTGAAAGCAACAAGTCTTTTTTTTCTTGTAACTTGGTTTTTTTCCTGTAACTTTTCTAGCTACCTTGTCTTAGATCCCACAGTTAGATTACCTTTCATAACTCCTCATTAGTTTCAACACAGAATGGTTATAGCTACTCACTATAAATGTTAGTGATAGTACCCTGCTCTAGTGGAAGTATTCAGCACTCAAAGAGTTGCGTTAAAAGTGTGACATCACGGTGCCTAGATTCTAGTCTCCAGAAATATAAAAGTATTCAAGAGCCCAACACTATTTTCTTAAGATCCTCTCATCTTTATAAGATAAAGTATACAAATATGTTTGTACTGTACTAATGAAAACATCGTGGTCAACCAGAGATAGTCAGTAATAACTGTCATAGTCTAGAAAGGAAGAAAATGGAATTTTTGATCCTTTATAAAACACTGCCACTTTTCTGGGCTCTGCTTTTCAGCCTCACTCCTTTAAGACTATAATAGACACAGATAGTAGATGCCTGACTCATAATTACCCCTCCTTCTCTGAGAACAGCTTCCACACATGATTGGGCAGATGTGTCTATGAAGTGGCCTTGTTCATACTATTTGGCCCTGACTCTTGGCCATGGTTGAAGGGTCCAGGTACAGGCAACTAATGCAGGCTTGGCTAATCAGAATTATTGTCAAGAATTTTTCAGACTGTACTATACCAAAGGTCTCAATATATTCTTGATGGTAAGGAAAGCTAAGGAGCTATCTACAATGGACTGGATGTTTGTGGCCCCACAAAACCCATATATTGAAATCCTAACTCCCAACATAATGATATTGGGAGGAGAGGCCTTTGGAAGGTAGTTAGGTCATGAAGATGGAGCCCTCATGAATGAGATTGGTATCCTTATAAAAGGGACTTCAGAGAGCTCACTTACTCTCTTTCTGCCATGAATAGACATGAAAAGCTGGCACTCTGCAGTCCAAAAGAGGGCCGTCACTAGAATCTGATCATGCTGGCACCCTGATCTATTTCTCAAGAACTGTGAGACATAATTTTCTGTGTTTATAAGCCACCTAGGCTATGGTACTTCATTTTAACAACCCAAATGGAATATGACACTTTTCACAGCTACATTATCTGCCACATGGTGGTATCTAAACCTGACTTAGTGCAATATTTTCCTGAAGAATGCAATCAGATTAAAATAAATATTGCTAGACTTTATCATAAATTCCTGTTTCTTTTGAATGCATATTTTAAATCCCAAATCAGATAAGCATAGGGAAAATTCTGTATGGATATGCAGTTATAATGCTAACATGCAGTCTGTGTTATGGTGATAGCTAGGAAGTTAGCTTCTCCTTCAGATTACCTACTGGATTTCCTTAAAATCTGAGCTCATGGAAGGCATACAGCATTACTCTTCTGAGAATGTTGGTCACATTATTTCTGCAGTACTCTCAGTTAGATGATTTTCTCATATCTGACATCTTATTCTATTATATGGCTCACCTCTTTTCCTATAAATAACAAAAATAAGATTGATCAGAAAATAATGGTTATTCTCCACTCGGAAATATGAGGGGTCTTCAAAATGTTCACAGAAAGTACATATTATTAATAAAAACTATGCATGGATTTCAAAACTTTACTGCACCAAAATAAACTCATACTAACTTGTTATAACATGACTGATGATGATCTCATTTAAGGCTCTGAGAAAGGTAAAACAAAAGTTTGAAAAGAGCCCCTAGCAGAGAAACATGCATTCTGCTACAATTAAAGCAAAACCAGTCATCAAATTTATCATGACGCTTAGGTAGAAGAATGGTGAGCTCACTGAAGCTTTAAAAAGTTTATGACAAGAATGCTCCAAAGAAACCAGTCATTTACAAATGGATAACTAGTTTTAAGAAGGGATGAGACAACGCTGAAGATGAAGCCCACAGACGCAGACCATCTACATCAATTTTCAAGGAAAAGAATTCATCTTGTTTGTGACCTAACTAAACAGGACCAATAATTAACAACAGAGACAATAGGCAAGACCATAGACATCCCAATTAGTTCAGCTTACACAATTCTGAGTGAAAAATTAAAGTTGAGCAAACCTTCCACTCAATGGGTGACAAAATCATTGAGCCCAGATCAGCTGCAGACAAGAGCAGAGCTTTCAATGGAGATTTTAAATAAGTGAGATTAAGATCCTGAAGAATTTCTTTGAAGAATTTTAATAATAGATGGAACATGGCTTTACCAGCATGATCCTAAGGACAAAGCACAATCAAAGCAATGGTTACCAAGAGGTGGAAGTGGTAAACTTCCCAGGACCCTCAGTTCTTTAGGAATGTACTAAATGGCTGGGATCATTGTTTACTAAAGTGCCTTGAACTTGATAGAGCTTATGTTGAGAAATAAAGTTTATATTTTTTACTTTTATATTTTAATTACATTTCCATGAATTTTAAGTCCCTCATACATTGCTCAGACCCATAGCAGGTATTCAATAAATGTCTGGTGAATGAAATAATTCAAGATAAGTGCTGTATAATATATAATATTAAATACATAAGATGTATAAATACATCAGTATCTATTAAACTATGTCTGATTAATATTAATATATCTATCATTCTCTTAAGATTATAGATTAATAGAATTTATTCATCTAAATGAGAGTTATCAAATTCAAATTAGTCACCTTGTCCAGGAGAGGCTGCCGTTACTCAAATCAAGTTGAATCCTTTTGAAATCTCTTTCTACTGTGGCATGATTTGGAATAGCCTTAAGATATGAACAAATCTCCTGATTTTAAAGTGCATTTGATTTTTTGTTTTGTTTTATTTGTTTAATGGTTTGGAATCAACGGGGGGAAAATCATTGGCATTAAATAACTGGAATAGAGCTTGGCAATCATCTAATTATGTTATAGAGTCAGAAGACAATGTTTTTACTCAAAATAAATAAGAATGACAATTTTTTTCTTATGGTTTGATTTTAGACCATAACCTTCTTTAATGCAAGGAGCATAACTTTCTATGTGCTAGGGCTTTTTTTTTTCATTGTAATTAATCCTCCCCCAAAACAAGCAACGTGGGCATTATTTCTACTTTATTAACAATGATGTTAAAATACGGAGGATATAATGACTAAGGCTAAAAAATCCAGTAAAGTATATACCATATAAACATATTTACTTTACTGACTCTCTGCTTACATGGTGGAGATTCCAAGGGCAAGTTTTTGTAATGAGAAACTTCCCCACTGGCTACAGTTTATTGGATCAGGGAGGGAAAGGGGTAACTTCCTTGATTAGCAAGCTAATCAGTTCTTCTTAGGGAAGTTGGAATTGGAGCTAAGAGAATCATTGTTTCTTTCTCTCAACAGGCCATGTAAACTATCTAACTGTGGTGTGGCCCTCTTTTCTCTGCCATAGCAATTCAAGAATCAGAGGTGATTTGCTCTTGATGGGAGACATGAACTATTATATCATCAGTTGAACCTGCTTTTAGCCACTGAGCAGAGGTAAAGATAATAGGAATCTGCAGAAAGCGGCTTGAAGCACATGCAGAGAGAGGAGCCCAGATGAAATGCAGGGAGAGATTTGGGGTGGTTTTCTGAATCTTCATTTTATTTCTTTCCTAAGATCCAACTACGTGCCTATACTTAGTTTCTAGAAAACAGCCATTGTAATGTCATGGTACATTCACCTTTTGATGAAGCCAGCACAACTTCATAGCAGTTATTAATGGGTTTTGTCTGATCATTTATCTCTTTCCACTTCTGGAAATAGCATGCCTCTTCCTTGGGTATCCTTCTACTCTTCATTTTATGTACTAGTAATGGTATGTCCATCATGATACCCAACCCACATAGGAAAGGCAAATTATCCAGGCCACATAAAATATTGCAACCAGCTTTACCCCAGTGATTTGTTTAGGGATAGCCACAAGACTTAAACCAGGCTTCCCTGGGTCTTTTTTTTTTTTAATTATTATGAGCACTGGAATAGATAAATATTCCCTCCTTCTCTAGCATCTTTTTAGTTAGAATGATGCAAACCAGAAGCATTTATTTATTCATTCATTCATTTATGTGCTTATTTATGTATTTGTTTATATTGTTTCATGTTGCCTCTCAGAGATTTAACAATTAGGAAAATAACATAATAATATTCTCTCAGTTTATCTCACTAAATGGTCAAAAGATTGAACATGCACTTGCCAACAGCTTTCTATATTCTTAGGTTAAGCTATTCAATATTAGACTTAAATAAGATATATTAGTTATACTTATGCAAAGTGCCATGAAATAAAATTCCAAATCTATACTGTAATATCCCACATAAGGATATGCATATTGTGTTTCTGATTTTTCTAATGATTGAGAGAATCCTGGATCAGAACTTCAAACTGGAGGGGAGTGGTAGTATGTGAGTATCTTTGTTCTTTTTAGACATTCAGAGGTCCAGGCTGATGAAGATTCCTTCATCTTAACACATGGCTTTCAAGGCTGCACTAGGCAGCCCGTGGGAAAAGAGGAAGGGACGATTTTCTTAGCATTTTTTTATGGGTCTGGATGATCTTTATCACCTCCATTCAGATTCCATTCATAAACGCTCAGTCATATGGCTACACCTAAATGTAAGAGGGGTTGGCAAATGTAGTCTAGGTTTAGGTCTAGAATGAAATGGATGTGAGTTTGAAAAATAGAAATCCAGTTCTTCCTATACACTGCCTTGATGATTCAGAAATAATGAAGCGTAGAAGAATATGCAGAAGTGTGTAGCCTGAGCACTGCCACATAACCAAAGTAATACTTGAATCAAATGGCCTGGTATGAAGAGCTCAAGACATGGATTCAGAAGACCATGTTTTCAGTCCCATTCCTAACACAAACTAATTCTGTGTTATTGGTCAAATCACTCAACATTTCTGGGCTTTATATTCCTTATAAGTAAAATGGGCATATTAAAATACCTGTCTTTACCTACATCACAGGGTTATTGTCGCCACCATATTAAGTACAGTATGTTAAACATCTTGAGTGCTGTACAAATGGAAGATCCTTGCTAGGACATGTAAACACACAACTACACTATTCATGCACACAGAATTCCATGCACTCTAATATCCGTGTTTTCTTGTGCTGTTTGAATCTCTCCTCTGTAGGTGCAATGTCCTGTTTCAAGGATGCTGTGAACAGCTCACATATTCCTCCTCCCCAGGATGAAAGTATTCATTTCTGCAGCTTGAGGAATGTAGCTGCTCACAGATGAGTTCCTCAAGTATTTCCTTCTGTTTGCTGAACGAAGCTGTCTTGCTCAAGGTTACATCTGCTCAAATGGGTTAGCCCACATTCAATACCTATACTACACAGCATTACTTAGAGGCGGCCCACTCCTCACATGTAGATGATGACTGGGAAAGGCTATTCCATATTCACCACTCCAGCTCTTTCTCCGTTGGAGTGCCTGAGGGCTCTTTGCCTCTTCTTTGCAGCCCCACTTCTCTCTCTTGCCAATGCTAAGTTCCTAATTCCTCGCACCATGCAACACCACCCCCACCCCATCTTGCTCCCAAGAGCATTCCTGGAAAAACCTCCTATTTGCAATTTCCTATGAATCTGCCTCCGAGGACACTTGATCAAAGTTAGCCTTCTATTCCTACCCTTGACCTAGCTCTAGTTTATTCTCAACATTCAGCCAGAGAGATACTATTAGAACAAAGTCACAGTGTTAGTTTCCTGGGGCTTCCATAACACAGTACTACAAACTGCATCACTTAAAACAATATAAACTTGTCTCACAGTTCTGGAGGTTAGATGTTCAAAATCAAGGTGACAGCAGGGCCATGTTCCAATCCCTCCTTGTCTCTTCCCAGCTTCTGGTGATGGCCTTCAATCCCTGGTGTGCCTTTGCTTGCAGCTGCAGCACTCGAATCTCTGCCTTTGTCATCACAGGATGTTTTCCCTGTGTGTCTTGCTTCCACATAGTGTTTTCCTTTTCCTGTAAGGATACCAGTCATTTGGGATTAGGGCCCACCCTAGTGGCCTCATTTTAATCTGATTACGTCTGTAAAGACCCCATTTCTAAATAAGTCACATTCACCAGTGTCAGGAGTTAGGGCATCAACATAAAGTTTTTTTTTTTTTTTGAGACGGAGTCTCGCTCTGTTGCCCAGGCCGGACTGCGGACTGCAATGGCGCAATCTCGGCTCACTGCAACCTCCGTCTCCTGAGTTCAAGGGATTCTTTCGCCTCAGCCTCCTGAGTAGCTGGGATTACAGGCATCTGCCATCATGCCTGGCTAATTTTTGTATTTTTGTAAAGACAGGGTTTCACCATGTTGGCCAGGCTGATCTTGAACTCCTGACCTCAGGTGATCCGCCCACCTCAGCCTCCCAAAGTGCTGGGATTACAGGCATTAGCCACCGCACCCAGCCCAACATAACTTTTGGGGGTCCACAATTCAACCCATAACAGGGTGCTTGCCCCAAAACCTCCAGTTGCTTCCTATCTCACTGAGAATAAAACTGAAGTGGCCTACAAAGCCCTACACATCTGATCCCTGAGGCATATGGCCTCGCCTTTAGCTCCTCTCCCCAGAGATCACTTTGCTGCAGCCTAATGGCCTTCTTGTTGCTCCTTCTATCTTGGGGCTTTGCATCTGCTTCTAGAATATTCTTCACCCAGAGATCTGCATGGCTGTTTACCTAACCTCCTTCCACTCTTTGCACAAATGTTGCTTCCCAGTGATGCTTTCTCTAACACTCTATGTAAAATTACAAACAACCTTACCCGACAGTTTATCACACTTCCTTTTCTTCCTCCACAGAGCTTCTCACCTTCTAATATACCCATACTCATTCATTGTGCTTTTCACGTGTCCACAATATGACTTTCCTGGGCCTCTTCAGCCATGAAAAAATATTTTAAATTACATTTTACATCTACATTGATATAAAGACAAATATAATCTAGCATGGATGTATTATTGTAATATTTATAATTTTTATTTTGATTTTAAAAGACAGTGAAATGAAAATATTTTTTGTAGGACCCTTTGGGAATTACAAGCCTTATGCTCTGTGCCTACTGTGCCTAATGGATTAGTTGGTCCTGGTTTGTATCTCTCTTTTCCCATCAGAATGTAAGCTCCTTAAGGATGAAGACTCTTCTTTATTTTCTTTATTAATGTTTCCCTACCAAGTAAAATAGGGCCTGGCATATCATAATGCTCAATAAAGATTTTTTGAACATATGGATGGCTAAAATTATCATTTTGATTTGCCATGAGAATTTTTTATTGTGGTAGTGAAATAGGTTTGTGTGGCCTAACATAGAATGTGCTGTTGTTCACATTTCAGTACTTCATTTGTCAACATGAAGAATACTTCTGCTATAGGCCAACCAATCTCTGAACTATCAACTGGACTCTGGCCTTACACAACCTTACACAATTCTTGGGAACCATGGGAAGCTTATAAGAAGTGAACCAGAGGAATTACTTTTCTGTAGCCCACTTTGGCTCTCTGGTGAGTCCTATGCTGGGTCAGGAAATTATTACAAATATTATGAGACACAGCTTTTTGAACTTTTAAAAAAGTTCCATAGAGGATTAGAAGAAAAATTTTTGCTGGTACCTTGAGGTTAGCCATAATATTGAAATATTTTCTGGTTAACAAAATACATCAGGAAAAACCTTAAAATAATTTTATAGAACTAAACAAGCGTGGTTGCCATATTACACAGATTTGTTTTAATGAAAAACTTTTTAAAAAGAACTCTGAAAACTGGTGGGTCTCAGGTGGTAGAGCAAGGATAAGGGAATAACTAAATTTGATTTGTATTTATTAGAAAAGGAGAGATCAGACTTTCAATTTGATTTGGGAAAACTGAAGCTCAACGTGCAGGAATACAAATATTGCTATTTTGTACTGAAGAATCCTGGGTCTTACGCATTTCTTAGGATAAAATGTGACCACTGAAACCTTTTTTTGAGAGGAAATGTTATTCATGGAAGGCAAAAACTCACTACCGTGCTGCATACATTTAATAATATGCACAATATTTAAATGTACGGCTGATTAGCAACCTTCAGATTTATTTCTTTACTTTTAGTAGAATAAGTGTGAAAGGTCTCATTTGTTCACCTTTCAACAATCTCATAATGTTTTTCTCAGAACTTGACTAACACAATATTTAGTTACTAATATCTGTGCTCCATTACACTATTTATTTTAATACATATGTTACCTGGCACTATGCCTTTCATCTTGAATAAGGTATTTAAGGGTGGAATTGTTGAATCCAAAACAATTTAAGAATGGTAATATAGGATTATTTTCTTAAGGTTGCTTTCATTGTATAAATATTAGGAAATTCTTTCCTTTGAAGGTTTCTTTTTTATTATATGGCATGTATATGTTTCATTTACCTACTTTAGATATGGAGTGCCAATCCCGTCAGAGCAGAGCAGAGGATAGACCCATTACTTATCAAATATATGCCTAGAAACTTGCTGGGGACATTGTGTATAGAACCTCATTTAATAGTTGTATTAGTCCATTTTTGGTTGCTTATAATAGAATAGCTGGAACTGAGTAACTTATAAAGAAAAGGAATTTATTTCTTATATTTATAGAAGCTGAGATATGCAGGGTTGAGGGGCCACATCTGGTAAGAGCCTTCTTGCTGATGGGGATCCTCTTCATAGTTTTGAAGTGGTGCAGGGCATCACATGGCCAGGGGACTCAGCATGCTAAGCTGCTAACTCAGGGCTCTCTTTCTTTTCTTATAAAGCCACCAGTCCCACTCTATTAATCCAGTAACCCATCAATTCATTTCTATTAATTCATGAATGGATTAATTCATTCATGAGGGCAGAGCCCTCATGACCAAATCACCTCTTAAAGGCCCCACCTCTCAATACTGCCACATCGAGGATTAAGTTTCAACATGAGTTTCAGAGGGGATAAATTATGAAACCATAGCATATTGTCAACAACTATTTAGAGCTAAAGAAGTTATTTACTTCATATTATACTTTTAAAAAGGCCAAGTGCCAAGTGACTGACTTGCTTAAGGTCAGTCAATAGGTTACAGCAAAGGAGGTTAAATTCAAAACTGGATCTATCTAATTCCAAAACCTACATTGTTTTTCCTATACCTTCACATGAGCAAAAGATCAACTCTATGTAGTAATCTGGCATTCAGAAATGGAGCAAGGCTTTTTTTAAAGTAACATATTAAAAGATAACATAATAACTTTATATAAAACAGCTTAAATTTTTTTTAATTCAGTAGCCACCACATTAAAATAAGAGTTCTTAATACTAATTATTTCAGTCAAGGAAACCTATACAGAAGTGATGAGTACATTCCTGGGAAAATGTAGGCATTTACCCTGACAGATATTGGCCAGTGGGATTTTATACCATTTTTACATACACATTTTGTCATATTCAAGTAAATTGTGAAAATTATTCTGTGGTTTTACCTTCTTTGTGCTTCCTTTTTTTGTGATTACTTATTTCTGCCTATCTTCTTTAGTCATTTTAAACAATTTTAATTAATACATAAAAATTGTACATATTTCTGTAGTACCATGTGATGTTTTGATACATGTATACCCTGTGAAATGATGAAATCAGGGTAATTAGCATATCCCTCATCTCAAGTGTTTATCATTTCTTTGTTGTAAGAATATACAAAATTCACTCTTCTAGCTATTTAGAAATATTAGGTACATTATTGTTAAATAGAGTAATATCTTTGTAGCTACAATGGGGCTTACTTAAGATTTTGTATAATTATAAGAAGCTATTTTAAACTGTGACAGCTTAACTCTGGTCACATACAAATACTCTAGACTTTTCTCCTCTCCCACTTCGCAGTTTAAAATTTTGTGGTGTTGGTTTAGATCTTTTTATGTTGTCTATTATTTAATATTTTATTGTAGATGTAATCATTGAGCATTCTGATTTTAGCCTTCATACTGGAGATTTAGAAGTTTATATACTGCTATTATATTAATGGAATTCTCTGTGAATTTGCCTCTACCAGCAAGGTTTATCCTTTCATATGTTTTCACATTAGTAGTTATTATCCTTTCACTTTCAGTTGAAGCACTCCCTTAAGCACTTCTGGTAAGGCCTGTCTTGTGGGGATACATTTTCTCAGCTTTTGCTTGTCTAGGAAAGGCTTTATTTATTCTTCCCTTTTGAAGGATTGCTTTGTTGACAATAGTATTTTTGGCTGGCAGTTTTGTTTTTTTTTTTCAGCACTTTGAATATATCCTTCCATTCTCTTGTAGCCTGCAAGGTTTCTGCTGAGAAATCTGCTGATAGTCTAACATGGATTCCTTTATATGTGATTTAATAGATTTTTCATGCTGCTTTTGTAATTCCCCCTTTGTCTTTGATTTTTGACAGTTTGATTATAATGTGCCTTGGAGAGGACCTCTTTGGGTTGAATCTGTATGGGATCCTTTGTGTTTCTGGTATCTGGATGTCTGTATCTCTCCCAAGAGTCAGGAACTTTTCAGCTATTATTTTGTTAAACAAACTTCCTCTGCCTTTCTATGCCTTTGCTTAATAGTGTCCTGTAAGTCATGTAGATGTTCTTTATTCTTTTTCATGCATTTTCTCTTTTTCCTCTCACTGTGTTTCAAAAAACCTGTCTTCAAGTTCAGAAATTCTTCTGTTTTATCTAGTTGAAAGCTATTGATGCTTTCAACCGTATTTTTATTTTATCTATTGATTTATTCAGTTCCAAGATTGTTGTTTGGTTCTTTTTTAATGATATCCATCTCTTTGTTGAATTCAGATTATAGATTTTTTTGCTGATTGTATTGAATTTCCTATTGGTATTCTCTTGCAGCTTGCTGAGTTTCCATAAAGCAATTATTTTGAATTTCTTTTCAGGCAATTCATAAATTTTCATTTATTTAGGGTCATTTACTGGAGAATTTTTTTGTGTGCTTCTTTGGTGGTGTCATGTTTATTTGCTTTGTTATGTTTTTTTTTTTGTGCATATGTTGATATCTGTGCATCTGGTGGAACAGTCACCTCTTCCAATTTTATAGAGTGGCTTTTGTAGGAAAAGACTTTCACCTGCAGATATGCCTTGGGTTGTTAGTTGAGTAGAGTGTGTTGGCTTTGATTCCAGGTGAGTGCAGTAGTGTAATCCCTGAACAGTTCATTCAGCTATAGTTGAATTCAGGAACATACGCTAGTTCCTTGGTGGTCTCTCTGTAGGAGTTTGTATGGCAAGTCCCCTGAATCAGGATAAGGCTCCCCTGGGAGTAACACACCTGGCTGGTGAGTTCAGGAGTCCACCAGCTCATAGCAGGGTCCCCCTGGATGTGGCATATCTCCCTGGTGAGTATGCTGAATGAACCACAGCTTTGGGATGGAGACCCCCTGGAAATGATGTACCTAGCTGCTAACTGTGCTTGAGGCATGTGGGGAGCCAGTCTGCTGGGTTTGGGCAGAGATCCGCTGGGGATGGCATACCTGGGTGGTGAGCACAGGGGCTGGTGCACTGCTTTGGGGCAGGAAACCCCTGGAAACTGTGCACCTGGCTGGCGAGCAAGTTGGTGGCACTTCTAGGCCAGTCTACTAGTTTGATACAGGTATCCCCTGGGGGCAGTATGCCTGATTGGTGACCACACCAGTGGTGCACATTCGATATTTCCTTCAGTCTTCTAGATCTTGTCTTCACCTGCATCGGTGATTTTTTCTATTTTATCTTTATGAATTAATGTATTAATTAATTAATTTATTATTATTTTTTGAGATGCAGTCTTGCTCTGTCTCCCAGGCAGGAGTGCAGTGATATGATCTCAGCTCACAGCAACCTCCATCTCCTAGGTTCAAGCAATTCTGCCTCAGCCTCCCAAGTAGTTGGGATTACAGGCATGTGCCACCACACCTGGCTACTTTTTGTATTTTTAGTAGAGACAGGGTTTCATCATGTTGACCAGGCTGGTCTCTGGAACCCCTGACCTCAGGTTATCCACCTGCCTTGGCCTCCCAAAGTGCTAGGATTACAGGTGTGAGCCACTGCACCCAGCCTGAATTCATTATTTACACCAAGTTACTATCTTCTTTTTTTTCTTTCCTTCAAGGCCTAATTACAATATTATATGTGATTCCAAAAATTCCCCAAAATAGACTCATGCAATGTTACTTCTCAGATTTCAGACCTAGGAAAATATCTCATCCTGATAATTTGGTTTTCTGTATTATTAGCTATTGTGAGTGATAGATCCTGTTATGTTCCTGTTTTGCTTTGTATGCCTGAAAGATAAGCATTTGCTTTTGTGCACCATAGCAATAGTATCTCTAGTCTTCACTGTCTAGGGTAACTATTGTTCCCATCATTAGTTGTCCATTGCCATTTTTTAAAAATGATGTTACAGTTTTTCCATGTGTAACCTTGACTTTTAAGATACGTCACTTTCATATTGAAGGTAAGAAAAAAATAAAGGGAAAGATGAGAAAGATACTGAAAGAAAAAGAGAGAGAAAAATGGGAAAATGAAACATTTAATCAAGTTTGCTTCAAGTCTGGCTTTGCCCTGTTTTCTTCAGTTTAAGTTAATGATTTCTGTCTTGATCAACTGACCAAGTTCTTGCTTTGTATCTAACTTGGAGTAGTTAGGATGGCTACTTTACTCTTTTGTGCTTGGGAACACTTCCTCATATCTCATTTCCTCTGGAACTGAAGCACTTCTTCATTTTGAAAAACTGTTTTTATAGCTTCTCTTTGTCCCAAACTGTAGCCCTCCTTCTGAATGCCACAGCTATGTAAGAGGGTCTTATCGCCATTGGTTAATATCCACAACTGTGGATGTGCATTCAGAAGGAGTTATGCAACTAACATAATGCATTTTTCTAATTCAATTAATCAGAACTTTACTGTGTTTCCACTGTATACAAAGTGCTATACGAGCTCCATAATCATGAATATGAAAAAACATGAATTCTATTCTTTACAGAGTTACAATCTATGCTGATCTACATGTATGTCTACATATATGCCTGTAATACAGTTCTACATATATACCTGTAATCAAGCAGATGGAGACATGGATCATAATAGTGCTCCTCAAATTCTAGGACTAAAAGTGTTACCTAATGGCACATTCTTAGGGCAGACCCAAGGATGTATGTGAGCTCCACAGCACCAGCTCTCACTCTGATCTTTCCCTGTCTCTTCACTGTTGGCAGTAGTGGTGGTGGATTGTTTTAGGAGTAATCCTGAATTCAAACTCCTGAATGCTAGCTAAGTGAACCTAAATCAGTTACTTATCCTCTTTGTATTTCATTTCCTTGTTAATAGTATATAGCCATACGCATTTATTAAATGAATGAATATAGATATAATGTATGTACCTCGCACAAACTATTCTAGGCACTGGAGATACAGTGGTGTACAAGAGAGTTAAGTTGCTGTTTCATAAAGATTAAATTTGGAGGACATTTAGTGTATAGTCATACTGGTCAAATTGTAGTAACATAGAGTTACATTTGCAATATATAGTATATTATAGTGATATATGAGTGATTATTTAATGTAATATATTCTGTTTGTTAATATTTATTAGAATATAGAGTGAATTTGTTCTTGCATTATTCAGGAATCAAGGTGGCAAAGATATTACAATCACAAAGTGTTTTATATATATATCAAATGTATTTAATATTTTGTCACAAGGTATAGAAAAAAGTATAGTAATTATATTTGGCAACTTTCCTTCGATGCAGAGATGTAGCAGCTTTTTAAAATGCAGCTTTATTTGACATTTTACTGATTCTTCTGTCTGGCAATGGAGATGAATACCAGAACTCCTAATATGCTATGTCCTAGGTTTTAAATCACCTTCTGGCTTCTCTATTATTCTCTGAACTTAATAAGGACATTATGCCCATGTGTTTTCCAGATCTCATAAAGCATAAGAAGATGTAATCTAAGGTGTTAGGGAAAGGAGTCAGTAGATACCTCAGAATGGTCCCTTTCATCCTAATCACACTGCACGGGACATTAACAATGATCTATGCCCTTCTCCAGCAGCTCGACCCCGAGGTAACCTCTGATAAATGCTGACCTCTGCACTGGCCTTATGTAGAGATGAAAGAAATGTATGTGTGTGTATTTTTAAAAGCAGTTATTAAAACTATTTCAGGCTTTCTAATATTCTTTCATCGTTTACCCAAATCTATGAGTGTGAGAAAGTGTGTCATTAAAGGCTTTTGTCAAAATGTGAACAAATGAGATACACTTCATGTCGTGTTAAAAAGTTATTCTCTAGTGCTCAGTGAGTGAAAACGTGCGTATGAATACAGATATACTGGACCTCAGTTTACTTACCCGTAACACAGGGACAATAATTGCAGGTCCCTGTGAAGATTAAGTTAGAAAACTTCTTGGCACATTAAAAAGTGTTATATATGTGCTATTATTGTTAAATTCTTTAAAACCAGAGTACCTAAATAATTATAATATATTTGTTTGAAGGATGTACATCCGCAGTGATGGATTTCTGGGTAGCAAAATTACAGGTAATTTTTAGTTTCCTTTCTTACGTCCCTGTTTTTTCTAAATTTTCTATGAAGAATACGAGTTTTACTTAAGTAGTAAGAATTTTATTAAAAAGTACTTCTTAAAGCTATTGAAAAAGGATTATCCACTAGGAAGTGTTAAGTGTGTTATCATGGTAAAGGATAAAGGATGACCAGGCACAATTTAAATATTCTAAGAGCTACAAGGGCAGAATAAGAGAGGAAAATTACATTTCGCAGTCCCATCCTTTTTGGGCAGGAACTGAGCTAAGCCAAAGGAAAAAATATGTGAAGGAACTCAAGAAAATCTCTTTTGCTGCTACCCTTCCAGAAGTGAGGTCCTCTACAGCAGTCTACCAGCTGTCAAAAGAATGTCTTTGCTGTTTACCAATTAAACAGGGTATTATTTATCTACTTCTGCATAGCAAATTACCCCCAAACAGAGAGATTTAAGACAAAAGATATTTATTATCTCATAATTTATAAGGCTTGGAAATCAGAGGTCGGTTTACCAGGGTTATCTGCCTCCAGCTATCTCAAAAGGGTGTGATAATGGTACTTGTTAGGGCTAAGGTCATCTCAAGCCTAGACTGGAAAAGGATCTGCCTCCAGACTCACTCGTGTGGCTGTTGGCAAGCCTCAGGTCCTCACTAATTGTTGACTAAAGTATCAGTTGCTAGCCATTTGCGCTTCTCCATAGGTTGCTTACAACAGGGCAGCTTGCTTTTCCCGGTGGGTGGGGGAGGGATGTGTGTGTGTGGGGGGAGAGAGAGAAAGAGAGAGAGTCTTTTAAAGTAATCTAATCTCGGAAATGATAGCTTATTACTTTTGCAATATTCTGTTTGTTAGAAGAAAGTCGCTATGCCTAGCCCCACACTAAGAGGGGATTACACAAAGGCCATGAGTACTAGGACACAGTATCAGTGGGGACATGTTAAGTCTGACTACCAAGATGTCCTGAAAGATGCTTGTTAAGCTACATTGTAGCTTGACCAAGATGTCCTGAAAGATGCTTGTTAAGCTACATTGTAGCTTGACCAAGATGTCCTGAAAGATGCTTGTTAAGCCACATTGTAGCTTGATCATCCTTCTTTCATTCATAAATACTTAAACAAATGTTTGGCATTGATATTTCTAAACACACACACATTTTTCTCATTCTGTTGGTTTCTGTGATAGCTATGACTATTCTGATATGATGTTAAGTTAACCATATTATAGAGTTGAAGGGATCTTCTAGAGCATTTATTCCACATGAAATTTAAGACGAGAAAAAGGGAAATGACTTCGACCAAGTTATATAGCTGGTTGCTAACTACTTACAATACTAGAACAAATATAGGTTTCCTGACTTAGAGTTTTTAAGAAATTGAGGAAAATATTATACAAATGAGGTTAATCGTATATGTCACTATGTTAAGCTGCTGAGATTTTGGCATTTATCTCTTAAGCAGCTTATGTTACTGTAACTAATACACAAGTTGCTGTTAGAAGTAAGTAGGAACTCTAACCACAACAACAAATCTAAAATATATCATGGCTGAATAGGAAGTCAGTGGGTGTCAAGAACATTTGTTTCAGAAATTGGAAAGATTCAGACTCCAAATATGTTGTGGCAAAATACCACCTGCAAATCCTGGAAGGTAAACTAACTCTATGCATACCAAATAAATGAATGGGTCAAAGCCTGGGCCTTACCTATTATATTTTAAGTGAGTGAGAAATACACTTTTATAGGTTAAGTAAGCCATTGAATATTTCAGGTTCATCTGTTATTACAGCTATTGCTGCCTTAACTAATTCAGTCTTCTGTGTACAAAGCAATCTGTTGTTTTGGTGTTATTAATTTTTGTATTTAAGAAGAACTTTCTTCCTATGAATTACTTCATTTTGTGAGGTTTTGTCTAAATTATTTTAAATTCACTAGAGATTACAAATAACTAGTATTTCATCAAACACTTGCTTTCTGCTAGCTGCTGTACTAAAACATTTAAATTATCTCACTGATGATTTACAGTAATCTATAGCAAATATACCGTCATTATTTTAATTGTACAGATAAGAAAACTCAGGATGATAAAGCTTCAGTAACTCGGTTAAAGTTATATCTGGTACATAGAAATTGTTAGAAACTTAAGACTGTAGCTAGGGGATAAAAATGAGATTAACTATAAACAACTAATTAATATGGATGATATATCCTAGACAGAATATGTTATATGAGAAGAGAAAACAAACAAAAAAGTAAATAGAAGACAAGAGAAAAGAATCTACTGCAGAAATTTAGAAATAGCTGACTTTAAAGCTTGGGTAAGAGAAACTGTCAAATGAGAGTGATCAAAGAGTTAGAAAGGTAGGAGGAATGACAACACAATATGTTTTTGCCAAACTAGGGAAAGTAAATGTTTCAAAGAGAAAGCAATAGTATTAAGTGTTGCAGAGAGAACAAATAAAATAAGGACCAAAGGACATGTTTCCATTAGAATTATGAGTAAAAATGTGACCTTGACAAGAGCCATGTCAGAGATGGAGGTGAGTCAGATTTGCAGTGCAATGAATGGAAATGAGGAAATGAAGACAGTGAGTAGAGATATCATTTTAAATAAGTTTGGCTGTGGAGAGAGAAGAAAAATAAGGTGGTAGCTGGAGTGGACTGTGGGACTGAATTTTTCTGTTTGGATAACAGGTTGTGAAGGAATAAGTAGAAAAGGAAAGGTAGGTAAGGCAGAATAGAGAATAGATATATGAGAAAACACATTGGTCTTCTGAGAAATCTAGAAGGATGCAATCTAATTTGCAGGAGGAGGATTTACATTTCAACCTGAGGGAAAAATCAAACGAATAGGTGGTGATGAAAGTAATTATGCAGAATAATTTTAGGTAAAGAAGGCAACACAATTCTCTGGTATGTTCTATTTTCTTTTTCAAGAAGGATGTAGAGTTAGTGGCTGAGATTAAAAACAGTTAAGGATTTGAAAGGAGTGGTTATGATTTTAAGCATCTTCAAAAACTGGAAAGAGAGCTGATAGTAAAATGCAAACACAATGCAGCTCTGTAGCTTGGAGAACCCCACTCAGGTTGGAAGCCACAACACTTTACAGATTAAAAGCACTATAATATTTCATAGTCTTTGATCTACTGTGTTTGGATTAGAAATTTATTGTAAAGAAATAATCATGAATATATCCAAGATAGAGCCATAAGGATGTCCACTGTGATCAGACAGAGCAAAGTAAATGCCCCTCTGTAGACTAAGATGGATCCTAAGGTTAAGGAAACAAAAGTTACTTACAGGTAAAGGATTCAGTGATTGGCTGGCATAGCAAGTTCCTAAATACCTCTGTCTACAACAAAAACCACACTTGCTGACACCCTAACAATAGGAGCTATAAGGCAAATTATCAGATTCTTCCTAATTTTATTTTACAACACAGACCATTACAACTCTGATTGGACAGAGGACTGGTCTTACATCCTTTCCTGATAAGCAACTGCAGACCTTAAGCATATTTCAACCAGCTTATAGAGACTGCACACAAACTGTGTCCTATGGTTCACTTATTGATGTAAACAGCCAAATTCCATAATTTTAATGCCAAAACCCCACCCCGAAGTAAATATGGGATGCATATTACATATGTTTGCCTATTATGCATGCATTCAACACACCTCATAAATATGTATAGCCTTTCCCCCAAACTTGCTGAATATGCATAAATCTATTATCTAATACAGGCCCTGTGAGGCATAAAACCCAACTCTTCTCTTTTCCTCTTTGAGGAGAGAGCACCTCTGGTACAAGCTGGAGACTGTCTCTTCCCAGTTTGCAAACTGATATCGCCACTAAAACTCTCCTCTCTACTATTAGCCATCCTGGTGGTCTTTTGGATGACACCATGATAGAATTTACAATAGTAAAAAACTGGAAACAACTTAAATGCCTATTGATAAGATTTGGTAAGTAAATTATGGTTCATCTGTAATTAGAATATCATGCAGCCATTAGAAATTATGTTTCATAAGGAAATTAAATAGCTTGAAATATGTTTGTCATATATATAATGAAAATGGAGGTTATAGAAATAAACTTGTTGTATAATTCCATTTATTTTTTTGAAAATGAAAGCACTTATTACGTACATAGAAAAATGACACAATGGGATTACATATGTCTTAGTTTTGGACTGCTATAAAAAAGTACCATCTACTGGGTGGCTAATAAACTATAAAATTTCATTTTTCATCATTCTGGAGGCTGAGAAGTCCAAGGTAGGTTACAGGCAGATTCAGTATCTGGTGAGGATGGCCTGCTTCCTGGTTCATAGAAGACTGTCTATTCCCTATAACCTTCCATAAAGAAAGGGGCGAGGTACCTTTCCCAGACCTCTTTTATAAGGGCACCAATCCCATTCATAAGGGCTTTGCCCTCATAACTTAATCACCTCCCAAAAGTCTGATCTCCTAATACTGTTCTTAACTTGAGAGTTAGGATTTTAGCATATTTTGCAGGGACACAAATACTATATGCAGCAACATGTGAGTTATATTTCTGCTAGTCCTTGTCTGTATTTCTATTTCTTCCTATTATAAACATTTCTAATTGCTGTAATTAAAAATACCTTCCTTTTAGAGGATTTATTGAGAGTTAACTGAAGATCTAAAACATGATTCATGACATAGTATAGCAACCCCCTTCAGCAGCTATTGTTCTGAAGGATATCATTCCATGGGCTATTAGTAGGTATATGTAGGGGGAAATGTTCACAGCGATTTCAAAAATGTTTTTTTAAATTCATTTCACAGTTATGATGTTTAATGGTAGAAATCGTCAGAACTTCAAATATGCTAATTTTCATTGTGACTCTTCTTTCTCAATTTTAATTAACCACTGAATCATTTCCACATGAAATATTTATTGACATTTTTTTAAAAACTAGTTTTCCTTATATTCCTTTGCAAAATGGTGTGTTAGCATAAGTTACCTTATAAATATGATCCTCACTATCATTGAATGCCTTATTGTCATGACAGTGATAAGCAAGAGTGAGGATATGAAATTTTATGGGCTGATAAAACCTGTCAGATTTTTTAAGTCTATCTTCAAGAGCACACTAGTCAATGTATAAGGTTTGGTATTTCTCATTTCAGAGATATTATTTCTTTTAGGTGACAGAACTTTTGCACTGCTTTAGAAATGCAACTCTTGTGTCTTTTAACCAACTTAAATTAATAAAACTCTCGACTGAACAGTGCTTGTAAAAATAGTGTCTTAGAGATATACCAACCAATGTTATGAGAAATAAAGATACATAAAAAGGTGCCAACATAAAACTGTAACCCATAAGCTTTTTCTTTAATAGCTTCTCTAACTCATTTCATAGATTTTGTTGTATCAAAATGAGGTTTTAATTATATGCTTTAAATTTATTTAAGATACTTTATGTTAAACCTGTGGAGGTACATTTACCTTTCTCTTACTTATTCAACTGTAATTTCTACTTACCATAACCTGCTTCTTATTTTTTAAAAGAACATATGGCAGAAACTCATTAAGTTCATTAAATAATGAGGAAACCAGTAAGATGTTACAATCGGTTTTTAGGAGAATCCAAAGAACAGGCCCCTATATAGGCTCATGTGAACACTGGCAAAATGGGTCAATATCCCCAGAGCTATAATCAATTTCATTCCATTGAACACAATAAATTTGCCTTGTATGACACAGAATCATTCACATTATTATTGGTTTTCTATGCATTTTACAGAGTTATAAAATAGTCAAATACAATGAAAAGGGTAAATCCCATAGAGTCAGATAACCCAGAAAAGTGTGCTTTAGACAATGCAGTTTTCTATTGAAAATACCTGGTATTTTGATGTATTTCAAAGTCCTCATAATTTTTCCTGAAGGTGTCTGTCTATCTTGTAATCATAATAATTTAAAGAAAAATGCTCTTGAATACAAGATAAGGCTAGCTTTACTAGGTTTGGCCTGATATGTAAGTGGTAAGAATATTAATTTTGCATACAGGCCTTTTTCAGTTTTTTACAAATCAAGAAAGGCAAATCATTGTAAATCAATATGGCTTTTGATTTAATTGGACAATTAAAAACACCACATGATTAACTTCTGTATGGAAATATTCATAAGTAGTTTCATATTTGAATATAAAATGTTTATTATTTACTATGCCAAGGCTAGAAAAGTAAGCCCAAGATACTCTTTCCACCATAGCTCTAAATTTGGGAGATTTTTGTTTTCTTCTTAAAGTGCTGCGAATTTTTTTAAGTTCTTTACCTATCAGGAAGTGACATTCCTTAACAGCTATAAGGCTGGGACGCTGCAAACCACATATTAGGCAGTCTTCCTGGGAGAGTCTAGTATTAATTAGCTCCATAAGAAAATCAACCTTTGTTTCTCAAAAGCAGCTTGTTATATCTGATTAAGTGATCATTGTTCTCAAATATGACAGTCAATTGTACAATTGTACAATAATTGTACAATTATTTTATTCTATTATATCCTGGTAAAAAGGAGAGCATTCTTATTGAGCCTATGCAGATAACTATATTGCCATAAAAAGCCAGAAGCAGCATAGAGTTTCTGAACTAGGTGATCAGTAAGAATCAGGGATCTTTTAAATATTTCATTTCAATTACAAAAGCAGAATTAACTCATTTGTTCTGGGTTTTAAATAGTTTAGATGTTCCCTCATTAGTTCATTTGGACTTCTGTAATTAATTCTTATTCTGTTGGATCTTGGGTTAGTATTTTCGTGAAGACATATACTTCTTCAGTAAAAAGAGTTGGGGAAATCTTGACTTAGTCCACTGCTACAGTCTAACAGTGGTCTAAGCAATGTCGGGTCAAAGTGTATACCCAACATCCTAATCTTTGAAGGATCAATAGTTGGAAGTACCTGCTGTAGGTTTTACCCACAAGTTTTGGAGACTGTCCTTTACGGAAAGAGACTGATCATTTCTGTGTGTTTTAAAGACAGTGAATGCTGTATCTATTTTTTTTAAGGATGGATTTTTATAGGACAAAAAAATCTTGAAATATTACACATAATGATTCTTGAACTATACATATCAAGAGTATACCAAGAATAACAAGTAAAGTCTGGAATAGAATCTGCACATTTGTATTTTTATAAACTCCATAGGTAAGTCTAATGTTCATCACTGTTTGAGAACCACTGACTTAGAAGATGCTAGATTCAACTTAAAAAATTAAGGCTGTGGCCTAAGAACACTTTAAGTAAACTGAAACTATGACTCATAACATTTTACTTTTGTTAACTAATATTAGATAAAGCACTACTTAAACTCTGACAAGTATAGGAAAACAAAAAAAAAAACTATTTCATAAGAGTTTTTTCAGTGTTTTCCTGAGGTTGATACATATTATTGAAAGCAAGAGTTTTAAAAAGTACCCAAAGACTTCCCATAAAGCATATCGTTTCTGAAATACTTACATTAATAACATTTAACAAATAGTAATGTAACCTAAAGAATGCTAAGTATCTCTTCTGATTTGACAGTTCTTATCATGCAACTCATCAAACAAACCTAATTAGATACTTCTGTCATCTCCTTTTAAAAGGTAAAAGAACAAATTGTTGTGATTTTCTAGAGACCCTCTGGAAAAGCATTGATAGTTTTAGGTGTAAAAATATCCTGTAAGTTTAATCTTTTTTTTTTTTTTTTTGAGACAAAGTCTCACTCTGTCACCCAGGCTGGAGTGCAGCGGTACGACCTTGGCTCACTACAACCTCCGCCTCCCAGGTTCAAGCGATTCTCATGCCTCAGCCTCCCGAGTAGCTGGGATTACAGGCATCTGCCACCATGCCTGGCTAATTTTTGTATTTTTAATAGGGATGGGGTTTCACCATGTTGGCCAGGCTGGTCTCAAACTCCTGACCTCAGGTGATCCTCCCATCTCTGCCTCCCAAAGTGCTGGGATTACAGGCATAAGCCACCGCACCTGGCCTGTTTTTCTATATTTAGAATCTGATTTGGGGAAGGTAAAATTTTTTTTTTTGAAGTTTTCAGAAGAGATTTGGATACTTGATTAAGATAGAACTGTGAGTACTTGGAAAAAAGTACCTGGTAAAGTATTTAATTAAAGAGACAATACCGCCCCTCCCACCCCACAACACACACACATCTTGGAGCATAAAGAGATTATAAAGAAACTTAGCTCTTTGAGAAGTGAGAACTTTTGTCTTCTGTCTTTTGTTTCCCCTGAAATAATTGAGGATATAATTGAGTTAACATAATGAACAGAAAATTATTCTGGTAAAAAGTGGAATTTTACAATCTAGGCAGATTACACAAAATACCTTTCACATTGTAGGTACCAGTATTAATTGATAAACCAAGGAAGAAAGATCATCAGGATTGACCATACAGCTAATGATTTTCATAGCTTCTTTATCTTTTTAGCTATTTTTGTATCATCTATCTAGCTACATATGCACAGTATATACACATATATATGCATATATATGTTTTATATTTATTGAACATGTGCTTTTTAGAATTATAGGAAATAAAGATGTGAAATATAAAATAAAATTTACTTAATAAATTTTCAAAAGTAGTATACTATAGTTCTCCTAATTTCCAAACATACTTTATTATATATATTTTTTCTTTTATTCTCTTAACTCTAAGGCCCTTTAGAAAATGCAGTTCTGCCAAAGTCTTTCAGTATTCAATTTTCATCTATTCTGCCAATAATAATTCACTAATGCCACCCTTTAATACCTGTAATTAAGTGCTAAATAATTTTTTAAAAATTCAAATATTATAATTTTCATTATTTGCTTTATCTTTTGTGAATCTCATGTTTATTCCATAGCTTTCTTCTTCTTTTTTTTAGTTCTACATAACTCATTATCACCAAGCATATATATTTTCTGAGTGCCTGTTTGGTACAGGACATCATAAATTGTTAGTTATATAATATTATTAGCTCATTTTCTCTTTCCAGTGTGAGAAACTGCAGTCCTTAACCCACTTTAATAAATGTGAGGGTTTTTTTTTTTTTGCACAGTCTTTGTTTCTCTTAATATATCTTATGCCTTTTACTCTGAATAATGTTTTTTTCTATAGGTATATGGTACTTTATATTATCAATATCTGTAAACACACAAAGGCAATTAAAATGAATCTTTATTTTAAAAAGGGATCTTTTTCTATATTATGCTGAGGAATTGCTTCACTAGTAATTTTTATAAAAATTGGATTTTGGAATTTCCAGGATAACATCAGTTACATGAAAGAGAGAATACCTGTGCCCATTTTTCTCATTTCATTGTTTTCTGCCGAGACATTCTTTTGCATGCCAAAACACTCTTTTGACTTAGTAATATCTGAAAATATTTGCAGCCTAATTACTTAGGCCTATATAACATTTCTCAGTTATTATTACTAATTAATTTCTCTTATGGAAGACGTGACAATGAGTAACTCTCAGAAAATAAAAGAGGTGTTGTAAAAAAAATCAAAGGTCTCAAATAAACATAATAAAATTGAAATGTTGCCACTCTTCCTGTATTTTTTTTTCTTCTTATCATTATCATTCATTTATCTGACAGCAACCCTCTGTTTCTACAGATATTCTGCTACTTGAAAATGGAGACAGTGAGGTGTTCAATTTGTATTCCAGTCAAGACTTAGTGGGAACTCAATAAATGTCTATGGAATGGTTTCAATAAAACAGTGAATCTCAAAATTATACATGGCAGAGATAGAGAGTCTGACCTCTATCTCTAGAAGCTGTAAATTTCTTTAGAATCTCAGGTTACATTTAAAAATTAGGCCTTTTTAACATTAATATGCATTTATGTGTATATATATATTTATATGTATTCACACGTAATTTTTAGTAGTTTTGTGATTTTATCAGTTAATATGAAGGGGCAGAGGCAATCCTAGATTTTGTAAATACTAAAGCTTATAAAATTATTGTTCGCTCATTAAGAAAATGAATATAAAACTGTATATAGGCTGGGAGCGGTGGCTCATGCCTGTAATCACAACACTTTGGGAGGCCCAGGCAGGCGGATCACAAGGTCAGGAAATCGAGACCATCCTGGGCAACATGATGAAACCCTGTCTCTACTAAAAATACAAAAATTGGCTGGGAGACGTGGCTCATGCCTGTAATCCCAGCTGCTTGGGAGGCTGAGGCAGGAGAATCGCTGAACTAGGGAGTTGGAGGTTGCAGTGAGCCGAGATTGCGCCACTGCACTCCAGCCTGGCAACGGAGCAAGACTCTTATCTCAAACAAACAAACAAACACCCAAAAGACTGTATATAAAAGTAAGTATATAAGTAAACGTTTATTTAGAAAGAGAAAAGGAATCACAATACCACAAGCATCACAAAATCTAAAAAACTATAAATTAAATGCATAACACACTGCTATACTACTGTCTTTTGTCTTCAGACCTTTTCATTGTCACTTCAAATAACATGAATTATACAATATCATTTTTTATAAAAAATAATTTAGCCTTCCTATCATGTGATTTTTTTGCTATTATTAATATTAGAAAAACTTTACTTCTGCATCACGACTCATTATTTATAATGCTGTGTAAATTTTTGATATATTTTAAAATGGGGAAAAGCTCTGTCAACTTTATTTCATGTATAAGCTACAAGATTTGGAAGAATTTCCTAGAGTCCAGCCTCTGGCTGTATACATTTCAAACCTCTATTACCCACATACTTAGTGACAGGTGCTACAGGACAAGTTAATGTATCTTGTGATACAAGCTCTTGTCTTTCACCTTCCTGTCATGACCCTGGGAAAATCAGCACAGGAGTTGTAACCCTGGAATACATTTCTTCATCAAAATGGTAATATCTTAACTATATATGCAAATTATTCAGCTAAAACCAAAGCATCTCTCCAACTCAACTTACCCATAGCTGAATCTGAAAAGTGCCTTGTCCCATTCCAATCCATCTGACATGAAAGAAACCTGATGAAAAGGGAATAAGAATGGAAACGAGTCTCTGCCTTAAATGACTATGGATAAATGTCTTATTTTTGTATATTTACAAAAAGAAAAGAGCTTGTGCAAAGATTGCAAGGGCACGTTCCAAGGCTTGGAATGAGCTACACAAGAGAACTTTCCTAATGCCAAGGTTTATAGATTCATGGTTAAATTCAGCTTTAGTTTCAGGTGCTATTCTTTTTTTTTTTTTTTTCAACTTTTATTTTAGATTCGGGAGTACATGTGCAGGTTTGTTACATGGGTATATTGGGTGATGTTGAAGTTTGGGACTTGATTGATCACATCATCCAGGTAGTGAGCTGCCCTCCTTCCCTTCCTCATCTAGTAGTCTCCAGTGTTTATTGTTGCCATCTTTGTATCCACAAGTACCCAATATGTAGTTCCCACTTGTAAATGAGAACATGTGGTATTTGGTTTCTGTTCCCGTGTTAATTCTCTTAAGATCATGTACTCCAGCTGCATCCATGTTGCTGCAAAGGACGTGGTTTTGCTCTTTTTATGGCTGTGTAGTATTCCGTGGGGTATATGGACCACATTCTCTTGATGCAGTCCACCATTGACAGGCACCTAGGTTGAATCCATGTCTTTGTTATTGTGAGTAATGCTGAGATAAACATAAAAGCGCATGCATCTTTTTGGTAGAGCAATCTATATTACTTTTGGTATATATCCAGTAATGGGATAGCTGAGTCAAATGATAGTTCTAAGTTATTTAAGAAAGCTCCCAAACTGCTTTCCAGAATGGCTCAACTAATTTACACGAACACCAGCAATGTATAAAGTATTACGTTTTCTCTGCAGCCTCGCTACCATCTACTGTTTTTTGATTTTTTTAAATAATAGCCATTCTGACTGGCGTGAGATGATATCTTATTGTGGTTTTGATTTGCATTTCTCTCATGATTAACGGTGTTGAGCATTTTTCATATGTTTATTGGCCACTTGTATGTCTTCTTTTTACAAATGTCTTTTCATGTTTATTGCCCACTTTTCAATGAGGTTATGTTTTTTGCTTGTTGAATTGTTTAAATTACCTACAGATTGTGTCTATTAGGCCTTTGTCAGATGCATAATTTGTGAATATTTCCTTCCATTCTGTGGGTTGTCTGTTTACTCCATTGATAGTTTATTTTGCTGTGCAGAAGTTCTTTAGTTTAACTAGGTCTGGCTTGTCAATTTTTGTCTTTGTTGCAATTGCTTTTGAGGACTTAGTCATAAATTATTTCCCAAGGCCAATGTCCAGAATGATGTTTCCTAGGTTTTCTTCTAGGATTTTTATAGTTTTAGGTTTTACATTGAAGTCTTCAGTCCATCTTGAGTTAGTTTTTGTATATGGTGAAAGGTAGAAGTACAGTTTTATTCTTCTGCATATGGCTAGCCAACTGTCCCAGCACCATTAATGAAACAGGGAATTATTTCCCCCATTGCTTATTTTTGTTGACTTTGTCAAAGATCAAACGACTGTAGGTGTGCAGCTCTATTTCTGGGTTCTCTATTCTGTTCCATTGGTCTATGTGTCTGTTATATACCAGTACCATGCTGCTTTGGTTATTGCAGCCTTATAGTATTGTTTGAAATTGGATAATGAGATGCCTCCGGCTTTGTCCTTTTTGCTTAGGATTGCTTTGGTTATTGGGGCTCTTTTTGGTTCCACATGTAATTTAGAATATTTTTTTCTAATTCTATGAGAAATGACATTTGTAGTTTGATCAAAATAGTATTGAATCTGTTTATTACTTAGGGAAATGTGGCCATTTTAATGATATTAATTCTTACAATCCATGAGCATAGGATATTTTCCATTTGTTTGTAATATCTGTGATGACTTTCAGCAGAGGCAGTGCTCTTCTAAGTGGTTTACTTGTATTAACTCAATTAGTAACCATATTAAATGCTATACTATTATACTATTGAATATCCCCACTTTATAGATGAAGAAAATTGAGGCAAACAGATGTTAAAAAACTTGCCCAAGTTCATGAAGTTAATGATTGGCTAAGATAAGCATATGAACTGAGGCTCTCTGGCTTTAGATACTGTATTGTTAGCTATTTGTTCATTATTATGCTTGTTTTGATATTATACATTGAATTCCCTGTTAAAAGTCTTCCTAAAGTGGAGCCTATAGGAATATATGCACTGTTTATCTAGTGCAGTTCACTGGTATTCCCAGCACACTACTATACACATCTAGATAGGTCTAAATCACATTTTAAGAAGCATGGAACAAGCATCATGGTATTTTTTTGTTTTATATTCCTCAAAAATGAAAAAATCAGAGACTATGTGACTTCTTAATTAGTGCACCTGTACAAAGAACCAAGAAACCTGTTGATATCTAATACTATTGAATATAATGCCAAGATATCACCAATCCACTCTTATAAAATAACATTTTTAATTTAATTGTATCATCAGACTACCAATATCAATCAAACATGATGCTCAGAGGCAGACGTATCACTTGCAATTATGCAAAAAAGGGGATATCTGGTAACTCGTTTATTTTCAAACATAATCTTGGTGTATTAATATTCTTAAAAATCACAGGTATGTCTTAGATCTTCCAAATCTGACGTATAATAAATCTAAGAAGACATAATTTAAAGTCTGGGGTTATCTATTTTATTAATTATGTCACCATCAGAGTTCTTGGAAATTGCAATCAGCAATAGGACCCTGTGTAAAAGTAATCACTAATAGCGTTATCACTGTTAATGCTGATAAAACGTCTGCTGTGTATCAGATAACATGTATGTTTTATTTCTATTGATTTATAAAAAAATAAAAACATGTAGATATCAGCATGTCCTTTTTATAGTTAAGTTGAGCTAGAAGTTAATTTAACCGAAGCTACACAACTAGTAAAAAAAGGCAGTCAGGACTTAAGACACCAAAGCTCAGGTGGTTTTTACTAAAGCCCATTTCAACAGAAGAAAGAAGCTTGTGCAAAACATCTTTTGTGATCAATATATTAGTTTCTTCGGGCTGACATAAAAAATTGCCACAAATGTGGTGGCTTAAAACAACAGAAATTGCTTGTCTCGTAATTCTGAAGGCTAAAAGTCCAAAATCAAAGTGTCAGCAGGGCCATGCTCCCTCTGAAGGCTCCAGGAAAGAATCTTTCCTTGCCTCTTCTTTGCTTTTGGTGGTTGCCATCAATCCTTGGTGTTTGTTAGCTTGTGGCTGCATTACTCCAATCTCCACTTCTGTTGTAACCTGGCCTTCTTCTCTGTATGTGTGTCTGTGTGTCTCCGAATCTCTGTCTCCTTATTAGCACACCAGTCATTTGATTTAGAGCTCATGTTAATCTGGTATAACTTCATCTTAACTTGGTTACATTTGCAAAACTCCTTTTTTCCAAATAAGGTCACATTCACAGGTACCAGGGCTTAAGACTTGCACATATCATTTTTGGGACATAATACATCTTGTTGAGACAGTCTTCAATCTGTAGAGTTCAAGTGTACTTGCGTCTCCATCTCAACATCAATACATTTATACCTCCTCTGTTACTTAGCTCAGATATCCCTTTGTTTTCAGTCTTTTCTTATTTTTCAGCTAGAAATATACTTTGCACTTGTCTTTATAACTCATAAAGTACGTTGTTCCACTTCTAACATAAAAATAAACAACTTCTTTCTGTTATATTCATGCTTTATTTCACTTAAAGCACTGTTACCTATTAAATATAGAAAATGATCATTTCTTATATGTCCTTGTTATCTGCAATGTCTAGCCCAGAAGTAAACATAATATGCATTCAACCATTATTTGCTGAATGGATTAGTTTATTTACTTGATAGCAAAATAGACTTTTCATTTTTGCTTTAGGTATTTCTGGATTTGTTGTATAGTACATAGCACATTTTTAATTTAATTCTCTTTGAAGTTCAACAGATGATTCCTTTAGATTTGAGAATTAGATTCTCCTGATGTCCAAAAGCTGTAAGTTATTGAGATATCTCACCATGGAAAGAAGGGAAATCTTCAAATTATTTAAATGTGGATAGCAAATGTTAGGACTATTTGTCAGAATCTGCTAATTTTCAAAATCAGAAATAATAAATCACTGAAGAGGGAAAAAACACCTCCTCCAACAATAATTTATTTGGTGGAATGCTATTCAATTCAATTATATTTGATTTAATTTAACATAACACATTTTTAGTGAAATATAATTATGCACAAAAAGGTTCAGGCATTTCAAAGATGTGTAAAACATTCTATCTTTTCAGAAGAAGATAAAATTTAAATTGGTGTTTGAATATTAGGAAATATTCTAGATATTCTTTGCATAAAATAGCATACTTAACTCATGTAATATTCCCGAAAAGACAGTCTGATTACATTTATTGGTAACATTAAAATTTAGAGTTTAACCTCAAAAAAGCTGGGAAAAAAGGAAAAAAAATAGAGTTTAACAATATTGATACTTTTATAATATAATTATTCACTTTAAAAGCAAGTATTTTTAATGTCTTTGCCATGTCCCAGTAACTGTTCTGAATGTTTTACATGAAATATCTAATTTATTCATCACAACACCTATATATTAACAAAATACTCTTATCTCCATTTTATAAATGAGGAGACTGAGACACAGACAGGTTAAGTATCACACAGGATGCAGCAACTGGTCCAAGATTAAGTAACTATTTCAAGGCAAACCAGCCAGTAATTGTGAGGCTGGAATTTCAACTTGGGTCTGTGTGACATTCAAAGTCCATGCTCTTTTGTCTCCCTTATGCTGTGCCAGGTGTTTTGAAGAAAATAAAGTCATGTGCATACAAAACTATTATATAAGGCCAAGTGTGATATGAACTGAAAGTATTATAACTTGCTATTAGAATTCAGAGATGGGTTCAGCTGATTAGGGAAACTTAAATGTTGGAGTTGACCTAACTGGATCTCAAAGAACGGGTCAGATTTAGCAATAACACATATCTTATATAATTTCTATAAGTGCATTCATGTGTTTAGAAATTCCTTAGTTTTTTGGTATGGATGCTCCACCTAAAAATGAACTCTGAATAGGAAATGAAGACCAAGAGAGAAATAAAGGCACATATACCTCAAAGTATGCAAGGAGAGCGTTGAGTACAGCTATAATTTCCTTGAAAGGGAAGTTGAAGACAAGCATTTGCAATGGGGAGACTAGAGAAGTGAAACATATTTACGCATCTCCTTCACATTTTCTAATTTTCATGAGCAAATAGTTCTTTAGGAGGAGGGAACAAAGATATCTACCAATATTATGAGTAAATAGAGAGACTCCCCTAATCTAAGACACTCATCTGAAATGTACTCCAGGCAAAGGTATCTTGAGTGCCTAAGCAAGAGTCAGAACCAGGACAAAACCTGGTGCAGCTCACAATGAAAGCTACTGTTAAGAAATGCATCACAACACTTGTATATTAGCAAGTTGAGAAATGATCATTGTGGGATTTGATTCCACAAGGCATAGCATACGATAAGGTTTAGTTTAAATCCTTACAGACTTCAGATTTACTGTTGATCGATGTTGTTTTCTGTTACTTAACTCTTTTGAACCGCTGGATAGAACACTTGCCTGTGGAGGGCCAGGCCATCCAGGAATATCTACTATCTATTGAATGGCTAATGGCTAAGAGCTTTAAATGTATTACATCTATTTCTCCATAAGTACTTTAGGGACAAATTCCGGTTAAGATAAATTAACTTGTTTAATGTCCAACAGCTAATAAAGGATAGGAGCGGGATTGAAACACAGATCTGTCAATTCCAAAGTTCATTGTCTTGTACAAAGCTGACTCCAGTGAAATATTTTTTTCTCAAGTGTTGAACAAGGGCAAGGACAACCAAAATGCTGTTTCTTTCTTCACCTTGACTACTGCAGCATAACTAGACTGCAAGCCCCAGGCATCTTAGACATAGGAGTTACATAAACCATAAACCATATTTAATAATGATAAATATAGGCAATCTATTTCTTCAGTATCGTCTCATCTATTCAGTGTTTATTAGCTATTCTTTGATCTAACAATTATAATCTGGGAAGCTGGAAACCTTAATATTAGTGCTTTGCTAAGTCATTTTCAGCATACGGCCATAGTGTACAGTTCAGGATCTAGTCCTGAAATAAAAAAACATTCACGTGCCAATGTGAAATTTTATACTGATCAACCTTGAAATAAATAAAAGTGTTGAATTATTGAAAGGCTCTAAAATTCAGAAAAGGTAATTCAGAGTGAAGTCTAAAGCCCAAATCTTTAATGTTTTACAGATTTGTTTCATTTTAATGAGTACCAAAAAAGGAAGCATTGGCAGAAAAAGTTCATTTTTCCCATTTCAGGAGGCTAGTCTGTAATAGTCAACAATGGATTTAAGATGAGAGAATACTGGCTTATTGTAAGTGTAGGAGCATATAATTCATATATAGAAACAAATCTGGAGTCAAATTATTTCATAATAATATCCTATAAGTTCTCATAATACTAGCATTTGATATTATTTACAAACTGATTTTATGTTTAATTTCAACTTAACTATTGTGATATCTTTTAATATTTTATTTTGTATAAAATATGTTTTCAAACCCTTTGGGATATGGCAAATTATGATTATGCAAAATATTTTGTTTATTTAAAGAAAAATGATATTATGGTCCTATAATTACTAAATATCAGTGCATCCCCCTTAACCAGAATGGGGAATTTTAATTAATATGTTTCTTTGTATTTGAGTGTTAAAATATAATAATTTTCTACCTGCAGTAGTATTAGTAGCTAATAACCATTATTAATATACTATCTTAAGAATAATACAATAATTAGGTGTTTCTTCATAAAAGCCTATCTTTCAAAAGCAAGTTCACACCATTTTGGGAGAGTAGAATTTTCTGAAGTAGAAATGAACAAAAACAGTTTAAGAAATGCCTATTCTTGTATTCCTTATGTAAAATGTTTAAGCTAATGTGTTAAAAAGCACTTCAATTTTATATTTAAGAACAAAAGCAAAAACAATTAATACATGTAGAATCGATACCATATAAGTAAATGAATATTTGTGTTTTCTTGGATCAAGTAGAATACAGTTCGCATGGAGTTGATAAATTATTGTTAAACATTGTCTGAGTTCCTTTATGACTAGGTTATGACAAGAGATTAAGATTTATCTTCAGGCTAGTTTCTTTTCAGCCCCTCACACTTCCAAAGGAAATAAAATTAGATTAAAGACATTTCATAGTAAGACACCTGTGACAATGTTTATGAATTTGAAAGGCAGTCTTTTAAAAACTTTTTGTTAACATCTGGATCCCTTGCGGATTTGTTTTTATTGTCTGTTGTTTTTCTGTTGTTTCAGTCACATGGTCCTGACTTTTGGCATGACTAGTTATGTTTGATTAAATGCTGGAAGTGAATACAAAACACTGTAGAAACTCCAAATAATGCCATCTTTCTCTGGAGATGGTTTACCCTTTCCATTAGTCAGAGAGAGTGATCTCTTAATCCATCATGGATTTTACTGAGTAGAGGCTGATTGTAATCATGGTAAGGCTCAGTCAGGTTTTGGTTCATTTTTTCCTTGCAAAATTTTCATTTGAGAGTCTGGGAGTTTTCTTGAAATTTAACCCTATCTTGCTCATTTGCTGAAAAATATGATTTTTTTTCCAGAGGCTTTCCACTTAAGTTTTTAGTCTCCTACTCTAACAGAAACTGGCCAGCTACTTAAGGATCCCTGAAGTCCAGAAGCTTTTCTGGTTTTTCTGTGTCTTGGTCTTTTATCAGTATAAATACCAGATTCTTAGACTTCTGTCTTTGCTTGGAATTGCTGCATAACACATTGACACAAACTTATTATCCTAACATACACTTATTAGGTTATATATCTGTAGGTCAGATATCTGGGTGTATGACTGGGTTCTCTGGTATGTTTTCACAAGGCTGAAATCAAAGAGTCAGCTGGGCTTTGCGCTCATTTGGAGATTTGACTAAGGAAGAATTTGTTTTCAAGCTCATTCAGCTTGTTGGCAGTTTATTTAGTTCTAGTTCCTTGCAGTCACAGACCTGAGGTCTTCATCTTTTTGTTGTATTTTGGCCAGGGGTTATTCTCAGCTATTAGAAGGTACTGCTGTTCCCTGCCATGTGGCCCCCTTCATCTGTAAACCCAGCCTCAGAGAACCTGCCTCATGTCAAATCCTTCTCACACCTGGAATCTCTTCACTAGGAATAGTCTAGTTTCTTTTTAGGGCCCGCCTGATTAGATTAGGCTTGTCAAGAATAATCTCACTTTCTTAAAATCTTAAAACCTGTGCCATATAACATAACTTAATCATAGGGACGACATCCATCATCTACAGAGTGACTTCTACACTCAGGGGGAGAAAATTATACAACGGCATGGGTCAGAGGGGGTCATCTGAGAATCTCCTGACTATGGTTGGCAAATGCCATGGCTATAGAGCTAAACTTACCTTTTCAAGCTTCTTCATTCTCTGGAGTCTTAGCTCTTCCAATGTGCATTGTTTAAACAACTTTCTGAGCTTTCAGTTATCTAGCTGTTGTTGTTGTTGTTTTGAGATGGAATCTCACTCTGTTGCTCAGGCCGGAGTGCAATGGCACAACCTCGACTCACTGCAACCCCCGCCTCCCAGGTTCAAGCCGTTCTCCTGCCTCAGCCTCTCAAGTAGCTGGGACTACAAGCATGCGCCACTATACCCGGCTAATTTTTGTATTTTTAGTAGAGATGGGGTTTTGCCATGTTGGCCAGGCTGGTCTTGAACTCCTGATCTCAAATGATCCACCCGCCTCGGCCTCCCAAAATGCTGGGATTACAGGCGTGAGCCACTGCTCAAGTTTGTTATCTAGTTTTTCTAGGTGGGGCATTCATCTGTTGCAAGTTGCTCCATTCCACTTGAATGCATCTTTATTAAGATTTAAAAATTCTTGAGTTACAAATTTCTGAGTATAGTGATAAAAGTGAACTGTGATTTAATTCCATGTATAACCTCACAGTCCTCTAAAGAAAAAGTGATATCGCAAACACATCTGATTATGTGACTTGGTAATTTGCTCTATAAAACTCATCATATCAGAATATTAGCTTTCTTAGATATGACTCATATGGTTTAAATATTTTTAAATGACTATTTCTAATTCTAAATACATTTCTATAAAATGATGTTGAGATTTTGAGACTCTGGGATTTCAAAAAATATTCTTCAATAAATTAAAATTGAAGCTTCTATCAATATTAGAAATATTTCTGATTATATTTTAAGATCACACAGCTATTTTTTTTTTTAAACATGAGTATACACTGTGCTATGGTTTGGATGTTTTCACTCCAAACCTCATGTTGAAATTTTATTCTCAGTGTTGGAGCTGGGACCTAATGGGAGGTGTTTGGGTCAGGGAGCAGATCCTTCATAAATATATTAATGCCCTCTCTCAGTGGTGAATGAGTTCTCACTCTATTAGTTTCCATGAGAGCTGGTTGTTCAAAACAGCCTGGAATCTACCCTCTCTCTCTCTCCCTTGCTTCCTTTCTCACTATGTGATCTCCACACACATCAGCTCCCCTCCGCCCTCCTCCATCAATGGAAATAGCCTGAGTCCCTTACCAGATGAAGACGCTTAATCTTGAACATTCCAGCAACCAGAATCATGAGCCAAATAAATATTTTTATTTATAAATTACCCAGCTTCAGGTATCCCTTTATAGCAATTCAAAATACACTAAGACACATGGGAAAAATAAATTTACTGAACAAACTCAGTCAATAAGGTAATTAACTTACTTTTAGGAAACATGCAAAATTCTGCTATTATAGTACACTAAGGAAACAGTAATTCTTTCTTTCATTCGTCTAGATTGTGAGAAGAAGTTTTAGAACTTCTACTACAGCCTGTAACATACACTGACTACAAATTTAGAATTTTGGAGGCTTATTTTTAAGTTTGAAAGTAGTTAGTCCTGGTCGGGCACCATGGCTCAGGCCTGTAATCCTAGCACTTTGGGAGGCTGAGGTGGGGTCAGGAGACTGAGACCAGCCTGGTCAACATGGTGAAACCCTGTCTCTACTAAAAATACAAAAAGTAGCTGGGCATGGTGGCGGGCACCTGAGGCAGGGGAATCACTTGAACCCGGGAAGCGGAGGTTGCAGTGAGCCGAGATCGCACCATTGCACTCCAGCCTGGGTGACAAGAGCAAAACTCCATCTCAAAATAAATAAATAAATAAAAGTAGTTAGTTCTAACTAAGATGACAGTATTTCACCCAAACATATACATAAGAGGAAATTTTTTAAAAGAATAATTGAAAAATTAAACCTCATTATCAGATCAATTGAAGTAGATGTATTGTATATTAGAATCCAATGTTTGTATTGCATTTAAGTATTCATAGAAATATATGCCAAATGCCTACATGCAGCTAGGCAAAATTTAAAAATCAATAAGTTAATGATTCAATTCTTTTATCACTTAAACACACTATAGAAACAACACTGACACTGCAAGAAATTTTTTTTTAATGTCTTTGTAAATCTTAAGGTATTTAAGCGCGAGTGCCATGAGCAGGTATATGTTAGAAATTTCCCATATGCTGTGGTGCTGTGGTTTGGATGTCCCCTCTGAAACTCATGTTGAAATCTAATTGGCATCATGAGAGTATTAAGAGGTGAGACTGTTAAGAGATGGCCAGGCTACAAAGTTTCTGCCCTCATGAATGAATTAATGGCATTATTGTGGGAAGGGGTTAGTTACTGCAGGAGTGCATTTCTGATAAAATAGATGACTTCATCACCCATCCTCTCTGATTCTCTCCTGCTCTTTTGCCCTTCCACCGTCTGCCATGGGATGACACAGCATGAGGGCCACCACCAAATGCCAGCACCATGCTCCTGGACTTTCTATCCTTTAGAACAATGAGCCAAATAGACTTCTATTGTTTATAAATTACTCAGTCTCAGGTATTCTGTTATAGTAATACAAAGTGGACAAAGGCATGCAGCAATTCTCATTTAAATTTATTATAAATTGTGATATTAAAACATTATTAAATACCACCTGTGGATACTGCTTTCTTAAATATTTTAGACAAGTGATATTTTCTTAGCTTTGGATCTCAAGAAAGATTTTATTTTTGATTTTATTTTACTGAAGTTCTTATCTTTGCTCTGTGGATGACTTTTGTAACATAAAAATCTTCAAATTATATCATCTGTCTTCACCTATCCACTCCCTCGAAAAAAATCTCTGCAGTATCAATGAGAGGCCATCTTTACTTTTAGTACGATAGAATTTGATGAGAAAAATGTTCATGAGTACAGATTTTGTTTTAAATTTATTCAAGAAACAAGTATAGATACTGTGTTTAATAAATGTAAAAACACACATATTTGTAAATATGTCTTGAAAGAATTGGCCCAGCATTGTGGCTCATACCTGTAATCCCAGCACTTTGGGAGGCTGAGGTGGGCGGATCACCTGGGGTCAGGAGTTTGAGACCACCTGGCCAACATGGCGGAAACCCATCTCTACTAAAACTACAAAACTTAGCCGGGCATGGTGGCAGGCTCCTGTAATCTCAGCTCCTTGGGATGCTGAGGCAGGAGAAACGATTGAACTTGGGAAGTGGAGGTTAAAGTGAGTCGAGATCACACCAAGGCACTTCAGCCTGGGCAACAGAGTGAGACTCTGTTTCAAAAAAAAAAAAAGAAAGAAAGGAAGGAAGAAAGAAAGAAAGAATAGGCAAGAGATCATTCAGAAGACAAACTGTGATTAGAAAAAAGTTTTATTATTCACTTGCCTACCAAATATATATAAGCACAATGTCAAAGATAAGGGAAAATTTGAAGAATAATAAAAAAAAACTCATAGCCACAATTAATATGTGTTTGCACTGCAGTAATAATATTTAGGCTATGCTTTGTGTTATTCTTAACTTCTAGGGATTCTTCACCATTGAAAGGACCAAGGAAGTAAACTGTCTAGTATATTCACTCTCTTTGGAGCAGTGTAGTATTGCGGACTAAAAGTGTGACCTGTAGAGGTCATTAATCTGTTTTCTTACCTATGGTCACCTGTGAAACAAAGAAAATAACATATACCTTAAAGTGCTGTGAAGATTCAATTACATATAAAAGCAGCTAGCTGAAGGAATGTGCATGTATTCTTAAGACAAAAACCAAAGCAATTAGTATTTAACTGAAGATTTCAGCAAACGGATATTTTAGGAAAACTGCATTTCATCTCAAATTTAAATTTTTTTGTCATTCACACATTGGACAGGTAGATTTATATGCTCAGAAAAGTTTGTTTCAACTTTTTAAACAAAAATTTCAAAAAAGTTTTCAAAGATTGTTTTAGATATCTCACTGCAATTATTCCATGAACCAGAATGAATTTCTGAATGTCTGAGGACATTTATAAATGGTCCCATTTTCCTTGATACCAAGTTGTAGAGTCCCCAGTGCTGACTACTACTTTATACACCATGATTTTAATTTCTATGTTGGCATTAATTCATTTAATACATTGTTTTGAGACTGAACACTGACATTTCTGAACTCTTATTAGCTCTAGGAACAGAAGCTATACATTTTTGGTAGCTGGAGACTGTCTCTTGATAAATATAGGCAGTTCAGTCTCTTTCACCAATACTTCTGATGTTTACTTCTCTTCAACTCTGATCATTGCACATTAATTACTCCAACAAGTGTGGATATCCTTGAGTCACTTCTATTACCATATACACACACCAAGCTCTCTCTGTTCCTTAAATTACCACTCATCTGGAATGTTTAAATTAAACATTCCAAATGCTTAAAATAAGATTAAAAAGTGATAAAAATAATGATTAGAAAGAAAAATTGATCTTCAAGACTAAGAGCCTCCCCATTATTCCATGTTCTTAGTAGTTGTTATTCCCCTTTGGCCAAACTTATCACTATGATCCTAGGGATCACTTCTTACTTAAACTATAGTCTCTTTTTTATATTTTCTCTTTACTAAGTCCCTTTACCTAATATCTGGTCTCTGAATTCTCAGATAACATAATAATTATCTGTAGAGCGATATCCCTACCTAAAAAATTTACATTATGAAACAGTTTAGCATCTGAGCCTGAAACATCTGCTTTTGAATTATTCACTATTTGAATGTGTCTATAGAAAGATGGAGTTGGCTGGGTGCGGCAGCTCATGCCCGTAATCCCAGCACTTTGGGAGGCCAAGGTGGCTGGATCATTTGAGGTCAGGGGTTCAAGACCAGCCTGGCCAACATGGTGAAACCTCTCTACTAAAAATACAAAATCAGCTGGGCGTGGTGGTGCACGCCTGTTATCCCAGCTACTCGAAGGCTGAGGCAGGAGAATCACTTGAACCCAGGAGGCAGAGGTTGCAGTGAGCTGAGATCGTGCCATTGCACTCCATCCTGGGCAAAAACAGTGAAAGTTCATCTCAGAAAAAAAAAAAAAAAAGAAAAAAAAGAAAAAAGAAAGATGGAGTCTTTTTTTTTTTTTTTTTTTTTGGTATTTACCTTACATCTACATGACTATAAAGGCTTTTCAAAATGTTAGCTTCTAGAAACAAGGATGACTCACTCAGGTACCAAAAATGTATAGCTTCTTTTCCTAGAGCTAATAAGAGTTCAGAAATATCAGTGTTCAGTCTCAAAACAATGTATTAAATGAATTAATGCCAACATAAGAATTAAAATTAGGAATTAAAATTAAAGTAGTAGTCAGCATTGGGGACTCTACAACTTAGTATCAAGGAAAATGGGACTGTTTATAAATGTCCTCAGACATTCAGAAATTTATTCTGGTTCATGGAATAATTCCAGTGAGATACCTAAAACAATCTTTGAATAATTTTTTGAAATTTTTGTGTAAAAAGTTTAAACAAACTGTCTATAGAATTTTGCTGCACCCTGAAGATTTTTGGTTAAACTGCTTTTGGCATGCCATGTCAAGCATCCTTTTGCTTTCTTATTGGTGTTAACAAATTAAATTATTTTTCTATAATATTTCCCTCTAATTTGTAAACATGTAGTCATAACTTTTTCTCATTTTTAAGATATCACAATGGACATTTACTTTTCTAGAAGGAAATAAACTCGATTTTCTCTATTCTAGAGAACATCTTGACAAGTTATCTGCTTCTTATGCTCTAAAAGGATGGTAAAAATAATCAATGCACAGCGAAGTGTTTATGTGCATAATTTCATTTCTAATACATTATTAAAATATCTGTTATCTATACTTTTTTTTGAGACAGGGTCTCACTCTGTAACCCAGGCAGTTACCAAGGTTCTGAATCTGATTCACTCCTGTGAATAATGTACTATTTTATAAATAAAGGATCTAACATAGCAGTCATCTATTGAATATGTCCTGTCTATGATAAACATATATTATAAAGTTTGTGAATCCTAGAACTTCTGATTCCATCTTATTTTTAGTCAAATTCAAATAGGCATGCAAATAGATAAATGTAATAATATTTCTGATGTTTAAATCCTGGAACTTTTCTCATTATCTCTTTTGCCTTGTCGCCAATTCTGTACTACCTTACACTGCTTTGGAGGCTGCCTTTCTCTAAAACAAATGCACAAAAATATATCTGGGTAGATAACAAGTAAATAATAATAAATCCCCTTTCAATGCTATCCAATCAATGCAGATTTTTTCCTTTCCCTATTTTCCAATCTCTAATTATGTTTATTATGTAGGTAATATTAGTGCCTTATAAAAGGTCTCTCCCTATTCCACTTCTTCGTTCCTTTCTCTACCTATTCTATGATTCTGCCTCATGAAATTCTGAAAAATAATTTTTTAAAATGATGGGTAGTGGAAAGGAGCTCAATAAGGAAAAAAGACATTCTTTTTCTCTTTATTTAACGAGGTAAAATGGCTGGGAAAATTTATAAGTTAAAAATTTCACCCTTTTAACACATTTACCCTGGTCAATATTCATAGATGCCTTCAAAGGCAAATCCAATATTTAAACGGGACTTGCAGATGGTCCTTTTATTGACAATTTATTACACATTGACCCCCTTTCTTTTTGTTCTTTTACTGGGGGCAGGAGAGGAGGAGGGCTTGGCAAGTGCTGCATAATTGATCTTGAAAAATTCCAGAAAGGCTGCCAAGCAAAGGCTTATTAGATTCATCACAGTTCCACCTCTCAAACTGTAGGCTGGGGAGGGGGACTTACTATTTATTTCCTTTACTTTCCACATGTCTGTAAATAGTAGCTTCATAGGGGAATTTAAACCGTTTACTTTATAACAATATTAGTAGCTGTTTACCACAAGAAGATGTTCTTTGCCCAAACCGAAGCAAATATGTAACCAATTTTAAGTCCCCTGTTAGCTCCCCTTTCCCTTGTGAGGATTTGATTTTGACCACTGAGATATGGGAAGAAGCCCTCACTTATTCATGATAGGTGAACTTGGAACTCTTCTTACTTCTCACAGTGACTTTGATTTCTTAAGAAATCAAGTGTGGGGATGTGAGAATGTGTGTGTCAATGGGCAGGTAAAGACTTTTCTATTTCAACACTTAATAAAGGGATATTTTAGCTTCTTTAATGTCATAGACTGTGTAGGTCTGTGTTTGTTTAGTTCTATGGCTGGTATGTCCACTTTATAAATAGGTATCTTCTTCAACTTTGTCCTTCTGAATTCATTTCATTGTCATCTTCTTAATGGTTCTTTGACTTTCTAATTCAGAGAACCCTGATTGACCTTTGCTCTTTTGTATCATCATTCTAAATCCTTACCAGTTCTGTTTTTTTGTTTTTATGCCAGGATTATTTCAAAATTTTATCACTCTATCACCCAGGCTGGAGTGCAGTGGCGCAATCTCGACTCACGGTAATCTCTGCTTCCCAGGCTCAAGCGATTCTCCCACTTCAGCTTCTGAGTAGCTGGGACTACAGGCACATGCTACCATGCTCAGCTAATTTTTTAATCTTTTGTAAAGACAGGATGTCCTCATATTGCCCAGGCTGGTCTTGAACTCCTGTACACAAGCAATCCAACCGCCTTGGTCCCCAAAGTGCTAGGATTTGATTTCTGGACCCACGTGTCCAGGGAATTCTGGTGTTTGAATGATAAAGCTCCATCTAATAAAAAACTCCATCCATCTATATTGCAGTTATCTTCACTACCCAAATATCTCTCTTCATACTACTCTAGCCCATATGGCTTCTATTTTCTTTCTTCTTTTTCTCTCAGGTTCATTATATGTTTCTACTTGGCTTTTTTTTTTTTTTTTTTGAGACGGAGTTTCACTCTTGTTACCCAGGCTGGAGTGCAATGGCGCAATCTCGGCTCACTGCAGTCTCTGCCTCCTGGGTTCAAGTGATTCTCCTGCCTCAACCTCCTGAGTAGCTGGGATTACAGGCATGCACCACCACGCCTGGCTAATTTTGTATTTTTGGTAGAGATGGGGTTTCCCCATGTTGGTCAGGCTGGTCTCAAACTCCCAACCTCAGGTGATCTGCCCGCCTTGGCCTCCCAAAGTGTTTGGATTACAGGTGTGAGCCACTGCGCCCGGCCCTTGGCCTCTTATATGTTGCTACCTGGCCAGTTCTTCTCTTCTTCACTATTCTCCCATCATTTCTTTTCTTGTGTAGTATCAATTTCTGCAGCACAGAAGAGCTACATTACAGAGGGCAGGTAGTTTAATGAGGAGAATCTGAGGAAACAAAGATAACATTATTTGTGGTGGATGAGATTTTGATATGTGTAAGGTGTTAGTATTTGTATATTATTAATCTTAGGCTTCATAACAATATCAATAATTAGAGGAAGAGAAATCTACAGTTGCTCTCAATACTAATATTATTAATAATAATGTTTATAATAATAAAAATGTCTGTTCTTCAGTTATATTTTCTTCCAAACATCTCTCTGATCTTAGTGAACATTTTGAGAAGCTAACTCTTATTTCTCATTTCAGAACTATATACTGTTGTTTAGGTAAATAACTTGATTAATTGCTATCAAAGTATAAATGGTAGAATGATGGCGATACTTACCATATTAAGTTTTTCCTAGTTAGTTCAAGAATAGTTAAATAAATTCTTAGAAACTTTGAATAAACTCTAAATGGAAGAATTTTTTATTCATGAGCCTTAAAAATTAATCTAAAGTTAATGTTCATTGAATTTTAAATGAAAGAAAGTTGTATAACAACACTTACAGGTATCTAAGTACTCTGACAAATTCTCTAAATTGCTAGCCCAGACCTAAAAACATTTAGCTTACCCTCAGTTTCCAGTTTCTCCATGTACCTGATATAAACATCTGCAGCAGCTTTTCTGTTACAAACCTTAAAAGTCTGTGAATATTAAGCAACTTGTATATGAAAAATAAAAATACACCAATATTAATAGCATTTTATTCCTTAAAATGAGTACCTCACCCAGAGTTTTAGTCCAGAAAACTAGCATTTCGACATAGAAAACGTTATGAAACTGCAAGCATTTTCTTGTGTTGGCCAGTTTAGGTCCTAGCTAGTTTGCAATCATCTCCCACTGCAAATGTCTCATGGGGAAATGGCATTTGGTATTCATACATTCCTTCCTCTCCATCCTACCCTGAGGCTACTTCACCATCTTTAGCCACAGGCTCTTTCCCCCATGACAGTTGATCTACTCTCAACCAGTAACACTTCTTGTTGGTCTGCACAATGAATTGCCAAAGTTTTTTCTTGGGCCTCTCTTCTTACGTATCAGCAAGCTAGAATATATGATTATTTTCCACTTTTGCTCTGCCTTTTCTACGCAAACATTTTCTTAAACAAGGCAAGTTGGCCTGGTAAAGTCAGAGAGTGCTGCTGAAGTGGCTGCAAAATAAACAATTCCTGTTGAGCACGGATTTCCATGCATTTTTTTTTCTTTACTTTTCACTATGAGTTTATTTAGTGGGTACTATTTTACCCTTATTTCAAAATGAAGAAAATTAATACTTAAAGGATGATATTTCTGATCAAATGTAATTCATCAATAAGTAAAGAGACTGGGAAACTTCAGTGTAATTATAATCCTGCCCCATATTACAGGATTAACTCATGTATTAATATGATTCATGAACTTGGCCTAACCACTTAACTTTTTAATTTTCCAGTTACTGATTTTTTAAAGTAAAGATAACACTATCTTTTTTTCTCACTTCACACAGGATCAAACTGACTCCAAAATATAATATGTAAACATCTACCAAATGTAAAATATTTGCACATGGGGTCATTTAAACATTTGTGTCTCTTCGCTACCATCCCACTGTTGCATTTTATCCACAGAATTTACTATTTCTCTTTCTGTCTTAAAGAGAGAGAAAAATAGTTCTCACACATATGAAAGCAAGAAAAGTCTTGCATTTTGAATTTGAAGTCATCATAGCAAATAATCTCCAGAACCTTTAAAAGCATCAAGAAATCTCTTTCAGCTTCCTTATGATGCCTTCCCATTCTCTTTAAAGTACAAATGATTTCATACCACAAATCAGACACAGGTACTTTCATTTGAAACAAACTGAATTATTTTACTGAATAATTGCTAGTCTTCCATTGGACTTAGGACTAGAGATATAATTATCAGTGAATCATATTTACCATCTAATTTTTAAAGCACATACACATATACACACATAATTAGAAATTAATAAAATACATCCTAAAATTGAGTGCTGTGTTAATGAAGCTGGCATTCATTCAGTCTGGAGTGGGTAGTATAAAATTTGGAGAGAAAGGAGAGAGGAAAGCGAAGGTAAAGGGATCAGTATTGAGAGGAACAATGCAGAATATTTAATAAAAGAAATGTCTTGTAACTTAAAGCAACATTGCAAAAAATTGGATGAATGAACTAGTGAATGAAAGATCTATGCATTAAATTAAATAATTAGAAATTTTACTGTGCACTAATAGAGAATAGAGGGATTTTAGGCAGTTGAAAAGTGAGACACTTTACAAAATTCAGGGATTCAAAAGTCTCAAGCCATGAGATGATGACTTCCTTATTTTTAGAGGGCTCTTTGAAGAAAGACTTTAAAGTACGCATTCTTCAGAACGTTGCTGTTGAGTAAAAACCTGGCCATTTCCCCAGACCTAAGCTGTCTCTTTTGGTTTTTCTGGCTCTGGGCCTACTCCAGGGGTGTGGATATATACTGGCCAGATGGCTACATCAACCCCTGGTTGATTATGCCTGTTTTAAGGATTGACAAATGGTCAGTTTGACCTTGAAGTTTTGAATGCAGGCATTGCCCTGGACGTAGAAGACAAGTCTATGCTTAAACATTTACCCATGCATTCATTCACTTATTCATTATTCTTTCACCTGAAATGGAGCAAGCCCTTCTAGTGAAGAGGGACAGTGCTAAATTTTTAGTTATATTTCATTTTAGCACACACTTTCCTTAGAGTGGAAATTTTCACATTAGCAATAAGCAGCTTTTTATAGTCCATATAGAAGACACGGGTAGATACAATGGCTCTTTTTTCCCTTCTCTTGCGTTTATGTATTTATTGACAGAATCCATTATTAATTGAGACTTTTATGTGGCCTTTCCCCAAATACTGCAGATGAGAGCATGTAATCCAGCCTCGGTCAATCAGACTGTATCATTTTCCTTGGCCTCATTGATTGATTTAGGAAAAGACAATGTCCCATTTTTGCTGGGACAATCCAAATCCCCCTAAGGCACATTCTCTTGACCTATTATTGGTAAAGAGGTTATTTTACATTTTAGGTCTCAAAAGCTAATATGAAACTTAAAGTTGTTGTAGTTGCCATTTTTGCTACATGTAGAGAATCTGCCTGAGAAGAAAGCCAACATACGTGAAAGCAGAGACAAGAGACAGAGATATGAATAGGGATAGAGTTGTACATATGTATATACATACAACACACACACACACACACACACAGACATATATATATGTTGAGAGAGAGAGAGAGAGAAAGTCCTGCTTTAGTCGTGTACTCTATGTCGAGATTTCATCTTTGTATCTATTTCCATTTTGCTTAATTTAGTTTAAGCTGAATTTCATTCATTGCAAGATTCTTGAAAGATACAACACCTAATATCTACTTTGATAATAGAAACAAAACTAACCCACCTTTTATCTTTACCTGATAATTATAAGGTGGTAGCATTGTTCTGATATTTAGCATCTTAGGAAAGGAAAATTTAAAATGGTATATTTTTAGTTTTGGTCTCTATGGCTATATTTTGGATCAACATAATTTCAAAATAAATTTGGAAAAATATAATAGATTTTAACTAGAGTTTGTATTATATTTGGCATATAATTCTTAAATGGTTTTCCCATGATTGTGAATTTTATGAAATTCTCATCAGTCATTATAATTAGTATTGGGATTAGCAGTTAATAACTGAAACAGTCTAATGTGGAAAAGAACAGCTGTGCTTTAGAAATAAAGATAGTTATGCAAATATTGATTGAAATAACATTAAAAAAATTTAAATAATAATGAAAAATAGGAAAAGCCGGATAATCAAGGAAAGCTATATACATTGCTTTAGATCTGTATAAGCTATGCTTATTTTATTTTAGTGGTGGAATTATGACAAAAGAAGAAATAGAAGAAGAAAAACAGAATCCAATAAAGACCTAGAAAATAAGAAGCAGAGGTTTAAGATCACTCTTAGGAATCTCAAAGTTGCAATATAGCTCTTTGGAAAAAACATTGACTCATCACTGACTTACTGAAGTCTATGGCTGGAGTCAAGAGGACCTTGGGTATTGCAAAACTGAAGGCCAAGATGGAGACATAGATTAAGTCAGCAGCCACACAAAGGAGAAACTGATATATGGTGCTGGAGAGATTCAGAGTTTAAACAAGAGATAAAGTCTACCTCTAATGGTAGGATTTTGTTAAACTTTTCTAAAGTATATTTATACCAGGGTCTGGGACCTTAAAATCTGCTTCTATTTAAAATCTCAATAAAACTAACATAAATTTAGGGAGCCAAGATATGTACTCCTATATGAGAAACCAAACACAAAGATTAGGAAAGAAATGTGTAAACCTTTTCAGGGAAGATGAGGCTAGCCTCTCCTATAATAGTGAAAAACAAAGGCAAAGATATAAATGGAATAATCTTGCTATAGGGTTCTGTGTTACCAAGGTTGGAAATTCACCCAGCATAGTTCAAAACAGGAATGGGCAAATATTTTTGCAAACAGCCATTTAATAAATATTTTAGGGTTTGCAGGCCAGATAATCTATGCCTAAACTACTCAAGTCTGAGTTGTCGTGAGAAGGCATATGTAGTACATAAATAAATAGGTGTGGTTGTGTTCTTTATTTTAAAAATGTTGCTTTAGTCTGTAGACCCTTAGTAGAGCAAATGAAAATACTCATAAGTGATGTCTCACAGGTGAAAATGGGTGGTGTTTGCTCATTTCCGTGGTATGAATACTAGCACTGTGGCTAATTTTAAACAATCAGTGGCTGAAAAATTGATTTGAAAAAATTCCTGAAAAATTAACAATCAGCACTTTGAGCTCATTTTGAACAGTTGTAGGACACTGCAGAATATGATCCACTTACAAAGGAGTAAAGGAGCTCATGTCCTGAAACTTAGTTTTTCAGGTTCTGCGATCTTACATTATCTTCCCTCCTTCCGAGTTTCCCTGTCCCTGTCCCTCATATCTGCTTACAGAGTCACAGTCTTAAAAACAATCTGCCTGCAAGCATTTGGCTTAGGCATAGCTCAACCTCAAGAGTTATAAGACATTTATACTTCATATTCTTTTTAATTGAATGGCTTATTTATGCATATTTCCCTAATATGAGTAATGCGATTTTGAGCAAGCATCTATATTATAAATTATTAATTCAAGAAAGGTAGACACCTAGATATCAGTTGATGTATTTATATGGTAGACTTATAATAAAAATTACCACATATAAGCAGGTATTCACAGTCAAAGGAAACAGTACAAAAGAGAATATGTTCAGGAGGAGACCACAGAATGGGCTGAAAGGGAACATAATTATAAAAGAAATGCCGAGAAACAAGCTTGGGCTCATTTGGGGATGGATAAACCTCTAGGTCCAACTACTCGTTATTAGACCATTTTCATAATGAACCTGTTTCAAAAAAAAGTCAAAGTGGATATGCACTTGGTGCTAAATGAGTTTAGAAATAAAACAAAGCCGCGAAAGCCTTCTTTTATCCTCTGTCAAATTAGAAAAACCAAGTACGTCTTTGTACTTTTAATAGTCTATTTGCTTAAATACATAGACAAGTGGCAGGGGAATCATTTAAATGTTTGCAGGCAGTCAATCGCATTAAAGAATCACAAGAAAACAGGCTGAACTCTGTAGTCAAACTGCTAACTTTATTCTAATTAATAACCCTAAATTGTGGAGCTGTTCATGGATTGCTTACTTTTGGGATATATGAATGTTGAAGTTAGAGGCTGAAATTCGAGGTAAAATAAAATAAAACCATCATCGTATGTGAAATTTTTGGTAATCCTTGTACCAGGAAAAGGAGATTGTACATCTTTTGAGATTTAAAAGATTTTGTCATAGGAATAGTGTGTACCAACCAAAATGCTCTTATTTCATAGTTATTTCACGGTCTTATATTCACATTCATTTAACCCTCACTAATCTGCCAGCTGGATGTTGTGCATCCAGCATGAAAATTCTCCTTAAAGGTTGTTTATAGATGTGAGATATGAGAATGTGGAATATAGTCCACAAAACATCACTACATAGTTTTCTAAAAATGTGTTAAATCCTTCATATTTAGATAACAAGATTCAGCTCCTGTCCTCCAGAAACTTACAGTTTCTACCTCCATTTTCTCCGCTTCACTTTCCTGGGAGGATCTTGCTGCAAACTTTAATGAGATAAGTATGGGTTATTATAAAGCAGATTGGAATTTTAAATTACAAATAGTAATAACCCTTAAGTGCAGCTAAGATAAAACCCTTCCCCATCCCACGTTTAGAGGTTCTGCCTTATCAGAGTCCCTGACCCACAGTGAGAAATTAATACACATATTTTTGAATAAATTTTGAATAAGTAACTGGGGATTTAAGTAAACAAGAAATTACCCTATAGTGAGAGAAGAGTTTTAACATGTGGTGAGTGGTACAAAGTAGCACACCCAAGGTCGTGGGTTAATGACTTCCTTCCTTGTGCTCTTTCTCTTTTTCCACATCAGGGATGAGCTGATTAGAGTAACTTTATATAGAGTTGGTAAATTTTAATGAAGGAAGAGTGACAGTAGATAAAGAAAAAGGGTTGAAACAATGAAGTTTTATAAAAAGCAATATTCAGTATCTGAAGAGGAAAACATTACTGTATTTTTTTTTTTTTTTAACTGAGATGGAGTCTTGCTCTGTTGCCCAGGCTGGAGTGTAGTGGTAAGATCTCGGCTCACTGCAACCTCTGCCTCCAGAGTTCAAGCAATTCTCCTGCCTCAGCCTCCTTAGCAGCTGGAATTTACAGGTGTTGTGCCACCATGCCTGGCTAATTTTTTGTATTTTTATTAGACATGGGGTTTCACTATGTTGGTCAGGCTAGTCTTGAACTCCTGACCTCATGATCCACCCGCTTCAGCCTCCAAAAGTGCTGGGATTACAGGCGTGAGCCACCTCGCCCAGCCCTAACTGTCTTTTATAGACTATGTTGGAAGCATTTGCTTAGTCCACAAGTCATATCCTTAGCATTCTTCCATGGAGAAGGCTTGTGGGCAGCTAACTTTGTTCTGCATGATCCTAGGTCTTTGTCCATTAGTTAACTGGGCCAATCAGACTTTTTTCTCCTTGGAATTTGGAATTAGCATTGAAAAATGGTTAATAAGTCTCTACAACCTGCTGAAAATGGAATATGTATAGACTGCAGACCATGGAGAGCCATCATCAACCATGTAGACTGTCTAGTGGAGAGAGTGGGTCTGCTCGAAGAGAACAAAGCAGATATGAAGAGAGAAGCAGAGAAAATCAGCAGGGAGACAGCACTGCCAAGTTTCTTCAGGCTTTCTGGGTGGTGATCTTGGGGCTTTCCTCAGGTCTTTTCATGAGTTCTCTGAGGTAATACTTCCTTCTTATGTTAGTTAGCTTTACTTGGTTTTTATTAATTGCAAATTTGGTTTTTATTGCAAACTTTTATTATAAACAAAATTGCAATTTAAATTGTTTTGTTTTGTAAATTATCTATTTTGTGCCTTTGCCCAAACGTTACCATTTCAATAAAATCTAACTTGATCATTCCACTGAAAATTTTAATTTTACTCCCCCTGCTGTTATGAGCTGAATTGTGTCCTGTATCCCCCCAAGTTTTTATGTTGATGTCATAAACCCCAGTAATCCAGAATGTTCCATGCTTGGAGATTAGATCTTTAATGAAGTAATTAAGTTAAAATATAGTCATTGGATTTTGAGGCTATTTGTGAAAGGGAATGACTATTATAGAAAATCCAGTTTTATAAAATTATGTGATTATTATGATGTATAAAATTACTTCCTCATTGGAGTTCCTTTCTTCCTTTTATTCTGTAAATTTACTAGTTATCAGGCATTCCTTTTAACTTAACCCAAGCTCTATTTAGGAAGAAGTTACAACTTGTGTTGCAAGGTTAGTTCAAATTTTATTATTCATTTTATCCTTGACCTCAGTGGTTAAAACTATTAAGTAAAGTAATGTTAATTGTGGTGGTGTTTTTTGATTTAGACACTTGTCCACTAGGAATTGGACTGAGACCAATTCATTTCATTCCAGCCACTGAACAGACATCAAGCTGTAATGATTGTTGGTCACTGTTCAAGAGTTTACATTAATATAAAGGGCACACAGGGTAAAACTCAATCATAAATACCACCCTATACATTTAGGTGGACGTTTATGTACTAAACTGTGTGATGTAATGGGGAAAATTATGAATACATATATTTTAATATTTTGCAACTGAGTATGAAGCATCACTATGAATTTTGTTCTGATTTTTTCTCATTGTATAAAAAAAGGGCATTTAAAATCTTTAAAAAGAACTAAAAGAAATTACTTGTCTCAATCCACTAATTATTTGATTACCTAATATTCCTCAAGTACTACAGAGGAAATACATAACATCTGAAATTGAGTAAGGTATGATCTTGGCCCTGAGGAGGGTTATGGTTTAGTATAAGAAATGAGATAAGTAAATGGGTAATAAATGGCAGATTTAAAATGATGGATAACACTTATTGAGTACTCACCTGTTCCAGGCAGTCTTCTAAGAGCTTTATATATATTATGCCAATTGAAACTTTTAACCAGACGTTGAGGTACGTATTGTTTTATAGATAAGCAGACAAAGTTACAGAAAGTTGAAGCAAGTTTGTGAGGTCATGAAGTTAGTAAGTAAACATGTTGGCATTTGAACTCACAATTTTGGCCCCTGCATCACATGCTTAACCTCTGTAGTTTGCCTTTAGGGTAAATTCCTTAAGAACAATGTAAAAACAAAACAAAATTAAAACCCTGCAATCTGGTGTAATACATCACATAAGGCAGAAATCACATCTGTGTTGGGGGATCCTAGAATACTTCTTGGGAAGGATGCATTTGGAAGGGTCCTTAAATTATTTGAATATGTGGAAATCTAGAATGAGACATCATCTTCAGTAGAGAGACTATCTCTTAGACTGCCTAGTTTATCACCAAATCTTCCTGTACACAGAGGCAGACTACCTTGCTCATCCTCCATTGTAAAAGGGTACAATCATGTGACTGAGTTCTCTATCCACAAGAATGTAATTGTATATACATTGTAATGTATATAACATACACTATATCTACAGTAGAAATGCTATAAGATCTGCAGACTTCTAGGCCGGGCCTACAAAATTTCTTATGTAGGATTTTTTCCTGCTTTTCTTCCTTATTGCAGAAGATTCATAGATCTTAGATGAAGATGGTAGACCACATTCACAATATAAAGAGGCGCAGATCCCTGAGTCACAACTTGAACAAGAGTCAACCACCTACTAGGCAAACCCATTTTAGGCATTTTTGAATGAGAATAATTGCTTACTGTGGTAAGCTACTGATATTTTCACATTCATGGACTGTAACAGCCTACCTTCACTTATATAGGAAATATAAGAAGCAGTGTCCTATAAGGAGAATAAATTAAATTTGCCTGTCATCAGTGGTTGAGAAGTGTAATTTGAGGTCATAAGAAGCCAATATAAAAGGTTAAAATTGCATATGGCAAAACTACCCTTAAAATTCCCTATACAGTTCAGTATATACAACATAGCACAATACAAAATAAAATTTACATAGCTGAGTATTTCGAGACCTATAGATGATTGTATCAGTCCTTCTCAGTCTTGCATTGTTAATGTTTTTCTAGTGTCAATTAATTATTCAACTTCTTCCTTTAGGATATTGATGAAACCATTAACCACTTATTTGTCTGCCCACCTGAACCATATGTTCCACTTCTGTAATGGAGAAGAAACATAATCTTTCTAAAGTGTTTGGCAAGTAGTGCTGGTTATTTCAGCCTAGGTTTCTGCCACTGCCTGAGGCATATTACATAATGTGATTTCATGGAATTGAGAGGCAGTTAATATTCTTAGAAAGAACACGGGCTTTATCAGCAGAGAACTTGGGCTTGAATTCCAGCTTTTACATTGTTCTAGTTATGTTGTGGACCTTGGGCAATTTACTTTTTTGAACTTCTATTTTCCAATTAGTAAACTGCAGATAAAAATATAGATATTAAAATTTTGTTCCAAAGATATGTTTATTTATAATAACTAATTTTTACTGAGCATTTATCATGTTGCATTTTCTAAATCCATTGGTCTTTATATTTTCTATAATTTTCAGGTTTCTGTGCTTTATAAACATTGTTGATTTTGGTCTGTGCATGTAATACATTCTGTTAAGTATGTATAGAATTCCTAACTCAGGAATAGACAGCATTTCGGCTTATTTATTTCCTTGTTCCCTTTTTTTACTTTTTATTTGTTTATTTTTTATGAAACAAAGTCTTGCTCTGTCACCCAGGCTGGAGTGCAGTGGCACGATCTCGGTTCACTGCAACCTCTGTCTCCTGGGTGCAAGTGATTCTCCTGCCTCAGCCTCCCACGTAGCTGGGATTGCAGTCATGTGGCACCACACCCGGCTAATTTTTGTATTTTTAGTAGAGACGGGTTTCACCATGTTGGCCAGGCTGGTCTGGAACTCCTGACCTCAGATGATCCACCCGCCTTGGCCTCCCAAAGTGCTGGGATTCCATGTGTGAGCCACCTCACCTGGCCCCTTCTTCTATTTTTTCCTTTATTCGTATCTCCCATTTACCATTATACCTAAATTCAACACATCTTTGATCCCATTTACTCCATTTCTGTTAAGGTTAATCAATTACACAAAAATCATATTTTTAAGTTAATAGGTAAATTACTAGCATTTTTAACTTTTCATTTACGGCAAACTTAGTACCTAGTTAAGGAAGGTGCTGTAAACTTCATTTGACAGAGAGAGTAAATGACTTGTCTTACTGTGTTCCACATTATTTGGTGACAAAGCCAGGACTAAAAAAACAAAAAACAATTAACAATTATGGAGCGCTTATAATTTGTCTAGCACTGTTCATATATTAACTAATTTCCTGCTCATAGCACTTCTGTGAGTTAAGTACTATTATTATCACCAAATCATACACGAGGAAAAGGAGGCACAAGGATGTTTGAGTAGCATGCCAAGGTCATATAACTACTAAGTGGTTGATACGTATTTGAACCCAAATGTTTGCATGTCTAAACCATTCTAGAATGCAGATTATCTTAATGTATGATGTTTGGTACAGTGACTATATATGATATCAGTAAAGGAAAGACATTGTTACTGGACTGTTCAGGAATCTGAAGAAGTCAGCATAACCAAATCATCCTGTTATACAACAGTAGAATATTTAGCTAGTAAGGCATAGTAGGCACACACATTGATATTCTTAAATGCTATGTCTTGCATCTACATGCTTAAACATCGAACATTATTATTGTTTCCTTTTTAAAAGCACAAAGTTTAAAAAGTGAACAAATAACATAACAGTCTTCAATTCTAGGGCTACAGTTAAAATTTAAAAAATAAAATAATCCTCCATGTGGATACTGGAAAATGTTGTCTTTTACTGTGATAGGGTAAATTTCAGCTTTTGGAAAAAGTAGATCTGACAGTACCAGCAAAAATAGATGATTAAATAATTAAATTTAAAATTCTGATATGATAATTTTTGGCTTTATACTGAATATTTATATTATAAGAATCTGTAACTTTATAATATATACTGGTCTAGTGAGATTATTTTAAATAGCTATATACATTATCTGTTGGTAGGCAGGAACAATTTTTCTGTAACATTATGTCTACCTTTTGGAGCTTTGGTTGATGCCTGAAATGTATCAGGAACATATTATCACTGTTATATTTATTCTTTCTATGTGATTTCCACATAAAATGAACTCACCTAAAAAGTTAAAGTTTATCATTTTCCAGCCAGCACTGTGGTCTCAACCTAGGGCTTGAAAATGAGGTTGTGCTCCTTCTCCCTCTCATATATTTATAAGAAACAGGAACTCTGCTGCTGTAAATCAGCTGACAAATTTGATTATGATCCTATAGTAGTAGTTGTGTAGAAAGACCGCAATGGGTCTTGCCACAGAGCCAATTATCTTGATTATTAATGTGCTATTTTTAAAAACGTGACCTTTGTAATTCCTTTATAGATGATCTATAATATGGTTATTCATGAGCAATAATCAAATTTTTCTGCAATTATTTAGATATGCATATAAAATAACTATATTTTACATAATATATCCAAATTAAATGACATTCTATATTTACACATAATCTCAATCTACTATCTGGAAAACCTTACTTTTCAATAACTTACCATCTAACTAGTAGGATGATTAGTTGTGGCCAAAGGGAAAGTTGAAAGAAAAATTGAATAGCTTTTTGCTTCAATAACATTTAATTCAAATCTTTAATGTTTATTATAATCAAAGCACTAAGGTTAGAAGTGACTCCAAAATTTTCATGAGTCGTGCTTATTGGTTGCAATTTGGTGAGAAAAGGAGATTAGAAGACTACTTTTGTTGGCAGTTTTTGCATAACAATTGTGCTTTTTATTTAGATTATAAATTGATAGGGTTAGAATGGAGAGCAGTGAAGAAATGATGGAGAGGGCTACAAAGCCAGATACTTATGGACACCACCACAATGAGATGATATAAAAATAATTAAAAGGCTTTGTGTGTGTGTGGTATTTAATCTGCTGAGGGACACAGATACATACAACTCACTCTAAGACTGATACCATGAGAAATGTAAACTGAATGCCTACATTAGCACAAAGGGAACAATTTATTCGGAGCTGTGGATTATAACAGGTGTCAATGAAAAAGTTGTATTTGAACTGAATCTTGAAGGATAAGTGAGACTTTAAAAGATAGAGGGGATGGCAGGGCCCAGTGGCTCATGCCTGTAATCCCAGCACTTTGGGAGGCTGAGGTCAGGAATTTGAGACCAGCCTGTCCAACATGTTGAAACCCCATATCTACTAAAAATACAAAAATTAGCCAGGTGTGGTGGTGCATGCCTGTGGTCCCAGCTACTCAGGAGGCTAAGGTGGAAGAATCGCTTGAACCTGGGAGGCAGAGGTTGCAGTGAGCTGAGATCGTGCCATTGCACTCCAGCCTGGGCAACAGAGTGAGACTCTGTCTCAAAAAAAAAAAAAAAAAAAAGAAGAAGAAGAAGATGGGAGTAAGAAAAATGTTTCAAGTAGAGGAAATGCAAATGCTATCCACAGTAGTTAAGGCCAAACACAGTGGAGAATCACCAGTATCCAAAATGCTAAGAGTCTATTAGCAGAATGGAGAGCAACGTGAGTGAAGTTTGAAGGAAGGTATGAAGTTGAAATGTGGAATTAAGAATTTGAAACCAGGAGCATATAATGAGTTTTAGCAGGTCAGAGTGTGGGCTTGGGGAGAGATGCAGGTCCTGAATCATTGGTTGGCTGTCATTTGTCATTTGCTTTTAAACGCTTACAGTGACTGGTTGCAAAGTCAGCTTAAGAGAGCCCCCTGCACCCCAAAAAGTCAGGGATAAAATTGAAATAGCCAGAGAAGGAAATAAAATCAAACATGTAAAATTTTGCCCCCCTCCTATTTTCCCTTTGAGCAGTTGACTCTTGCTTATTTCATCTTCTCATGATTCCAGTTGCCCCAAAGGAGAATAGGCTATGTGGAGTCAAGTCAAGCACTTTTGTTTCTGTAAGGGAAGGGCAAAGGCAGATCTGTGGTGGCAGATCACTGGGTGCTGTTTACTCAGTGCCTCCATTCTTACTTTTTAGCTGACTCTTCTCAAGTACTGAGCCAATAGGGTAGCATTCGAAGAGTTGTACATTACAAATTAAATTGAACAAAGCTATATCCTGTTCAAGAACAAATTTTCTTAGTGGGTAAATAGAGAAACACTAGTTACATAAGGTAAGTGAAATGGCATTACTGTTTCCATGGAGCCAAAGAAAATGCAAAGTAGAGTGGCAGACACTAAGGATACAGTATTTTCATACTTTTGCATAGGATTGGTCCTTCCTTCCTCTTCACCAGATCAAATCAAGTCATCCTTTGTTATATTCCCTTCCCTCTCCAATGTTACCTTCCTGACCTATAAGTTCCTAGCTCCTTACTTCAACCTCTCTTGAATTGCCCACCCAGATTAATAATCCTCAGTTGATCCCTAAATACAACACTGACTCTTCTATATCATCTTTCAAGAACACAATAGTTATCAACTGAGTGGGTACAGATTCTCTTTCATGTGAATGGATGCTGCAAGTGGTTGAACAGATACAGTCCTCTCAGAGATGAGAACTGGGGAATCTAACTGGGTGTTTGTTTTGGGTGACTCTCTTCTTTTAAAAGTGTCACTAGTATAGCATCTGACACATTGCTGAAGCTTAATAAATGTTTATTGCTGTTAATCAAGGCCAGTGACTTCTTGTCATCTTCAAGCTGAAGAACCAGGAAAGTCAGTGGTGAAAAGTAGTTTATGAAATGACATATCCAACGGGGAAAAATGCATAATTTGTCTGACTGGTTTGCAGTGGAGAAATAAGCCAGCTGTATATGTGGTGCACAAGAACAAAATAAAATACTATTTTGAGATTTATTTGGAAATACCTGTTTCCCAAGACCTTGCAGACTGTGGGCCAGATTTTAGCCTTGTGTAATTCCGTAGGACAGCTCTCTAATTTGCAATGATCAAAACAGAGCATTTTAACACAAAGATTTGTTATTTTATTTTTTATAACAGAAACTTCTATTGTTAATAAGATCATTGCAAAATCAGTATATTCTCATCAAGTCATAAATACCATGATGTTGAAATAATGAATTTTGAAGTTTGAGATCTCTATATTAAGAAAGATAAACTGACCAATTATATGAATCATACATTGAAATAAATATTTATTCTTTTTCTCCAATGCCTCAATTTTTTAAACCTAATATGTGATGAATAAGGATCCTTCTCTCCATCAAACATTTGGTAATTTCCTAAATCTTTTTTATGGTTAGAGCTTCAAAATGACAATTCAAAGCATCTGTATTAGTCTGTCCTCACACTGCTATAAAGAACCACTGAAGACTGGGTAATTTATAAAGAAAAGAAGTTTAATTGACTCACAGTTCTGCAAGCTGTACAAGAGGCATGGCTGAACAAGCTTCAGGAAACCTACAATCATGGTGGAAGGTGAAGGGGAAGCCAGAGCGTCTTACAAGAAGGAACAAAATAAGAAAGAGAGAAGGGGAAGTGCTACACACTTTCAAACAACCAGATGTGGCGAGTACTCTATCAGGAGACAGAAGTCGGGGGACGGTGCTAAATCATTAGAAACCAGCACCATGTCACGCCTGTAATCCCAGCACTTTGGGAGGCTGAGGTGGGTGGATCACGAGGTCAGGAGATCGAGACCATCCTGGCTAACATGGTGAAACCCCGTCTCTACCAAAAATTAAAAAAAGAAAAATTAGCCAGGTGTGGTGGCGGGCGCCTGTAGTCCCAGCTACTTGGGAGGCTGAGGCAGGAGAATGGCGTGAACCCGGGAGGCGGAGCTTGCAGTGATCCGAGATAGCACCACTGCACTCCAGCCTGGGCGACTGAGAAAGACTCTGTCTCAAAAACAACAACAACAAAAAAGAAACCAGCACCACGATCCAGTCACCTCCCACCAGGCCCCATCTCCAACACTCAGAATCATAATTCAACATGAGATTTGGGTGAGGACACGGAGCCAAACCATATCAGCGTCTATCAACCATCTATCAACCAATAAAATACCAAAAATCCAAATGAAAACATGAGACTTTGTCACTTTCTGGATGTGATAGCCCCAGTAAGTTGCCATAATTTTATTTAGTGTGGTCTACTCCATCACTTTATTATTTGAGAGGCCCATCTAATAAGACAATTTCTGAATTGATATAAAGTTATGCATTTACCATCATAAACTAACACTTATGGAGTTGTCTTTTACTATGAATTATTATACCCATAATCTTCAGTCTATTTATAAAGATGAATCAAAAACCTTTTGAAAGACCTTTTTTCTTCTGATTTTCTTTCCTCCAAAAACTGGACTAGAGAAAATAAGTTTACAAATAAGAAGAAGTCAAGGGGAAAGCTTATTTCTTCTTCTTATAAAAATTTTATTTATATTTTAAAAAACACAGTAGTTTAATATGCTGTGTAAATATGCCTTTTTGTTGTCCAAGTATTTGAAGTAAAAAAATGGATTCATAATTAACATATGGCAGCTCTCTGATGCCTTAATAAATAGAAAAGAGCTTTTGTTCAAAGTTGTCAGAGCTCTTTTACAAATTAATTGACCCAACCTGGCGAATGCAGTGTAGCCCCATATCCTGAAGGGGGAAATAAGTATAGCCAGCTTAAAATAAATCCTAAGTTGTAGAACATATCTAAAAGTGAACAAGAAAAGTACTTCTGAGAGGTATATTTAGGGACAGCTTTACATTTTCCTGTCCTCGACTGGTGACAGAGGCACCACTGCTATCCTTTCATTCTGACTTCATATATTATAGAACTAGTTTTGTCTTTTGTTCCAAATGCATGGGCAGATGACAAAGCTGTATTTCCACAGTTACACTAATGAGTTCCACATGATTATATTAAGAATTTGTGTATGTGTGTGTGTATGTGTGTGCATGACTGTTGTTTGCACTTACATGGAACATTCAACATTAAAAGATTAAATACTTTATAATTTCACTTATGTGACATTCTGGAAAAGGCAAAGGTATATTGAAGAGAATTGGCTCTTACTAGGTGTTGGGGCCTGCTGTGACTATAAAGGGTAGCCCCAGGAAGATTTTTTTTGTAAGTAATATAACTATTCTGAAGCCTGATTGGTGTGGTGGTTACACGAATCTCTGCACGTGCTACGATTTCTTGAACTGATCTCCAAAAAAGGTCAACTTTACTGAAGTAAATTTACAAGGTACAAAAAAAGTTGAAAAATGATTTGATTTTTTTTAGTATTAAGTCTTAATTGCGGTCCTCTTCTTATATGATAGAAAGATATTTAAATGATTTATAGGAATAGCTGATGAAAATATTTCCAGAATTATGAAAAAATTTTTGGATCGTTGTTTTTATTTTTTTCTTAACTTTATTATTATTATACTTTAAGTTTTAGGGTACATGTACACAACGTGCAGGTTTGTTACATGTGTATACATGTGCCATGTTGGTGTGCTGCACCCATTAACTCGTCATTTAGCATTAGGTATATCTCCTAATGCTAGCCCTGCCCCCTTCCCCCACCCCACAACAGTCCCCAGTGTGTGATGTTCCCCTTCCTGTGTCCATGTGTTCTCATTGTTCAATTCCCACCTATGAGTGAGAACATGTGTTTGGTTTTTTGTCCTTGCGATAGTTTTCTGAGAATGATGGTTTCCAGCTTCATCCATGTCCCTACAAAGGATATGAACTCATCCTTTTTTATGGCTGCATAGTATTCCATGGTGTATATGTGCCACATTTTCTTAATCCAGACTATTGTTGGACATTTAGGTTGGTTCCAAGTCTTTGCTATTGTGTATAGTGCTGCTATAAACATACGTGTGCATGTGTCTTTATAGCAGCATGCTTTATAATCCTTTGGGTATATACCCAGTAATGTGATGGCTGGGTCAAATGGTATTTCTAGTTCTAGATCCCTGAGGAATTGCCACACTGACTTCCACAATGGTTGAACTAGTTTACAGTCCCACCAACAGTGTAAAAGTTTTCCTATTTCTCCACATCCTCTCCAGCAGCTGTTGTTTCCTGACTTTTTAACGATCGCCATTCTAACTGGTGTGAGATGGTATCTCATTGTGGTTTTGATTTGCATTTCTCTGATGGCCAGTGATGATGAGCATTTTTTCGTGTGTTTTTTGGCTACATAAATGTCTTCTTTTGAGAAGTGTCTGTTTATATCCTTCACCCACTTTTTGATGGGGCTGTTTGCTTTTTTCTTGTAAATTTGTTTGAGTTCATTGTAGATTCTGGATATTAGCCCTTTGTCAGATGAGTAGGTTGCAAAATTTTCTCCCATTCTGTAGGTTGCCTGTTCAATCTGATGGTAGTTTCTTTTGCTGTACAGAAGCTCTTTAGTTTAATTAGATCCCATTTGTCAATTTTGGCTTTTGTTGCTGTTGCTTTTGTTGTTTTAGACATGAATTCCTTGCCCATGCCTATGTCCTGAATGGTATTGCCTAGGTTTTCTTCTAGGGTTTTTATGGTTTTAGGTCTAACATTTAAGTCTTTAATCCATCTTGAATTAATTTTTGTATAAAGTGTAAGGAAGTGATCCAGTTTCTGCTTTCTACATATGGCTATCCAGTTTTCCCAGCACCATATATTAAATAGGGAATCCTTTCCCCATTTCTTGTTTTTGTCAGGATTGTAAAAGATCAGATAGTTGTAGATATGTGGCATTATTTCTGAGGGCTCTGTTGGTCTATATCTCTGTTTTGGTACCAGTACCATGCTGTTTTGGTTACTGTAGCCTTGTAGTATAGTTTGAAGTCAGGTAGCGTGATGCCTCCAGCTTTGTTCTTTTGCCTTAGGATTGACTTGGCAATGCGGGCTCTTTTTTGGTTCCATATGAACTTTAAAGTAGTTTTTTCCAATTCTGTGAAGAAAGTCATTGGTAGCTTGATGGGGATGGCATTGCATCTATAAATTACCTTGGGTGGTATGGCCATTTTCACGATATTGATTCTTCCTATCCATGAGCATAGAATGTTCTTCCATTTGTTTGTGTCCTCTTTTATTTCATTGAGCAGTGGTTTGTAGTTCTCCTTGAAGAGGTCCTTCACATCCCTTGTAAGTTGGATTCCTAGGTATTTTATTCTCTTTGAAGCAATTGTGAATGGGAGTTCATTCCAAAGGAGATACTTTTAAAGACAGGACCCACCCACCAACATCAGGATAATTAAAAAGCATACTATTTAAAATGCAGTTTATTTTCTTGCTCTGAGAAAACTTTTAATGATTCCTCGGCAAGCAATAATTATCTAGCTATGTCTACAAATCTTCTGAACTTTATTTTGGGCATTAAAAGAAAGTACAATAGCAAGGAATGGATAGGATTTGGTTGCCATTTCTGGAAAGATTACTAAGCCTCAGTGCAGATAAACAGTCAGTTATTCTGAAAAAAATCAACATCATTGTCTTCCTGGACTAATTAGTCAATTCAGATTAAAAAAATAGATCTGGAAATTCCAGAACAGCCCATGAACTTCTCATATGTTATGATAGCAATACAGGTGCATTTTGAAAACTTAGCCAAAAAGGAATTAATATTAAAAGCCACTTTATTCTTTTTTGTGTAGAATCTTCCTGAGTTCTCTCTACGAAAAGCAAATTAAGCCCAGTCTTTGGACTGGGATCTCAACCTACACTGTTGGCCTGTAACCCAAGAGCCACATCTCAACGACTGGCAGGACTAGCAACCCAGCTATATAAAATGAAAGCTTTGGAAACAATCTTGAGCATCTCTTTCTTCTCTTACACCAAATCTGTCTTCAAATTTCCATCAGTTTTAGCTTCTAAGGATCTATGGTCTTATCTCCACACCCACTGCCACTATCTTGGTCCAAACTGTTGTCACCTCCTACCTGAAATACTGTAGTGGTTGTCTAATATGTCTCCTTCAATCACCCTCCAGCCTTTAATTGCTTCTCCATACAACTTCACAGCAAACTTCTTAAAATGTCAATCTCATCATACAGAAGACAAAATTTCTTAGTATAGCCTGTTAAGACTTTGCAAGGTCTGACCAGAAACTATGACTGACCACGTATGCTCCTTTTCTCTTTAATCCCAAATACACTCTAGGTAACTTTCAGTTAGAAGAATGCACTGTGAAAATTTCAACCAGATTCAGACATTGCTCATTCTAAAGTATCCCTCTTTTATCATCATCTTAATTGTATATTTGCTAATGCAGAAAATATTCAACTTACAGTAGATCCAATGTTAGATGATCCTTCTGGAATTAATTAGATCCAAAACATTTGATCAAGAAACACTTAACTAACATCTCAGAAACATTCCTGTTTTATCTGAGGCTGCATACATTTTAAAGTAAGCAGTGTTTAAATCAAAATATCTTAGAAATTTTTTCCTTTTTGTTGATAAAACTTTTATATCTATTATGAGTAATGTTTAACAATATGAAACTCATTTTATGGTGATAAGCAATTTTAAAAAGTCATAAAATTGGGTAACTTACAATGCATACAATACAACTGAAACACCTTTTTTGTTTTGTTTTGTTTTGCTTTTTTGAGACGCGATCTTACTCTGTCACCCAGGCTCGAGCGCAATGGTGTGATCTCAGCTCACTGCAACCTCCATATCCCATGCTCAAGTGATCCTCCGACCTCAGCCTACAGAGTAGCTGGGACTACAGGCGTGCACCTGCACACTCAGCTAACTTTTGTACTTTTTGTTGAGATAGGGGTCTGACCATTTCGCCCAAGCTGGTTCAAACTCCTGGGCTCAAGTGATCCACCTACCTCGGCCCCCCAAAACGCTGGGATTACAGACATGAGCCAACACATCCGGCCTGAAACCACTTTAAACTTTCATTTTCTTCAATTAATTAAACAAAAATACTTTCATATTTTATCATTAGTAAGATCATGTCAAGGTAGATAAAAGTTAGAATTATCCAAACATCTTAAAGTCATGCTCTAAAAATGTTAATATTCTGACTAAAAATGAAATCTAGGTTAAAACAAGAAAGAAAACACAACCTGAATATTCTTGGAGAAAAATAAAATTCCTTTTGAAATTTGAATTTACACAGTAAGGAAAGCAATCATATACAATATGGGAAAATCAAAGCTATCAAGCAAGAGAAAGCTTCCATTTAGAAATAATACTTCAGACTGTAATAGACTTTAAAAGAACACTTTCAAGGTTGTTAGGCCATTTTTGTGTCCTCTCTAAAGAGTTGTTTTATTATAAGACTCTTTCCCATAGAAATAGATACTTTATTCCCAATTTATCTTTTCTCTAGTAGGAGAATGGAGAGAAAAGAAAAGTCAGATTGCCCTGCAATTTTTTTCCCAGAAACACACCATTACACCTATCCTCTAGTTACTTTTTACTATAGAAAGATCTGGCAAATAACTTGCTATTCTTTTTAAATATAAAGGTATTCTGCATGGTGAATTCTTGCAGCAAAACTAAATTAGATGGCGGAGGTATTGAGTGGTAAGAGGAATTTATGAGTGTACTTGCAAGAGTTAAATTAATATATTTGTCAATGTTTGTTGGCATTTTTGGCTCAGTGTAAATAACAAGGCCAAATATTTCTATGTATTGTTGATAAATTGGATACATCAAATAAAATCCAGCATGTATTAAGAAATGGGACATGAACAATGTAAGTCCAAGAAATAGTGTCTTCACTGAATAAAAACATATCTTCAATCTTGGTTATCCTGAATCTCTATATAAGCCCAATATAAAAATTGCTTGTATGATAAGAAGAAATAAATAATATCCCTAATAGAGGAGTAAAAACTCAACTGAGCCAGAAATCGTTCATTCTAGCTAGCTGTGGGTCAGCTGCTCACTATTTAAAACCCTTTTACCCTGAATCTCAGATATCTACACCCCTCCCCAAATGAAGGACTATTATAAAATTCTGAAATCAAATGTTTTTAAAAATTTCTTCGGATGTCGCACCTATTCCTTTACTTACTTATTTAATTAATTAACTTATTTATTTATAACTTTTATGTTAGGGGGTACATGTGTAGGTTTGTTACATAGGTTACCTTGTGTCGTGGGGGTTTGCCATGCAGATTACTTAATCACCCAGGTATTAAATCTAGTGTGTCATTCCCCAATATTTTAATATAATATTTTGTTAAGACCATTTTTATGGGTGGCAATGGCTCTAAATGTACTAAAAACTAATCGGGAAAATTGAAAATTATAAATATTTATAACTGAAAGAGAACCTATTATGTTGGAAAACTTTAGTAATAAAGGTATGTTTGTTTTGTTTTTTACTCATTTGGAATAAAATGTATACACTTGAGAATAGAAAGAATAAAAAGAAATCATCCCCAAATTTAATGAATGCAAATTTAAGCACAGCAAATAGTTTTATCAGTTTTGTTCTTTGTTTCTACTCTAAAATTATAACAATGATCAACTAGTTGGACAACTAACTAGTTATATCTTTCAGCTGTGAGCATCACAAATAAAAGTACAGCTTTCTGGTATGTAACACTCAGTTCTTTTTGTTGCTTAGATTTTCTTTTTTGATTAATACATATTTATTAGAAAATTACATAGTTATTTTTTAAAAATATTAAAGATATATCAAGAGATAGACATTATGTCCTGTAGTTTCAACAATCTTATATATAAAAAAATGCCTCAATCATGTGAATGTTTGGCAATATTGTTTTTCACAGATGATAAAGAATTATTTTATAATTTGAGGAAATCAGAGCTATATGCCATTCATTTCAACAGTGCAATTTGATCAGTTGTGTAACCTAGCCTGGTTTAGAACTGATTATTTCTTTTTATTTTTTTCAGCAAAACAATAAGATCCAATACACCAACTGTGATGGTTAATACTGTCAACTTGATTGGATTGAACAATGCAAAGTATTGATCCTGGGTGTGTCTGTGTGGGTGTTGCCAAAGGAGATTAACATTTGAGTCAGTGGGTTGGGGAAGGCAGACCCACCCTTAACCTGGTGGGCACAGTCTAATCAGCTGCCAGTGAATATGAAGCAGGAAGAAGACAGTGAAAAGGTGAGACTGGCCTGGCCTCCCAGCCTACATCTTTCTCCCATGCTGGATGCTTCCTGTCCTCAAACACTGGACTCCACGTTCTTCAGTTTTGAGACTTGAACTGGCTCTCCTTGCTCCTCAAGCTTGCAGACAGCCTATTGTGGGAACTTGTGATTGTGTAAATGAATATACAATAAATTCCCCTTTATATATATATATATATATATATATATATATATATATATATATATCCTGTTAGTTCTGTCCCTCTAGGGAACCCTGACTAATACACCAACACAGCATCTTAACTCTAGGCGAAAAAAGATAACCTGGCAAGATGAAAGGCTCTTAAGCCTCTGTTAAAACCTTTATGCTTGCTATTACATATTGGCTTCCAAGGTGGCCCCACAGGATCCCAACTCCTTCGTTGTCATGGCCTACCTAGCTCCCACCACATTGGATAGATCTCATTTATGTATTCAACAGAATATTGAGAATATTGAGTGTGACTGTCAAGACCAGATGATAAAGGACATTGTGGCATCTTTGTTACTCGGATTCTTGGATTGCTTAGTTTGTGAGAACCTAGCTGCCATGTTGCAAGGACACTCATGCAGTACTATAAAGAGGTCCATATGGAGAGAAAGTGAAGCCTCCGCCAACAGCCAGTGAAGACAACAGACAGCAGCTATGTCGAATGAGCTATTTTGGAAGTAAATTCTCCAGGCCTTGCCAAGCCTTCAGATGAACATAAGCCCAGCTGACATCTTGATTGTAACCTCCGGAGAGACTCACTGCCAGAATCACCAGACTAAACTGCCCCAGATTCCTGACGCTCTCAACTCTGTGAGATAATAAATGTTTCTTGTTTTAATTAGTTAATTGGGGTAATTTGTTATGCAGCAATAAGTAACTAGTACACTTACTAAGGGCCTTTAATCTTTTATTTTTAAAAAAGCATCTTGTCATCACTACTCTACCATAGATGCACGCATGCACAGGCACACACCCTCATATGTACTTGTACATATACCAATGGAAAACATATCCTAAAACTTATTTTTTCTACCCCAAATGCACTCAGTAAGAAAATATTCACATTTTCTCTAAATAACTCCAAGTTAATTTTACTGCATATTAAAAATTGCTTAACTTTAGAATATCTTAAAATTATTGCATCTAAAAAGTCAAGAATTAATTTTACTTTTTAAGTATTTGTGTATGATAACAAAATGAATTTAACCTAACAGTGCTACTTACTAAAAATAATAAGCCTGAACTCTGTTACACTGCATATCATATAAAAATAAACCACTATAACTCTCTCAGACATTTTGTGTTCCCATGACTAAGAGTTTATATTAACACTACCAAGAGAGATTTTATTTTGACATGGACAAAGGTAGTCTCAGGAACCACAAAAAAACTGTGTACATAACATGAAATACAAGGTAAGTTTGCCATCAGCACACAATGCTTCTTGCCTAAGACCTTTACCATAACACGTAAACAAATTTATGTGTTGATTGTTTCACTGCATTAGCTGGTTTGTCTGCCGACTACGAAGAACTCCTAAGTGCAACATCTTAAACACATTCCTTATATTTAACACCACAGGAGACCACTTTTGCACTTCCTATTTGTTGTGTGTGTGTGTTTGTTTTTTATTTTTTGCTTTATTTTGAACTGGGGACACTAGAGGTTGGAAAGACATGCAAGGGTTGTTTGTTTCCCACAAACCAGTAATCTTGCTGTGAGAAAAGGGAAGCTCCCGTCTCAAGCTTCTGCAGAAATGCACTGATTGGCACTCAGCTGATTCGTTGATCTTAAGCACAGCCAGTAGAAGTCTGATTATAATTATCCTTTTTCCTGTTCTCTCTGTATATATCAGGTGCAGCAGGGCTCTCAGGGATGTGCTGTTTAATATCAAAACCCAACAAAGTTGGAGAGTTCCCCTTCCTCATTCAATGGTAGGCAAGGAAACACATTTAATATGTCTAAGTTGTTTGCAAGCCAAGTCAAACATAGCACAGCTCATGATCGGAGCCTAGCCAAGTGCTCATAGTGGGTGGTCAATGCACATTTGTCTAATTTAATTGAATGATCACAAAGAGTTTTAAACTAAACTGGAGCTTTAAAAAGTTTCCATTGTAAGCTCCAGCTTTTAACACAATAATATGGTGGCATATTCGTATTCTCAAAATGTGACTATGAGAGTCTTTCTGGAAACTTCCTGTGGTGTAGACTCTAATTACAATATGTGACCAGCAGAGTGACAATGGAAGCTCCCTGCCATAGTTTTCTAACCCCCTCCTAGAGAGTTAATGAACTGTCCAGTATCTTTCTAATGAATTCTTTCTCTCTTTCAATTATCCAGAGTTATTTTCTGTTTCATACAACTAAGAGCCTTGACTGATACAGAGATTATTTAAAGAATAGATTCCAGAATTTGAAGATTTTAGGCCACTTAGAAGAGAAAATAAAAATATATTAAACCGATAAGCGCTGAAAATATCATGAAATTAAAATATGCTATTTCAACATAAATATGATTTTACAATTAAAATCATAACATTAAACAAGAAACACTAAACATCATAACACCAAAAGCAAGAAAAATATAATTTCTGATAAAAAAGTCACTTAGTATACCATATTTTGATGCTGGAAAAGATAATTTTTCACAGTGGAACCAGTGATCCATAAGCATTTGGAAACCGTTGCTCTAGCTGAAGTATATTCTTGACCATCCCTTACAACCATCTTACTTTGTTTTATGCTCTGCTTCCTCTTGAATGCTTTGATGCTTAGAAATTTCTTCCCCCAAGTACCCTAAATCATCTCTCTCAAGTTCAAATTTCCACAGATCTCTAGGGCAGGGCAAAATGCTGTCAGTCTGTTTGTTAAAGGATAGCAAGGGTCACCTTTATTCCAGTTACCAACAAGTTCCTTATCTCCATCTGATACCACCTTAGCCTGGACTTTATTGTCCATATCACTATCAACATTTTGGTCAAAGCCATTCAGCAAGTCTCTAGGAAGTATCCAACTTTCCCACTTGTTCCTGTCTTCTGAGCCCTCCAGATTTCTAGGAAGCTCTAAACTTTCTCACATTTTCCTGTCTTCTTCTGAGTCCTCCAAACTGTTCCAACCTCCGAATGTTACCCAGTTCCAAAGTTGCTTCCACATTTTTGGGTATACTTAAGATAGCATCCCTTTCTACCAGTACCATTTACTGTATTATTCTGTTTTCACACTGCTATGAAGAAATACCCAAGACTGAGTAATTTATAAAGGAAAGAAGTTAATTGACTCACAATTCCACATGGCTGGAGAGGCCTCAGCAAACTTGTAACCTTGGCAGAAGGCACCTCTTCACAAAGTGGCAGGAGAGAGAAGGAGCCCTGAGTGAAGGGGAAGCCCCTTATAAAACCATGAGATCTCATGAGAACTTAAACACTATCATGACAATAGCATGGGGGAAACTTCCCTCATGATTCCATTACCTCCAACCAGGTCCCTCCCACCACACATGGGAATTATGGGAACTATAATTCAAGATGATATTTGAATAGGGACACAGCCAAACCATATTATGTGATATTAACATAAGTATATACATATAGATCAATGGAATAAAATTAAAGATTTGGAAATAAGTCTATACATTTATGATAAACTAATTTTCTATAAAGCAAATTCAAAGGAGAAAAAATAGTTTTGTTTTGCTTTTCCAGCAAATGATGCTGGGGCAACTAAATAGCCACACAGAAAATTGTGAAATTGGACACCTTCTCAAAGCAAATACAAAAATTAACTCAAAATGGATCAAAGACCTAAATGTAAAAGCTAAAATGATTTAACTAGTAGAAAAAACAAACAAACAAGTGTAAATCTTTGTGGCCTTTGATTATGCAATGATATTCTTAGATGCAATGATAAAACCAAAGAAAAAATAAATTACATTTTATCCAAATTTAAAAACTTTGTTCTTCAAAAGATGCTATTGAGAAAGTAAAGACAGCACCTAGGATGGGGAAAAAAAAAACCTTTGCAAATAATATATATATATTATAATGGTCTATTGTCCAGAGTATATTAAAAAATCATTACAATTCAAGAATAAAGTCAAATAACCCAATTTAAAAACTGGGCAAAATATTTGAATAGACATTTTCCCTAAAGAAATACAGAAATGGCTAATATGCACATAAAAAGAGACACAGCCTCATTAGTCTTTGAGAAAATACAAATCAAAACTAAAATGAGGTACCACTTCACATCTAGTAAGATGACTATAATAAAAATGACAGACGAGTTTTGATAAAGATATGATAAAGATGTGGATATATTGGAATCCAAATAAATTGCTGATGAGAATGTAAAATGCTGTAATAACTTTGGAAAACAGTTGGTGAGTTTCTCAAAAGATTACATGTAGAGTTACCATAGGACATGCCAATTCCAGCCTTAGATGTATGCTCAAAAAATTGAATACGTATGCCCATAAAAAAGCTTTCATATGAGTGTTCATAGCAGCATTATTTATAATAGCCAAAAAATGGAAACAATCCAAATGCATAAAAGGTCAACTAGTGAATTGGTAAACAAAATGTGGATTTATACAATGGAACATTATTCAGCATTAAATAAAATGAGGTACTATAATATGCATAAACCTTGAAAACATTATACTAAGTAAAAGAAGACAACACAAAAATGCCAAATATTATATAATTTCATTTCCATGAATTATCCAGGCTAAATAAATTTATAAAAAATAAATTAGTGTTTATCAGGAAATGGAGGGAGTGGGGAAGGCGGAATAACTACTAATGCATATGGCATTCTTTTAGGGCAGATGAGAATGTTTATAATTAAATAGTGCTCAAGGTTGCACAATTTTGTATATACACTAAAAATCATTGTACTGTATACTTTAAATTGATTAATATAATGGTCTGTGAATTATATCTCAGTTAAAAAGAAATAAGTAGAAACTTCCAGCTTAAGTTCAGAGATGATGAGAGATATAAAGAGCATCACCCCTACAATAACAAGCAGAAAAAAAAAAAACAAAAAAAAAAAAAACAGGAAAAAGGAAATTAAAATTTTTTCTTGGGCTTATCATAGACTTAAGATTATAAGGCAAACAACAAATCCAAAATATGGGCAGATCCAGAAACTGTTCAGTTGCTTACAGGAGCAGATAACACCAGGCACCAAATAAACTGCTATAAAAATGTATGAAAAAAAAAGTTTTAACAAGTTGCTAAAGGCCATGTGTGGCTAGCATGAAATTAAGAAACCCTAAGGATCTTAGAGATAGTGGAGTTCGAGTTGGGGGAGGGGACTATTTTTGTAGCCTTATTTTTCATTAAACCCACCAGGCCCTCACAAAGAACATTAGGAATGATCCTGAGAAAGACTTCCTTGTGGTTCTGGCTGAGGGTAACAGCAGCTACTGCTGAAACTCCATTCAAAATCATCTCTTCTATCAATCCTATAAAATGAAAGCCTACATCTGCACATTAAAGAGCAAAAAAAATATTGTCACCTTGGGGCACTCATGGAACTATAGTGCAGGTGGAGAAAAAATAGCTAAGCCATAAAGCTCTATCTTTAAGGATAGGGTAGGCTATATGCTACATGTGTAGGAGGGGAAGTTGCAGCTTTCAACCACAAATGCAAAAAAGGTCTCCATCCCCACTACTCACCACCATACCAACATGTCAGGCAATCATTACATTGGAATACAACTGGGAGAGCTCCAAAACAAAGATGCTATCTGGGAAGCACTGCAAAGGGAAATCCCGAAGCCAAGTAGGAAATGCGCATTGAGAACTACCTTCTTAAATACAAGGCCACACCAAAAACACAAGGCATCATTAAAAGAATGTGAAGCTGGTGGTGCACTGAGGTAACCCCAGCAAAAACAAATATTAAATCCAGCAACATTAACAAAAACTCCCACACTAAAGTCCTAGCAGAAAAAAGTCATATATATTGACAGACAGAAAAAATATTTACATTATCTGCTGTCAGTTACAACACTTACGAATTTCAAACAAAATTTTAAATCATACAACATGGGAAGGAAAACTCAATCTGATAAGACAAAACTTTCATTAGAATCAGAGTAACGTGTGACACAAATAGTAAAACAATCAGAATTTGAATTTAAAATAATTATAATGAATATGTTAGAGGATCCAATAAAAAGGTAAACATCATGCATGATCAGACAGGTTATTTCAACTTGGAGATAAAGTTTAAAAGAAAAATAAAATAAAAATGGACAATAGAAAAAGACTTGAAACTTTCAAGGAAAATGGGAACTTGAAGATAGGTCAGAACAAATCACCTCAACTGAAATGGAAAAAGAAATAAATGTGGGGAGTGTAAAGAGAGAAGAAAAAAAAAGAAAGAAGAGAGCATCCATGAATTATGGGATAATATTAAATGCTATAATATATCTGTGTAACTGGTAACATGGAAAGAGAGAAGAGAAAGAATGAGTAGAAAAAAATATTTAAAGAAATAATGGCCAATTTTTTTTTTTTCAAAATTAATGGCAGATACCAAATGACAGATCCAAGAATTTAGACAACAGGCTGGTTAAATAACAAAACAGAATAACTACAACCAAACCAAATCAAACAAACAATAACAACAAAAACCTGAGCATGTGTAATATTGAAACCACTAAAACCAAAAACAAAGATCTTTAGGAAAGCCAAAGAATAAGATATACATTACCTGTAGAGGGACTAGAATAACAAATATAGCAGAATTATTTTCAGAAACCCAAAAAATAGGCTGGATGCAGTGGTTCATGCCTGTAATCCCAATTCTTTGAGAAGCTGAGGTGGGAAGATCACTTGAGGCCAGGACTTTGAGATCAGTCTGGGCAACATAGTGAGACCACGTGTCTAAAAGAAATCTTTAAGAAATTAGCCAGCTGAGGTGGCAAGAGCCTATAGTTTCAGCTACTCAGGAGGCTGAGGTGAGAGGATCACTTTAGTCCAGGAGTTGGAGACTGCAGTAAGGTACAATCCCACCACTGCACTCCAGCCTGGTTGACAGAGCAAGACCCTGCCTCTAAAAAAGGGAAAAGAAAAGAGAAAAAAAGCATGCAATCATAAAAAACAATGCAATGACATATTTAAAGTGCTTAAAGTAAAACAACTTTCCAACCAAAATTTAATATTCAGTAAAACCACCTTCAATGATAAAAAGAAGTTAAAGCTTTTCCAGATCTAGAAAATCTGGGAGGATTTAATGCCACAGTATCTATTCAATGTTTAAGGAAGTTCGTTGGGGAAAAAATATGTCAGAAACCTAACCTAAAATGTCAGTAATGGAATAAATAAAGCCAATTAAATTAAGTTTTTATATTAATTGTTCTAAAATATAAGTGTAAAGCAAAAAGAGTATATATTATAGGATATACATATATCACATACAATGTGTGATATATATATATATCCCATACTCTCTCTCTATATTTTTATATATACACTGTATATGTTATATACATACATATATCTATGTAAATGTTATATATATAGTGTGTGCATATATATAAATATATATATTTCAGAACTCACCAAAAATATTCTAATAAAATATTTGTAAAATCTGTATGCTGCAAACTACAAAACACTGATGAAAGAAATGAATGAAGAGATGTACCACTTTTGCAGAACAGAAGACTGAATATTTTTGAAATATCAATTCTCCCAATTTAATTAGTGGATTCAAAATAATCTCAATCCAAAATCATGGCTAGTATATCCACAATGTGTTTCTAAAAATTATATAAAAAGTCCATAAGAATAAGAACAGCCAAAGTAGTTATGAAAATGAAGAACAAAGTTGAAGAACTCACACTATCTGGTTTAACACTTAGTGTAAAGCTACAGTTAAAAAGGCAGCATGTGTTAACATAAAGTTAGACAAAGACATAGACAGATGGATCAGAATAGAGAGCCCAGAAATATACCTAATCAATGTAGTTTGATTTTTTACAAAGGTGGAACAGATATCCAATAGAGAAAGAATAGTCTTTTCAATAAATGGTGTTAGAACAATTGGATGCCCATATGCAAAATAACAAATCTTGATACATAACTCACATCTTTTGTAAAAATTAATTCCAAAAAGATAAATGATCTAAATGTAAAATATAAAACCAAGAAGTCTAGAGGTAAAAATAAATGAAAATCCACATAAACCTTTAGTTTGATAATGCTTTTAGAAAAAAACAACAAAATCACACCTGATAAAGGACTTGTAACCACAATATACACAAAACTGTTGAAGCTCAACAACTAGGAAATGAACACCCCTGTTAAAAAAAAAAATAGGCACAAGCTAGGCACAGTTGCAAGGGCCTATAGTCACAGCTATTCAGGAGGCTGAGGCAGGTAGATACTTGAGTCCAAGAATTCAGGACTAGAGTGCCTTATAATATCACCTGTGAATAATCATAACACTGCAGCCTGGGCAACATACTGAGATCTCATCTCTAAAAAAGATAAAATAGGCAAAAGATCTGAACAGACATTTCTCCAAAAAAGATATATGGATGGCAAATAAGCAAATGAAATGACACTCGGCACATCAGTCATTACAGAAATGGAAAAATAAAGCCACATGTGATACTCTAGAAATCTATTGGAATGGAAGGAAGGAAGTGAGGAAGGAAGGAAGGAAAGAAGGAAGGATGGATGGAAGGAAGGAAGGAAGGAAAGGAGGGGTGGAGGGAGGGAAAACCTGACAATATCAAATGCTGGTTAGGATGTAAGGAACAGAGATCCTTGTTCACTGATGGTGGAAATGCAAAACTGGTACAGTCATTTTGGAAAACAGGTAATTTTTTATAAAGTCAAATACATACTTACCATATGACCAAACAATCCCACTTCTATTATTTACACAGATGTACTTCAATGAGTAAATGGTGCCACATCCATACAATGAAATAGTGCTCAGCAATAAAAATAAATGTTATTGATTCACATAACATTGATAATTTTTAATATGTTGCATTAAGCAACAGAAGTTAGAACAAAAGGATACACATTGTATGATTATGTTGATCAGTGGCACCAGAGGTTGGGAGTAAAATAAACAGTTGCCTACAAAGGGGCCTGCAGAAGGGACTTTTTGGGATGATGAAACTTTCCTACATAGTACTGGGGTGGTAGATAAATGACTCTATGCATTTGTCAAAACATATAATTATATGCAACAAGATTGAACTTTACTGTTTGTAAATTTAAAAGAATCAACAAGGATGTCAGGGGATCACAGGATGGAATGTAGACTGTGACAAGTCTTATTAAATTACATGCATATGACAGCTTTACTGGAGGGCATGGAGGGGGAAAGGAGCTGACCTAAATAACTTTAGAACAGCATCGACTGGATATTGTAAGGCTAAAGACAAAAATAACAGTACACAACTATTCTCTTGTTGGTAAATTTGTTCCTCAAGAACTTTGAATTGCTAATATGAATTAGCAATTCTAAAACTACTTTACATGTATCTAGAGTTGAACATATAGCTAAATAAATTGTACATAATGGGACCCAGTTTCTCTCTGCCAGAGATAAATGTTATAAATAAGGAAGGAAGAAAGACTAGAATGAGCCTTGTGGTGCTGAATATGCTTCAGAGGTATCAGTGAGAACTTACGTTTATTCTACAATGTCTAAAGATAGATAGGTTTCATAATATAGATATGCATACAATACATCAGTTATGATTCTACGACTGGAGCTGAGGAAATGCATGATAAGCCCAGAGTATCTCGTAGTAAGAGAAAGTTAGAATGTGCTCAAGAAAAGGAGAAGAGGAGACAGTCTATGTAAAAGGGGCACGGAAGTGAAACATTAAGAGTTCCCAGTGATCAAAGCTGGAACCACTTCTGTAAGTACAATAAATGAAGATCATATTGAATTATAAATCCAAATACAATATATATTTATATATCCATTCTGCTATACATAATTGAATAAATAAACAGGGAAAATGAACAATCTCTTTAGAGAATAAGGGAAATAGAAAATCACCATTAGAACACTACACTAATAACTGTTGCAGGCAAAATCCACTGATGAATACTAAAATTACTGAGCAAACCTTTTAAGAGAAGCAGAATATTTGCAAAGACTTGACATATTTCCCAAAAGCGTTTATTAGTTATTGTGGTGGTTTTACCATGTGTCCACAAATTATTTGACACTCCTTCCTCTAGATGATAAAGTTTAATTTCCTTCCCCTTGAATGTGGACTGGATGTAGTGATTTGTTTGAAAATAAGGGAATGGCTTTACAGTAGCTCTTTCAATAAGGGAGTAGCTTTACAGTAGAGAAATTTGGCATACACCACCTTAACAGGTATATTAGATTTCTAGGGCTATGGTAAAAAAAAAAAAAAAAAAAAGAAACTGAGTGGCTAAAACAACATTAACGTATTCTTTCATAGTTTTAGAGGCTAGAAATCAGAAAAAAAGGTGTAGGCAGGGCCATGGTTCCACTGAGGTCTCTGGAAAAAATTCTTCCTTGCTTCTTCTATGGTTGCCAGCAATATCAGACATTCCTTGGTTTATAAATACGTCATGCCAGTCCCTGCCTCTGTCTTCCCATGGCCTTCTCCCTAATGTGTCTGTGTCTATTTCCAAGTTTTCCTCTTCTTAAAACGAAAACAGTCATATTGGATTTAGAGCTCACAGTCATATAAGATTTAATGCCCTTTGACATATTAGCAGAAGGTCGTGAGTGAAAGAATCACGATGTCTTCAAGGAGTGGGTTGAAGCAACGGGAATACATCTGCCATGTTTTCATCAGAGGACAACTAAAAAGGGAACAGGTTTGGGAGGTTTATCAGTAGGGATTCATTATTTTCCAAGCTCTAATTGTTTAAATGGAAATATCATTTACACATTCATTATTATAAAGCAATGATAAACATCAAAAGCTGTTTTATTAATATTTTACAACAAAGTAACATGGAAGGAATGTTGTGTGTAAGTGGTACTTTCTTGATTCAACATAGTATTCTTTACCACATGAGACAGTAAAGTATTAACATTTTATGGTTTATATCAATAAATAATTGTCTTGTTGAAGGCTGGTTCATTTCGTCATCCATAGCAGTGATGAAGGAATATCTAAGACGAAATCCATATGGAAGTGGGGAATATAGGATATAATTGTACAATCTTTACGATTATTTTCTACTATTATTTAAACCTGTCCTTATAACAATTGTCAAAAACATTACAATTCCTTTCTTTTCTCTCTTTCTTTTCTTTAAAGATTTAAACCACATTTGAGAAACACAAAATATTTTCAGCTGGGTGCAGTGGCTCACGCCTGTAATCCCAAAACTTTGTGGGGCTGAGGTGGGCAGATTGCTTGACCTCAGGAGTTCAAGATCAGCCTGGGCACCATGGCGAAACCCCATCTTTACAAAAAATACAAAAATTAGCAGGGCCTGGTGGCACACATCTGCAGTCCCAGGTACTTGGAAGGCTGAGGTGGGAGGATGGCTTGAGCCTGTGAGGTGGAGGTTACAGTGAGCCAAGATCACACCACTGCACTCCAGCCTGGGTAACAGAGCCAGACCCTGTCAAAATAAAATAAATAAATAAAAATAAAATAAAATAAAATAAAATAAAAATCCAAAATATTTTGTGACTATACAACTTGGCCCAACATTATAGAAAGACCTAAGTTTTAATGAATAGCTTATTTTCCCTTCTATTCAAACATCAGCCTAAGTTGCTGGGGAAACTACTTTTTGTACATTTGAAAATACTGGTGAATATGAACAATTGATTCAGTAACTACTGCAGTGATTGTCTAATTTAAATCTAAATTATTTTATTGGATCCAAATGCATCCAGAATGTTAACAGTTTTACAAGAAGAGAGACTTCAAAAAGTAGTTGTGACAGTTCCACACCATCATAGCTTAAAAACTGTTCTGAAGAAATTTCCAGCAAAGGTGTTTAATCCTGCAGTTATATACCCCTTTCTATAAATAAAGGAGTGAGTCTGTAATATAAACAAAAAGGAAACATGTAATAAAAGTTGAGCAACATATTAAAACGGAAACTGCCCTTTAGAGGTAATGGATCTATTCTCCACACCATGCATGAGTGCAACTCTCATTAACACTAATGGAAGTTACACATGAGCATCAAGAAAATATATCTGGTATACGAATTTCCAAAATGGGTAATAGCATCTAATCTATTCCTGGCATAGTCTTGTCTTTATGCAGCCAAACAAAAGTACTCCTGAAATCTGGAGCTAGAGATCAGCATTTGAGTACAGAATTTTTAAAGTAATAAGAAATACTAAGAACGTGGCAGTCCTTTGGATACTATGCTCAGTACCCGGATGACAGAATCATTCATACCCCAAACCTCAGCATCAGGCAATACACCCAGGTAACAAACCTGCACCTGTTCCTCCTGAATATAAAATAAAAGTTGAAAAATAAGAATAACCAATTCCTTGTGGTCACGTTGACGTGACTTTCTCCTGCCATTGGCAATGAGGTCACCTAATCAATTTAATGGGATAACCTATAATACACTACCATAATGCCTAATACAAAGTGAGTGCTCAGAAAAGCTTAGCTGTATTCCCAATCTCATTTAGATTTTCTGCATATAAAATTATCATAATATTAGCTATTAATAAATGGCTTTTATCTCCAAGAATTTTTTTTTCTGGAATTCAAAACATTCAAAGGCTCTTGATTACAGGTTATCTGTTGATATTTTTGATAGTTTAGGGTAGCTGCCTGCAGCTTTTTAGTGTTTTGTTGTTGTTGTTGTTGTTTTTGAGACAGGGTTTCACTCTGAAGTATAGTGGCACAATCAAGGCTTATTGCAGCCTCAACTTCCCAGGCCCAAGTGATCCTCCTACCTCAGCCTCCCACCATGCCCAGCTATTTTTTTTTCTTTTTGTAGAAAGGGGAATCTCACTATGTTGCCCAGGCGGGTCTTGAACTCCCCAGCTCAAGTGATCCTTCCACCTCAGCTTCCCAAACTGCTGAGATTACAGGTGTGAACTGCCATGACCCACACTTGTAGCTTTTTGATAGTAGAATTTATTTTAAAGTCTCTAGACGGTCGTAACATTCAAGCAAATAGAGTTTTTTAAATTAAGCAAATTTTAAATATAGGCTGGGCACAATGGCTTATGCCTGTTATTCCAACAGTTTGGGAGGCTGAGGTAGGAAGATCAGTTGAGCCCAGGAGTTTGAGACCAGCCTGGGCAACATAGCAAGACACTGTCTCTACAAAAAAAAAAAAAAAAAATACAGACACTGTCCTGTTGTGGTGGCATGCGCCCATAGTCCTAGCTACTCGGGAGGCTAGGGTGGGAGGATCACATGAACTGAGGAGTTTGAGGCTACAGTGAGCTAAGGTCATACCGCTGCACTCCAGCCTAGGAGACAGAGTGAGACCCTAGCTCTTAAAAAGATAGATAGATAGATAGATAGATAGATAGATAGATAGATAGATAGAAACAAACTTGCCAAATTTATTGAAGAAAGTTGTGAGATATTAATATAATATTTCAATAACATGAAAATATACACTGAAAACTAGGGCAGTTTTGCTAATCCTTCACCGAAATATCTTCAATGATTTCTCTCAGAGATGGATTTCTCTCAGTGTTCCGCACAAGTTCTCCTGTTCAAAAGTGCTTCAGAGCAGTCTCTCTGTACAATTGGTCTGTGTTCAACCATATGACAGAGAATAATTAATTGTTTGAAATAAGCTGTTTCACAGATGATGATCTTGGTTTTTGTTTCAGTTATTAATTACTCAATTTATCTAAATGAGGAGTTCTTATCCATACTATGAATTGATATTTTAAGAGTTTTCTGTGCTTTTTCCTCTGCAATTGTTTTTTTCTACTAAAATTAAGTCCCAGAAGCTTCCCAGTCACACTTCTTGTTTTTTGTTCAATAATGGGAATTGCTCCTGGTCAGCATGTAGATCTCTTTCTCTCTCCCAATCAATCTCAATACCACGTGCTTGCTTGCTCACCCTCTATCTCCCCGCCGCACTCCCTTCCTCCCTCCCTCTTTCCCTCTCCCCTCCTCATTTTACTTTTTGTTTCTGCTCTGTCAACTATAAATATGGGATAAGCATTTCTCCTTCCCTCTTCCATTTAATAGAGTGGAACAAGTTAATTCTATTGAAGTTATCAGGAATAGTGTGCAAGATAGAAACCAAACTGGCTACCTACTGACATAAATGTTTTCATATTTTCCATGATAATCACATATATTAATATATTACTAAAATCTTAAGAAAGATTCATCTGTAACTGGAGAGAGGAGAAAAATATAGAGATCCTTTCAGAGCCTGGAAGCAACATAGATCAAACAAGTAGTGGAAGGAGCTGGAAAGAATAGAGCTAATATGATTGAAAGTTCCCTATATGCCTGACCTTTTAAATATGAGCTATTACTGCCATACATTGAGTATCATTCAAAGAACCTGAAGTCTGAGAGATTTAGTAAATTTTCTGAAGTTACACATCTTGTAAATAGTATTTGCACACATATTTGGTTCCAAAGCTCCTGAAATTTCCACAGCTAGCCAAGACTGCTTGCTAGTAAAATATTTAACCAACACTCCCTGTCCCCCGAGTAGGTCATTAAAGCCATCAAATTAGCAAGTTTTGGTCTCTGTGCCCAGCAAAACTTCCAAAGATACACACCACAAACCACAGCATCCATGCACTATAAAATAATATCTCATTTTCAAAAATGTGACCAAATTATTTAATAGTTCTTATGGCATGTACATTGCTCTTAATCCCAAATATAAGATCTTTTAGGGTACATGTTTTTCCATACTCATTCAAGAGAACATCATTTGAACCCCAATTTCCTAATGACCTGTGATCGCTCAGTTCCAAATGCCTTACCACATAAACCATTACCTGTTATATTACAATTAAAAGAATCCATTTTAAGTGTTCTAAAACAATAGACTTTAGATTAACTTTCATTCTCTTTATCATTTTCTTCATTTACATCTGTTAATCTTGCTTTTGAAGAGGCAACATGGAATAATAGAAAAAGTATAGGGAAACTGGGTTCAAATTCCCCAAAATATTTCTTATAATGATTATAATCTTTATGAAAGGTTAAATAACGTTTTTGCTTCAGTCTTTACAGCTGCAACATTGAGCCTTAATTTTTCCCTCATTGATTTGTTGTTAAGTTGAAAAGGCACTGTACCTGTTACATAGTGTACAAAAAATAAATTATTATACTCTATTATCATCACCATCAACAGTATTAAAGTCAATACAATGAGGTTGGAAAGAACTACTTCATAACCTAGCATTTATATGCACAGTTTACTGAAATTTGCTTTTTAGGTTGGGAACAATACCTGCTAATTGATGGGCATTAAGTTAATTAAGATACACGAAGCACTAATTGCAGAGAACAAAAGATTTCCTAACATAAATGCCTTACAAAATACAGAATGACTGTGATATTATCTATCACAGTGTATGAATTCTATCAGCGCAACACTACACTTTTCCCTGCAAAATCTAAATCTGTATAGCCAAGCAATAAATTTGTACACTTGAAAGCTTAGCCTAAAACCTAACTTTCTCCTTGTTCCTTCTTTCTTGCTTTCTTTCTTCTTTTTTCATTTCCAAAAAATTAAAATTCATTCAGTATTTCAAGAAAATAAAATAGTTTACTGATTTCCCACCTACCATTTTATTTTTTTCTGCTTTTATTTCTTACTTTGAACTCTGTTTTTCAAGTCCATTTCTTCCAAGAAAGTCTCAAAAACTCCTTTACCCTAGAATATAAAAATAAAAAGACCAATTCAAAGTTATAATATTATTTATGGAAAGAAGAAATATGGTATTTTACATTTAGCTTAGACCAAAATGCTATATCATCTAACAAGCTCTTCCGGGTATGAAAATTCAGAAAAGAGGTCTCCTATGACAGTCAGATCTTTGGCAGCTGGTGACCCCTCTGTACATTCTACAAACTCCCTAAATATTAATTCAACACTCAGAGAAGAAAAAATACGTATAACCATCAGAAGCAAAACAGATGTGCCAAATGCACAGGAAATCAGCTATACAATTGTAAAGCATACGTTATGAGTTTATCCCAAACATCTTGTTAAGATATAACATTGAATGATAATAATACATAAATATATCCTGAATACTATCTTGTGGAAAAGTCTACCACAAATATATCTGAGTTATTTGTGCCCCTCTCAACATTTTTTTGTTGTTCACATTATACCTATGTCTCCTAAAAATATGAAGAGCACCAGCTGTATCTGCTTAGAATTGTTAAAGGAGAATACTTATCCTTCCAACTTGGTCCACATTTACACCTTGTATGTCCTTTATCAAACAATAGTCCAGTCACCATCTCAGCCAGATGCCCTCCAATCTTTGATTAGCACAATAGTATTCCAAGTATGCCTTACATAATTGCCTCTGGTCTATTCTGAACCCACCTTTTCCTGTGCTATATTTCTTTTCAGGTCTTAATAGCTAAAATTTAAATTTGATGGATTAAAGCAATGATTTTTATTAGAAACACATGCTGAAAAAAAAATTTAAAAAAGAATATAGGTTGACTCTATAAATTGGAATACATAAAGCTTAAAACACAAAAGAGTGGAGTTACATTAAAATAAGTATAATTTAAAAGTCAAATTTAAATATGTACAGAAAGCATGTGAAATTGTGTGTATTTTAGCCTTTAGGAACAGACAATATTATTTGCCATAAAATTCTTAAGTTCCTTTAATGAAATAATACAATGTTTAAAATATGGGGGAAACCACTGTAAAAACTGAGTAGTGTTACTATGGCAACAGAAAACCATTCAACTAGTCTTAGGCACTAAGAAAAGTGAAAATGAGTTCTTGCTCCATGAGAAATAATAGTACAGATGATATGCAATACACTTGTTACACTTTTGACTTAATAAATATTCCAGTAATATTTAAAAATACAGTTCTTATAGAAACATCATGTTCTGAGTCTTTAGAAATGAATTAAAATAAAATTAAAAGCACCTTAATGACACTAAAAATCTGAAGACAGTATATGACTTTTTTGGGATAAAGATGGTATATCAAAAAATTGATGTTATGTTTTGCTTCATACAACATATATTTATTAGTTTCTACTGTGTACTAGCACTGTAATAGGTACTGTAGATAAACTAGAATACAAAGAAACACAATGCCTATTATTTTGGAAAGAAAGTACAAAATAAGACATGAATCCTAAATATAATTATGTATAACCATAGGAATTTTGCATATATTATTCCTGCTGTCAAAGGCAAGTGGTGGGGAGGGACATAGGGAAAGAATTCCTGACATAAGGAGAATATCTGGTGAATTTTACAAATTCTTTTTTTTTTTTTTAAAGGGTGGGGGTTGGGCAATATGGCCCCAAACATACAGGATTTATGAAAGACTTGCCTTTGGCCTGTAGTCTTAAGGCAATATAAAACTACTGAAATGCTAATCAGGGAAATAAAAGTGGTCACATTTTCATTTCAAAGAAAATTAAATTTCAGACTACATCGTTCAGCTTTGTTGTGGAAACAAACATCAAAAGCTTATAAAACAACAAAAGGAATTATATCTCACTGGTTGCTTGTTCAGTTGCAGATCAATTCTGGCTGCCAGGCTACACTTTTGCTGCCTAAGACTTTCGTTTTTAGATTGGGCTGAAGGAGCAGGTTCTACTTGGGACATACTCTTTTCATGATGTATCAAAAAGACCAAGAGCACTGAGCAACCCACGATATTCTTAAAGCTCCTGGCTAAATGTAAAACTCCATCTCTTTTGCTCAAATTTCATTGGTTCCCACAAGTCATATGGTGAAAACTAAACAAGTAGTCAGAAAGTGTACTCAACCATACAAGAAGTATGGCAATCCACATGGCAAAGCGATGGGTGGGGGGTGAATACATAGTTCATTATCAAAGAGGGAAGAGAATAGTTAGGAAAGATAAAACAATCCACCACAGAGAATTTTCTAACTTACCCACCTTTAATTACATTTTGTGACCCTAATAAGTAAAAGTATAACATTATATAGCAAGGACATATCATTCTTAAAATCACCTTGCTTGTTACTTAGATATTAGGAGACAGGTGGTAGACATCATGAATGAGACATTTAGATGACGTGTTTAAGGATGATTACTTCAAGCAATAATAACTTAAAGGCATATCACAATTTCATAAAATATGTACCCGCCAATACAAAAGGAAAACAAAATTAAAAATCATCACAGCGAATAGATTTCAAAGCTTGTATTTGTGACTCATATGTATTATTTTATTTCACATGAAGCAAATAATTGAATTTGAAAGATTTCATGATCAGAATATTAAGACTTATCTCTAATTATTTGTGTCCATCCACCTCACAAATATACACTGCACTATGTCATGTAAATAAGCCTTAAAACGTAGCCAACCACTTTCCTATAAAATAACTGTAGTTAATTCATGAACTTAGTGAAAATAATTGCTTGGCACTTAAATATGAATCATATTTTATTTGAAAATTGATTGCTCAACTTCATCAGAATCAGATAACCAAAAGTTGTGTGCTAAGGTAATAATGTCTTCATTTGTAGTGTTTAATGATAAGGGAATTTCTAAACCCATAAACAATTACTCCCTACCACTGAAAAACCTGCCTAGTGTTCTGGCCACCTGGGCATTCCACCAGTTTGCCTAGAAACTTGCACACCTCCTGACTGAGTGCCCCCAAGCACAGGAATTTTAATGTTCCTAAAGAATTATCTTATTTATGCTAATAAATACTGATTTTCATAAGTATTGTTCCATGAACATTTTTTATGAGCAAGTATGCCCTTTTAAAAATCATCTATTTGTAGTAGATTAGCTTTCTATTGCTACGTAACAAATTATTACCAATTTAGCAACTTACAATGAGATGAATTTACTACCTTACCCTTTCCTTGGGTTAGGAGTCCAAAATACAGATTACCTGGGTCCTCTGAGAGTTTCTAACAGGCGAAAATCAAGGTGGCAGCCAGGACATCAATCTCATTTTAGGTTCAGATTCTTCCATACTTACTGGAGTTGGCAGAATTCTGTACCTTGAGCCTGTAGAGACTAAAAGTCTCCACCTTTTTGCTGGTTGTAGGTCAGGGACTGCTCCCATCTTCTGCAGGCCACCCTCAGAAACTTGCCAATGCCCATGCCATAGGCAGTCCAGGACATGGTAGTTTGCTTCTTCAAGGACAGCAGGAAGAGCTCCCTTTTGATTAATTCAATGTCAACTGATTAGAGACCTTAATTGTATCTGCGGAATCTGTTTTGCCATATAAGATAACATAATCACAAGAATAATCCCATCACAGTCACAGGTTCCACCCACTCAAAGGAAGGGGTAGAATCTTCAGTGTCATCTTAAAAGCCTACCCACCATACATGGCTACACTTTATTTTTTAAAAAACTGGCTGGGCTGACTCAACAATGTAAAAACTGTAGAAATACAAATTTAACTCTACAAGATTAATCAAAAGTACGGTTTGATATGTCTAGAAGATCCTTCAAGAAAAGGAAAGAACATTTTATAATATATGTCATGTTAAATAACCTTCTATAATTAAACATTCATTTCATATAAACATATACTTAAATTTAAAGTAACTTTACTGTAAACAATGAGTGAACCAGAGGTCTAAATGGCAACTGAGATGGATTCTATAATTGTGAAACTCTCACGAATTCGTCTAATTCAATCCTTTCTTTGCACTTATTAGGAAAGAACACTCCCTTTTTCATCGGATGATCTTGCATGTACACTAGCAACCTCAAAAGTCATGGAATGAGTGAAAACCATCATCCTAGGATATTCTGCGTTCCTGCAATTTGGGAGCTGGATTTTTGGTAAACAATCAAACCAATCAGCTTGAGAGAGAGAGAAAATATTGAATGGCAACCCAAATTTTACCCCAATTACTGTAAACCATGAAATCTGTTTTAGCCAAATAAATGCTCAGAAAATTCCAATTCTCTTGTTTTAAAATCTCAGGGCAGCCTTTTACTATTCAAAAGAAATATATATATATGTATGAACCAATTTTTTTCTTTCATCATGAGTTTGCAACAACCTGAATATCTGCGGGTGAAAATTGGTACATGTTAAATGACCAAGGAAATCATTAGCTTTTAAAAATAAGCAGAGAAGTTCTAAGGCTAATGAGGGATAAATACAGACATGATCAAAGTTGTCATTTATTACTGAAAATCATATAATTTCAGCATGGTGTAAGATACAGTATAAACATTTAATTGTTTATTGAAACTATTCAAGAAAGAGATGGGTTTTTAAATACATTCTGCATGCAGGCATAAAGAAGTGATAGGTTATCAAATCCAATTAGAACTCAAAAACTGCATATTGAGATCCATAGTCAATTTGAGTGATTGGATATTTACCAAATTATTGTTCTGTGATACTTTTTATTGTTTGTAAGCTTTGTTCCCTTTTATATATATTTTCCTGCTATGAAGTATGTGATTCAGATTTGAAACTTTAAATAAATAAACTATAAATTGTTGTTTTACCAAACTGAATACGATTAACTTGTATACCCAAGTTAAAAGAAATTAGCCAAAACATAACTTAAAAAAAATAAGAACATTCTACTCTCTGTACTTTGAAAAATCTGAAAAATGGATGGCAAAACACAATGAAATCTCACTGTAACATTTTAATACAAAGAATTCAGCAGAAAGAAAGCTTATCTTTCATTTCAACAGAGAAATTTGAATAGTAAATATAATAAAGGAATCCCAGCTCTAAAGTGATCTCTTGCTTTGATCCTTGGAGGGCTGTATTACATAAAGATTTCACAATATCCCTTTAGTCATCAATAAAATGAACAGATGTGTTAGTTAGGGATCTCCAGAGAGAGAGATACAATAAAACACAGATAAATACATAGATAGACAGATGAGAGGGGATTTATTAGCAGAATTGGCTCATTCAGCTATGGAGGCTGAGAACTTTCCTTATAGCCCATATGCAAACTGGAAACCGTGAGATGCTAGTAGCATGGCTCAGCCCAAGACTTAAAGCTTCAGAACCAGGGAAGTCAATGGTGTAATTCCCAGTCCATGATTAAAGGCTGGATAATAAATGGATGGGAGCGGGAGGTTTTAGGTAAATCCTAGAGTCCAAAGGCTAGAGAGCATGGAGTTCTAAGGTCCAAGGGCCAGAAAAGAATAGTGTTGCAGTTCCAGGAGGGTGGGAGCAGGAGGATCAAGGAGCAGGGCTGGATCGCTTTTCCTCAGCCTTTTTTCTTCTACCCGGGACCCCAGCCGATTAAATGGTGCCCACCCACATGGGGGGCAGACCTTCGGCACACAGTCCACCAACTCACAGGCCAATCTCCTCTGGAAACACCCACACAGACATACCCAGGACACACCCAGGAGTAAAGTTTTACTAGTTCTCCAGGTGTTACTTAATCCACTCAAGTTGACACCAAAAATTAACTATCAATCACAACAGACATTTAAAGATCCAGAGATTCTGGTATGTTGTGTCTTTGTTCTTACTGGTTTCAAAGAACATCTTTATTTCTGCCTTCATTTCATTATTTACCCAGTAGTCATTCAGGAGCAGGTTGTTCAATTTCCATGTAGTTGAGTGGTTTTGAGTGAGTTTCTTAATTCTGAGTTCTAGTTTGATTGCACTGTGGTCTGAGAGACAGTTTGTTATAATTTCTGTTCTTTTACATTTGCTGAGGAGTGCTTTACTTCCAACTATGTGGTCAATTTTGGAATAGGTGTGGTGCTGAGAACAATGTATATTCTGTTGATTTGGGGTGGAGAGTTCTGTAGATGACTATTAGGTCCACTTGGTGCAGAACTGAGTTCAATTCCTGGGTATCCTTGTTAACTTTCTGTCTTGTTGATCTGTCTAATGTTGACAGTGGGGTGTTAAAGTCTCCCATTATTAATGTGTGGGAGTCTAAGTCTCTTTGTAGGTCACTAAGGACTTGCTTTATGAATCTGGGTGCTCCTGTATTGGGTGCATATATATTTAGGATAGTTAGCTCTTCTTGTGAATTGATCGCTTTACCATTATGTAATGGCCTTCTTTGTCTCTTTTGCTCTTTGTTGGTTTAAAGTCTGTTTTATCAGAGACTAGGATTGCAACTCCTGCCTTTTTTTGTTTTCCATTTGCTTGGTAGATCTTCCTCCATCCCTTTATTTTGAGCCTATGTGTGTCTCTACATGTGAGATGGGTTTCCTGAATACAGCACACTGATGGGTCTTGACTCTTTATCCAATTTGCCAGTCTGTGTCTTTTAATTGGAGCATTTAGCCCATTTACATTTAAAGTTAATATTGTTATGTGTGAATTTGATCCTGTCATTATGATGTTAGCTGGTTATTTTGCTCGTTAGTTGATGCAGTTTCTTCCTAGAATCGATGGCCTTTACAATTTGGCATGTTTTTGCAGTGGCTGGTACCGGTTGTTCCTTTCCATGTTTAGGGCTTCCTTCAGGAGCTCTTTTAGGGCAGGCCTGGTGGTGACAAAAATCTCTCAGCATTTGCTTGTCTGTAAAGTATTTTATTTCTCCTTCACTGATGAAGCTTAATTTGGCTGGATATGAAATTCTGGGTTGAAAATTATTTTCTTTAAGAATGTTGAATATTAGTCCCCACTCTCTTCTGGTTTGTAGAGTTTCTGCTGAGAGATCAGCTGTTAGTCTGATGGGCTTCCCTTTGTGGGTAACCCGACCTTTCTCTCTGGCTGCCCTTAACATTTATTCCTTCATTTCAACTTTGGTGAATCTGAGAATTATGTGTCTTGGGGTTGCTCTCCTCGAGGAGTATCTTTATGGTGTTCTCTGTATTTCCTGAATCTGAATGTTGGCCTGCCTTGCTAGAATGGGGAAGTTCTCCTGGATAATATCCTGCAGAGTGTTTTCCAACTTGGTTCCATTCTCCCCATCATGTTCAAGTACAACAATCAGACGTAGATTTGGTCTTTTTCATAGTCCCATATTTCTTGGAGGCTTTGTTCATTTCTTTTTATTCTTTTTTCTCTAAACTTCTCTTCACACTTCATTTCATTCCTTTTGTCTTCCATTGCTGATACTCTTTCTTCCAGTTGATCACAGCTGCTACTGAGCCTTCTGCATTTGTCACGTAGCTCTCATGCCTTGGTTTTCAACTCCATCAGGTCCTTTAAGGACTTCTCTGCATTGGTTATTCTAGTTATCCATTCGTCTAATTTTTTTTCAAAACTTTTAACTTCTTTGCCATTGGTTCGAATTTCCTCCTGTAGCGCAGAGTAGTTTGATTTTCTGAAGCCTTCTTCTCTCAACTCGTCAAAGTCATTCTCTGTCCAGCTTTGTTCCATTGCTGGTGAGGAGCTGCGTTCCTTTGGAGTAGGAGAGATGCTCTGATTTTTAGAGTTTCCAGTTTTTCTGCTCTGTTTATTTCCCATCTTTGTGGTTTTATCTACCTTTGGTCTTTGATGACGGTGATGTACAGATGGGTTTTTGGTGCAGATATCCTTTCTGTTTGTTAGTTTTCCTTTTAACAGACAGGACCCTCAGCTGCAAGTCTGTTGGAGTTTGCTAGAGGTCCATTCCAGACCCTGTTTGCCTGGGTATCTGCAGCGGTGGCTGTAGAACAGCAGATATTGGTGAACCGCAGATGCTGCTGCCTGATCGAAGAATCAAATAGACGCAATAAAAAATGATAAAGGGGATATCACCACAGATCCCACAGAAATACAAACTACCATCAGAGAATACTATAAACACCTCTACGCAAATAAACTAGAACATCTAGAAGAAATGGATAAATTCCTCGACACATACATCCTCCCAAGACTAAACCAGGAAAATGTTGAATCTCTGAATAGACCAATAACAGGATCGGAAGTTGTGGCAATAATCAATAGCCTACCAGCCAAAAAAAGTCCAGGACCAGATGGATTCACAGCCGAATTCTACCAGAGGTACAAAGAGGAGCTGGTACCATTCCTTCTGAAACTATTCCAACCAATAGAAAAAGAGGAAATCCTCCCTAACTCATTTTATGAGGCCAGCATCATCCTGATACCAAAGCCAGGCAGAGACACAACCAAAAAAGAGAATTTTAGACCAATATCCTTGATGAACATCGATGTAAAAATCCTCAGTAAAATACTGGCAAACTGAATCCAGCAGCACATCAGAAAGCTTATCCACCATGATCAAGTGGGCTTCATCCCTGGGATGCAAAGCTGGTTCAACATACACAAATCAATAAATGTAATCCAACATATAAACAGAACCAAAGACAAAAACCACATGATTATCTCAATAGATGCAGAAAAGGCCTTTGACAAAATTCAACAACGCTTCATGCTAAAATTCTCAATAAATTAGGTATTGATGGGACGTATCTCAAAATAATAAGAGCTATCTATGACAAACCCACAGCCAATATCATACTGAATGGGCAAAAACTGGAAGCATTCCCTTTGAAAACTGGCACAAGACAGGGATGCCCTCTCTCACCACTCCTATTCAACAGAGTGTTGGAAGTTCTGGCCAGGGCAATCAGGCAGGAGAAGGAAATAAAGGGTGTTCAATTAGGAAAAGAGGAAGTCAAATTGTCCCTGTTTGCAGATGACATGATTGTATATCTAGAAAACCCCATCGTCTCCACCCAAAATCTCCTCAAGCTGATAAACAACTTCAGCAAAGTCTCAGGATACAAAATCAATGAACAAAAATCACAAACATTCTTATACACCAATAACAGAAAACAGAGAGCCAAATAATGAGTGAACTCCCATTCACAATTGCTTCAAAGAGAATAAATTACCTAGGAATCCAACTTACAAGGGATGTGAAGGACCTCTTCAAGGAGAACTACAAACCACTGCTCAATGAAATAAAAGAGGATACAAACAAATGTAAGAACATTCCATGCTCATGGGCAGAAAAAATCAATATCATGAAAATGGCCATACTGCCCAAGGTAATTTATAGATTCAATGCCATCCCCATCAAGCTACCAATGACTTTCTTCACAGAATTGGAAAAAACTACTTTAAAGTCCATATGGAACCAAAAAAGAGCCCGCATTGCCAAGTCAATCCTAAGGCAAAAGAACAAAGCTGGAGGCATCACACTACCCGACTTCAAACTATACTACAAGGCTGCAGTAACCAAAACAGCATGGTAGTGATACCAAAACAGAGATATAGACCAATGCAACAGAACAGAGCCCTCAGAAATAATGCCGCATATCTACAACTATCTGATCTTTGACAAATCTGACAAAAACAAGAAATGGGGAAAGGATTCCCTATTCAACAAATGGTGCTGGGAAAACTGGCTAGCCATATGTAGAAAGCTGAAACTGGATCCCTTCCTTACACCTTATACAAAAGTTAATTCAAGATGGATTAAAGACTTAAATGTTAGACCTAAAACCATAAAAACCCTAGAAGAAAACCTAGGCAATACCATTCAGGACATAGGCATGGGCAAGAACTTCATGTCTAAAACACCAAAAGCAATGGCAACAAAAGCCAAAATTGACAAATGGTATCTAATTAAACTCAAGAGCTTCTGCACAGCAAAAGAAACCACCATCAGAGTGAACAGGCGACCTATAGAATGGGACAAAATTTTGCAACCTACTCATATGACAAAGGGCTAATATTCAGAATCTACAATGAACTCCCACAAGTTTACAAGAAAAAACAACCCCATCAAAAAGTGGGTGAAGGATATAAACAGTCACTTCTCAAAAGAAGACATTTATGCAGCCAAAAAACACATGAAAAAATGCTCACCATCACTGGCCATCAGAGAAATGCAAAGCAAATCCACAATGAGATACCATCTCACACCAGTTAGAATGGCAATCATTAAAAAGTCAGGAAACAACAGGTGCTGGAGAGGATGTGGAGAAATAGGAACACTTTTACACTGTTGGTGGGACTGTAAACTACTTCAACCATTGTGGAAGTCGGTGTGGCGATTCCTCAGGGATCTAGAACTAAAAATACCATTTGACCCAGCCATCACATTACTGGGTATATACCCAAAGGATTGTAAATCATGCTGTTATAAAGACACATGCACACATATGTTTATTGCAGCACTATTCACAATAGCAAACTTGGAACCAACCCAAATGTCCCACAATGATAGACTGGATTAAGAAAATGTGGCACATATACACCATGGAATACTATGCAGCCGTAAAAATGATCAGTTCATGTCCTTTGTAGGGACATGGATGAAGCTGGAAACCATCATTCTCAGGAAACTATCTCAAGGACAAAAAACCAAACACCGCATGTTCTCACTCATAGGTGGGAATTGAACAGTGAGAACACATGGACACAGGAAGGGGAACATCACACACTGGGGACTGTTGTGGGGTGGGGGAAGCAGGGAGTGATAGCATTGGGAGATATACCTAATGCTAAATGACGAGTTGTTGGGTGCAGCACACCAACGTGGCACATGTATACATATGTAACAAACCTGCACGTTGTGCTTATGTACCCTAAAACTTAAAGTATAATAATAATAAAAAAAAGTATCTCCTGGCCAGGCATGGTGCCTCACACCTGTAATCCCAGCACTTTGGGAGGCCCAGGCGGGCCGATCATGAGCTCAGGAGATTGCGACCATCCTGGCCAACATGGTGAAACCCTGTCTCTATGAAAATACAAAAAATTAGCCAGCCATGGTGGCACGCGTCTGCAGTCCTAGTTACTTGGGAGGCTGAGGCTGGGGAATTGCTTGAAACCGGGAGGCAGAGGTTGCAGTGAGCTGAGACGACACCATTGCACTCCAGGCTGGTGGCAGAGTGGGACTCGGTCTCAAAAAAAAAAAAAAAGAAGAAAGTATTTCCTTTTCTCTGCTACCTCTATCGCTTCTTCCACCAATAAAAAATAGGCCGCAGCATAACCCTTAGGAAAAACACTCCTTAGCTATTGCTTTTTAAAGCAGTTTTTCTCCCTTGCCACCCAGAAAGAAATAGATATGGGATCAGGCAATGTAGGGGAAGTTGTAGGAGGAGGAATCATTACCTTTACCTTTTTTTTTTCCTATGGGAATTCCTTCCCTCTCATTAACTTCTGCAATTTAACATTTATACCAAGTTATTGAAAATGAGCCAACTATTATTTTCATCTCAAAGTGAAGAATCTCAAGGTCCACTCACAATTGCTGAATAGAATGAAATTGATGAGTTAGGATTATACTGTCTGGCTTCATTCAGTGAACTTGGTCCAGCATTTTTCAGATTCTTCTAAAGCCTCCTTTTTTTGTCTTCTTAGAAAGTCTAGTTTATCCAGTAATTTGAACTATGCAATAATTTTCTCTGCTTCGTTTCTATCTTGTGAAAGACTAAGCTAATTTTTATTGCACTTTTTAGTCAATGTTCAAATAAATCCTTTTTTTATATTGCACTTTTCGGTCAATGTTCAAATAAATCTTTTCAAGCATGGGTCCTATATTTCAATAAAAAAAGTTGTTTGAAATCTGACTTGGTGGACTCCCTTTGCATCACCCACAAGGCATTCTAATTGAAAATCTGTCTTTTCTGAAAATCAAGTCTTTAGCTCCAGCTTCAGGCCATATGTTCTTTTCTGCTTCCTTCCATCTTTATGTAATTACTATTTGTAATAAAATGGAAAAAAATTAATTAACAATTAACAATTGTTACAAGCTTCAGTGAGTTTGTAACAATTTTCAAAGCCCTCTTAGTGAAGAACTTAACATTTATTTGAGAAGAGCCAACTGAATATTGCTGGTGGAAGAGGATTCTGAATATCTAGTATATGAATTGAACCATTATGCAAATTGAGGAATAAAGGATTTGTTTGTTGCCTCAGAGAAGACATGAGGGAGACAGAAAGAGGGAAAGAAGAATCAGTGAACTACCACAGAGGCATGTAACCTCTACTTGTGATGCAGTCTTAGTTTTGGCACCTCCTCCTCCAACAACAAAATGAAAAACAAAGAGAACAACAACAACAAAATGAACACAACGCCCTGAGACAAAGCCTTAGGTAAATGTAGTTATTGGGAAGAGATTTTATTAGACAAATGTGAAGAAGTGGGGATGTGAGACAAGGAAGGGGAAAAGGCAACAAAAGATGCACTAAATCTGTTACTGCTGTGGAATTCCACATTTTTAGAAACAGTAATGAGTTTCGGAGTGCCCCACTGGAGGCCAAGGTTGATAAGGAGGCTGGGGCATCTCCTAAAACCCATTTTCCATTGGTTTAGAATTGCCTGTGCCTCTGTCCTACTGAAGAACCCCTGTTCTTCAGGATTGTGCCTATGGGCAGCAGAGCAAGCTTTTTGATGCCAGAGAATGTACAGAGTCCTCCAACAACTGCCTCTTCTCTCCATCTAGATCTTGAGTACAGGCTACTGAAATCACGATATGCTTAATGTGAGGGGATATTATGTGGAAATTGATGAAGAGACTAAATTGTTTCCAGGGTGTCTCAGGGCAAGAGATTGAACTTTCATGGTGGAGACAGAGAAAATCATGACCCCAAAAAGTTGCAGGAACTGGTGGAATCTGTTGGGAAGGACTTAAACTGTCACAGGCTGAAGGATTGGGGTTCAGCTACAAATTTGGCTAGATCTCTGAGAGGTAAGAGATCTTGACTTAAATCAACAAAATGCACAGATCCCAAAGCTAGGGAGTCTTATGATTAAGACAAATAATATGAGTGAAGCAGTTTAAAAGAAACACAGGATTTCAGTATTTCTTTGTTAGAGACATGAGTTAATGTTTTAAAAACATTTCTCCAAATACTCATCTCCAAGACAATTAGAAGCCATGGGTATTGTATGGTCCTGGACAGGCTGGATTCTGTTTTAAATGGGCAGCTGCTGCTTAGCACTAGTAGATTCAACTGAAATAATGTCTATAAACTCAGGATTTTTTTATTTTTTATTTTTTAATTTTCTTTCCTTTCTTTTCTCATTTTTTCCCTCTGTTCTCTTCCCTTCTTTCCCTGCCTACCTTCCTGCCTTTCTCTTTCTTTCTCCTTATTTTCCCTTCCTCCCTTCCTCCCTTCTTTCCTTTCTCTCTCTATTTTTGCTGTTGTTCTCTGATAGATATATTCCCAGTAACTAGAACAGAGCCTGGCCCCTATCAGAGCTCGGTGAATATTTGGTGAATGAAAGAGTGGGTTACATGTGGGAATTTGGACATAGTGTTATCCAAAAAGAAAAAGATTTCTTTTTTCAAATATGTGAGATAGGAAACTGAATTTTTAGCTGACACATTCTGATTTTTTGGTGTTGGAAACCATCTAAAAATGTTTAAGGATCCCATGATTCCCATTTGGTGGGCAAAATCAATACCAAGGAGGACTGCTTGTTTACCATTTGGGCTCTAGGGAGTTTTGCGTGCATGTGTGTTTGTGTGTGTTAGCAAATTTGTCACTCAGCCTCAAACTTTTTTTTTTTTCAGAGACAGGGTCTCACTCTGTAACCCAGGCTGGAGTACAGTGGGGTGATCATGGCTCACCATGCCTGGCTCATTTTGTAAAATAAGTTTTTGCAGAGACAGGGTCTCACTGTCCTGCCCAGACTTGTCTGGAACTCCTGGATTCAAGCAATCCCACCACCTCAGCCTCATACAGGCATGAGCCACTGTGCTCAGCCCTCAAACTTTTAATCTTTGTGTGTCACCCAAGCGTATCTAACAGAGTCTCTAATACTAATGTCTACCTCTTAGACATAGAAGTTTTTAATTAACGGTAATTTTGAGAATATATAGAATTATTACACATGCACTTATAAAATTGTATATGTATATAATTGTATATATATGTATACAATTTTTAATAGGAAGAGGAGCAGCCAATACTGGTTCTGAAACTTTCTTCGGTAACACTACCTGATATTGTCAACTTGTGTCTTGTGTTGCTGAAGCCTAGAAGCTTTCAGAAAATTTATATTCAATATTCTCTCCTTCAGTAATTTTTCTCCCAACTGCCTTGTCTCTTGTCTCTCAATACCTACTGAGCTTGCCATCTTTGGCATTAGCTTTTATAGTCTTTTTGTTGTTAAACTGTTTTATGTGTATTTGCCTTATTGTTTTTCAACACTATTTCAAGATTCACATAGGCTGGAACGATTTTAATTTTTCTCTTATATTTTATCTGTCATCAAATATAGCATTGGGCTTATGGGGGTGTTCAACAGACATCTGTCAGAAGAAATTACATCAATATCTGAACAGAGAGACACAACTTTTCAGAAAACAAAAACTTTTTCCCCTTGATCTTTTCATCACTGTTGGAAGCTCACCCGTTTGCCGTTGCTCTCAAACATGAAATATTATATCAGCCTTTGCTTCTTCAGTTTTTCCCCCTACATTGATTTCAGTTTAATTCAATTTCTTCATTCTTCTTATACCTGAGTTGGAACAATATCAGGCAGGAAAGTTCAAATTAATATTTTATGGATTATCTTCTTCTTTTTTTTTTTTTTTTTGAGACAGAGTCTCACTCTGTCACCCAGGCTGGAGTACGGTGGCACAATCTCGGCTCACTGCAACCTCCACCTTCCGGGTTCAAGCGATTCTTCTGCCTCAGCCTTCTGAGTAGCTGGGACTACAGGTGTGCACCACCATGCCCGGCTAATTTTTTGTATTTTTAGTAGAGACAGGGTTTCACCATGTTGGCCAGGCTGGTCTTGAATTCCTGACCTCGTGATTCGCCCATCTTGGCCTCCCAAAGTGCTGGGATTACAGGTGTTACCCACCGCACCCAGCCCTTATGGATTATCTTCTAAAGGTTTCTTTTTTCTACCATAAAACTGTAAAATATATTCCCTTGATTTGACTAAATTCCCATCTTCCTTAAAATCCTATAATTCTTCTTTATCAGTGTCTGAATCAAATTTAAATTTTGCACAATTTAATTTCCTGTATTCTTGTTGCTCTTTTTTTTCCCATTATCTTTTCATCTTTTACTAATACCCTAGTATCTTCAATCCAAACAATATGGCCAATAAGGCCTTCTGGTTTCTGTGTTCAATTGTATTTGCTAAATTCCAGAATATCAACTTAATTTTCAATGATAAACTTAATTATTGCACACTGAATTTGCTTGATTGTTGCGGTTTCTTCTCTTGGCAATTTGGATGGGAAGTCACAGTATAATATAAGCCATTTATTAATTTTCTATAAAAAATTATAAACAAAAATCATAAAAACCTCAAAATGCTTTTGATCAGCACATTTTTTCTTGCTTGCAGAACCGCATGAGAAGCCAAGTCCTAATCAGAAGGTTGCTTGGTAAGTGTGGAATCAGAACAAGTAGCTTTAGATGACTCAAAAGTTTAATGGGCTGAGGCAAAGATTGCTTCTGAGCAACTCTTTATACCTGAGAGGTTTCCTAACAGTGTGTTCTGAAATTTTGATAGGTAGAAGCTGTAAAAACTGTCATATAAAAGATGCAGGCAGCTTGTGTCTCTGAAGGGGTAAAGATGAACACTCCTTTGGAGCTGATTGTTCCTTCACTCTGGGAAAACCTGACTGGGGCTTTAGTTGCACAAATGTAAAGCAAAAATCCCTTATGAATTATGAATTATTCTTGGGAAAAATGTGATGTAATTGTTAACGTGAATGAAAACATTTTGAACTGCGAGGCTAAGTGTTCTGTTTGCTAATGTATGATTTTGCCCAAGCTTGTGCAAGTTCGTCAGTGTCTGCTAGCGTCAGTTTTCTCTTCAGTAAGATGGGGACAATGTTTATGAAGATTAAATAAGGTCATACAAGTCAACCTCTTAGAATGGTGTCTCACATTTATTAAGTGGCTCAATATTAGTAATGATGTTTCTGAGAATGTCACTACTCTTTAAAAGACATATTTTATTTTTCTGTCTGGATTTTGACTGCACTGTGCCAGAAAACTGAATTTTATTCTTCCGGGCGATGTGGGTATTTGGTTGCACAGAAGGCTGGGGAATAAACTCCAAGTCAGATCCTGGCTTCTTGCAGAAAGAACATGGATAAAGTACAGGGATGAAAGTGCAACGCAAAAAAGCTGTTGATTTCTTGCACATGATTAACGCAGATGGATATAGTAAGGCTGCGAGGTGATTGGCTGTTTCTGGAAGAGAGTTTTTCTTATACTAATTTTCCCACTCACACATATCTTGAGGAGGGGAAGATTGCGGGAAAGAAAATTAGAAGGAGAGCTTTTAAATGAGATGGAAGGGAATTTTTGTTGTTGTTGTTCTGGCTAAATGATTGGTGTCTGGACTTGAGGTGGGTTGGCATCCTCCTGTATTGGTGGAGCTAAGTCAGCCACTATTCCATGAAATTAGGCTAGGGCTAAGGCCTATTGGGATTTGGGAAATAATGCTCTTCATGTACATTTATTGTCTCTTTTTCCATTGGAATGGGAAGTTGGGGTAAATGGTTGGTTAGCTACACTACATTCTCCAGCTTTCTCTGTAGTTGGATATCGCCATATGACTGAGTTCTTTCTAATGGAATGTGAGTATAAGTGTTGAATTCCACTGCCAGGCCTGGCTCTCAAGCCTTTGGAGTATTTTACCATGCTCTTTTTCCTGCCTAACTAGCATGGCAATAAGCAGAGAGATCTTGGAACTCATGCATTGAATATGGTAAAGTGGCCGTCAGACTAATTCCTGAATGGCTGCATGGAGAAAAGCCAGCGTTGGGTTGGAACCCCTACCCTGGACTTCTATAGGAGAAAAACATATTTTTTAGGCCACCGAATTTTTGGTATTTTCTTCAAGAAATTTACCTTCTGTAAGAAACCCAGAAATTAATGTTTGGGCGGTGGTGCTACAGGCTGAAAAGCTGAAGAAATACATTATATTGTGGTAAAACATTGCAATTTAAAAACCAAACACCGCATATTCTCACTCATAGGTGGGAATTGAACAATGAGAACACATGGACACAGGAAGGGGAACATCACACTCTGGGGACTGTTGTTGGGTGGAGGGAGGGGGGAGGGATAGCTTTAGGAGATATACCTAATGCTAGATGATGAGTTAGTGGGTGCAGCACACCAGCATGGCACATGTATACATATGTAACTAACCTGCACATTGTGCACATGTACCTTAAAACTTAAAGTATAATAATAATAAAAAAAATTAATTCCAACTATAACCTGGAATGCAGACCACATGCTCATATAGTTTTAGGTAAAGTGGTTGGAAAGTGCTCCATGTTTATAGGTGTTAGCTGCTATCCATTGCTTCAACTAAAGTATTACAAATTGACTGGTTTGTGCACAAAGATTGAAGGGACAGAATTAGACATGAAAGGCTTCACAGGGCTGGAAAAGCTAACTGCTTCTGGAACCCAAACAGGAAATAAGATGTAACATAGCTTCAAATACAAAGGCTTAATAAGATGTCTAAGTTAAATTAAGGCAATTAAGCTTGCAGCAAAAATCAGATGAAGGGTGATATGTTTCCACTCAACTGTTTCAGATGATCTCAAGGTAGCTCTCATTACGTTGACTCTCTCTCTCTCTCCAGCAAAGTTTAAATAAAAAGAGCAAATTGAAAAACTATGTCTAAAAAACTATTTTGGGTGTGGCTACTGGCACCTGGAAAGGACAAGAAATAGAAAATAAATCTACTTAGTTTTTGAGAGAATTGCAATGCCAAGAAAACCGTAATCCTCACCTGAGAAAGATTTGACTCCGACCTGTAAAATAATCCTTAAACCATGGAACTGTCACAAACAAGAAGTGAGTTTGTGGACCCTGCAACCCTGAAGCGGGACATACACTCTGATGATCATTACAGAGTGCTGCGAAAGACTACAGAAATGGAGAAACATCTCAGAAGGCAAATCCTGGTGCCTTTGAGGATTATGGACCAGAAAGCTTCTCCCAGAGAGCAGAATCACACCTAATGTGGGGACTTTATTTAATACTGGGGCAGGGTCTTACATAATGTAAGCCCAGCAGGAATGTGCCATTTCAATGGACTATGATTGCTGTGTGTTGTGTGTTTCCTATAGTCCAACTCCCCTTTATTAAATGGACTTTTTTGTGTCTTTGGAGGTGGGGCGGGGGCAGCAAATTTAGGTTTACAGAAAAATTGAGCAGAAAGTACAGAGAGTTCCAATATACTGTCTCATGTCAACTCCTGTTCACCAGTTTCACCTATTATTAATATCTTCTTCTAGTGTGGCGCGTTTGTTACAATTGATGAGCCAATATTGATACATTATTATTGACTAAACTCCAGTTTTCATTAGGGTCCAGCTTTTTTATTGTATGTTCTATGAGTTTTGACAAATGCATAATGATGTGTCCTCACCATTACAGTATCATTTAAGATGATTTCACTGCCCTAAGTATACCCTGTGCTCCTTCAATTCATTCCTCTCTCACTCTTCCTCCTTTCTGCTGGCAACCACTGATCTTTTGGCTTCTAGAATGTCACATAATTGTAATCACACAGTATGCAGACTTTTCAAGTGGACTTATTTCACTTAGCAGTCTGTACTTAAGGTTTTTTCCATGTCTTTTTGTGGCCTGATAGTTCATTTATTTTTATCACTGCATAATGTTGCATTGTATGGATATACCACAGTTTGTTTATGCATTCGGCTTTTGAAGGGCATCTGATTGATTCCAGATCTATGCACTCTTGGCAATACTCATTTGTGAGCATACAGTATAACAAAACATGATTGCTGGAACATGCAGTAAGTATATACTTACTTCTCTAAAAAACTACCAACTGTTTTCCAAAGTGGCTGTGCCATTTTGCATTCCCACCAGCAATGAATGAGAGTTTCTGTGGCTCTGTGTATTCTCCCCCTTTTCAACCGACATTTTTATTGTGGCTATCCTACTCTATTAACGTATATTGACTGGGGCTTTGAGTCGATAATTTTAGTTAAAGGTCTCTGTTCCATGAAGAAAAATATCCAACTCTCTAGAAAAACTTCTCCTGGTGGAGATCTTGGGCTTGGGACTAGATACCACATCTGGATAAGACTGAATTGTGTCCTTGGGAGAGAGTAAGTCTGTGAAGGGAAGGACACAGCAAAGGTTGCTGCCTAGACATTAAAAGGAGAATTCCACACCCAAATGGCTCAAGCAGGTGGCCAGGGATGAGAACTTAGAGGCATTGCTCTAACCTAGCAGGGAGGCCTGCTTCCTTTACATGGACTATCCAGGCATTTGCCTGTGAAATTTAAATACCCCATGCCCTATTCACTTATATAGACTGTGGATTGACATGGCCTTTCTCTCTGTGTATGTGTGTCTGACTTTTCCTTCCGGCCTCATGTGACCTGGGGATGAAGGAAGACTGCCCTCCTGACTCATCACACTCTCTCTGCCCAGGATCTGCAAGTAAAAATCTTTGAACTTGCTTCCTGTTGTGGTGGTATATTGAATTTGTGCCTTCCATCTGAAGAACGAGGGGCTGCCCCAGGCAGGGTTTTCCCAAGGACACAGAGGGCAACGTAGGGTTGCGCTTTCAGGGCCAGAGCAATGGTCAGGCAGGCATAAAGTGGACATGGGTCAGACATGAGCCACAAGAGCACCTTCCAGTCTAAACAAGTTTCTTGTGTGAGGGATCCCTACTTGTGGGTTGGGCAAGTAGGCATTAGGCCATCTGACAGGCAAAAGAAGAATCTTGCGCAAGGCACACTGTAAACACCTGTGTCCAGCTCTCCTGCATTTCCTGTTAGAGCAGGGTCACTAGCAGCTGCTGTAGCACTGGAACTCCAGTTTAGCTGGGGGCTCTGTTTTATCTGCCTCAGAGAGATAAACTGTGGTGGAGAGGACTATCTGACCCTCACAACCTATTGTCTTTTTCATCCACCGTAATTGAAGTGCTGGACCTACAGCTGGCCAGCTATACTGTTTCCCAACCTGCACCACATTTAGGTGTAGTCATGAGACAGTGCTCTTTTTATGGTATGTGAGTACAAGTAATGTGTGCCACTTCCAAGGCTGGCTGTACAAACTTCTAGACATGCCCCTCCATGCTGTTTCTCACTTTTCTTTGGGCTGGAATGGTGATAGTATAAGATGACCAGAGAGACATTGGAAGCCATATATTATGAACGGCCAAGCCTTGTTAGTCTGGGTTCCTGAATAATAGCATTGAGGGAGAACCATCCTGCTGACCTAAATTTTTCCCATTAGACTACTATGTGAATAAGTGATGAACTTCTCTTATATTTGAGCTAAACTTGGTTCTATTTGTAACAATAGTTGTGCCTATTTTAATAATCCATATGCATAATGTAAAGTGCATCATTTTCTTCTCCTTCTGGGCTCTCACAATGCTTCATATCACCTAAAAAATAATGGTCGTAAACAAGAGGTTTTGGTCTCACCCTAAATTGATTATTTTCTTTGTTTTATTGATGGTCTGAGTGGCAATATAACGTAAAAGTAAAGAAACTGGCATATAGGAGTTTCTTTGCTATCAATATCTACCTACATTTAAATCCCTGGTTTTGTTAACTTAGGAAGATTTCTTTAACTTTTTAAACTTCAATTTCATTATCTGAATAAGGAGAACAATAGTATTTATTTTATAAGCTTGTTGTGGAAATTAATTGAAATAAATCATGTAAAATATTTAGCACACAATTTGACATTTAGGTGCTCAGGCAACATTAACTATTAGCTAGTTCTTCATTCTGTGAGGTTGGGTTCTACACTCACAGTTAGTGGAAAGACTTGGGTTTAAAATAAACAAAAATTTTCCTGCTACTCTCATAGCCTCTAGGTGAAATAACTTCTGATTTTAGTAAGAGTAAGAAAATGAGGAAATATAAAAGATAGGGATTTCGTTTGATTTCCTGGGGCAATCGCCAATTTCTCCAAATCAAGTACAATAATAGCACCTCCCATTGGGCAGAAAGTTTGTAAAGAGAATTGCTGAACCTCATCATACATGAAAATCCAGCAGTTAGGGCAGATGCCAGAAACAGCACTAAGGGCGTAACACAATGAATTGCGAATGTGTACAAAGAGTTCGGCAACTGGCAAGAGCAATTAAAACTGCAGTGAGCATGTGCTGCGTGGAAGTTATTGGTAGATTGAATTCAGAAATCCAGCAGCAGCTGAAGCAGCGAAGACAATAAATAGTTTAAATTGGCAACCAACACTTTTTCCAAACACTTATATATACATAATGAGACAAATACAAGAGAAAGTGTGAAGGAGAGTGAAAATGGGGTTGACTGGGATTCTGAGGGAGGTCACAAAGCCGAAATGCCTCGATTAACTAAACTATGCATCATTGCCAAGGGTCTCTGCAACACCCTCCCACCCCCCACTCCATAGCATCAAGGAAAAAAACAGAAGAGCAGAATAGCAATGAACAATAAATCAAGTCTCACTTTCAGAATTGGTTGGTGAAAAGGTGAGGGAAGAGATTTTCAACTTTCTAGGTAAGAAGGAATTGATGGTCAAATCCAAACTTAAAAAAATTTATACGATTTGCAAGGTAAATTCATTTAAGATGTTATTAAATATTCTCAATTAAATTCCTCCCTCTTATAATTCCAAATTCATAATTATTTCAGGAAAGTATTCTATATTTAAAAACAACATATAATCTGGGCCCTCACAGCAGTGTGGATATTATAATAATGCCCAGTCAATGTTTGATTATATTGGGTCATATCCTTTATCACTTCTGAACCTATTAAGTAAAGGGAGATAGACTTTCGCAATCAAAGTTGAATTTAGGTTCTTGTCTAGCCTACAAATCAAGGGATTATAGAAAATGGATCAAATTTAGGTATAGAAAAAGTCTGTAGGTGAAAACCTTGAAGAGACAGGATAAATATTCTTCTTAGAATGTTATCTTTCTCTAAGGAATGTAAATTTTTAGAGATCAGAGACAGTCTTTGATCTTTTGTTTTGTTTTACAGCAGGACAGTCTAATAAACATTATTCTTGTTTTATCCATTCTATCTTATCTCCTACTGTTTCCCAACATGAAGCTTCCAGTCCAGGCAGGCTGGCTGCTCCCTTGACTTCACATTGGCCACCCTCCTTCTGGCTTCTGAGCCCACCTTCTGTGTTCACACCATTTTCAGTCTTTTTCTGATGGTTTTCATTTTTTTCCTTTTCTATCAAAACCCTCTTCATTCCTCAGAGTCCACCTTAAATCCTCTGACCTCTTTCCTATCATTGAACTTCTGTAGCATATAGTTCTTTGAATCACACAGTTTAGCAGTTTATTTTATTTTATGACTATTTAATCATTTCATGTGTGTAAATCATGTTATGCCAATAAGATAAGTTCTTTGAGTAAAGGGCATAGGTCTTCTTTCAGGCATATGGTAGACATTCAATGAATATTTATTGATTGATTGTTTAATATGCTTCCTAATGCACATAAGTTACTCTTAGGAAGTAATTATACAGTGGAACACTCTGGCTAGAAAAGAATTGATGCAGGAAGAAGTTGAGCAGAGAACTGGATAAAAACAAAGCTTACATTAATGGTAGCAAATGACATGATTAACACCTTTTATGGCAGCCTTGCAGCTTGAATTTGATAAAGGAAGGTAATTTCTCTAAAGAACCAAAAGCTAAATTGAATGATTGAATTTAACTCTGTAGTGGAAGGCTGTGTTAGTCGATTTTTAAAAAGATGACATTTGAGCGTATTTTAAGTGCAATGCATCAATCTGCCATTGAGCTAATGAACTTGAAGTTAAAAATCACTGAGGAGGTTGGTGCCGATGACTCTTTCAAGTATCCTTGGGGAGGCAAGATGTGTGGGTAATTGAATGAAAATCTATCTTGACTGACCCCAATGACAACAATGTCCAACTAACATTACAAATCACCTGTAGTCTTTAATGAACTATTTTTTAATTGCTTTAAAAATGTTAATGGGGCCTACAAGGGAGTAGAGCAGAGTGTTTCTTATTTGTCTATTCCTCATCAATAAAATACATTTTTAGTTTTGTTTTTATCACTGGTAGTTTACAAGTAACTTCAGTAGCTCCAGTTTAAATTTCATCAGAGGGGAAAATAGCACATTTGGTTGTCTTTACATTGCCTAATCTTTCTGTCTTTATGAATGCCTTGAGATTATAAGATCAAATTAGTTCAACCATAAAATGTAGGAATAAATGAGAAATTCGTTACTCTAAACTAATTAAAAGGAAAATAAAACAGAGAAATACCTTTTTCTATGAGTTCTAGTAGAATTCTATCCAAATTCACAGCTCAATTAAAATGTGATTTTCTGTTTTTCTAAAGGGAAACATAAATGTTTAGAGATTGTTATACAAATAACATATTATGAAAGAATCATAAAATGAATACAGTTTTGAGAAGTGGTGGAAATAGGTGTAACTGAACTGCATGAAAATCTGTAGAAATATTAACCAAAACATAAAATCAAAAGAAGTTTTAAATTAATGCTTGATAAAATGTGGTCATAGAGAGGACATCATCAGAATCACTTGTAACGCTTGAAATGTAGATCCCTAGGTACTCTGGTTTGAATGTCCACTCCAAAACTCATGTTGAGATTTAACTGCCTTTGCGACCATGTTAAGAGCTAAGACTGTTAAGAGATGATTAGGCTATGAAGGCTCTGCCTTCATGAATGGATTAATGTCATTGTCATGGGAGTGGGTTTATTACCTCAAGAGTGCATTGTTAAGAAATGAGTTTAGCTTTCTCTGTCTCTGTTGCCCAGGTATGTCCTTCTGCTTTACACCATGGAATGGTGCAGCATGATGGCCTTTGCAAGATGTAGTCACCTTGATATTGCACTTTCCAGCCTCCAGAACTGTGAGAAACAAATTTTCTTTCCTGGCTGTTATAGCAACACAAAATGGACTAAGACATAAGATCATACTCAAAATCTACTGAATCAGAATTTCTGAAGGTGAATCACAAAAATCTATGCAGTAAAATAGAATCTTAGATGAATCTTTAAATGCAAAACTTTAAAAAAATTTAAATCCTACTTGACTTTTTCATTCTCGAATTTCAAAAATATGTCTAGAAAGATAAACATCTATCTATTTACAGTGTTAACTTGTGACTGTAATGTGGAAGTAGGGCAGTGTCTTACTTTTCAAGTACAGATCTTTGAATTGTTCTTTTCCCCAAATCTGTCATTCTTTAATAATAAAGAAAATATGTGAACTTTGATGATCTCTGGTATTATGAGTTATGTTTTGTCTGTAGATTTCTTCCTCCCTCATCTTTTGCTGGAAAGGGGCATATTGGGGAAATGGTGATGATATAGTGAGGAGTCTAATTTGAGATTTCAGATCCTGGATGATTGATAGTATCTGAGAGAGCTATTGAGAGGAGTAATGGAGTGAGAAACTTAGTCAAAATTGTTGATAGTTAGCCAAGAATCAAAATGTAGATACCAAATGCCAAAGCCAAGTTTAAGTGGTAGAAATGATGTAATAGATGTAGAATAGAGCAGGTATAAAAAACTGGGAAAAATGAGATTAGAGTAAGAAGAATCCAGAAAGATGACCACAATGAGCAATGGATACTTCCCTTTAGGGGCTAACAATTACATACTGCAAAGGAATCCATCTCATTTAAAATTTTGGTGTTGAAGTCTTCAAGGGTCAGAGATGATCCCAAGTCTGTTAAATCATGTTTTTCCATGATTTCCCTTTCTAAATTATGAAATATAAATATTTAATTTAATTCATTTTCATTTTAAAGATAGAACTGTATTACTTAGTTTAATGCAAATGTCTTGAATTTATTACTGAAAGTCCCAATTATTGATAATAAGTATTTCTGAATAAAAACTAGTTTGTTAACAAGAGAGACATAAACAGTAGAACTTGAAGACATCCAAATAAGGAATAATCTTCATATATCCTGGTACATAATCTCAATGGCTAAATCTAGTTCATTTAAAAATATTTCTAGGGGGAAAATATAGAAAGAACTTTCTATATTTTGACATTTTGAACTTTCTATTTTTTACTCTATCACTCTTTCTGGGCCTCTGAATGTAGGTGTATGTGATGTAAAAGTTCTTGGGGGCCTAGAAGAAAAAACGGTTTGTTATATATGTGGGCTGCTGGCAATTTCTGCATCTTCCATTTCTGCTCATCTATGGTTGTCCCTGATCTTTATGTGAAGATGCAGGCTTGCTTTGTTCCTAAATTCATGTTGATTAACACGAAGAACACATATAGAATTTTGATCCCTACAAATGTGGTATAATCTAGAAATGGTTTTGATGCTACTCACTCAGGATCTGATCTGCCTAAAATGAATTTCTTGGACCTACTTGTCTACTTAGTCTGTACCTTCAACATAGGGCTCCTGAGTTGGTGCAACTCTACCTTCACATATTGCTAAGCGCTAATTTCTTCCAGGACTTAAGCCTTGTCCTGAATGCCTACTAAAATGAACCATAACACTTGATTAACTTTTGATATTGCTCTATCATAAGAAGGTATATCTTGTTCTTGTATAGTTATTACTCATTTAATACCTTCTGCATAGCCTTATAGCCTGATATGAGAACCCTACAATAGACTTGAATTCAAGTCTTGCCTGCTTTATTGAACCTTTGATCTGTGTCCCCGGCTTGACTGTTTAGAGTTTCTCAGACCTTGGTGGCTGCCGAAACAAACCATGGCCTTTTTGGGTACTATTGTTTACACAGTGGGCCCACTTAAGAACTCGGCACTAAGGGAATGTCCGTTGTGTTCACTTATCTCTCTTTCTGGTCCTAGTTCTATCCTCTTGCCCACTGGTCATGTTACTTGGTCTTTATGCTTGTTTCTAGATGAAACTTATTCAACATTTAATGTCATTCGAAGAAATTTTGAGTTATATTTCCTAGAATACTGTGCCCAATAAAAGGAGTCTGGTTCTACAGGAAGAGTTATGTTTTTGAATCATAGACAGACTGGTAGAATTATCTCCTTTAAGAATTCCCCAGAGCTTGGTAACCTCCAATCATTTGTGCAATAAAATTGATTTAACTACATAAATACAGGAAAAGAAAAAAAATTCTCTTGGGGAACCTCACCACCAGAAAGCATCTTTCCCTCTGGACCAGATCTAGTGCTTCGGAAGAATTATGAGCTTCCTGCCATTAGTTTTCAGAGACTGATGCAAACCTGTACTTACCCCTTTCCTGAACAGTTTTTTGCTATTTTGTGCTTTGCAAGATCTTTTGAGCACAGGATGCTTTACGCTTCAGCTTATTCTCACTCTGCATTTCTCAATACATACCTGGAATAGAAGAAAACAAGCCATGAATACAATACGTACAACTCTTTTATTATATTCCATTAGCATTGTTGTAGTTCCATTCTTCTCAGATACAAACTTAGCAACAGCATACCTACTTTGTCTACCTATTCTCTGACTGACAATCTTATGCTTTTGCTAGATGATTCCCAATAAGCTTTCATAGTCTTACATATTCAGATTGAAACAATGCCACAGCTAGCACTGCTTATTTGTGAAACTAATTATTATTATTACCTGCATTGCTTTGCACTTTTGCATGGTGCTTCTCATTATTACAACGGAAGAATGTGTATAAACTCCATTCCTCTTTTTCCTTCTTTTATTAAAAAACTTGTCTTATTGGACAGGGACGGTGGCCTATGCCTGTAATACCAGCACTTTGGGAGGCCGAGGCAGGCAGATCACGAGGTCAGGAGTTCGAGACCAGTCTGGCCAACATAGTGAAACCCCATCTCTACGAAAAATACAAAAAATTAGCCGGGTGTGGTGATGTGCGCCTGTAATCCCAGCTACTCGGGAGGCTGAGGCAGGAGAATTGCGTGAACATGGGAGGCGGAGGTTGCACTGAGCCAAGATCGCACCATTGCACTCCAGTTCGGGCTGCAGTGTGAGACTCCATCTCAAAACAAAACAAAAACAAAAACAAAACTTGCCTTATTTATTGACCTTTCATACCTTGAGCTGTTAGACAGACTCTATTCTCCTAACCTTTAACACAAGAAGGTATTTCCAGACAAACTTCTCTGGATCTAGACCTTCTTTCCCTTACCTTCCTTTGTGTAACTCATAATTTACCTGTTGGTCTATCTGTCTCCTTTACTTTACATGTGTTTCATAGAGAATTAATATTTCACCAGAAAAACCTCGAGGAAATATTATTTAGATTCTTTATGTGTCAGTACTTTTTAGACTGTACAATACATTAATTTTGTTTTACAAAGGAAAATATTATGAGCTTCATAGAGTTTAAAGTGCCTTCCCCAAGACCAAATCATTAGCAAATGATAAAATCAGATCCAAAAAGTGGTCTTCTGATTTCAAGTCCAATTCTCTTTCAGTGATACTGTTCATTAATAGATGACTATTCTCTCATCAGCTGATTTGTTGGTGGGAAAGTAAGAGCCTGAATTTATTAGCACTCATTGACGTTTTAGGTAGTCATTTTATACAGCTGCCGGACTCACTGAAGGATAGTAGCAAAAGCTCAAACTGTAATCCATAAATGTCTTCACTACCATCATGATTATTCTTTGCTGAGGTCTTGATCTAATTAAACTGTCATCACTCTGTTAAAGTATGGTTAGAGGGCATTTTATGAAGTTTAAAGAGGAGGAGAAAATGAGGAATTAAATGTCTGACAGGACAGTATCAAATTTATTTGTTGACACACAATCTTAAAGTCAAGCCATTTCGAGAAAAGAGCAAAAGACATTTTAGTGTGAAGTAAAGGGGATCCCACTAGGGAAAATATATATTTACACATAAGTGTGAAACTTAAAAATTCAAATGATAGTTTGATCTTTAAATTTCTCTTTCTTTGCCCCAATTTTTAAAGAGGGAAGAGCTATTGGAAAAACTATATACTTATGGTTATATATTTACATATTTGATTTGATGCAAGTATATATCTAAGGGTTCAGCCAGCACTGAAATTTCAGAGGAGTTGGTTTTGTTAAATATGTATTTTTAAATCAACCCTGTAGAAAGTTGAACCTAAATATATATATATAATATTTATTAAACCAAAATATTAAACTAAGTTATAGTGTGGACTTAGTTCTGGATAGGTTATAGCCCTTTAACTGCTTACGTTTAATGGTTGATATGGTTTGGCTTTGTGTCTCCACCCAAATCTCATCTTGAATTGTAATCCCCAGTGTTGAGGGAGGAACCTAGTAGGAGGTGATTAGATCATAGGAGCAGTTTCCCCCATGCTGTTCTATTGATAGTGAGCAAGTTCTCATGAGATCTGTTGGTTTTATAAGTATTTGGCGAGTTCTTTCTTCGCTCTCTCACTATGTAACACGTGCCTGCTTCTCCTTCTGACATGATTGTAACTTTCCTGAGGCCTCCTCAGCCATGTGAAACTGAGTCAACTAAACTTATTTTCTTTATAAATTACCCAGTGTCAGGAATTCTCTATAGCAGTGTGAAAATGGACTAATACAGTGGTTCAAGTTAAAAATAAAATAAGCATGATATTATTAACATTGGTAATTATTAAAATAGCTTTTTTTCAGAATAAAGATGTTGAAGAAATAATCTAATCTTCCTTTTAATGAAACTTAGTATCAACTTTGTCACCCATCACCTTGACCTTAATACATATTTCTTTCTAATATTGCTATTAAATTAATTTCTTTCACCATCCTTACTACCTCTAACTTTGATTTACTCTCTAAGTGCTTTGTTCTGGATCACAGTAATAGCTTTCTAACTGATTTCCCTGGTCTCTCTTATTCAAACCTATCTTTCCATACTGTTGTCAACTTAAACTTGCTAACATATCACTTTCTTCATGTTACTCTATTGAAATGATCAATAATTTATAATGAGTTTAGGTATGTATAAAAATCCAGGGGGCAACACTGAAAAGTTGATTGTGAAATTTTGCAGGGAGAGCTGGCAGAGATAATTGAGGCTTATAAGTAATCAAAAAAGGAGAGGATCGGTATTAACGAGGTAAATGTAAGAGCAGGAATTAATAAACTAAACTGGGAAGCTTAATTACCATGACTTGCAAAATTTTCATCATGACTTGCAATGAGAAATACATTTTATTTTTACATTTTATATTTCTCATTGATCAGGCACACATACCATGCACAGTAACCCATACACACACATACACACACACACACACACACACCTGAAACAAATATGTCACCAAAAAATGCTTACTGTATGATGTATTTGATTTTTTTAAAGTTTGTTCTATTTTATTTTATTAAAAAACAAATTTCTAATAGAGGAGGCTATACATGTGTGGGGATGGAGGAATTTTGGAAATCTGTATATCTTCTGCTTTTTTTTTTGCGATGAAACTAAAACTTTTCTTAAAAAATGAAGTTTTAAAATTGAAAACAAAGTAAAACAAACAAAACCTCCCAAATTCTTGGTGGTGATCTGCTAATTGAATTCACTAGTGAGTACTGACCTATAGTGCAAAAAATACTTCTACAAAGGAAAGTAATAGTGTAGTGCCAGAAAGATTTGGGAGGAAGTAGTTTTCGGGTATGATTAATCAAGGAGGTCAAAGGCAGCAGAATGATAAAAGAATAGATAAAATGTCTTTGTTTAATTTGATAATCAAAAAGCGACAATTAGGAGGCGATTGCTGTAGCGCTAATTCCAGTGACCAAGAGTGGGATGAAACGAGACTGCTAAGGATTAAGGAATGGTCGAGATCAGAGGAAGGTTATATCCCTAAAGCCCACTTTACAGATTAGAAAACTGGTTCACAGAGGATAAGAAATGTATTCTAACTTGCACAGCCAGTGGTGGTCAAAACCAGATCCTACTCTGAAAACCAAGGTTTTTTCATCATGTCACAAGAAGGGAGAGTTGATGAAGGCCATCATCAGATTGATACCGTGCCTTATAGCCTGTCCTTCATTAAGCTTATTCTGTTCCTCTAGCCACAACCTTCTTTTGAGCATCTATTGAATGGTATTTATTGTATTCATAAGATGTTTTTAAAATATTGTCTTCTTTATCTTATCTGTCTCCCCAGGTTTTAAGTTGCATTTCAGTGAAAAACGGTGTCCTATTGTCTTGTCTGTGATTGGTGTCGGGTACTGGATATGGTATGTTGTATTCCTCACAGCACTTCAGCATAATACCTTGTACTTAGAAAATATTCAATAAATATCTGTTGAATAAACAAAAACACTAGATACTGCCAGGTCTGTGTAAAGATTGCTGCTTTAGGAATTAACATGTATTGGTTATTTCATAATTAGAGTGGCAGCATGCTCTATAGCTAATAAGTTATATTAAACTCTTCATTGTTCTTTCTTTTTCTGTCAAGGACTTTATTGACATGTAGTTTCCTTGAATTTTTTTTAAAGTACTATAATCTTTATCTTTTCTGTTTTCTTTCTGAAAATACCTTTAAGCCAACTTAGTGTAGTAGAAGCAGTAATTTTTCTTCTTAATGAACCAACTTTTATCCTATACTCTGTTGCACTTGCCTTTCTTTTCTACCTTCACCATTCTTCCCTACCAGATTGGAGCAGATCTTTTCTAAGAACCAAACAACCCAGCAAATGTCTCATATAAATATCCTGACAATTACAGCAATTTTTCATTTTGTGCGTGTGAAAAGTCTAGTGATAATTGGATATACTAAACCTGCATCTTTATTTGTAATCTAAAGTTATGTTTTATTTGAGTTTTTAGTGTTTTTATAGAAGGTGCAAATTTTATAGACTAAATATACATCTTAAAACTTGAAGTTCCAAATTTAATTTGCCTGCAATTAAAACCTTTCTTGTTCTATGAATTTTGTAAGCTAGTTCTGTTAAGCCAAGTCAAGTTTAGTGTGATATCTTAAATAAAAATCCAGTCCATCTTTTATACTCTTAACTCTATCTCTAAGAAACTTCCTCTTTTTTAAACTATGGGAAGAAAACTACTGGAAGCCATACTTTTCCCGACCAGCAGCGTCTGAGGGATGAGGCTACTACTTTGCTCTAAAGCAATTATTTCTCAGAAATTTTGTATCCTGTTGATATTGAAGGTATTCCTCATCTTTGAATAAAAACAGAAAAAGCCACGTGTTAAGTGCTTACTCTGTACCATCTACAATGTTAGGTACTTTATATTAAATATATCTTTTAAAATTATTTTTTTCAGTAGTTAATGGATTAAATCTGTTATAGAAAATGCTAAAGCTATACAGTATATTTATTAAAAAAAATAAGTCTTATTTCACTATAGACTCTCAGCGACACTTTCATTTCCTTGGAGTCAAAATGTCTTCATTTTCTTGTGCGTTCTTCCAGAAATACTCTATTATTCAAGTCTTTTTCAGTACAAAGTTCTCACTTTTCCTATAAAATTATGCTTCTCTGAAATAGTATTTTATATATTATGTTTATTTTGGATATCTTAGAGTAAAATATTGTGAAGGAGAAAAATGGCTTCATATGATTATCTTTCAGTAAAATTTTTGTCTGTCTGGTGTTTCAAGTTGCTTAAGTCCTGCAAATCTTAGAGGTAGTTGAAAGTGCATAAACTGGTATGCTGTACGAACTGAGCTTGGAAAGCTAGCCTCTGGCCTGTTAGTAGTGGGACTCTAAGAAAGTTGTTTGAATTCTTAGAATTTCAGTTTGCTTATCTGCAACTTAATCTTATAGTATTATAGCCTACAAGATAGAAGACTTATGTCTGGGTCACGCATCCTTGGATCTGAATCTTAGCTTCATCACTTGTTTGCCACTAGGAAAATTATTTAACCTTTCCATGGCTTGCATTTTTATCCATATGATGGAAATACTACCTACCTTATGGGTTTACCAAAAAGTAAATGAGAAAATACAAGTACTGTAGGGCCATTCATATCAAAAGCTAGCTGGTAATTTTTATTCATTAGGTTGATTGACTTAGATAATGCCAGGAAACTACTTGGCACCTATTTACAGTCAACAAAATTTCCTCTTTTTCTGTGAATTAGTTGTGAATTTCTTTATAAATTGAATGCTGTGTAATTTTATAATGTGGATTAATATGGGTGGTTTTTTTGTATGTGAAGCTAGAACAATAGGATATCAATTTAATACAAGGCTTAGAGTTGAACATTCCATTTTTTATTCACTGTCTCATGAGAATTGTGCTCATAGGGCTATTAGAATTTAATAATTATCTAGTTTGATGTATGGCTATAAAGTATTTGTCCTAATTTCTTATTAAGAAATTGGGAAGAATGGGGAAGGGAGACTATTTTCTTACATAGATTATAGGAGGGGATGTATCAAATAGTCAAAGTTTATATAGAAAGGTGACAAATGAATTATATTAGTAGCTACCATTAGAGAAAGAAATATTTTATTTAAAGAAAACTCTTCATAAGCCACAGTGTAGGGTGAAGAGAGCCAAAACCTGAAGTGTATAAGATTTAACAGAGAAAATAGCACAAAGTACTTTGCAATAGGATTTGAAAGAAGAACAATATGACTAGATCTGAATCTAGAAAAAAAAAGATAACGACTTTTTTTTTGAAAAACTTTTTATTTTACGTGGTTTATGTTTCTATGGCATAAATTTTCTGTCTTTAGTAAAATATTTTGCATAAGATATTTTGCACCAAAAAATTGATGGAAATATAGGAAGACAACTAAGGTCTACTTGGTGTATGTTGTATAAACGGAAACTTTTTGAAAGAAATGATGAAACGGTTTCTGTGCTGAATTATTTAAATAATCAGGGAGATGAAGATGACCATGAGATCCACTCCTAGCTTTACAGTCAATTCAAATTTTGGGGAAGTGTTGACTTTCTCAATCAATGGACTGGGAATGTACATGTCTTGTATTGATTTTAAGAGGCAGGAGGATCCCAGTTGTTACCCGGTTATAGTTTGTGAAAAAATCGTTCTCAATGAATGCATTAAGGATTTTATTCCTATGGCCTAACAAATTACCACATATGTACTGGCTTAAAACAACACATTTGTATTATCTTATAGTTCTATAGGTCAGAAGTCTGACACTGGTCTCACTGGACCAAAAGCAATGAATTGGCAGGGATATGTCTCTTGCTGGCAGCTCCTGGGGAAAATGTTTCTTTGACATTTTCAGGTTCTAGAGGTTGCCCATATCCATTGACCTGTGGCCCCTTTCTAGCATCTTCAAAGCCAACTATAGTGGGTAGTGACTTTTTCACCTCTCAACCCTCTGAACCTCAACTCTCTCACCCTTTTCCATAGTTGTGTCTCCCTCTCTAACTATAGCTGGGAAAAATTCTTAGCTTTTAAGGATTCATGATCTTCTTTTTCAAAATTTTTAACCTTACTCACATTTTCAAAGTCTCTTTTGCCATCTAAGGTAATACATTCACAGCTTCCAGATTAAGATGAAGACATAATGAAGGGAGCCTACCATATATACAAAAGCTGAAATAATGGAGAATGAGTGTACTATGTACTCAGTATTGTTTATTAATTTAAGCAGAGTTTTAGCATTTAATTTAATAATATGCCTAAGACCTCAAGTATGAAAACAGTAACTATTACTCTGTTGGGAATGATACTTTGGTAGCAAACCTGTTAAAGTCTGTTTTCCCAGCTATCAGGAAATGCTACACTTTCTTCACTAGCAACTGTGTTATTGTTTGTCATGAACCTTCACCTTGGAGAAACAGCAGAAATATTTTTGGGGGGCTTCCCTTTCTTGTTTATGGAACTGGCACTGAGGTGTATTCAGTACAATGAATTGCATCCTTGTGTACTGTTTCCCATAGTGGTGGTTACACAAATGGTGATTAGGTGCTAAAATATGATTCATATTATACTTCAACTAAGTTCTAGGTAAAATCCCTTTATGTGGCCTTGCTTGCCTAAGGACATAATACTATTTTTTTAGTAGAAATTGGGCTATAGTTTATTCACAACTACATTACAAACAAACACAAAGTTTCTTGTCAGTTAACAGTAGCTGGCATTTACAATCTTTGATTGTGCGTGTAAATATATACATGCATGTGAGAAAATGCAGTGTATGATAATGGGAATAGCCTTTGATTGGAAGGCAAGTTCCCAGAGTTCAAGCACTACCAGTGAATAGGTGTAGGAGGAAATTGGACCAGATGATCCCCAGGGTCTTCTAGATGGAGTCTAGACTTCTATTTCATCTCTTTAGAAGCAGAAATCAGATATAGCTTTTAACTCCTTTCTGCAGTGAATTTCTTAGGTTTCATGAGAACTGCTGCTGCAAACTGGTCAGTCTTCAAGATAATTGTTAGGATGAAGCTTCTCAATAGCACACCTATCTTTTTAAAAAAAGTTTATTTTTACTTATTTTTTTATTTTTGTAATTAAAATATTTTGACATTAATTTTTTATTTTTGTAATTAAAAATATTTTGACTTTTTTCATTTTTATGGATTTAGGGGTACTAGTGCTGTTGCAGTATATGTATATATTGCAATGTGGTGCAATTTGGGCTTTAAATGTAACTGTCATGAAAGAGTATACATTGTATCCAATATGTTGTATTTCACCCCTCACCCTCATACCACTCTACCAGCATTTGGAGTCTTCAATGTGCGTTATTCCATGTATGCACACATTGTTTAGCTCCCACTTATAAGTAAGAATGTGTGGTTTTAGATTTTCTGTTTCTGAGTCATTTCACTAAGGATAATGGCCTCCAGGTCCATCCATGTTCCTGTAAAAGAGATGATTTTATTCGTTTTTATGGATGAGTAGTATTCCATGGTGTGTGTGTGTGTACATGTGTGTCTGTATATATCACATTTAAAAAAATCCTATCATCCATTGATTGAAACTTGGGTTGATTCCATGACTTCGCTGTTGTGAATAGTGCTGTAATAAACATATGAATGCAGGTGCCTTTTTAATATAATGGTTCATTTTCCTTCAGGTAGATACCCAACAGTGGGATTGCTGGATCAAAGAGTAGCTCTATTTTTAGTTCTTTGACAAATCTCCATACTGTTTTCCATACAGGTTTCCCACCAACAGTATATGTGTTCCCTTTTCTCTTCATCTTTGCCAACATCTGTTGTTTTTTTTTACTTTAATAATAGCCATTCTGACTGGTGTGATATGGCATCTCATTGTGGTTTTAATTTTTATTTCTCTGATGATTCATGATGTTGAGCATTTTTTTCATATGTTTGTTGGCTGCTTGTATGCCTTCTTTTGAAAAATGTCTATTCATGTCCTTTGTCCACTTTTCAATGATTTTTTTTTTATTGTTGAGTTGTTTGAGCTCCTTGCAGATTCTGGATATTAGTCCTTTGTTGAATGGATGAATACTTTGTCAGTTTTTTCTCACATTCTTTAGGTTGTTTGCTTACTCTGTTTATTATTTCTTTTGGTGTGCACAATCTTTTTAGTTTAATTAAGTCCCATTGTTCTCTCTTTGTTTTCGCTGCATTACTTTTGAAGACTTAGTCATAAATTCTTTACCTAGACCAATGTCCAGAACAGTTTTCCTAGTTTGTTTTTTCTAGAATTTTTATCATTTCAAGGCTTAAATTTAAGTCTTTAATCCATCTTGGTTAATTTTTGTATATGGTGACAGATAGTCATGCATGTGGTTCTCCAATTATCCCAGCACAATTTATTAAATAATGTTTCTTTTTCCAAATGTATATTTTTATCGAGTTTGTCAAAGATTGGTTGGTTGTAGGTAGGTGGCTTTATTTTCTATTATGTTCCATTGATCTATGTGTTTATTTTTATACCAGTACCATGCTGTTTTGGCTACTAAACTCTTGTAGTGTAATCTGAAGTCAGGTAATGTGATACCTCCAGCTTTATTCTTTTTACTGAGGATTGCTTTGGCTATTAAGACTTTTTTTTGGTTCTAAATGAACTTTTTCTAATTCTGTGAAGAATGATGTTAGTAGTTTGATAGGACTTCCGTTGAATCTGTAAATTGCTTTGGGCAATATGGTTGTTTTAATGATATTGATTTTTCCAATCCATGAATATGGAATGTATTTTGATTTGTTTGTGTCATCTATTATTTCTTTTATCAGTATTTTGAAGTTCTTCTAAAAATCTTTCACTTTCTTGGTTAAATGTATTCCTAGCTATTTTTCTTTTTTGTAGCTATTGTAAATGGGATTGAGTTATTAATTTCTCAGCTCGCACATTATTGCTGTATAGAAATGCTACTAATTTTTGTACATTGATTTTTGCATCCTAAAATTTTACTAAAGTCTTTATCAAACCCAGGAGTCCTTTAGAAGAGTCTTCAGCATCTTCTAGATATAAGATCGTATCATCAGTAAACAGAGATAACTTGACTTTCTCTTTTCCAGTTAGAATGCCTTTTATTTCTTTCTCTTGTCTGATTGCTGTAGCTAGGATTTCCAGTACTATGTTGAGTAGGAGTGGTGACTGTGGGAAAACTTGTCTTGTTCTAGTTCATAGGGAGAATACTTTTAACTTTCCCCTTTCATTATGGTATTGGCTGTGGGTTTGCCATGTATGGCTTTTATTATTTTAAGGTATGTTCCTTCTCTGCTTATTCTGGTAAGGGGTTTTTTTTTTTTTAATCTTGAAAGGATGCTGGATTTTTGAGTGCTTTTTCTGCATCTGTTGATATGATCATATGGTTTTCATTTTAATTCTGTTTATGTGGTGAATCACATTTTATTGGTTTGTGTATGTCGAACCATCCATGCATCCCTGAAATAAACCCCACTTGATTGTATTATCTTTTTGATGAGCTGCTCGATTCAGTTTCCCTGCATTTTATTGAAGATTTTTGTATCTGTGTTCATAAGGCATATCGGTAGGCAGTTCTATTTTTTGTTGTGTCTTTGCATGGCTTTGGTTTCAGGCTGATACTGGCTTCACAGAATGAGTTAGGGAGGATTCCCTTCTTGATTTTCTGGAATAGTTTCAGTAAGATTGGTATCAGTTCTTCACTGTATGTCTGGTAGAATTCTGCTGTGAACTTGGCTGGTCCTAGGTTTATTTTTCTTAGGAGGTCTTCTTGTTATTAATTAAATTTCTCTACTCATTATTGGTCTGTTCAGGATTTCCATTCCTTCCTGGTTCAATCTTGAGAGGTTGTATGTCTCCAGAAATGTATCCTTTTCCCCTTGATGTTCTAGTTTGTGCACATATAGATGCTCATAGCAGTCTCTAATGATCTTTTATATTTCTGTTGTGTCAGTCATACTGACACCTTTATCACTTCTGATTTATTAGAATCCTCTCTCATTTTTTGTTGTTAATCTAGCTAGAAGTCTATCAATTTTGCTTATCCTATAAAAGAACCATCTTTTCTTTCATTTTTTTTTGGTCTCAAATTCATCTAGATGTGTTTTTGTCTTTGTTATTTCTTTTCTTCTGCCCAATCTGAGTGTGGTGTGTTCTTGTTTTTCTAGTTCCTTGAGGTGCAATGTTAAGTTGTTAATTTAAGTTCTTTCTATATTTTTGATGTAGGCATTTATTGCTAGAAAATTCTCTCTTAGCACTGCTTTTGCTGTGCCAAAGAGGTTTAGGTATTTTATGTCTCTTTTTTCATTAATTTCAAAAAATGTTTTGATTTCTGCCATTATTTCATCATTGATCCAACAATCTTTCCAGAAGAAATTATTTAGTTTCCATCTATTTGTATAGTTTTGAGGGTCCTTTTTAGTGCTGATTTGCAGTTTTATTCCACTGTGGTCTGAGAAGTTACTTGATATAATTTTTATATTTAAAAATTTATTCAGAATTGCCTTGTGGCCTAGCATATGGTCAATTTCTTTGACCATCAATTGGAAAATGCATCTATTAAGAATTATATAATTAAGACTAAATTTCTTTGAATATTCCATGTGCAGGAGAGAAAAGTGTATATTCTGTTGTAGGGTAGAACGTTCTGTAAATGTTTGTCAGGTTCATTTGGTCCAGAGTCTAATTTAAGTCAAGAGTTTTTTGCTGATTTTCTGCCTTGATAACCTGCCTACTGCTGTCAGAGGAGTATTGAAGTTCCCCACTATTATTGTATTGATGTGTATCTCTTTTCTTAGGTCTATTAGTATTTGTTTTATGAATCTGGGTGCTCTGGTGCTGAGTGCATATATACTTAGAATTGTTGTATCTTCTGGCCAAATTAATCCATTTATCATTTTAAGGGCAAAGATCATATATAAAGATCATATATAATGATCTTTGCCCTTAAAAAAAAAACAAACTATTGTTGATTTAAAGTCTGTTTTATCTGACATAAGTCTAGGTACTCCTGCCTTCTTTTGGTTTCTGTTGCATGTAATAACTTTTTCCACTCCTTTGAGTCTTGAAATGTCTTAACCAGTTAGGTGGGTTTCTGGTATGCAGCATAGAGTTAGAACTTGGTTTTTTTGTGTGTTTTTTTTGTTGTTTGTTTGTTTTGGTTTTGTTTTTCATTCCACCAGCCTATATCTTTTAAGTGGAGCATTTAGCCTATTTTTGTTTAAGGTTAGTATTGATATGTGAAGATTTGTTCCTGTCATAGTACTTATTATTACCTAGTTTCTTTGAAGTTTCAATTGTGTGACTGTTTTATAAGACCTGTGAGTTTTATTCTTTCATATGTTTTTATGATGATGACTATTGCTTTTTTGTTTCCCTCTTTAGAACTCCTTTGAGCATGTCTTGTAAGGATGGTATAGTGGAGATGAATTCTCTTAGTGTTTGATTGTCTGAGAAATACTTTATTTCTCCTTCATCTATAAAGCAGAGAGGGCATTGGCTGCACTAAGTTTTTTTTTTTTTTTTTTTTCCCATCCAAATGCTTTCACACCGGCTGCTTATAAACCTTATGTTCTCCAGAATATGGAGTGTTCTTTGCTCTTTGGGTGAATTCCCATATTCCTTCTTGAATAAAATCTCACAGTGTTCAACTTTACACACTGTTTTGCCTATTTTGCTGTCTCCAAGTGGATGAGGCATGTTAAAAGCCTATAATTCACCATCTTAGGAAAAAAACAAAACAAAACTACAACAAAAAAACCCTCACCTATCTTCTATCTCTTTTTTTTTTTTTTTTTTTTTTTTAGACAGGGTCTTGCTCTGTTGACCCAGCTGGAATGCAGTGACATGATTTCAGCTCACTGCAACCTCTGCCTTTTAGGCTCAAGTGATCCTCCCACTTCAGCCACCTGAGTGGCTGGGACTATAGGTGTGTGCCACCATGCCCAGCTATTTTTTTTGTATTTTTTGTAGATCCAGTGTTTTACTATGTAGCCCAGGCTGGTCCCAAACTCCTGGCCTCAAGTGATTTACCTGCCTCAGCTTCCCAAAATGCTGGGATTGCAGGCATGAGTCACTGTGCCTAGCCTCTTTTATCTTCTTAATATTATTTTCATACTATGATCTCTGTGTACTAGGACTTACAAGTACATCTAAGGCTTATCTAAATCTTGGTTAAGCAGGATGAGTCTGAGATGCATTTTTCCTTAAACTGTAACTGGGATCGTTAATGCATTGGAAAATGCATCTATTAAGAATTATATAATTAAGACTAAATAAATGAGTTGCAGGATGATGTTATTCAACAAATACTTCATGAACATCTCTCTTATTTGCCAGGCACTGTTTTAGGTACACAGTAAATAGATACACCCTCTGCCCTTGTGGAATTTATATGCTAGTGAAGTGGGAAATTAAAAAAAATAAAGTTAAAAAGAAGTAGAACATATAATACATAAAAAGGTGGTAAGTACTAGGAGACAACAACACAAAACAGCAGGCTAAGAGAGATATGATTTAGGTGAGCATTGCAGTTTAAAATAGGGAGTCAGCTCAGGCTTTCAAGCACAGGTGAATTCTTAGCAAAGACTTGAAGTATATGAAGGAAGTAGCATGTGGATATCTTGAGGAAAATTATTCCAGGCAAAGGAAAATCCAGAGCATGGGCCTGTGATAGGAGCATGCCTTGTGTGCTTTAAAAAGAACTCAGGGCCTGGCGTATCTAAAGTACAGTGAGAAAAGAGGAGAAAAATGGATGTGATTATCACATTGTTTTGGCCATATCACATAAGAGTTTGCTGGTCATTGTGAAGGGTTTGGTTTTTATTCCAAATAAATGGGGAATCTTTGGATTTTCCTGAGCTGTTAAAATACAAGATATGATTTTCTTATTATCATACTTACTTTGGTTGCCGTTTAAAAATGGACTATTGGGCCGGGCACGGTGGCTCACGCCTGTAATCCCAGCACTTTGGGAGGCCGAGGCGGGTGGATCACGAGGTCAGGAGATGGAGACCATCCTGGCTAACACGGTGAAATCCCGTCCCTACTAAAAATACAAAAAATTAGCCGGGCCGGGTGGCAGGCGCCTGTAGCCCCAGCTACTCGGGAGGCTGAGGCAGGGGAATGGCGTGAACTCGGGAGGCGGAGCTTGCAATGAGCCGAGATCGCGCCACTGCACTCCAGCCTGGGCGACAGAAAAAAAAAAAAAGACTATTGGGGGTTGGGATTAAAGGAAGAAAAAGCAGAGAGCAGAGAGAACAGTTAGGAAGCTGTTGCAATAATCTCTGTGAGAGGTGGCAGGGGCTTGTACCAGCATGATAACAGTGGAGCTGATGAAAAGTGGTCAGATTCTTGACACATTTTGAAGTTATAGCCAATAGGATTTCAAGAGAGAAGTGCTATAGGGAATAGAGAAAGAGAGAAATCCAAGATGACTCTGAAGTTTTTGACCCAAGCAACTCAAAGGATAGAATTGCTAATAATGGAGATTGGAAACACTGGAGTTCAATTTTGAGATGTCAAGTAGGTAGTGAGAACTATTAGTCAAAATTCAAGGTTGAGCTCTGGGTTGGAGAAATACATTTTGGAATTATTGACATATGAAAGACACATAAAGCAACAAGACAATATAAATTGCCAAATAAATGACCAAAGAGAAAGGAGTCCAAGGACTAAATTCTGGAGCAGTCTAATGTTAAGAGGTTGGGAAATGAGGAAAGATTAATTTAAGAAGGCTCAAAAAGGAGTAACCAGTGACATAGAAGGAAAGCCAAGAGAATGTGATGCCCTGAAAACTACTGGAAAGAAAGGAAAAAAGAAAAGAAAACTACTGGAAAGAAAACAAAGAGGATGGAGTTGGCAACATTTTCAAGTTCATTTGGTAGATTAACAAACATTAGGACTTAGAATAGACCAATGAGTGAGCAGTGTAAAAGCATTTGGTAACTTTGATAAGAGCAGTTTCAGTGGAGGATTTAAAAAGAAGAAGAGAAGTGGAATTGGAGGCTGAATTGACAGTACTTTCAAGGAACTTTGACACCAAGGGGTGTAAGTGAAATTGATTGAAATGGGTTGAAGATTTTTCTTGAATGGAAAAATATTACATGTCTATGTGCAGAGGCGAAAAATTGAACTGAGTGGAGACCTTGATAATTTTGGAGCGAGAGAGAATTGCTGGAGGGTATGTTTGAGTAGGTAAGAGGTGTGTAAGCTAGTACACAAGGGACCAATTTTGTAAAATTAGGGGAACAGAGAATAGATCTGGAGCAGTGCTGTGCAATAGAAAAAGAATAGAAGCCATACCTATAATTTACATTTTCCCAGTAACCACATTTTAAACAAGAAAAAGCAGGGCCAGGCACGGTGGCTCACACCTGTAATCTCTGAGCTTTGTGATCACTTGAGGACAGGAGTACAAGATAAGCCTGGGCTCCATAGAGAGATCCCACCTCTGCAAATTTTTTTTTTAATTAGGTGGGCATGGTGAAGCACACCTTTAGTCCTAGCTACATAGGGAGGCTAAGGTCGGAGCATTGCTTGAGGCCAGGAGTTCAAGACCAGCCTGGAAAACATAGCAAGATGCTGTCTCTACAAATAACAATAATAATAATAATAATAATAATAATAATAATAATAGGAATTAGCCAGACATGGTGGCATACACCTGTAGTTCTAGCCACTTGGGAGGTTGACATGAGAGGATCATGTTAGCCTGGAGTTTGAGGTTACTATGAGATATGATTGCACCACTGCATTCCAGCCTGGGCAACAGAGTGAGACCCTGTGTCTAGAAAAGCAACAAAAAAAGAAATAAACAGGTAAATTAATTTTATAACTTATTTATTCTGCATAATAAATATTTTATTATTTCAACATACAATAACATAACAATCACTGAGTTATTTTACATTCTTTATTTTGTACTAAATCTTCAACATTCTTTTTTATTTTATATTTACACCTCATCTCAATGTAGTTACTAAATTTTCATCATTAATACATGATTGGTATTTGGATTTTGAAAAGTGTATTGTTCCAGAACATGATTTATCTATCCAGGTGTTTGAAACATGGTTAAAATTTGTCAATAACTGAATTATGTTTTCTAATTTAAAATTTATATTAATTAAAGTTAAATAACATCAAACATTTAGTTTCTCAGTCATACTAGCCACATTCAACTGGTCAATGACCACTTTGCGGTTAGTGGCTACAACATTGGACAGGCAGCTCTAGACTCTCAAGCAAGATGGCAGAGGAAATTGAAACAGATGCTGGTAATGTAGTGGGATAGGTCTTTGGAATTCTCTTTTGAGTGTCACAATTTTCTTAGTAAAGTGGAAAGCAGTATCATTGGCTTGAGATGAATGCCTTAGTCCAGGCCACACCAGAAAATAGAATCTAACTCAGATGGTTCAAAAAGCTTTTTAATGTATTGGAAAGGTTAGGAAAACTCAAAGGAGACTAACAAGAGCAGGAAATGAGTTCGCTTTTATGCTTACAGGAGGAAGTCAAGGGGAGAAACTGCCCTTCAGAAGCTGTATATTTCTAAGGATGCAGCAACTTCCAGAACCACAGTCCACAGCAGGCAGGGAGCAGGCAGGAACTATCATGATCTCTTTCTTCTGCCCTTTGATGTCCCTCCAAAGATTCCCATTGACAAACTCTGGGAAGCCAGGCAGTAGGGCACCCTAGATGATGCATTTATAGGTAAATTCCCAGAGGACAGAGGTGCAGAGAAGGGGAGAGTGTGGATCTTAGGGGTGGGGGCAAATGGAGACACTAGAAATTTTGGAGAAGTCTAACCTTGAAGAGACAGGAGTGGTGAAATAATCACCTAGAAAAATGGCAGAGTAAATGAACCAGAGAAATACAAAAATATTATACCAGTGACTCAAAACATGTCTCCTCTCCTTTCAACAAATATGTGTTAAGTGCTTACTGCTTGCAGCATGTACCTAGACTTGTTCTAAGCCCTGGAAATAGAGTGATGAACAAGACAAAGCTATTCTTCATTTTACCAATGGGAAAAACAGGCAGAAAACAGTAAACAGATAAACGATAAACCTAGATAGCCATACATTCTATATATACAATTATAGTGTTTGGGATGGGTTTTGGGCTACATTAACCAATGTGGTGGAGAGGACTTCTTTTTGAAGATTTTATTTGAACTTATCTTTAATTATCTCAAGGAAGCAGCCACATGGAGTTCTAGGAAGAATATTCCTGACATATTAAGTGCAAAGGCCCTGGGACAGGAAAGCTTTGCTGTCTTGGTGAGAAAGAAATAAACACAGTGTGGCTGTATGGTACTGAACTAGGAGAAGCACCATGCCAGATGAGATTGGAGAGGTAAATTGGCATGAAACACTTAGGTGCTTTTTTTTTAAAAAAATTGTAAAACCATGGAAGGTTTTAGCAGAGAAATAATATGATCCAAGTTCCTTTTTGGAAAGATTACTCTGGCAGATGTGTGAAGGATAGACCATCATACGGCCAAAGGGGAAAGAAGGAGACCAGAGAGAGACTGTTACAGAAGTCCAGATGAGAGCAGCTTGGATGAGAGGAGTAGCAGCTGAGATGCTCCTGGACAGCTGAGTTATTAGATTTGAAATATAATTTTAGGTACAGGTGCTAGGACTTTCTGGCTTTGCTTCCTTCCCTTCCTTCATCTCTACCTTCTCTGTTCCTTTCACAAACACTAAATGGTAGGATGCTAGTACTGGGGATGCTAGGATAAGGTAAATTTCCTGGCCATTAGAACAATCAAGGCAATGGCAGGAAGGAGACTGAATGGAGTAGGGGCACCAGAGCAGGCATGTAAGTGAGAATATGTGCCCGATGCTAAATGTATTACGATATCTACACTTTAAATGAAGGAATGATAATTCTACTGGGGTGGACATCCAGGAGGGGGGAATCTGGAAACTCTTCCTAGGAAAGGTGATACTTGAGCTGAATTTTGAAAGATGAGTAGGTGTTTGTTTGCTAGGCATACAAAGATGGGAAGAACACTCCTGGCAGAAGAAGCAGTGTATGCAAAGGCGAGGCAGCTTGAAATATCCTGGCATTTTTGAGGAACTGCAAGTCATGCAGTTTTGTATGGTTTGAGGTTGGGAAGAGTGGGCGTTGTTAGTGGGTAGAAGGAAATGAGAAGCTAAGTGAGAAATGAGGCTCTAAAGGTAGGCTGGGGCTGGGACACTGAATGTCTTCTGTGCGCTGATAAAGAGTATGGTTTTGTTCCCTAGGCAAATGAGAATCTTTAAAGGATTATACAAATAAGGAAGCTCTTGATCAGGTTTAATTTTGTAAGAAATGTCACAATGTAGTGGCTTGGAGCATGTGTTAAAAAGAGGACAAGACAGGAGATAACTGGGGGATTTTCTTTCAAATTAATGATTTGTTTCAAAATCAATTGTTATGAAAATAGTTAATAATTGATTAACTATTTAATTGACTAATAGTTCACCAAAGACTCCTTTTTTTATTGATTCCTCTATCACATGTTCACATAATTCCAATTAAAATCAAGTAAACATATTTTTGTTTCCATGTGTGATGTCATTATATGAAAAAAAATCCTATTTATCTTATCATTTTTAGAAAATATGTGAAACAGCATAGGTTCCAGGTTGGGATCTGTCAAACACATGGTCTCTAAGGTTCCTTTGGCATTTATAGGTCAATTCCCAGAGGACAGAGGAGCAGAGAAGGGGAGAATGTAGATCTTAGGGGTGGGGGCAAATGGAGACACCAGCAATTTTGGAGAAGTCTAGCCTTGAAGAGAGAGAAGTGGTGAAATAATCACCTGGGAAAATGGCAAATGAACCAGAGAAAGACAAGAAAGAATATACCAGTGTCTCAAAACATGTCCGCTGTCCTTTCAACAAATTTGTGTCAATTGCTTACTGCTTGCAGTATGAGCTTTTGACTGAAACTAACATGCAGCTCTTTTTCCCTTCACTCTTAGAGAGTGGTCCAGGTTAGGTAGTGTCTATGCTGAAATATCAACTACAGCCTTAGTATGTTAAGTTTCTCAGTGAGCCAAATGTGCTTCGAAGTTACAATAATCAAACTCCAATTGTGGCTGATAGGGTTTAGGTATAAGTTATATAAAAGCATGTAGAAATATGTATATTGTCTAATGGTGCTATCACTGAAAAAGAGAGAAAATTGACCTAAGGTCAGCGTGTCCTTTGGAAGGCCAACAGCATGATAATGCCATTGTAACTGCTCTCACACATTTGTATGGACTTTTCTAGTTTGCAAGTTATCTTTACAAACACTCACTCAGTAAACGTCACAGGAAACGAAACATCCACAAAGTAGTCATTTTCTCTCATCATCTGTGTCCTCATGACACTAGAGTCTCCACACTTTTGTGAATATCAAGTGACAGGACAAGATCAATACAAACAACAGCTCATCCCTAGAACACAGCCACTTTCTGAGCATTGAAACCACAATGTTCATAATTCTCACATGCTGAATGAGGCATATGTAAAAAGTGGAAGATGGAAGGATATCTGAGCACCTGCTTTGTTCTAAGTTCCCCTGGGACAATTATGGGAAAGGCAGGAGAAAATGCTGATGGAATTCTGAGTTGCACAATCCTAAACCACAAGCACAGCTCTAGATAACTCAGGAGCAATTGCAGCTGGAAAATTGGCAGTCGAGGTAAGGACTGGACCAGCTATGCTGGCAGAAGGAGCTAACCTTAAGTCTAGAAGGCAGCTTCGCGAGGCATAGGTGAGACATTCACGGCAGTAGGATGAATATTACGTGCCCACAGGATGAAAAGAACTGTTAGTTCAATACTATCATCTTCTGTCTTTGTCGTCCACAAAGAGTTTGGTTTTTCTTTAAGACACAGGACAAATACTCTCATTTTCCATGAAGTCCATTCTGAACTCTTTCTTTTTTCTCATGATAGATACTGTCTAAATGTTAAATGAATAATGTAGTGTCATTTTCAAAAAGATAAACAGACATTTATGCTCAGATATATTTTACTTTATATGTATACATGTATAGGACATTTAAATCTGATGACTTAACAATTTGCAATGTTATAACTTTTTCTATCTCTGTCTGTTTCTATTTCTGTTTGCTTTATTTTTTTTAATTGCCTTAGTACTGTCACCAGACAGTTATCATATTCAGATGCTTTAGTGATTTTAATTTCCATTTGCATTCTCTGGTCAATTTTAAGATGGGTGTCTGCTTTGCTGTGATTAGTATGGGATGAAAGCAGCTGTGTGTAGGGAAGCGCTGGCAATGAAGATTTTCACTTTTTTTTTTTTTTTGCTGTTGGTAGAAATTGTCTAAATAACAGGTGTCTATCATCATAAGTGTGGGAACATGGTATTTTTATCACTATGAGGGCCAGATCCAGCCTCTAGGTATTCATCTGAACTCATAGAGAAGTCAGCTGTACTCAGAATACCCTGAAAGTCGGCTTGTTCTGTAAGATTCTGCATTTTGCCCTTCAATTGCTCCCATATGGAAAAATTCCATGCCTTAAGCATTTTTACCAACCTTTGCCACAAATCTCATGAATATAAACATACCATTGGCTTTGACATAATACAAAATTTCCCTTCCAAATGAAAACAGACAATTGGCATTTAACACCTACAATTATAAGTAGCAGATGAGGTAGTTTCAGTCATTCTGAAAAACACAAGCACTCTGTCACTATTCTCCCACCCAGCTCTGAAAATGCCCAATGCTTGCTTGAAACATTTTTATATTCCAAAGATACGTCTGAAACATTTTTATGCTCATGGCAACAGACCATTAGCAACATGCAAGATACTAAACCCCTTTCTTATTAATTATTTTAATATAAAGTGACTAATTATGTGAAATGGGAAGTCCTAGTGCATGAATGCACAGAAAAGCAGAGCTGTGCCCCATGCACGACTCAGCTTTGTGCACTCAGAGTTCAGATGGCATAGCACATTACTCTCCCTCCAATCATTTAGGTCATCAGAACCCACTCGCTGTGAGTACATAGCCTTTTAATTTAGCAGTGCAGCTTCTCTACCTAAAACAGCATGAGCCAAGCAAAGTATGACTATAAGAAAAACACAATGTGCTGATTGCTATAGTCCCTTCAGCATGTTTGCTAAGCCATAATATAAAAGAGGAAGGGAAAATGACTACCAGATGCCATTGGGCAAGTATAGAGATGGATTTCAAAAGTGAAGTAATGATGATTCCCAACTTATTGAAGATGGAATGGATAGATGTATATTTTATAATTTCTGTTCGCTAATTCCAGGAGAAATTATGTATTTCATTTTGATTTTAAATTACTTGCTGCCAATGGCACATTTTGTTCATCTTTATATAACCACTTTTTATTCTTAGCAGTGCTGTGCTCATGGTAGGCATTCAATAAATGTTTTTCTTGATTTGAAAGCGTTATCCAAAAATTAATTCTCTGGTTAATTATATGTCTTCTATTTTTAGTAGTTACTGAGAGCAGGAACTGCATCTTTTGTATTATCTGTAAGTTTTATCAAAGTGCTTTGTACATAGTAGGCACTTAAGAAATGTTTTTGAATTGAATATTGTTGTGTTAAAATTAAAGGAGTTTTTTTTTGGATTTCAGTAGGGTTAGTTTAACAAGTGACTTTAATATGCATCTAGTGTTTATTTTTTAAACGATATTTTCTTTTTTTCATAAGTTTTTACATTTTCCTGCTTGACTGGGATTAGAATTAAACTCGAGTCCTCTTTCTTTATCTCTCTCCCCCTACCTTCAATAGAAAATAAGCTCTGTTGGCTCTGCCAGTAAAATGTAGCCTGAATTTTTCATTGTTCTTTTTCTAAACTATTACCACCCTGGATATTCTGCCTGGGAACTGCAATAGTTTCCCCACTGTCTGTTTCTACACTCCTGTCCCTGCAATTTAAGCTCCACACAGAAGCTAGATTCACCTTTTAACAACAAAAATAAGGCATTTTTACTCTTCTGTGTAACACTCTTAAATAGATTTTGCTTTAACTCAATATCAAATCTGAGCTCTTCACCAAGGCTGGCAAAGCACTACCTCATTTGGCCCCTAATGGTTTCTCCCTGGTCACCTTTCTTCTTACATTCTTGGTCACTATACTGTAGTCATATCAGTTTTGTTTTTTTAAAGGTATGTGGGTCTTGCTGTGTTGCCCAGGCTGGCCTCAAACTCCTTGGTTCAAGGCATACTCCTTTCTCAGCCTCCTGAGTAGCTGGGACTATAGAATGTGCCACTGTGCCTGTGCACCAGCCTTCTTTCTATTCCTCAAATTTTCTAAGCTTGTTCCCTATCTTAGGACCTTGGAATTTTCTCTTCCTTGTGTCTGAAATGCTCTTCCATCAGATCTTTGAATGGCTAATCCTTGGCAAAATTCAGGTCTCAGCTCACAGTTTACCTCCTGAAGCTGGCCTTTTGCTGTCCTCCTATCTGAAGTTTCATTGCATCATCTAATCACTCTCCAAGCACCATGTTTTATTTTCTTCATAGCACCTATCCTCATCTGATATTTATTCTATGTGTTCATTTTCTTTCTCATTCAACTAGAATTTAAATTCCATGAAAACAAAGACTTTGTTGGTCTTATTTACATTGGCACATAGAAAACATTAAAAAAAATTGTTGAATGAATGAATGAGTGAATGTACACATTTAGAGAGCAGATTTTGACCTAACTGGTACAAAAACAGAGTAACAGCACACTGTGATTATCTTCTTTAAATAGAAGCCCCTGTAAAGATCATAGGTTTAAAAGGACTTACTCCTCAGTTATTTCATATTGATGTGTGGCAAATATCCTATTGATCATGTCTTCCAAAATATAGTCCTGAAGACTTTTATGTAGTATGAGATATATATAAGTGTTTTGAGAGATTTGACTGTATCAATATATACAGTGTTATTTACCAGTCCAGAAAAAGGGGATACATGAAATTAAATGCTCTCTAATTGGTTTGGTGTTTTTGAATATTTTAGTGAGTGACTGAATTTCATACTGGAGAATATGTAAATATATACATATATGTAGTTTGCTCATAACACCTTATATATGATTATTAGATGGTTATAGTACTTACAGACTAGAATCTGAATTTAAATCATATTTATTAACTTGCACAATTGGTGAGAAACATATTGAAATTCAGCAGGAAAAAATGCAGAACAATACGCTTTGGGATTAAATGAAGTGTGTGTGTGTGTGTGTGTGTGTGTGTGTGTGTGTGTTTTACTCATTTAGTTACCTAAAGTCATTCTAAAATATTTTATGCCAGATTTATGTGTTATGTTAACTAGCTGCATGCATAATGTGGTTTTGGTTGAAATATTCCTTATAGGAGAAAACTGAAAGCCTTCCTTACTACATCTCCCCATGCCAATGTATCACTCTATGACATGCCATACTGCCAGAAATTGCACCATTGCAGAGTCATTACACTGAGTTTAAGTCTCACTATTCCAACCTCTCCTTTGAACATACAACTACTTTCATTTTCTGCAGTATTTTGTCAGAATTCTGGGATCCAGATCTCAAATTTCCAGCATTGTAAAAAGAGAGGCGGATGGTATTTGAATGTGGGAGGGTGCCTGGGTGGTGGCCCCATGTGACAGTACTGAGTGTTAACTCTCTGGAGGTGTGGGCATCAGTGAGGATAAGCAGAATATGGAAAAGACTGGTGTGCAGCTGCTGCTAAAGTCTAATTCACTTACCTTGTGGTTGTGCCTTAGGCAGACCCTGTCATCACACTCCTTTTGGTACTAAGCCCAGATCCGTTGGGCCTGATTAATGCTGAGTACCTTATGGTTCTTACATTTTATGATCCTACTCATGTATCCCACTATCATGTTCCCTTTCTTAACTATAGTCCCACACTGGTGACTCATTGTCATCTTATCTACTATGATTCCTGATCCCTTTTCTCCACACTCATACATATGGTCCTGTCCCATCTTGTAATTGGGCAGCCCTTTTATCTGAAGCACCAGTTTCCCTTCTTTTATATTTTTTAAAATGAAAAGACCTGAATATATGATTCTGTCAGTATAAGCTCTGCTTATAATAAGTTGAACTGCCAACCCGAATGGAACATACATCCATATAAGAACTTAAAGATCAGAGTTTGAAAGTGGGCAGTAATATATGTAGCCAGCCTTTGAGTATTTGGGATTGGCATCAGGGACAAAGAAGATTAGAGAAAAGACAACAGATGCAAGAATAAACACAGTGAGAAGTGGAGAAAGTGCATGTAATATATATGATAAGAGAAATCCAAGCAGGTGGCAGGTTGAGGAAAAGCAAGTGACCTTGCTCACCATCATCCATCTCCCATTAAAAAAAAAAAAAAAGATTAAAGGGGAGAGAGATGAAATGTAAAACCTTGCTTTAAAAAAGAGTGAAGTTGATGTGCAAAGTAAACTCTTCCCTAGCCTCTTTACTTCCATTCTTTCAACCCTGTGTCATTTATTTCTGCCAAATTAATCTTCCTAAATCACAAGTACGATTATCTCTCTCTTGCTTAAAGTGCACTTGCACACACACACACACACGCATGCACAAACACACCAGCATTTCACTGAATAAACTCCTTAGCCTGGCTTTCAATATTCTTTACTTTGTGATTCCATTGGCTGGTACTGGTATTACAAGCAATACTTATCTACATATTATTCCCAGATTGTTCTCAAACTGTGAACTCCATAATGTAGAAACTTAATATTCATCATCATATTGCCACTGCTAAGCCCAGTGTCTGGCCCACAGTAGAATAAGCAAGCCCGACCCTTTACATTGCCCGAGCTTTTGCCCATTCAATTTTCTGTGTTTGAAATGCCTTCTTCCACTTATCCGTAGATACCATAATGATATCAACATTGCCAGACCCATTTCAGTTGGTTTCATGATTCCACCTGAGTGACTATATGTTTCTTCTAATCATTTCTATATTATTAAAATATTTTTAGTACCTACTTCCAAATTCTATCTTATGCTATAATTATCAATATTATTGTCTTTCTGCTTAGCAGAGTGTAAGTTTTTGAAAGTCAGAGCCTGTTTCTTTCTTTTAACATCTAATACTGTTATTTGTACAAGCCAATATGCTCAATATTTCTTATAATGAAGCCATGAATTGACCAATAAAAGAATCAGGAGAAGAGGCTTACAGTATAAATAGATTACTGTGTCAGAACCCACTCTGGATTTTTGTAAAAAATTCTAATTTGTTTATCTATCACCTAGAAATTCAAGCTTATAAAAAGAGATAAATAAGTTTCTGAGAACTCTACTATTTATTTGTATAGAATAGGGAATTTAGGATGATTGACATATCTTCCAAAATAGAAGGCTGTGTGATTCATTTCTTTGCTGTCTACCTAGGATAAAATATCTTTTCTATTAAAGATAAAACAATGTAAAACTATCACTCTTATATTGGGACAAAAATTTATCTAAAGGAAGGCACTGGAGAGATGCTGCTCAGTTTAACCCATATGAAAATATATTTCATACTGTTTTATACATTTTCAGAATACTGTGTAATGTGGTAAACAGATCTAGAATGTCTAACATTTAATTACAGCACAGAAACACCAGCAGGGATATTGTCAGGAAAGAATATGCTAATATGATGCAGAGATATAGCATGACTCTGGAACACTGTTAAAATTGTTGTTTGAAGAGACACAGAACCAATTTGTGCTCCCACTATCTTGGCAAGAGAAGACTGTAGTCCTCTTCCTTAGGGGGTGTTTTTGTTTTCCTCCACACTAGTGTTTATATAAACCATCATTTCCCAACAATTATCAGTCTGTGAAACATTTGTGACCTTGCCAGGACGGGTAGAGAGATGAGATTTGGAGGAAGAAAAATGGAGAAAGAAAAATTGAGCCAGTTTCCATGGGCTCTGGGAGGCCTGCTTGCAGTTGAACAGGCAGTTTAATCCTCACAACTCATACAAGAAAGAAAAGGAGAAAATAGTGTCTAAGGTTACTAAGCTGGACCTCATTGAAGTGCAGACTTATATAGCTAGAGCACAAAGTCTGGAAATGGAAGGACAAGTCTAATTGTTATCTCCAATTTATAACGACTCAGTCAAGTATGTGACTCAGCTTATTGTGTATTTGAAATATCAACTTTCTGAGAGAGAAAGGAATTTTTCTTTTCAAAAACTCATTTCAAAAACTTCCTTCTTTCCTTCCTTCCTTCCCTCCCTCCCTCCCGTCCTTCCTTCCTTCCTTCATTCCCTCCCTCCCTCCCTCCCTCCTTCCCTTCCCTTCCCTTTTCCCTTCCCTTCCCCTTCCTTCCTTCCCTCCTTCCTTCCTTCCTTCCTTCCTTCCTTCCTTCCTTCCTTCCTTCCTTCCTTCCTCCCCTCTCTCTCTCTGTCTCCCTCTCTCTCTCTCTCTGCCTCCCTCCCTCTCTCTCTCTCTCTTTCTTTTCTTCACTCTGTCACCCAGGCTGGAGTGCAGTGATGCAATCATGGCTCACTGCAGCCTCGATCTTCTGGGCCCACGAGATCCTTCTAGCTCAGCTTCCCCTTTCAAGTAGCTGGGACCACGAGTGTGTGCACCATGCCTGTTTTTTTTTTTTTTTTCCTAATATTTTGTAGAGATGGGAGTCTTCCTGTGTTGCCCAGGCTGTTCTGTAACTCCTGGGCTCAAGTGATCTTTCCACCTCAGCTTACTGAAGTGTTGCCTTTATAGGCAAGAGCCCTCACACCTGGCTGGTGGGCCTTTCAAAATGCAAATATCTGAGTGCCCCTCTTTGACCACACAGGACTATGTTAATACATGCTCTCTACTAGTTCAAAGTTTCAAGCCACAAGATACAAACAACTTAGGTTTTCTCATTTGCCATGCCAGTTCTTGCTCTTTCTCTTAAAAAGTCTCTTTTCAACAGTTCTAGAAACATTGAGTGACCTGCTCAAAGTTACACTGTTGATTTGTTTTCGTAGACAGGCCTACAATGTATGCCTATTGACTTCTAATCCAAAGTTCTTTTGGTGACATCATTTTGCCCCCTAGTTTGTAAAAGAGGATACATACTGTTCTGTGGTAAGAAACCCTAAATATGAAATATCTCTCCAGAGAAATTTCAGGTCTTAACATTAAAATTTGCCAGTAACATCTTAAGCTCTTTCTCCGCTGTTGCCAATATTTGTTTTCTTGGCAAGATCTGTGTTTTCATTAAAAAATGTCTAGAAATTTAGTTCTATTTGAACTAAGTAAAAGGGTATTAAAGTCGTGCACTTTCAGCTTGTAAGAAAGAAAGACAGGCTCATGGTACTTCAGATGATGGGGCAAGTCAGACAAACAGTAAATGGCAAGACAGAGCAGACACAGAGCCAGCCTTTTGGAAAATATTTGGTGGGGGGACCCTCACGGAAACCAGAGCCATAGTGGTCCACTATTGATCATGGTATTCAAGGACAGTGAACAGTATCTGTCATTGCTACTCACTTGTGTGCTTGGGTGTTTTAAGCATCATGATTGGGAAATACCAGTCCCTCCCAGGGCATATATGATCAGAAGTTGGGAGGTAAAAACGGAATCACTAAATGATAAACCTGGTTTCCATGCTGTTCTACCTACCTCCAATGTGGAGGAGCACCAGAATTTCCCCTGCTATCATTAGGAAGGCTGGGTTCTGGGACTTCTGTTACAGCTTTTCTGGATGAGTGGACCAGTGGCCTAGTGGACCACCTCCATCCTTTACTTGGATTGGTTGGCTTAAACACTCAGCTGTACCCAGTTTCCATGGGCTCTGGGAGGGCTCTGGGAGGCCTGCTTGCCTCCCAGGGTTAAACAGGCAGTTTAATCCTCACAACTCATACAAGAAAGAAAAGGAGAAAATAGTGTTTAAGGTTACTAAGCTGGATCTTATTGAAGTGCAGACTTGTATAGATAGAGCAAAAAGTCTGGAAATGGAAGGACAAGTCTAATTGTTATCTCCAATTTATAACGACTCAGTCAAGTATATGACTCAGCTTATTGTGTGTTTGGAATATGAACTTTCTGAGAGAGAAAGGAATTTTTCTTTTCAAAAATTCATCCTGATGACCTTTTCATATTCCTAAATCATCTTGATCAAGATTCTAACAGACAAGAAATAAAGGCAATTGTTAGGCTAATAATTCTCTTATCTGTAAGAATGATTATTTCCATGGAAGTTTATTCCAATCTTGTAGGGAATATGTTTTGAGGTGTTTAAAATAACTGTTCCTTCAGGAGTGCCCATTTCTACCTCCAGCTACAATTTAATTGTTTTTACCTCATACATGGAGATCTCCACAGTCAGGCATTGCTTTTAGTTGCTGATCATCATGACACCAGGCCCTGAAAAAAACATCTATTTTGGTGATGTTCATGATAGTTGTAAGTTACATCAGCCTAATAGTGGTTGATATCAGCTGTTATGCCTGCTGAAATAATGGATTGACTGTGCCACAATTCATATATTTCACATGTAAAGACAGGACTTTAAATAATGTGATGAGAAGAGGAGCCAAAATTCTAGGCTAAAGTGAAATTGAAGCAGTCATGATGAAAAATTTCAACTTACAAATTAAAACTTTTTCCATCCTAACATTCAGTTGGAATTTTAAACATATACTCTCTTTGATTTAAAATTATGTTTTTGTTACTATTTCTAATGCTACTATCATAATATTACAATGCTGGAATGCTGGAATTTTGGTAACAATGATTTTCATAATGCTTTGCTGTCCTTAATATCAGATAGAATATTTACAATAAACGTTGTCAAAGTAGACTTTTGAATTTTGGGACAATGAAAGCTTTTTGCCTTGTGATCTAGAATTATAAAATCAATTCTAATGAGACCATTAATAGAAAGAAATTATAGTTGGAAGTCTTGTCTTCCCATTATTAGTAATCTCCTTTAGAAGAAGGCGAGGTGGCCAGGCGCAGTGGTTACACCTGTAATCCCAGTACTTTAAGAGGCCGAGGCAAGAGGATCACTTGGGATCAGGAGTTGGAGTCCAGCCTGGCCAATGTGGTGAAACCCTATCTCTACTAAAAATACAGAAATTAGCTGGGCCTGGTGACGTGTACCTGTGGTCCCAGCTACTTGGGAAGCTGAAGCAGGAGAATTGCTTGAACCCCGGGGGGCAGAGGTTGCAGTGAGCTGAGATCATGCCACTGCACTCCAGCCTGGGGCAACAGAGGGAGACTGTCTCAAATAAATAAATAAATAAATAAAATAAAAAATAAATAAAAAGAAGAAGGCAAGGATGCTGTAAACAAACACATCATAGAATAGACAACATTTAATTTTTAGGGTTTCCAGTTTGATTAATTAGGCTTCAAATTATTTAGTAGATTTGAAATAACATTTAATAGTCTAATTGCTAACCAGGATGATTTATTATTTTATTTAGTTTACATTAAACCTCACTTATTGAATGAATGTCTGTGTAAAAATGAACTGAAGTTTTAATTGTCAAAGACAGTATAAGATTTTTAGTCTATGTCATTGAACATTTGTTCCCCAAAAGAAATCCTCAGGCATCTTGGAAGAGATGAAAATAGAAAAAATATAAAAATATTTTCTGTTGCTTTTGGTTATATATCACCATCTTTGAGATTTTATAAAATGTTCAACCTTTTAAAATCAGACATTTTAATGACAAAATATTATCATGAGGTCAAAGACATAGATTTCTAGAAGTGTTTAACTTATTAACATTATAACAATAATTCTATACATATATAAGGAACCAAAGTTGCCACAAAAAATGGTTAAAGATAAATGGTTTGTAAGTGTGATTTTCCATGAAGAACAAATGGACCTGTAAGGTTACAGCCTGCTCTTTCATAACATTATACTTTTGGCATTATTAGTAACCATATGGCTTTTATAATTTCCAAACATGTTGATCATTTCATTCTTCTTCCTTCAGATTTACTGATTCTCCTATAAGATAAAGAAAAGAAATTCAAGTTAGGCAAATGGCAGGGTTTTGCTTAAGATGGTGGTTCCCTACCTTATTCCAGAGGATATTAAAGTACTTGACATGAAAAGAGAGGGGTTCTGAAGTCAAATAAGTTGAAGAAACACTAAATCTAATACAGTGTATAAAGTTTATTGTTTCAGGATGTCTTGGAGGCTTTACTATATTAGCGTGAACTATGAATCAAATGAGGACCCCTGCTCTCTCAATGCATGTTACTACCCTCCCTCTACTGCTACAAAGTACCTGCGGGCTCTGGTATTCTCAGTGCCACAGGTTTAGTCATCAACATTTTATGTTCATCACAAATTACAACAAACTTATTGGCTTCAAGAAACAAAAAAATTATTATCATGCAGTTCTGTAGTTCAGAAGTCTGACACAGGTCTCACTAAGCTAAAATTATGGTGTTGGCAAGATTACACTCCATACTGGAGGCTATGAGGGAGAATCTGTTTCCATGCTCATTTCATTGTTGGCAGAATTCACTTCCTTGCAGTAGGACTAAGACCCCTGTTTTCTGGGTATCTGTCAGTTGAGGGCCATTCGCAGTTTCTAGAGTCCTTTCATTCCTTGGCTGGTAGATCCCTTTCTCCATCTTCAAAGCCAGAAAGCCCTGTCTTCCAATATCTTCTTCTATCTCACCTCTCTGAGTCAAAAAAAAAAAAAAAAAAAAACTTTCCATTTTAAAGGACTCGTGTGATTAGATTGGGCCCACCTGCTTAATCCTGGATCATGTATAACAGGTAAAATAACATATTCACAGGTTCCAGGGGCCATTATTCTGCCTAACACAGCTAGTAAAACAATATATAGATATTTTTTAGACGAGTCTAACTCTGTCACCCAGGCTGTAGAGCAGTGGAGCAATTTCAGCTCACTGCAACCTCTGCTTTCCAGGTTCAAGTGATCCTCCCACCTCAGCCTCCTGAGTAGCTGGGGCTACAGGCGTGCACCACCAGGCCTGGCTAAATTTTGTATTTTTAGTAGAGATGGGATTTCACCATGTGGACCAGGCTGGTCTTGAACTCCTGGCCTCAGGTGATCTGTCCACCTTGGCCTCACAAAGTATTGGGATTATAGGCACAAGCCACCACACTAGGCCACCAATGAAACATTGAATGAGACAGACTCTGCCTTTCAGTAACTTTCAGTTAATCTGGGTTCCGTGCTACTTAAACTCACAAGTAAACATTAAAAAAATTGATTAGTATATTTAAGAAATGTTTGATAAGATTCAAAAACTGCAATACTCACACACCTCCTTACTGTCAGAATACTTGAGAAATTGCTCATGTAGCAATGATAGACATGATAGACATCCATAATAGGCATGAGTGGGTATTCTTGAGGGAAATTTTATATTGTCCATAATGAATCCTGTGTCCTCAATCCATTCCCCAGTGCTTATTTGAAATGGACACACACAAACACACACACACACACACACACACACACACACAGAGATTCTTATAGTCTAACACATGAACTTGAACCAAATATGTTTGAGAGTCAGAAGTAGTTCTTATATACAAGACACTCCATTGATAATCTTTTGAATTATATCTCTCTCCTCCATCCAGACCAGATATAGAAATGAGATTGGGTGAAAGCAGGTGCTGATAAAATTGTATTGAAAATGTTGGTCAGGCATGGTGACTCAGGGCTGTAATCTCAGCACTTTGGGAGGCTGAGTTGGGCAGATCACCTGAGGTCAGGAGTTCGAGACCAGCCTGACAGACAAGTTAAAAACCTGTCTCTACTAAAAATACAAAATTAGCTGGGCATGGTGGCACGTGCCTGTAATCCCAGCTACTCAGGAGGCTGAGGCAGGAGAATTACTTGAATCTGGGAAGCGGAGGTTGCAGTGAGCTGAGATTGTGCCATTGCACTCCAGCCTAGGCAAAAAGCAAAACTCCATCTCAAAAAAAAAAAAAAAAAATAGTACTCTACCTTCAGCTGCTGCTTTTAATAGTAAGTCACTTCTCACTGCCCCACTCCCAGACATATATCTTTTTGGTTTCTAGCCATTGTTTTTCTCTTATGTTTCTTTTAATGTGGGTGACTCTTTGCAGTCATGGAGGTTCGAAGAAGTGGTGTGCCTTTTGATAAAATTAAACTGAAGCCTGCATTTCTCCACCTACCTTGTTGGTTTAATCATAATAGCTTGCCAGTTTTTTAGGCACTACATTTTAAATAAAGCAGGGTGAAATTTTTTTTTAAGCATGCATTTTGTTGATTAGAATAAGTTCATTTTCTAGTCAGATCTAGTTTCCATTTTCCTGGGCAACAATCATAAATAGGCCAACTTTTCTTTCTTTGGGCTGGTTCTTCTAAACTTCATGTAGACCATCCCCTAGAGTTAAAACATTCTTCTATCCACTTTAGACATGGAAATGAGTTTTGTTATCCACTGTATTCTCTTGACACTACATCCTGGTCATTTGTATTAGGCTTTGGGTTTCCCCCAGTGTGTGACACACTCTTTTACTGATTATTTTTCAGGATGTGTTACTCCTACATCCCATTAACCCCAGGAAGTGCTTCTATTACCAAGTGGATTATGAATATAGAGTGATTAATTCAGTTGCATCCTTTCTATGAATAAAGGAGTCTCTATTAGGCATCACTTTTTTGTGTGTCTTTGGAATAACATTCTATTTCCAGCTTCTTCCCTTTCTTTCTTTAAGAAAAAACAAAAATTATCCCCCCAAACCCCAAACACTCTTTTGCGTGACAGAAGGTCCATGTGTTGATGGATTTTCTGAATCCTGTAAGTTTAGTTATTGCCAAACAAATAATATGAAATGTGGTTTTTGATAAAGAATTGACCAACTGTATTGCAAATGCATTGTCCATATTTGGAAATATTTAAAATAAATATTTTTAGAGATTAGCCAAGCTATTTATGTTCAAGATATTCTCACCTAATAACGTTATTCTTTTTGATTAGATCTATAATTCTCATACTAGTATTATAAATTGTTTATCTGGAAAATGTATTTATCTGGTGAATCTTGTAGTGGAGAAAATTAGCGAGTTCTAGTTATTGAATAAACAACTGCTCCATGTTATAATCACTGTCTCTTTGGGATTTGCACATTATTAGTAAATTAGGTGGCAAACTATTTTGCATTATGTAAAGGGAAAATAAAATCAGACACATGCCCTCAACCTTCTTGCTCATTTCTGCCCTGCTTACAGCTTTACTCTAAATATACATTTTTAAAATAGCTCTTTCTCTGATAACAGATTGGCATCTGTAAGGAATATTTTTGAGCAATTATCATTACTCAAGGGGAGGCTGCAATGTCTTTAGCACGTGCACACTACCAGAGACTCTCCTTGCTCACTAGATGCTAGAGCTCTAATCAGCTACGGGTAAGGAGATCAGGTGGGACGCTCTGGGTCTATGGAGAGGACAGGAGGCATCTACAATGTTAAATGAATTTATAAAAAAGAAACCCAGAAATATCAAATCCTGTTGCCCATCCACAGGAAGACTGCTAATAAAAAAAGAAGTTTTTAAATTGGATTTTCCATAAATCCCAATGCAGAAAATTTGAGTAAGTTGAGCTGGATAAGCAGAACATTCCTTTTTACTAAGCTATATTTTTCAGACCAAATTAAGTGGGATAACGCTTGCATGATTACATATCTCCTCAACACCCACTCTTTCCATACAAATACAATTCTCAGATGTTGCTACATTTTACTGAGTAGAGGGATGAGGCAAATACAGGTTATGTCCTTTCTGTGGGAGCAGGCTTCATTTCAGACTACAGTTGGCTGCATGTTTTTTAAAAAGCATAAAAATAAAATTGGTTTAAATAGTGTAAAAATTTATTTCTCTCTCTCACACTTAAAGATACAAGGTAGGTGACTCAGGTTGATTTGGTGGAGTTACCAGGGACCCAGTCTCATTCTAACTTTCTACTCCGCCACCCTCAGCACCACCTCCATTCCTAGGGTTTCCTCCTAGACAAAAATTGCTGTTGGAGCTCCTGCCATCACATTTTTATTACAAGGGTAGCATAGGGAAAAACAGAGTCCTTTTAAGCAGGTTTCTTAAAACTCTCACATGGCATTCATGCTTAGATTTTAATTGTCAGAACTTAATTATGTAGATACACCTACCTACCAGCAAAGCAAGACCATTAATCCTTAAACTCTATGTGTTATTGCCAGTGAAAACTTCAGGCTCTTGCATCTCTGAAATTCTGAATTTTTTAATTGCCTGCCTTAAAATTATTTAAGAAACCTTGAGAATTCTATAGTGTTTTAAAAGTTAAACTGATACTAAATTGAGTAACCAATTGTATAAATTTTATTTTTTAAATCTAAGACAAGTCCTAAATTTACCGTATTTCCACTATACAGACAAAAACATTAGGCTGGGCTTGGTGGCTCACACCTGTAATCCCAGCACTTTGGGAGGCCAAGGTGGGCAGATCACCTGAGGTCAGGAGTTTGAGATCAGCCTGGCTAACATAGTGAAATCCCCTCTCTACTAAAAATACAAAAATTAGCCGGGGTATGGTAACATGCACCTATAATCCTAGCTACTCGGGAGGCTGAGGCAGGAGAATTGCTTGAACCCGGGAAGCAGAGGTTGCAGTGAGCAGAGATCGTGCCATTGCACTCCAGCCTGGGCAACAGAGCTATAGTCCATCTCAAGAAAATAAAAAAAAAGAAACATAATACTATGACAACTTAATTGCTTTTTTACTAAGATGACTTAACTGGTTTTTTGCTACTGCTGAATGTCATTTTATGTATTATTTTGAAGTATGTTTTTAAAAAATTATCTGAGACTCCCCCTCCCATGTATATAACATAAAGAATGTTACATTTTATGATAGTTACCTGAAAAGTATTTGTTTAACAAATACATCATTTACTGTGTGTAAACTATGGTTCTAAAAGCTTCATAGATATTCACAGCTTGACTCCTCATAACCACCCCACCTGATAGGTGCAAGTGTTATCCCTATTTTATAGATGAAGAAAATGAGGCAGAGAAATGATAAATTATTGAAGTTGTAAGATAATAAGAGGTAGTGTCATTATTTGAACTCATACATTCTGAGTGCAGAATATATGCTAGATGCCACTATACTCTGCGGTCTCTCAAAATACATGCTTTACTTCCTAAGTACCAAATGTACTTCAAGAACATTCTGTTACTATTATAATTAAGCACAGTAATAATCATTTGATGGTACAGATATAGAAACTCCAGGAAGATTAAGTGAAATGTTGGGTTTTAGCTGATAATGTCAATCAAATTTGTAAATAGAATTCAGGTTTCCTGACTTCAAACAAGTGCTAAAATAGCATGAACCCTCTCATCAATTTGCAAACAGCAATATTCATGGCATTATTCTATAGAAAACACACTCTGTTCTTTTCAAATAAACTATTGAGAGATGAAATGTGAGTCCAAATTATGTAACCTTATTTTATTTCCTTTTCATAGACTTCATAATTTTTTAGTCACAGAATACTATTTCTCATGAAGTTAAAAAGCATAGATTTAATAGGAGAAAACATGCTTCTTATGTTGCTTACCAAAGTATACAATCTACATTTGAAAACAAATGACAGGAAATCTTGTACCTAGAGTCACCTAAAAATGAATTAAGTCTCTTTTCCAGGGAGAATTTATATTTATTACCTGATATACTTTATTGCTTTAATCATTATTAAAGAGTATATACATATAAAACACATAAGGTAATGGCAATCTAACATTTGAAAAGCAGAACAAAAAATCAATTTTGAGACTGCTGAATCCCATCAACTTCAACCACAATTCAAACATCTCAGTTCTTCATAGAGACAATTATGAAATGAAAATGTTTACAAAGCATATGCAGCATGTTTTACAACCTTTGCATTTTGTTTTCAGGAGCTTCTGAATCATTGCTGCTGTTTATAATCTGCATCTGCTGTAAAAATCAAACAAAAAGTGATACAAATGTCATTCTTATGAACAGAATAAAAAAGTACAAAGAGAATAATAAATTTATTTGTTTAAGGAAGGAAATGAAACAATGGCAAGGTTGGGGTACCTTAAACATAAATCTTGATTGCGTCTCCAGTAAGGTCTTATGGAATAGTGTTACCTTGTTGAATTAATGAAGGTTCAGGATGTAAACTTAATCTTCAATACGTCTTTGAGAAGACTTGGGGAGACAGGTAAGACAGTTAGATTTAGAAGACACTGGAGGATATACAATATTGGCCAAGTTATTCTATATTTTGTTTTGCCTTAAGCCTAAGCAATATTCATTCTTGGGACTCAGATACATCTGAAAGTGTCAGACAGACAGACTGGCCAGGCAGGGCTTCCAGCAAACTATTGTATGAGAATTAGAGATGGCTTCTAGGAAAAAAAAAAAAACACATCTTAAGGGATAAAGGAGCTCAGACTCACTTATCAGATAGAAAGAATGATTCTGAGAAGATCACGGTTTCTTTCACGTAAGTTAATTCTGAGCCTATTTTTTATGAACTCATGTTTGAATCCTAAGTCAAGAGAGCTTTGAGTAAACACTTCAAAATGTTAGCATCATGGCAATGTTGTTTAAATTCTTCTTTAAGAGAACGTGATACAAAGAAGGAAGAGACATTTTTTCTGATGTAGCCAAAGACCATAAGAGAGCTTTGACTTCGCAATGTCTCCCATGAAACAACTGTATTGACAGGTGGCAGCAGCAGTACATGTTAGAAGGGCCAGTTGTTTCTCAAAAGGTGATAGTCTACAGTGAGGAAGCAGCTGTGCTTGGGTGAGGTGATAGTACAATATCCAGTGGAAGAAGTGGACTTGGTCACAAATGAGTCAGTGCCCTGTGGAAGCGTTGACACATCAGAGGCAGCATTATTATTGCCTAGAAGAGGCATGGTGGCAGTGTGCATTGAAAGTGGTTATATTGCCTAGTAGAAGAGTTTGTACCAGGAAGAAGTGGGTAAACCAGTAGAAATCAGTTTACTTATATCTAGATGCTAGAGGCAATAATTAGGGTAGATGCTGTTGGTGCCTCTCTCAGATCCTGTTGACTGGTATTATACTCATGCCTCAGTTGCTGTAAATGTTCTCTGATTCTAACTCATATATGACCCCTTAGCTGTAGAATTGTCCTCTCCTTGCTCTCAATATGCAACAGAAGATGAGCAGTAATCCATGATCAGGGTCCTGCTAGTATGGGTACTCATTTCTTTCCTTTCTGGAAGCAAATTCCTCAATTGAGTCACTTCGATTTCTAGCTGTTGGTTTCCAGACCCATGTATTCTAAATACTGGGGACATACCACTTTAAAACTGCCCATGATTAAAGGTATGTACTGAGTCTTGAAGGGTAATACCTTATCCAGTGATTGTGAAGAAGTGGCTTGAGGCAAGAGTATATACAGACACAGGGCCAGTGTCAACTTGTGTAGCTTGCAGTCAGTAGCTTGGAAGGAGCAAGACAGATTAAGGACAAGAATGTCTGAAGAAAAGGCATGTGGATGGATACATAGGAGTAGACACAAAGTTTGAGAATCTTTGATTCACAGAAAGCATCCACTGCAAATGAGGCATTAAACAACCAAATGCACAAGATGTCTCAGCTAATAGATGCCAGCCAGCTTCTGTCTTTGGCTATCCCAGTTCTTGTGCACTGTGGTTGCAGAGAAAGAGACTATGCATGCGTCTGGCAGCATAGGCTCCCTTTCATCAAGGCTGAATATTTAATCTGCCCACAACAAAACATAAAACTGAGGTCCCCACATGTCAATGTTTCTTGAGGAGACCAATCATTGACTTGGTGTCATGTAGTTTATATCAGACCCATTACACTATGGAAAGGGAAATAATTGTGCCTGTGATTGACATAGGATCCAAGCATGTATTTACCTTTCTTTGCCTGCAGTGCCTCATCTCTCCACATTATTTAAGGGCTACAGTGTCTGATCCAACAATGTAGGATTTTGTAGAACACTTTCTTGGATGAAGAAACTTTTTTTCTATTAACATTTTGGAAAATAAGTTATATCAATACACTCTGACCATAAAATCCACCTACAATACCATCCAAAAGCTGCTGGCCTAATTGAATCAGTTTGGAGATGAATCCCTGAGGGAATGGAGTGCCGTCGTCTAGGACATAATATTTATCTTAAACTAATGGCTAGTATATTAAACTGTGTATCTAATAGTTTGAATATATAGAAAGTAAGAGTGGTTCACCTTTTCTGCTGAGGATCCACTTAGGAATTTGGAATTCCCCTTCCTGCAAATTTAGGCTCATAGATCCTCAGATTCTGATTTGTAGAATAGTTCACTTCTATTAGAGGACACAGATTCACACCAAACAAATCTAAAGATGCTACTTGACCTCTTTGTATATCTTCAGCCTGTAGATCATAAAAAAACAGGAAAAGAAATGAGTTAACATACTGTCAGGGGTAATTGATTTTGATCACCATGAGAAAGTATGGGACATCTCTATATTTGTAACTGAAAATGGGCAAGTGCCATAATGATGATCTGAAAAAATGTATGTTAAATAGGAGCTCAGGGTTCTCAGGGATGGTAGTCTTGCTTATCCTACAAGGTAAGCCAGAGATTTTGACAAGCAGAAATGCTAGACAATTAGCAGAAGAATCTAGGTTGAAGAGGGACATGATGAGTTATAGTTATGGCTTTAGGATCAGCCACAGCAGCAGGGGATGAAGTTCATCCTACTAGCCCTTGTCTTGTAAATTTTCCCAGAAAATGAGACCAGCCAGAATCCTAGAGATGCTATGTCTGGATGGGATACATTTAATGTGACAAGTGGATCTGAGTGATGCAAGGAATCCACGTTGTTGATGCATCACACAGATCCCTTTGCTAGTACATATACCTATCTTCCTGTGGCTATGAATGTTGGTTAATACGAGCCCTTAGCTCTCCCCTTCTTCCAAAGATTATTATTGGTCACACAGAAGCCCCCCTCCATCATCTCTTGCAAGCAGACCTTGGCAAGTGACTGTGGGACATGAGTGTTCAAAAACGCAGCTCCTTCTGTTAATGTGGGTATACCTCTCTGATGCAATTTAAACTTTGAAATTTCACAGTGAGATCAGAGTATAGCTAGTCTCCTGCTGAGACACATCCTTGTTTAGCATTTTTTCCTTGCTCTATCTGCTCTATCTGCCTGTCTCATCCCATTTTTTCATAAATGGACTCTTCCAAAATACCACTCAGGCTCTGTTTCTGGGGAGCATGACCTAAGATAGAGGTGAAATGCCTTCCTGCCTTTCAGCAGAGATGGAGGTAGTGACCCTACTCATATCTGGAGGCTGACCAAACAAATAGCAGGAAAATGGTGATGTCATGTGTACTGAATAGAATTGTTTATGAGCACATACAAGACAGCTGTTGGAGCCTTGCCAATATAACTGAAAAAGATTCTGTTCAGAATTGGAGAAATTGCATTTCAGAATAAGAGTAAATAGAATTTACTGCTAATACATCTTCATTTAAAATCCTGGACTAGAGTGGCCTGGTAAACATGGGTTACATTGCCATAGCGAGCAGGCATTTCCAGTCATTGGATTCTTTCATCTTCTATTCAGAGTACTGCACCTCTTGTCATATATGGGAAGTCATTGTGGTAATCTGCAAATGGCTTATTTTGCATGGACTGAGAGCTACTAGAATATGTGATTTTGAGGTATATTTCTTCTGGGCCATGGTGAACCACGATGGGTGATATCTCCACTCATATGTGATGTGATTTACCTGTATAGTTTTTTTTTTTTTTTTTTTTTTTTTTTTAAGACCGAGCGTCACTCTGTCACACAGGCTGGAGTGCAGTGGTGCAATTTTGGCTCACTGCAACCTCCGCCTCTCGGGTTCAAGTGATTCTTGTGCCTCAGCCTCCCAAGTAGCTGAGATTATATGTGCGCATCACCAAACTTGTCTAATTTTTGTTTTTTTAGTAGAGGTGGGGTTTCACCATGTTGGCCAGGCTGGTGTTGAACTCCTGGCCTCAAGTGATCCGCCCGCCACAGCCTCCCAAAGTGTTGGGACTACAGGCGTAAGCCACCACACCGGGACCCGTATAGTACTTTTAAAACACTGTAAACTTGAGGCTGATTTGGCATCATTTTCTTATTTTCTGCTACTACCTTTGTCTTCATCAAATCATTTTCTAAATGATTTTGTTTCCAAATTTGAACTTGGAAATTACAATCCAACTTTCCTGAGATATCACTTAAATCAACTTCACTTAGTTTTTCTATGTTCCTACACACATCAGTCACATACAGACAGACAATTTCTAGGTTTATTTCTGTCAATGCTACTAACATTGGTTTCATATTGATGGTTCAAATTGGAATCTTGGAGTCAATTTAATTCTTTTAATTACAAATTCTCACGGTATATGTCAATTATTTTCTCTTCTTAAATGCTACTCATCACTTTCAAAAATTGGAAAGAGCCAAAGTAAAACAGTTTTGATATCATTGGTTAGCAAAATATCACTGCATTTTACCTTAAAAGAAGACGAGTCACAGGGATTTTCAAGGCTGTTAGTCTATCCTCATGCTTTCAGGCCAGGACTAAACTTAACAGTTGAGAGCAACTGATTTAATCTCTTTTTAGTTTATCTTTAGACTAAAGATGATTCCTTTATATTTTAGGATTAATATAGAAACTAAAGATATCATCATTCCCTCAAAAAATCACTATCATTTCGTAACTATATAGCTATCAGAAGATTCTTAACACTTAAAACAGCTTGTTTAGACTACTATTTATCAGAGGGTTGATGCCTATCAGGATTCAGAGACAGCGGACTACAGGCATATCAGTCATTTTTGGAACTAAGAAATTTCCTCTTATTCATAAATACTCTTGGATTTGCCTGTCAAAGTCACTATGTCTCCATCACTAGAGATTTGTTTATTTGGCTTAGGGCTTTGCTTCTCTGTGATTTGATTTAACAACCTAGATGTTGGGCAGCTAGGCTGAATTGGCTTGGCATCCTTATCTGAAACTATTTTTGCACAGGGGAAAAATGGTATTTTCCTTCTGGCCCCATTCTTCTTACTTTCTAAGATTTTTAAATCAGAACAAATAAGATTAAGATTCCTAAGGACAATTTTCCCTATCTACAACATAAGACTAGTCCACTATTTCTCAAACTGTATTCTGCAGAGATGTTAAAAGATGATAAGGTGTTTTTTTGAATAGATGGTACTCTTGTTACTTTATACCACAGTAAAGAATTACAATGTAATTAGAAGATTTGAGAAATGTTACAGAAAATAAACTGGTTTCTTTTTTTAAACTGTAACTGTTCACATGTATATAAGCAACAAATAATTTTTGGTAGCACGTTTAACCTCATGCAAGCCACCAATGTGGGGTCACTAGTTGGGAAATACTGGTGTAGTATAAAATCAGGGCATTTATATCCCAAATCAAGGTCACATCCTGCATCTGAAATGTATCTTCATCCCTGTGACTCATGGGCATATGTCTCATACAGCATTCTCTCCTAAGGACTTCTAATGTGAATGTAATCACCGTGATTTCCTTTACTATTTTTTACCCATAACTTAAATATTGTAATGTAAATATATATTCAGCATTAATGATATAGAATTAAGGTTAGTTGTATAGATTAATGTATAAAATTAAGATTAATTAACCTGTATTAATTAAAAGTTACCAGTTCCAGAAATCCAAATGAAGCCTGCTTATACAAGGGTATTTATCAATTGGTGAAACTGGAAGATCATAGAGTCAAAGAGCTTCAGGATTAAGAACAGATCTTGAGATGTCAGACTCCAGAACTAGGGACCTGACACAAATGGGATTCCCTTCAGCTTCTTCTCATCTGCAATTACCTCTGCTTGACTTCATTTTTCCTTACATCAGACAGCTTTTTTCAATGTGGAGTGAGAGATAATGGCTTCCAGTAGCAACCAATTCACATTCTTCAAACTCCATGACCCCAAATGACCCCTCTCCTCTTGCTTTAAACAAAAATCTCAGGGTAGGGATTTATTTGGATTGCATTCGATCATATAAGAAGGGTGGACCAATCACCATGGCCAGGTGAATTGACAAATTGACTGTCTAGACCTGGATCGTATGCCTTCCTTTTAAACCTAGAAGGTGGGTTATTGAATACTGTTGAATTGAAGGAGTAGTTCCCAAAAGGAAAAGTGGGGAGAGAAAAGGGAAGGAGTTCTTAAATATGCAAAAATTAAAATATTCACTATAGTTTACTCTTTGATAAATACATTATATCCTTTAACAATACATAAGTTTGCAACAGTGTTCATATCTAAGACAAGGCAATTAGTTTCTGGGTAACTGGAAACACATTTCATCTCTTCCAACAGAACACAACCTGAAATCTTGTTCAATTACTGAATTTACAATCTCTGAGTTCTGTTCAGTTTTCTGAGTGAGGTCTGGATGTACCACTTTGTGATCTGGCCATTTATGGGCTAAATGATAAATAAAACCATTTAAAAATAAAAGTTGAGAGACAATATAAGCACAATAAGAACTCCCTTTGGAAACAAGAAAAATGGAAAGCAACGTACAACAATCAGAGCTCTAGAATGCAGATTTTATTGTGGTAGAGAATGGTTAGTAATTTCTGCCCCCATGGCTGAAGAGTGACTTCCACAAAGAAGCAGCCATATTTCCCACAGTTGAAAATGGTTGGTTCCTGATATGGTTTGGCTGTGTTCCCACTCAATTCTCACCTTGAATTGTAATAATCCTCACATGTCAAAGACGGATGGATTATTATCTCCAGATGGAGATAATTGAATCATGGGGGCAGTTTCCCCCACACTGTTCTCATGGTAGTGAGTAAGTCTCACGAGATCTGGTGGTATTATAAGTGGGAGTTCCCCTGCACAAGCTCTCTTTTTCCTGCTGCCGTGTAAGCCTTGACTTTGCCCCTCATTCGCCTTCTGCCATGATTGTGAGGCCTCCCCAGCCATGTGGAACTGTGAGTCAATGAAACCTCTTTCCTTTATAAATTACCCAGTCTCGGATGTGTCTTTATTAGTATCATGAGAACAGACTAATGCAGTGCCTCCCTTGCCCAAAGTCCTCCATAATCACTTTTCAAAAGCAGATTGGGAGGATTTCTCATCCATGGACAGTGCTACACTAGAAATACTTTTCCTATCTATATAAGTTTAGGGAATCTTGGAATTGCTTTAGGGATTAAGTAGTCATAGGCCTGCCTGGCAAATATATCACTTAAGTAGCTGGTGGGACTGCCAAACAGTTAGATATTTTCTTCAATTTGCACATACTTCCTAGGTGATCTTGTGTATTCTTAAAAGTGTAAATAAATTTGTGAAATCTGGTTAATATCTTTAGCCCCCATATTTCCCCTGAGCATCAGACTTGCATTCCCAACTCCTCCTTGGAATCTTTATGTGGGCAGTTCAAATTTAACAAGGCCAAACCCTTGGGTCTCCTCATTTCTTAGTATGTGGACTTAATGATTCACTCTTTTTCTCAGGCCAATTGTTCTCATTAATCATATTCACAAATCCAATTTCACTGTGAATCTGACCACTGATCACCGTTTCCACTGCCATCACCTTGGTTCAAGCCAGTGTAATCTCTTGTGTGGTCTAAAAGCTTCATATGCAAAAACTTCATAAATAGCCTCCCCTCTCTACTCCTCATCCAGTAATATAAATTCATCACATACAGCTAGAGTAGATTTTAAAGTTATATGCCTGATAAAGCAAACTTTCTTGCTCAAATAATTGTCTTTTCATTATTGTAAAATGGAATTTGAACTCCTGACTGTACATACCCTGCAAGGCTCTATATGTCTGGGCTATTGATTTTCTAATGGGTTTTACCTCATTCAGTCCATTCTAATCACATTGGCTTGCTGTCCATCGAACACTTCAAACTTGTAATGCCCTAGGGCTTTTGTATTGCAGTTCCCTCTGCCTTTATCTTTCTGTCCCCAGATGTAAGCAAAGCTTTCCTTGTTGTTTTCAAGTAGCTCCTTAAGTGTCACCTCCTTTTACTTCTATTTTTCTATTTTTCTTCATAATGCATATAATTACCTGATACATCTATTATTTGTATATTTATTTTTTGTCACCTCTCTGAAACATTAGAATATAATCTCACTATAAGGCACTTTCCATTTTGTTCATTGCTGCTTTCTAGAATGGTACATGCAATATTTTTACCTGTGTATCTCTTCATGTGTCTATCCAGCTCTCCATCATTATCTATCATCTAGTTTTTTCTATCTATCAGTTGTGGTTTGGATCTGTGTCCCCACCCATATCTCATGTTCAATTTTAATCCCTGATGTTGGTGATGGGGCCTGGTGGGAGGTGATTGAAAATGGGGGAGGTTTCTAATAGTTTAGCACCATCCCTCTAGTGGGGCTCTGGTGATAGAGTTCTCACAAGATCTGGTTGTTTAAAGATGTGTAGCCCTTGACCCCCTCAACCCAGCACACCCTACCTGCTTCCTCCTGCTCAGGCCTTATGAGATGTGCCTGTGGCCCCTTCACCTTCCACCATGATTGAAAGTTTCCTAGGGCCTCCACAGAAGCTGTCATGCTTCCTGTACAGCCTGCGGAACCATGAGCCAGTCAAACCTCTTTTCTTTATAAATTACCCAGTCTCAGGTATTTCTTTATAGTCTGAGAATGGATTAATGCACTATGCTTCTACACATGTAATTATTCATATAATGCATAATGCACTTTTTATCATTGTTATAGCTAATAACCAGTGTCTAACTCATTGTCATTTAACATTCACCTGCCTTTCTGATTTTTGTTTCTTAGCAACAAGCTAGCATGGACTCTGTATTTTAATCTTATTTCTGACCTTAATAATAAGTGTAAGGCACTGTTTTAAGTGTTTTAGCAATGCATTCATTCATCCATCATTTTAAGCAACCCAATAATGTAGGTAAAATCATATATTTTTATTTTAGAAGAGAAAAGTGAGGCATAAAGAAGTTCGCTTATGTTTCCAAGTTACACAGCTAATAAGAGGTAGAACCAGGGTCCTACCAAGGCAGTTTGGTTCCTAAGTCTGTTCATGTGACCACACTGACCACACTTCTTTCAGAATGGGCCTTGGCTTCTTACAGCAGTGAGCAGTACTAGGGTAAAAGAGGAGTCTAAGGGAATAATATCCCAGGATTCATCTTAGAGAGGCTTTGTCGGGGGATTGTGTAGCAGGCTGGGCCAGGGGGTTCAGACTTTTCTTCAGACTTTTCTCAATTTCCTGACACCACAAAGGGCCCAGGCTCTCTCTTCTATTTGGACTATTATTGCCCTTGTCTTTGCTAATGTGAAATTTAAAATGTTTTGGAGAATCGAGCTATTATAATTATCCAAAATCCATGATTGACTTTCAGTAGTTTTGCACTGCGGGAAACAGGCAGAAAAAGTCTTTTGTATTAAAGTTGAGTTGTATTCTGTTTCCTTTTCTGCTTTTAGTTTGAGTGTCCTCAGTTTTGGTTCTCAATTCTGTTTATACATTTGAATCAGCCGGGGAGCCTTTAAAAATACTTGGCCCTACCACATAACAATTAAATAAAAATCTCTGAGGATGGCACTATGGCAACCCTATTTTTTGTAGTTCCCTTGGTAATTCTAATGAGCAGCTAGAGTGAGAACTATTGCCTTAGATCAGTGGCTCTCAAACTTTACCAAGTGTCAGTATTACCAGGAGGGCTTATTAGACACGGATTGCTTGACCCCACCCCTAGAATTTCTGATTCAGTAGGTCTGGGATGGGGCTGGAAAATTTCATTATCTAATAAGTTCCCAGGTGATGCTGGTCCTGCTGGTTCCAGGCCATACTTTGAGGACTACTGCCTCAAACCAAAGCATGGGACTATTTGCAGAACCCTGTGGAGGTTTTAGGAGGAGCCAACTCAAGCTGATATTCTGATATTCTTCCCAAAGTCTCCTAAATTTCTAGCCTGCACAGGCATATGAACTATGCACCAAGATTCAACAGGTAATACTTTAACCATTTGCTGAGGAGGTAATATCACACATTCCCAACTTGGTAGATACTGGTTTTGTCTCCACATATTTATTTTTTGTTTTGTTTTTGAGACAGAGTCTTGCTCTGTTGCCCAGGCTGGCGTGCAGTGGCACAATCTTGGCTCACTGCAACCTCTACCTCCAGGGTTCAAGTGATTCTTGTGCCTTGGCCTCCCTAGTAACTGGGATTATAGCTGCATGCCACCACGACTGGCTACTTTTTTTGTGTGTTATTATTATTACTTTTAATAGAGATGGGGTTTCAACATGATAACCAGGCTGGTCTTGAACCCCTGGGCTCAAATGATCTGCCTGCCTTGGCCTCCCAAAGTGCTGGGATTACAGGTGTGAGCCGCTGTGCCTGGCCTCCACGTACCTATTATTACTAGTAATTCTCAATAACATCCTTGAACACACATTCTATTACTTTGTGGCAGAGATGGGTGGTCTGTCCTCTCCAATAGGAAATCTGCTAATCACCTGTGGCTATTTTAAGTTAAACGTGTTAAAATTGAGAAAAGTTAAATAGTCAGTTTCTCTGTCACTTTAGCAACATTTCAAATGCTAAATAGCCTCTGCTATGGTTTGGATATGGTTTTTTTGGCCGGCTAAGTCTCATGTTGAAATTTGACCTCCAGCTGTGGAAGTGGGGGCTGGTAGGAGATGTTTGGGTCATAGGGGTGAGTCCTTCCTTCAGGAATGGCTTAGGGTCATCCTTATGGTAATGAGTGGGTTCTCACTCTGCTAGTTCCCATGAGAGTTCCTCCTAGAGCTGGTTGTTAAAAAGAGCCTGGTACCTGCTTGCTCTCTCTCACTTCCTCTCTCACAATGTGGTCTGCACATGTTAGCTCCTCTTTGCACTCCACTGTGAATGGAAACAGCCTGAGTCTCTCACCAGCAGCAGATGCTGGCACCATCCTTTTTGTACAGCCTGCAGAACGGTGAGCCAAATAAACCTCTTTTCTTTCTAAATTAATCAGCCCCAGGTATTCCTTTATAACAACACTAAAGAGAGTAAGACAGCCTCATATAGCTAGTGCAGGCCATATTAGACAGCACAATAGAACATTTTTATTTTCATAAGAAGCTCTCTTGGATAGTGCTGCCTAAATGTTTGTCAAACTTGTTTCTTTTACCTGGGCGAGCAGCTAAATACATTTTTGAATCCCCTTCCATTGAGGTCTGACCTTGTTGCCAGTTCTCATCCATGGAATCTAAGGAAATAATATGTCTCTTTTGGCTAAGCATAGAAGAAACTTGAGTCCCTGAATGCATAGAACAGATCATAGGTGCCCTCATCAAGCTAAGATGAACTGAGATTTGAATGAGAAATAAATCTTGATTGTGTTAATTATCCGATATGTTGAAGTATTTAGTTACAACATTTAGCACAACTTAACTAGTACATTGCCCTATGAAAATGTTAGGAGTTGTGATATAGCATTCTGAAGTATCAATAATATTTCCTTAAAACACTGTAGACATTAATTAATCCATTCTTAATTTTTTAATTATTATAGTCACATGAATACAGTTTTTTTTTTTATTTCTTTGTGGGTAACTTTTTTTGATATCTGTAGAAATGGTCTTTGTTCATAGAAATATTTCTATTTATTTTAAACTTATTCTTTTTGGTACTTGGCAAAACCCTTAGATATTCAAGTTAATGTTCATTTTCAGCTCAGGAATGTTTCTATTATTTCTTTGATCATTATTTTGAATCTGTTTGCCTTATATTTTCATGAATTCATTAAGCTCTCTTTTTTCTTTTTTTTTTTTTTTTTTTTTTTTTTTGAAATGGAGTCTCACTCTGTCACCCAGGCTGGAGTGCAGTGGTGGGATCTCGGCTCACTGCAAGCTCCGCCTCCCGGGTTCACGCCATTCTCCTGCCTCAGCCTCCCAAGTAGCTGGGACTACAGGCGCCCGCCACTACGCCCGGCTAATTTTTTGTATTTTTAGTAGAGACGGGGTTTCACTGTTTTAGCCGGGATGGTCTCGATCTCCTGACCTCGTGATCCGCCTGCCTTGGCCTCCCAAAGTGCTGGGATTACAGGCGTGAGCCACCGCGCCCGGCCTCTCTTTTTTCTTATAGATTGAATTTCCTGGATCTGTTCCCTTTTTCTTTCATCATTTTATTAGTCAGCATGGGTGGCCATAACGACATACAACAGGTTGGATGGCTTCAACAGATAATTTTTTTTTTTCTCCCATTTGTGGAGTCTAGACATGAAAGATAAAGGTTTGTTGGATTTAGTTTCTGGCGAGGGTTCTCTTAGTAGCTTGCAGATGGCTACCTCCTTGCTAGGTTCTCATACGGCCTTTTGTCAGTGCATGAGAAAAAGAGAGGGACAGGAGAGAGAGAGAAAGAGAATTTTTGGTATCTCTTTTTATAATGACACCAAACCTATCAGATCAAAGTCCCAATGTTTTGAACTCATTTAATCTTAAGTACTTCCTTAGAGGCCCCATCTCCAAATGTAGCCTCAACTGAGGTTTAGGGCTTCAACACATGAATTTTGGAAGGGTAGAAACATTTGGTCCTTAACAATCATTTACTTTTTATTGCTTATTGTTCTTGTCAGAATGCTGGCTGAATTTCTTACAGTAGTCTTCCATTTTTACTAAATAGATCTTCTTCAGTTATTAATTTGTTTTTTGAAGCTTCTACCATATTTTAAAACTTGACCTCATGTTTCTCATCTTGTTACAAGTTTTTCAAGATCTCATATTGTTTTTCTTTTCCCATGATTATTTGCTCTAATGCCAAAGATGTGTTTTGATTTTGTGGATATAAAAATTCAATTAAATTATTTTGTTGTTTCAGGAAGTGAAACACTTAAAGGGATTCATTGGAAATATGAGCTAATTTAGAAAATTGAAGGGCAAGTTGAATAAATAAGCATTCAAAAATACAAGAACTTTGTCATCAGAGATTGTCATCAAATGTCTCAGCTTAAACGATAATCATTCTCTGCATGATTCTGCTCAAAATTTAGTCACTTGGAGATAAAGTCTCATTGATCATCATTAGGTCACATTTCTTCTGTTCTGTGCTGTGTCATTTTGGATGAAGTGTGTATGTCCGGTTGAAAAGACAAAAGTAATCTTTATTAAGGTGGAACATAGACTATTTTCTCAATCATGCTCTGCTACAGCATATTTTTAAACTTAGGATCAAGAATAAATATTTTTCTGGCAACAAAATTTCTTATTGTAAATATATTACATAGAGAAAAATACTTTATTTTTATTCTTTAGGATGGATTCTTTCTCCTTTCTTGTGGTATCATTCCATTGGTTCAGTGGTTTCCTGTTAGCTTACTAGCCACTAAGCTACTGTAGTAGCTTGTTGTTTTGATCATGAGTCAAAGCCCTCACCTATTTTAGTTAGAGGTTACTATTGCCAAGTCCTTCTTTATTTATTTTCTGAGTATATTGTCCTTTCATATCAGTGAGGATGATCAGTTGGCTCCTGCTCTGGGACAATCTGCATTATATAATTTAGAAACACCCTGACTATCTTAGTATATGGATAACACCTTCCTCATTTCTAAGGCTAATGTTTATTTTTCTATATTTTAAGGCTTCTACTAATATCTAGAAGATAGGATTTAAATACTGTGATTTCAATATCAATCAAAACAAAATTTTCCAAATTTTTTAAAAATGAAGTTTTCAAACATAACATGCAGTATTTTAAACAGTTTGTGAAAATGACCATACTGCCAAAAGCAATATATAAATTCAGTGCAATTCCCATCAAAACACCATCATTATTCTTCACAGAACTAGAAAAAACAATCTTAAAATTTATATGAAACCAGAAAAAGAGCCCACATAGCCAAAACAGGACTAAGTACAAAGAAGAAATCTGGAGGCATTACATTACCCAACTTCAAACTATACTACAAGGCTATAGTTACCAAAACACCATGGTACTGGTGTAAAAATAGGCATGTAGACCAATGGAACAGAATAGAGGATCCAAAAATAAAGTCAAGTACTTACAGTCAACTGATCTTCAACAAAGCAAAGAAAAACATAAAGGGGGGAAAGGACACCCTATTCAACAAATGGTGTTGGGATGATCGGCAAGTCACATGTAGAAGAATGAAACTGAATCCTCATCTCTCACCTTATATGAAAATCAACTCAAGATGGATCAAAGACTTAAATCTAAGATCTAGAAACACAAAAATTCTAGAAGATAATGTTGGAAAATCTAGACATTGGCTTAGGCAAAGACTTCATGATCAAGAACCGAAACGCAAATGCAACAGAAACAAATAATTAGATGGGATTTAAATAAATGAAAGTCTTCTGCACAGCAAAATAAATAATCAGCAGAGTAAACCAACAACCCACAGAGTGGGAGAAAATACTTGCAAACTAGGTATCCAACAAAGGACTAATATCCAGAATCTACAAGGTACTCAAATCAGCAAGTAAAAACAAATAGGCCAGGTGCAGTGGCTCACACCTGTAATCTCAGCACTTTGGGAGGCTGAGGTGGGTGGATCATGACGAGGTCAGGAGTTTGAGAACAGCCTGGCCAACATGGTGAAAGCCCGTCTCTACTAAAAATACAAAAATTAGCCAGCCTTGGTGGCATGTGCCTGTAATCCCAGCTACTCGGGAGTCTGAGGCAAGAGAGTTGCTTGAACCTGGGAGGTGGAGGTTGCAGGGAGCTGAGATCATGTCACTGTACTTCACCCTGAATGACAGAGTGAGACTCTGTCTCAATAAATAAATATAAAACAAATAATCCCATCAAAAATTAAGCTAAGGACATAGAGAATTCTCAAAACAAGATATACAAATGGCCAACAAACATGAAACAATGCTTCATATCACTAATTATCATGGAAATGCAAATCAAAACCACAATGCGATACCACCTTACTCCTGCAAGAATGGCCACAATTAAAAATTAATAGTTGTTGTCGTGGATGTGGTGAAAAGGAACACTTTTACATTGCTGGTGGGAATGTAAACTAGTACAACTATGGGAAACGGTATGGAGACTCCTTAATGAACTACAAGTTGATCTACCATTTGATCCAGCAACCCCACAACTGGGTATCTACTCAGAGGAAAAGAAGTTATTTGTTTATAGCAGCACAATTTGCATTTGCAAAAATATGGAACCAGCCTAAATGCCCATCAACCAATGAGTGGATAAAGAAAATGTGGTATACGTATACCATGGAATACTAATCGGCCATAAATAGGAATGAAATATGGCCTTCACAGCAACCTGGATGGAGTTGGAGGCCATCATCCTAAGTGGAGTAACTCAGGAATGGAAAGCCAAATATTGTATGTCCTGACTTACATGTGGGAGCCAAGTTATGAGGCCGCAAAGGCATTAGAACAATATAATGGACTCTGGGGACTCAGCGGGGAGGGTGGGAGGGGGATGAGGGATAAAAGACTACACATAGGGTACAGTGTACACTGCTCGCATGATGCGTGCACCAAAGTCTCAGAAATCACCACTAAAGAACTTATTCATGTAATCAAATACCATCTGTTCCCCCCCAGACTACTAAAACAATAATAAAACATTTGGAAATGCTACCTTATATAATATTTTAGCGATAATAAATCACAGTATATATTTATCTCCAAAGATAGCACTTGTAGCATTTATCAATAATTGACACATTATTATGCATCAGATGATCAGATGTATAACATTGAGGAAATATAAAATATATGTGCTAACAAGGTCAACAGGATATTTGTTGAGGCAAAGCTTCATTACTTAGTATTGCCAAAAATAATAGTTGAAAATGAGAGGCTTTGAGTGGCAAGAGACATATATTATCTGAAGAAGTATACATAAAGAGAGAGACAACAGATTCTGCAATGAGATGCTGGAAATTGACAAGCATAAACTATGCGTACTTCAGTCTGCCTAAATAATTGCTTTGACTTTTATTGGAGTTTATTTTCCTAAGGCATGTAGAACAGTCTGTTATTCTCTTTGAGAGCCCTTTATTGTGAATGGGCATGGAGATAACTTTCTCCCCTGCCATGTGTTTTGTGTAAGAAAAACAGTAAAAAGGGGATAACAATTTAATTTACATTTATTTCCATATGAATATGGATGTATGTATCTATATTTGCGTGCATATATTGCATATGACTATGCATATATTATATATGCATATAGATGCATAAGTAAATGAATATATGCATATCCATATGAATCTAATAACAAGGTTACTGTGAATGAGGTTAGTGAGGAAAGGCTGCACGTGTTGTGAGTGTGTGCCCAGTTCTAGATGATGCCCTTCGTGAGCAGCCATGAACCATCCACATGGTCATAGGTGGCTGGCTTGATTGGGAGGAAAACATTTTACTATTTATATACTTTTTAATTATTTGAATTATGTGAATATATTAGCTATTTAAAGTAATAAATGAAAAAGTAAATGGAATCATAATAAATGTCTGGAGGAGAGAAAGTACGTGACTTTGAGAGCAGAAATTAAAATTGCCTGTTTACATCTGCCTGATATTGCAACTAATATTTTTCATTAAGAGAAATACTTATATAAACTCTTGTCATTATAAATTTATTCTTTTTCTTAATTTCTTTCTTTCATAAAGGTATACATCAAAATAGCCTTTTTATGATTGTTTCAACTTGTACATGAAATTATTTCACAGGCAAATAGTAGAAATTGCTAAACTATTTGTAAATGATATAAAAGTTTTTTTCAATAAGCGTGTAAGCTTCAGTCTTGTGTTCAAAATCAGATTTTATAATCTCTCTTTTTTTCAAATATTTGCCTGAATTTTTGGGTATCTCAGAGAAATTACATTAAGCATTAAAGCCAGATGCTTCTTATGAACAATCATTTTCCTCTAAAGGCAAGCTAAACTATCTTGAAATTTGAAATGATCAATTTGTTTTCCATTTTATGTAAATCCTGCCTCAATTGTCAGCCCAGCAGTTATGTATTAAAAGGATATTAAATCCAAAAATATTGAAACCACATTATTTAAACATTACTTGAGGAAGTGCATTGTGTTCTAATTTCACTCCAATTGCAAAATAAGTGTGTCAGTTAAGAAAAGCTAGGCTATGCTGTGATAACGCGCAACCTGAAACTCTTAATGATCTAAAAGAGCTAAGGTTTATTTCTTGATTATACTTCCTCTCTGTTTCTGAACAACTAGGGGCTAAGATCCAAATCTTTACTCCAAGCTGGGTTTCTCAACAGTGGCACTACTGCCAATTTGGGCTGGATGATTTTTATCGCCCCAGGGTCAGAGAAAGGTTGAGGAGGCTATTCTGCACATTGTGGGATATTCAGTGCAGATGTAACTTCTACTCTCTAGATGCAGGTAGCATCCTTCTCATCTCAGTCCAACCAAGAAATGTCTCCAGAGATTGCAATCATCCCCTGAGGGGGCAAAATCGCCCACATTGAGAACCAGTACTCTTCAAAACATTGCCAGTTGTCCAGTTAGAGGGAAAAGGCAAGTGGAGAACCACATGTTGATGCTTCAGACTCTGTCAGGAAGTGATTCATACCACTTCTCATATTTGGTTGGTCAAAACGTGGTCATACTTAATTTCCAGGAGTTAGAGAAGTACAATCTCCCCATCCTGTTACGGGGAGAATAAAGCAATGTCAGGGGGCCAGTACTAATTATTATCACAGTAGTATTGTATGTTTTCGTGGGAAAATGAATACCTTTTATTTCTCAAAAAATAGTGTATTTTCAACAATAGATCATTGATGCTAATTATTAATAGTTTCAGAATAAATATATATTAAAATAGCAACTATTTGTCACGTCTTTGAGAATATATTAAAAATAATTATTAAAAAACTAGCTGACACACTTGCAAGATCAGATTTTATAAATGTATACTACATCATCCTCAATACATTTTGTGTTGAGTGTTTACCATATACGGAGCTGCCCTAAGGCCTAAGGTTTACAAAAAGAAAGAAGGGAAGAATATACTTTTTTTTGAGTTTTTTCCTAGGTGGCTTTTGCAAATGGCATATTATTTAATTCCCTCAACATTCTTTTGAGAGAAGTATCATTGCATACCTTATACCATTGAACAATTTATGGGCCAGAGAGCATTAGTCTATGCCCACGTTCATTCAGGCGGTAAGAAACAGACTCTAGATTTAGAACTTTGTACCCAACTCTGTCCTCTCTCCATTGTATAACATCTTTGCTTTGCAGCCTCCAAAACCAAGGACTTAATAGTTTATATAAATATAGCATAAATGCAAAAAAACTCTAGCAACAAAAGATTTACAGGAATTATCTTCTTGTACTTGAAGTTATACCAGAAATTAGCAGAATTTAGTTTCTTAAGTTTCTTAAAGTCAGTTTGAATATTGAATACCACTGAGTAAAATCTTCATCTTAAAAGTTTAGACAGACTGTATAATTATAATTTATAATATACTTTCTGGTTACTTGAATTAAATGTAGACTGTGTTAAAACCCATAAAAACATAATAAGGTATAATCACACTGTCTATTGTCTTTTTTAAGACAGGAAATAAATGTTATAATAGGTCATAACATTATTAAAGAAACTGATAATTTATTTAAAAAATTGTCTTTATATCATATGATATTAATTGTCAACATTACTGGGTTAAGTGGTGACCGGATAGTTGGTTAAACATTATTTCTGGGAATATCTGTGAGGATATTTCTGGAGGAGATTATCATATGAATGAGTGGATTGAGTGAAGAAGATCCACGCTTACCAATGTAGGGTGGTCATCCAATCTGTTGTGGGCTTGAACAGAACAAAAAGGCAGCAGCGGAAGGGTGAATTGAATTCTCTCTGTGGCTGGGACATCCATCTTCTCCTGCCCTCAGACATTGGAGCTCCTTGTTTTGGGGACTTTGGGCTCAAAGTGAATTACACTACCAGGTTCCCTGGTTCTCCATCTTACAGACAACTCATCATGAGACTTCTGGGACTTTTAAACCTCCATAACTGCCTGAGCCAATTCCCATAATAAATCTCCTTTCACATATCTATTTATATCACATTGGCTGTGTTTCTCTGGAGAATCCTGACAAATACAGTCGTCTTATTTTAGCTAAAGGACTCTTGTGAATTAGGTGTAGCAGAATGAATGTTATACTTCTTGTTTGGAGATGGTAAAACTCATTTCCAAGAATGTAAGAGCCTGGACCAAGGTGGCACAGGTAAGGGAATCAGGAACTGGAACTGAAATCCCCTGACAGGGTTTCATGCACTTTTCATGAACCATTTATACGAGTCACCTGGGAAAAAACTTTCATGCTATCATACTAAATCCTACTTTTTTTTTCACATATCAAAATATTTTGGATTCTTCTTGGCAAGTAAATAAACATTGTCAAATCAGTTAATTTCTTTAAGGACTTGATCAATCACAGAGTATAACAGTCTCTTATTATTAAGCCCTCTCTTAACAGGTCCAGAAAAAGGAACCACCATGATACTTCTGTTAGTGAGGAGTCTCCAGAGAAACAGAACCAATAGGAGACATATCTACATATATTCCTCTCTATATTTTCTGTATTATGAGGGTATTTCTAGAAGCAACGATCATTTGAATTAGTAGACTGTGTAAAGAAGATCTACCCTTACCAAAGTAGGTATCCATCATCCAATCCATTGAGGAGCTGAATAGAACAAAAAGGCATATATAAAGATATATCAAGTAAGTGATGTATTTTAATGCATTGGCTTGCACAATCATGGAGGCTGAGAAATCCCATGACCGGCTGTCTATAAGCTGCAGACTCAAGAAAGCTGATGGCTTAGTTTGAAGGCCTAAGAGCTGTAGAGCCCATGGTATAGATTTTCACCCACACCTGAAGGCCTGAAAGTCTGCAGTGCTGAGGGAAGAAGGGGATCAATGTCTCAGTTCAAGACTTCATTTGATGTTCCTCTTTTCTCAACAGATTGGCTGATGCCTGCTCACATTGGGGAGGGCCATTTGCTTTACTCATGTACCAATTCAAATGTTAATCTCTTCCAGAAATACCCTCACAGACCCATACAGAAATAATATTTAACCAGTTACCTGGGCATCCCATGACCCAGTTAATTTGGCACATAAAATTAGCCATCACAATACTCTAACAGCAATATGGCTGTCATCTGGGAATCCTTTAGGTTCAGATATATCATGCAGTTTGGCCTACTAATTACTTATTTGCAAGCATCATATTCAGAGACTGATTTGTGTATTTGAGTTGACCTGAGAGCTACTCTGGAAAACAATTTGGCAGTTCCTCAAAAAGTTAAATACAGAGTTACCATAAGACATAGCCATTCTATTCCTAGGGACAGTTGTCCCTTGTATCTGTGGGTTCTGCATCCATAGATTCAACCAACCTCAGATAAAAAAATATTGTTTTAAAAAAGAATGATCATTTCTAGACTGAACAGATAGACTCTGTTTTTCTTGTCATTATTCCCTAAATAATGCAGTATAACAACTATTTACATATGACTTACATTGTATTAGGTATTATAAGTAATCCGAGATGATTTAAAGTATATGAGAGGACATGCATAGGTTATATACAAATACTACATCATTTTATATAAGGGACTTCAGCATCCATGGATTTTGGTATCTGGTGGGGTCCTGGGTTTAACCAAGTCCTCATGGATACCAAGAGATGACTATATATATATTCAAGAGAATTGAAAAAAAATGCATACAAAAACATGAACATAAATATTCATAGCAACATTATTCAAAACTGTGAAAAAGTAGAAACAACCTATATTTTTATCAATGAATTAATGGATACAAATGTATATCTACACAGTAGAATATTATTTATTATTTAGCCATAAAAAAGAATAAAGTACCAATACGTGCCACAACATAGATGAATCTGGAAAACATGTTATGTAAGAAAAGTCAGATAGGCACCTATTATATGATTCCATCATATAAAATATTGACAGTTGGCAGATCCAGGGAGAAAAAGTAGATTACTGTTTGCCAGGGACTAGGGGAAAAAGGGAATGGGAAGTGGCAGATAAAGGGGAGGAGTTTTGGGGGAGCATCACGAAAATATTCTGTAATTAGATAGTGGTGATGGTTGTGAAACTTTGTGATGATAGTGAAAAAAAACACTGGAAAGGGTAAATTTTATGATATGTACATCAATACAAATTATTAATAAATGACTAATCTGAGAACAGTGGCTACAGATTTAGAGAAAATGAGATCATGAAAGTGTTAAATGATGTAATCATTTTTTCTGTCATATATGCATTTTATTGGACATGGATTAAAAAACTTGAAAGAGGTTCTGAGTACCTTTTATTTTCTGTCAACACTTGGGGAAACACTTTTTGAACAGATTTGCAACGGTTAAGGAACTTTGATGGCTAGTAAGTGAGATCGACTCATCTAATTTAAGTAAAAGAGAAGTTTATGGAAAATAGAGACGCTCACAAAATTGACAGAAAAATCTGAACAATCAAGCCTTGGGGAAGAGAGAAAGTTGGGGAACTTCCAACATCAGTAACTTATGTCGGTCTTTTCTTTGGAGCAGGTTCAACCTGTTCCCTTTTCTCACTCAAACTAATGATCTACCATATTACTGAACCAACCTATTAGTACAGAAGCATAGAAATAAAGAAAAACATCATTTCCCTTGCAAAACATGCCCAACTCTCCAGAATGTGATGATCTTTTTACTTGATACGGTAAGATGCTAGTGATGATAATAACAGCATAAATATATGTCTCAAAATGTGTGATTCCTTGTAGACCCAGCTTGGCTTTTCACCGATGTCTTCTGCTGGAGTTGTGCCTGATTTTATTAACAATATTTTAGCCAAATCCACTGGGCAATGAAATAATTCTTATTTTGTTTTTGGGCTAGCAACCACTTAATATCTTGTGGGATATATATATATATATATATATATATATATATATATATATATAGTATAGGGTATATATATAAAATATATATAACATATACTTATAATGTATAAGTTACATTAGTATAACTTATATTGTTGGTTTATGGGACCTGACAATTTATTATGTGATTTTTTATTTGTTTTCTGTTTTATGCAAGCTTATTGAGGGCAGGAAAAATTTCATATAATACCACAATATTTTAAAAAATTGTTGAAATAATTATGAATAATTCTAGGGAAATATGTATTCTCCCTTCGAGGTAGAAAATGTTATTTCTATTTATAGATGAGGAATTTGGGGCTTAGAAAGACTTGTCTATATTTACACATGTATTAAATGCAAGTGCTAAATTTCAGATATAGGAAGTTTGACTCCAGGGCCTTAACATTTTTAAAATTACAAATACTTCCTATTTAATATGATGCTGAACATATGCCAGATGCTTCATAAATACCTTTTGAGTTGAACATAATGACTTCATATGATTATCAGTCAGAATACTCATTAATTTGACAATTACCATCATTCTGAATAAACAAGTTTGCAAGCCCTATGGGGTCCTTTAATGATATGGTCCTTTTATTTCTCTATATCTGTCAATATGCTGCCAAAATGAAAGTTCTCTTTCCTGAAAAGAGCAGTAGCTAGTGGCAATGATCTTTCAACAATATTCTAGAGGGAAACAATTTATCACTAACAAAACGAACACTTTTTCATTGGAAACTGCGAAAGCCAGATCACATTCCCTAGCCACAGCAGGTGGTTTCTAGACACTTAGAGTCAATACTTAGAGTCAATAAGCTTCAAGAATAGCAAGCAGCAGTGCATCTCCCAAAATTCAGCTCCTATTGGCAGCAGAAAAGAAATTAGTTGCTTCAAGTACCTAGGGGTAAAACAAAACCCAGTACTTACCAGTTTTCTAGGCTCATAGTCTCTACCTGTGACAACAAAGAATAAACACCGCCAAAAGCAAGTGTTAAACCAAACACCGCATGTTCTTACTCATAGGTGGGAACTGAACAATGAGAACACTTGGACACAGGATGGGGAACATCACACACCGGGGCCTGTCGTGGGGTTGGGGGAGGGGGGTGGGATAGCATTAGGAGATATACCTAATGTAAATGACAAGTTAATGGGTGCAGCACACCAACATGGCACATGTATACATATGTAACAAACCTGCATGTTGTGCACATGTACCCTAGAGCTTAAAGTATAATAAAAAATAAATAAATAAAAAAGAAAGAGCAGCAGTGAGACTGAAGGGAGGGAAATACATGAAATGTTTTGGGAGAGAGAATGTGAGGAAAACACAGGTACTCTAAGTAAAAGGCTTTGAAAGAAGTATTTGAACCCATGTTCACAAGTTAAAAAAGAAATATCATAATCAAGTAGAAGCACCACTTATCATAGGGTATAAATTTAAAGTTTTGAATTAGCTGTTGTTGAAATGACCTCAGATTATTTTCAATTATGTTTACAGATAAAACATCTGTTTCAAGATTGTGATGATTGTCATAATACGGAGATTATTTTGTTTGTTTTCTTTCAACTTCATCACAAAACATAAGTGCTCACCACCATAGGAGCATTGTACATTGAAACCTCCATTATATTTCTTAGACCCTACTTTTGAAGAATGTGCAAAGACTTCACGTTGAACGTTGCTTCCCCTATCTCCCTATCTTAATCACTTTAAATCGATTTCTTGCTATTATTCCATTTGTAGATTTTCAGGCATCAAACTTAGCTTGAAGAACTCTTAAGTTGAGTTAACTTCAACCACGTACATTGAAGCTAAACCTATAGTTTTCATTAAGGAGACAAAAACCATACCAGTAATTTGAAAATAATTATTAAATAGTATAATCAGACTAACTACTAAGACAGAGTAAAGGGAATCTGAGAGAATATTGGAATACCGTATGCAGGATTAGGGGGATGTACTCAAGGAAGGAACAAATTTCAAAGAGGTACCCAACAATATGGCTGAGATTGAGTATTCAGAGAAAAGCAGTGGCTGTGGAACCCTGAATGGTGGAGAAGTTTGCTAGGATGTCACAGGCCAAGACTTGTGAGGAGGAAAACACTCACTGGAGTTCCAGGGAAATTTTCTAGGTATCTTTTCATTCCAGTTCTAGTAAAACGTGCTAGGAAACAGCCTACTAAGTTGGTGGTAAAACTGACTGGGAAGCTTCCCGTTGGGGTGTTAGCAAGACTCTTTAGGATACTGCCCAATGGGGTGAGGTGAGACTCTCTAGAGAGCTGTTGCTGAGATGTTGGTGAGAAGAGTTTGAAGTTCAAGACCTACCAATTTAGAGGGTCTCAGTGGAAACCTCAGGTTTTCTGTTGAACCACAAGTAGGTTCTAACAAACACAGATAGCCCAGATTTTTGCAATTAGCTGACAAGGCATTTCCAAATTTGGGATGGTGCATGGATGAATAGAATTTAAGCAAAAAATAACAGTCTTAATGGGATGAGGGGACAACATTTGGAGTTTGGGTCTACCAGATGACTAGAAATTGAAAATAATGTTACTATAATTACTTTCTATCTTTTTAATAATTAAGAAAGTATTATACCATCTGTGTCAGTTATCAAAATCCATCCTTCCTTGCTCTGCATTATGGTACTGGAGGTGGACCTTGCAAATATTTTTTCTTTGCCAACTGGCACAAGGTTAGGCCTTGTCAGTAAAGTGGACTGAAAGTACGTTGTAAGAAGAAGGGGTTTCACTAGTACGTCCTTATGTTTTTCATTTTACTTCTAGAAGATGTAGCCAGTAGGACGCTCAGCTACTCTAGGTGACTCAATGATATATATATACACTCTGGTAGAAATGAATCTAGGTGAGGGATATACCCTAGTACTAAGGAAAAAATAAACATAGAACCACATTAGCAAAGACTAAAACTAAACTTCCATAAAACCACGGTACAAAGACAAATATTATTAGAGGAAGAAAACAAAATCCAAAGTTTCTATGATGCATCATCCACAATATATTATATCCTTTATCAAAAGTTACTAGACAAACCAAAAAACCTCAACAATTCAGTGTTACCATAATCTAGAGACAAAAAGTCAACAGAAGCAGAATCAGAGATGACCCAGATGTTGCAATTTACTGATGAGAACTTTAAAACAGCTATTATAAATATTTCAAATAATATAGAAGAACATTGAATGGGTAAACAAACAAAAAGTAGACTCAAAGATGACCCAGATGTTGCAATTTATTGATGAGAACTTCAAAACAGCTATTATAAATACTTCAAATAATATAGAACATTGAATGGGTAAACAACTGCAGGACATTATTAGAGATATACGAACATGCAAAAAAATTAGAAATTTTAAAACTGAAAAATTTACAGTATCAGCAGTAAGTTTATTCAATAAAATTTAGGGCAGATTAGACACGCAAAAGAAAGAATCAGTAAACTTGAATACTGACTAATGCAACTATATTGTATAAATTAATTATATATTATACTTTATAGGTAAATTTTATCTATACATGTTTACTCATAAAAATGTACATATAAATATATAAATTTTATAAAATTATATAAATTCAAGACACAGAGATAATATATTCACAAACAATAATTTGTAGCTTTGTGGCCTTTGTAACTATAACAAGTGGTCAAATGTATACGAAGCTGGAATTTCAGAAAGATAGGAAATAGAAAATGGAGAAAAAATTTTTTCAAACTGGGAAAATATGACAAATAGATTCAACAAGCTCAGTGAAACTCAAATAGATTGAATACAGAGAGAATATAAGAATGTCATATTAAAATAGCTGAAGATCAAAACTATAGCGAAACACTTGGAAGTAGCAAGAGGTAAAAAGAACATATCACCTATGGGGAACAGTACAAAGAATTATGTTTGACTTGTCATACAAAAAATGGAAGCCAGAAAAAAATCGAATTATATCTTTAAACTGCTAAAATAAAAAGTAAAACTGTCTACCTAAAATTTTGGTGAAATTACCTTTCAAAAATGAAGGCCATGGGAACATTTTTAGATAGATGAAATTTGAGAATTACAAATGCATTTCAAAAAATGTTACAGAAAGTTAACATGAAAAGAAAAATGTCAGAAAAGAAACTGGATCTAGAGGGAGAAATAAATAGTATTTGAAATGGTAAATATTTAGATGAATGTAAAAATTATCATCATGTGATTTTAGTCTCTTTAAGTGTAATTGACTATTTAAAGCAAAAACAACAAAGTATTATGGGGATTATAACATACGTAGAAGTAAAATGTATGAAAATAAGATCCAAAAGATGGCAGGGAAAATAGAAGTATAATGTTACATGGTTCTTACACTATATATCTCAAAAGGTATAGTGTTTGTTAAAGGTAGAATAAAAGTTCTATCTATCTATCTATCTATCCATCTATCTATCTATCTATCTATTTATCTATCTATCTGTCTATCATGTAAGCATTAGAAACTTCCCTGAAAACAAAAAAAAAGGTATATTACTAGTAAGTGAACAATGGAGTTAAAATTATGTCCTCAATTTATCCAAAAGAAGGCAGTAAACAAAGAATAAAGATAATGAAGATCAAACGGGATGGGTAGAAAATAAATATCAAGAGAGCAAACTGAAATATAATCATATCAATAATTACATTACTTGTAAAAAAATCTATAAATCCAATTAAGATGCAGAAATTGTTAGATTGGATACAAAAATGCAAAATCCAACTGCTGCCTACAAGAAACTCACTTTATATATACAGTCACAGTTTGAATGAAAGTAAAGAATAGAAAAGGATACACAAAATGAACCTGGAGTGCTTACATTAGTACAGGAGAAAGTAAATTTCAGAACAAAGAACATTAGCAGAGATTAACAGGTAAGTTTCATTGTGATAAGTCAATTCATCAAGAAAACATAACAACACTATGTATGAATAAAATATGGATTTTTTGAAATATTTTACAAATTATGAGGAGTGCATGTAACACTAAAAATACAAAGAAAAGTTGAGAGAAATTAAAGAAACTAAACAAAATTAAAGAAACTAAACAAAACTAAACAAAGAAACTAAACTAGCTTCCTAGTTTTATGGAATGGAAGACTCAATATTATTGACATGTCAATTATCTGAAAATTGATCTATGGATTCAAAGCAATCCTATTCAAAATGCAAGCAGAACTTTTTGTAGAAGTCAACAAGCAAATGCTAAAATTAATATGAAAATGTAAAAAATCTTGACTTTCCAAATAACTTTTTAAAGAAGAATAAAATTGAAGAACTTAGGCTGTATAATTTGAGGATTAATTCTAAGGTGATTAGCATCTAGACTGTGTGGCATTGGTTTAAGGGTAGTACAGATAAATGGAATATGATAGATCCATACATGCATGGTTAGTTGATTTTTGAAAAATATACCAATTAAATTTAATAAGGAAGGATCGTATTTTCTTAAAAGCATTATGCTAAATGAAAGACTTTAGACACAAAATAACTTTTTGAGTTTGTGGTGTCAAAGTCAAAATATAAAGATTCATCTCTAAATTTAAAAATTACAATTCAACTAGTCTGGTCAAATATGTATAGTCATGTAACAGCCACCACAATCATAAAATACAACATTTCCATTGTGAAAGTCCATCATACGACTTGGGTCGTTCTTGTCATATCCAACTGAAGCAGAATCAAGAGGCCAGGAGGAAAAAGCACTCAAGGTATACAACATCACCCCAGGCATGTAATTATCTCTGCAAGCCCAGCTTCTGAAATTCCTTGTAATAACCTGAAATCAGTTTTATATAATAGCTACTAAAACAAGCTGCTGAGACTTTAAGACTAGCTTTACCCACTGCCATCACTCACCATTCAGAGCTTGCCTCCTCCTCAAAATTTTACTAGTGTCAACATACTTTCCTTTAAAACAACATGTAATATTTCTTTCTAATAAATTTTGCCACCTTCTCTTTGTTTTTGGGCATAGCAAATTGTACACTTATATTGTGGATTGTTAAAAGTAATTTACACCTCATTCTGTATTCCAGCCTCGGCCAAAGAGGGACACTCTGTCTCAAAAAAAGAAAAAAGTAATTTATAACTCATTAAATTTGTAATCACATAATGTAATTTGCCACATTGACAGAATAAGGAACAAAAAACTGTGGATGTTGCAGTAGATGCAAACAGAAAAAAAATTAACAGATTTGATAAAATTTACTACCCATTGATAGTAAAAACTTCCAGCAATCTAGGAATAGAGCAGAATGTCCTCATTCTGATAAAAAGGCATCTACAATAACCTATAGTTGATCTCAGTTTTAATAGTGAAGTTTTAAATGCATTTTTCTTAAGATCAGAAAAAAGGCAAGGATGATTTCACATTGTATTTTTTAAATTATACTTTAAGTTCTAGGGTACATGTGCACAACGTACAGGTTTGTTACATATGTATACATGTGCCATGTTGGTGTGCTGCACCCATCAACTCGTCATTAAATTTAGGTATATCTCCTAATGCTATCCCTCCCCCCTCTCCCCCATCCCACGACTGGCCCCAGTGTGTGATGTTCCCAATCCTGTGTCCAAGTGTTCTCATTGTTCAATTACCACCTATGAGTGAGAACATGCGATGTTTGGTTTTCTGTCCTTGTGATAGTTTGCTCAGAATGATGGTTTCCACCTTCATCCATGCCCCTACAAAGACATGAACTCATCCTTTTTATGGCTGCATAGTATTCCATGGTGTATAACTGCCACATTTTCTTAATCCAGTGTATCAATGATAGACATTTGGGTTGGTTCCAAGACTTTGCTATTGTGAATAGTGCCGCAATAAACATATGTGTGTATGTGTCTGTATAGCAGCATGATTTATAATCCTTTAGGTATATACCCAGTAATGGGATGGCTGGGTCAAATGGTATTTCTAGTTCTAGATCCCTGAGGAATCGCCACACTGACTTCCACAATGGTTGAAGTAGTTTACAGTCCCACCAACAGTGTAAAAGTGTTCCTATTTCTCCACATCCTCTCCAGCACCTGTTGTTTCCTGACTTTTTAATGATTGCCATTCTAACTGGTGTGAGATGGTATCTCATTGTGGTTTTGATTTGCATTTTTCTGATGGCCAGTGATGATGAACATTTTTTCATGTGTCTTTTGGCTGCATAAATGTCTTCTTTTGAGAAGTGTCTGTTCATATCCTTTGCCCACTTGTTGATGGGGTTGTTTGATTTTTTCTTGTAAATTTGTTTAAGTTCTTTGTAAATTCTAGGTATTAGCCCTTTGTCAGATGGGTAGATTGCAAAAATTTTCTCCCATTCTGTAGGTTGCCTGTTCAGTTTGATGGTAGTTTCTTTTGCTGTGCAGAAGCTCTTTAGTTTAATTAGATCCCATTTGTTAATTTTGACTTTTGTTGCCATTGCTTTTGGTGTTTTAGACATGAAATCCTTGCCCATGCCTATGTCCTGAATGGTATTGCCTAGGTTTTCTTCTAGGATTTTTATGGTTTTAGGTCTAACATTTAAAGTCTTTAATCCATCTTGAATTAATTTTTGCATAACGTGTAAGGAAGGGATCCAGTTTCAGCTTTCTACATATGCCTACCAGTTTTCCCAGCACCATTTATTAAATAGGGAATCCTTTCCCCATTTCTTGTTTTTGTCAGGTTTGTCAAAGATCACATGGTTGTAGATGTGTGGTATTATTTCTGAGGGCTCTGTTCTGTTCCATTGGTCTATATCTCTTTTTTGTACCAGTACCATGCTGTTTTGGTTACTTTAGCCTTGTACTGTAGTTTGAAATCAGGTAGCATGATGCCTCCAGCTTTGTTCTTTTGGCTTAGGATTGTCTTGGCAATATGGGCTCTTTTTTGGTTCCATATGAACTTTAAAGCAGTTTTTTCTAATTCTGTGAAGAAAGTCATTTGTAGCTTGATGGAGATGGCATTGAATCTATAAATTACCTTGGGCAGTATGGCCATTTTCACGATATTGATTCTTCCTATCCATGAGCATGGAATGTTCTTCCATTTGTTTGTGTCCTCTTTTATTTCGTTGAGCAGTGGTTTGTAGTGCTCCTTGAATAGGTCCTTCTCATCCCTTGTAAGTTGGATTCCTAGGTATTTTATTCTCTTTGAAGCAATTGTGAATGGGAGTTCACTCATGATTTGTCTCTCTGTTTGTCTGTTATTGGTGTGGAGGAATGCTTGTGATTTTTGCCCATTGATTTTGCATCCTAAGACTTTGCTGAAGTTGCTTATCAGCTTAAGGAGATTTTGGGCTGAGATGATGGGGTTTTCTAAATATGCAATCATGTCATCTGCAAACAGGGACAATTTGACTTCCTCTTTTCCTAATTAAATACCTTTATTTCTTTCTCCTGTCTGATTGCCCTGGCCAGAACTTCCAACACTATGTTGAATAGGAGTGGTGAGAGAGGGCATCCCTGTCTTGTGCCAGTTTTCGAAAGGAATGCTTCCAGTTTTTGCCCATTCAGTATGATATTGTCTATGGGTTTGTCATAAATAGCTCTTATTATTTTGAGATATGTCCCATCAATACCTAATTTATTGAGAGTTTTTAGCATGAAGGGCTGTTGAATTTTGTTGAAGGCGTTTTCTGCATCTGTTGAGAAATCATGTGGTTTTTGTCTTTGGTTCTGTTTATATGATGGATTACGTTTATTGATTTGTGTATATTGAACCAGCCTTGCATCCCAGGGATGAAGCCCACTTGATCATGTTGGATAAGCTTTTTGATGTGCTGCTGGCTTAAGTTTGCCATTATTTTATTGAGGATTTTTGCGTCAATGTTCATCAGGGATATTGGTCTAAAATTCTCTTTTTTTGTTGTGTCTCTGCCAGGCATTGGCATCAGGATTATGCTGGACTCATAAAATGAGTTAGGGAGGATTCCCTCTTTATCTATTGATTGGAACAGTTTCAGAAGGAATGGTACCAGGTCCTCTTTTTACCTCTGGTAGAATTCGGCTGTGAATCCGTCTGGTCCTGGACTTTTTTTGGGTGGTAGGCTGTTAATTATTGCCTCATTTTCGTAGCCTGTTATTGGTCTATTCGGAGATACAACTTCTTCCTGGTTTAGTCTTGGGACGATGTACGTGTCGAGGAATTTATCCATTTCTTCTAGATTTTCTAGTTTCTTTGCATAGAAGTGTTTATAGTATTCTCTGATGGTAGTTTGTATTTCTGTGGGATTGGTGGTGATATCCCCTTTATCATTTTTTATTGTGTCTACTTGATTCTTCTCTCTTTTCTTCTTTATTAGTCTTGCTAGCAGTCTATCAATTTTGTTGATCTTTTCAAAAAATCAGCTCCTGGATTCACTGATTTTTTGAAGGGTTTTTTTTTGTCTCTATCTCCTTCAGTTCTGCTCTGATCTTAGTTATTTCTTGCCTTCTGCTAGCTTTTGAATGTGTTTATTCTTGCTTCTCTAGTTCTTTTAATTGTGATGTTTCGGTGTCAATTTTAGATGTTTCCTGCTTTCTCTTGTGGGCATTTAGTGCTATAATTTTCCCTCTACACGCTGCTTTAAATGTGTCCCAGAGACTCTGGTATATTGTATCTTTGTTCTCATTGGTTTCAAAGAACATCTTTATTTCTGCCTTCATTTCGTTATGTACCCAGTAGTCATTCAGGAGCAGGTTGTTCAATTTCCATGTAGTTAAGTGGTTTTGAGTGAGTTTCTTAATCCTGAGTTCCAGTTTCATTGCATTGTGGTCTGAGAGACAGTTTGTTATAATTTCTGTTCTTTTACATTTGCTGAGGAGTGCTTTACTTCCAACTATGTGGTCAATTTTGGAATAAGTGCGATGTGAGGCTGAGAACAATGTATATTCTGTTGATTTGGGGTGGAGAGTTCTGTAGATGTCTATTAGGTCCACTTGGTGCAGAGCTGAGTTCAATTCCTGGATATCCTTGTTAACTTTCTGTCTCGTGGAACTGTCTAATGTTGACAGTGTCGTATTAAAATCTCCCATTATTATTGCATGGGAGTCTAAGTCTCTTTCTAGGTCTCTAAGGACTTGCTTTATGAATCTGGGTGCTCCTGTATTGGGTGCATATATATTTATGATAGTTAGCTCTTCTGTTGAAGAGTTGAATTGATCCCTTTACCGTTATGTAATGGCCTTCTTTCTCTCTTCTGATTTTTGTTGGTTTAAAGTCTGTTTTATCAGAGACTAGGAATGTAACCCCTGCTTTTTATTTGTTTTCCATTTGGTTGGTAGATCTTCCTCCATCCCTTTATTTTGAGCCTATGTGTGTCTCTGCAGGTGAAATGGGTTTCCTGAATACAGCACACTGATGGATCTTGACTCTATCCAATTTGCCAGTCTGTGTCTTTTAATTGGAGCATTTAGCCTATTTATATTTAAGGTTAATATTGTTATGTGTGAATTTGATCCTGCCATTATGATGTTAGCTGGTTATTTTGCTCATTAGTTGATGCAGTTTCTTCCTAGAATCGATGGTCTTTACAATTTGGCATGTTTTTGCAGTGGCTGGTACTAGTTGTTCCTTTCCACGTTTAGTGCTTCCTTCAGTAAGGCAGGCCTGGTGGTGACAAAAATCTCTCAGCATTTGCTTGTCTGTAAAGGATTTTATTTCTCCTTCACTTATGAAGCTTAGTTTGGCTGGATAGGAAATTCTGGGTGGAAAATTCTTTAAGAATATTGAATATTGGCCCCCACTCTCTTCTGGCTTATAGAGTTTCTGCCAGGAAATCTGCTGTTAATCTGATGGGCTTCCCTTTGTGGGTAACCTGACCTTTCTCTCTGGCTGCCCTTAGCATTTTTTCCTTCATTTCAACTTTGGTGAATCTGACAATTATGTGTCTTGGAGTTGCTCTTCTCGAGGAGTATCTTTGTGGCATTCTCTGTATTTCCTGAATTTGAATGTTGGCCTGCCTTTCTAGGTTGGGGAAGTTCTCCTGGGTAATATCCCAAAGAGTTTTTTCCAACTTGGTTCCATTCTCCCTGTCACTTTCAGGTAAACCAATCAGACATAGATTTGGTCTTTTCACATAGTTTCATATTTCTTGGAGGCTTTGTTCATTTCTTTTTACTCTTTTTTCTCTAAACTTCTCTTCTCACTTCTTTTCATTCATTTGATCTTCAATCACTGATGCCCTTTCTTCCTCTTGATCGAATCAGCTAATGAAGCCTGTGCATGCATCACATAGTTCTCCTGCCATGGTTTTCAGGTCCATCAGGTCATTTAAGGTCTTCTCTATGCTGTTTATTCTAGTTAGCCATTCGTCTAATCTTTTTTCAAGGTTTTTAGCTTCTTTGCGATGGGTTCGAACATCCTCCTTAAGCTCGGAGAAGTTTGTTGTTACTCATCGTCTGAAGCCTTCTCTCAACTCATCAAGGTCATTCACTGTCCAGCTTTGTACTGTTGCTGGCAAGGAGCGACATTCCTTTGGAGGAGAAAAGGCCCTCTGATTTTTATAATTTTCAGCTTTTCTGTTCTGGTTTCTCCCCATCTTTGTGGGTTTATCTACCTTTAGTCTTTGATGATGGTGACGTACAGATGGGTTTTTGGTGTGGATGTCTTCTCTGTTTGTTAGTTTTCCTTCTAACAGTCAGGATCCTCAGCTGCAGGTCTGTTGGAGTTTGCTGGAGGCCCACTCCAGACCCTGTTTGCCTGGGTATCACCAGCAGAGGCTGCAGAACAGCAAATATTGCAGAACAGCAAATGTTGCTTTCTGATCATTCCTCTGTAAGCTTCGTCGCAGAGGAGCACCTGGCCATATGAGGTGTCAGTCGGCCCCTTCTGGGAGGTGCCTCCCAGTTAGGCTACTCAGGGGTCAGGGACCCACTTGAGGAGGCAGTCTGTCAGTTCTCAGATCTGAAGCTGCATGCTGGGAGAACCACTACTCTCTTCAAAGCTGCCAGACAGGGACGTTTAAGTCTGCAGAAGTTTCTGCTGCCTTTTGTTCAGCTATGCCCTGCCCCCAACATTTTTCTGGAGGTCTTATCAGTCAAAATAAAGAAATAAGAAGCATAAAGATTGAATTTAGCATCTTCCTATGACATAAAATCAATTTATAAAAGAGAATTAAATTTGTGTATACTAGCAACAATGCATTGCTACATTTCATAGTACTATATAATACTACAGTACATTGTTGAGACAAATTTAAAAATCACTAAATAAATGGAGAAATATGCAGAGTACTCAGTTGGAAGTCTCAATGCTTAAGATGTAAATTCACTTCACATTTAGCTATAGAAGCAATGAAAATCCTATCACATTTCCAGAAAATAAAATTTTCTTTAAAGAATAAGCTGATACTTCAATGTATAGGAAAACAAAGTGGCCCAAGAAAAAACAAAATAATCTTCAAAAAGAAAAGAGATGATATATATTATCTGAGTCCAAGGCTTGCTTTAAGCTTACCAGTGATCTGGACAGTGTGGTATTACCATTAGCACAGACAAATAGTTGAATGAAACATAATACAGGTACAGAAATAGATCCACAATATATGATGAAGTATGCTTTTTAAATGTGCCAATACTGTACCATGGGAAAAGGAAACCCTGTGAACAAATGTTTCTGAAACAACTAGATAACTATGGGGGAAAAGAAGAATGCTGACTGTTTTGAATAACATTCTCCAAAATTAAGACAGATTATAGAACTAATTATATAAGCAAAAATAGGTTCTAAACTTTGTATTAGTACAATATTTCTGAGATAGAAAAATAAAACGGGCACTTAATGAAAAATTTTCTTTTTTTTTAATCATACTTTAAGTTTTAGGGTACATGTGCACAACATGCAGGTTTGTTACATATGTATACATTTGACATGTTAGTGTGCTACACCCATTAACTCATCATTTAACAGGTGTATCTCCTAATGCTATTCCTCCCTCCTCCCCCCACCCCACAACAGGCCCCAGTGTGTGATGTTCCCCTTCCTGTGTCCATGTGTTCTCATTGCTCAATTCCTACCTATGAGTGAGAACATACGGTGTTTGGTTTTTTGTTCTTGCGATACTTTGCTGAGAATAATGGTTTCCAGCTTCAGGCATGTCCCTACAAGGGACATGAACTCATTATTTTTTATGGCTGCATAGTATTTCATGGTGTATATCTGCCACATTTTCTTAATCCAGTCTATCATTGTTGGACATTTGGGTTGGTTCCAAGTCTTTGCTATTGTGAATAGTGCCACAATAAACCTATGTGTGCATGTGTCTTTATAACAGCATGATTTATAGTCCTTTGGGTATATACCTAGTAATAGGAAAGCTGGGTCAAATGGTATTTCTAGTTCTAGATCCCTGAGGAATCGCCACACTGACATCCACAATGGTTGAACTAGTTTGCAGTTCCACCAACAGTGTAAAAGTGTTCCTATTTCTCCACATCCTCTCCAGCACCTGTTGTTTCCTGACTTTTTAATGATTGCCATTCTAACTGGTGTGAGATGGTATCTCATTGTGGTTTTGATTTGCATTTTTCTGATGGCCAGTGATGATGAGCATTTTTTCATGTGTCTGTTGGCTGCATGAATGTCTTCTTTTGAGAAGTGTCTGTTCATATCCTTTGCCCACTTGTTGATGGGGTTGTTTGTTTTTTTCTTGCAAATCTGTTTGAGTTCATTGTAGATTCTGGATATTAGCCCTTTGTCAGATGAGTAGATTGCAAAAATTTTCTCCCATTCTGTAGGTTGCCTGTTCACTCTGATGGTAATTTCTTTTGCTGTGCAGAAGCTCTTGAGTTTAATTAGATCCCATTTGTCAATTTTGGCTTTTGTTGCCATTGCTTTTGGTGTTTTAGACATGAAGTCCTTGTCCATGCCTATGTCCTGAATGGTATTGCCTAGGTTTTCTTCTAGGGCTTTTATGGTTTTAGCTCTAACATTTAAGTCTTTAATCCATCTTGAATTAATTTTTGTATAAGGTATAAGGAAGGAATCCAGTTTCAGCTTTCTACATATGGCTAACCAGTTTTCCCAGCACCATTTATTAAATAGGGAATTGTTTCCCCATTTCTTGTTTTTGTCAGGTTGGTCAAAGATCAGATAGTTGTAGATATGTGGCATTATTTCTGAGGGCTCTGTTCTGTTCCATTGGTCTATATCTCTGTTTTGGTATCAGTACCATGCTGTTTTGGTTACTGTAGCTTTGTAGTATAGTTTGAAGTCAGGTAGCGTGATGCCTCCAGCTTTGTCCTTTTGGCTTACGATTGCCTTGGCAATGCAGGCTCTTTTTTGGTTCCATATGAATTTTAAAGCAGTTTTTTCCAATTCTGTGAAGAAAGTCATTGTTAGCTTGATGGGGATGGCATTGAATCTATAAATTACCTTGGGCAGTATGGCCATTTTCACGACATTGTTTCTTCCTACCCATGAGCATGGAATGTTCTTCCATTTGTTTGTATCTTCTTTTATTTCATTGAGCAGTGGTTTGTACTTCTCCTTGAAGAGATCCTTCACGACCCTTGTAAGATGGATTCCCAGGTATTTTATTCTCTTTGAAGCAATTGTTAATGGGAGTTCATTCATGATTTGTCTCTCTGTTTGTCTGTTATTGGTGTATAAGAGTGCTTGTGATTTTTGCACATTGATTTTGTATCCTGAGACTTTGCTGAAGTTGCCTATCAACTTAAGGAGATTTTGGGCTGAGATGATGGGGTTTTCTAGATATACAATCATGTCATCTGCAAACAGGGACAATTTGACTTCCTCTTTTCCTAATTGAATACCCTTTATTTCCTTCTCCTGCCTGATTGCCCTGGCCAGAACTTCCAACGTTATGTTGAATAGGAATGGTGAGAGAGGGCATCCCTGTCTCGTAACAGTTTTCGACGGGAATGCTTCCAGTTTTTGACCATTCAGTCTGAAATTTGCTGTGAGTTTGCCATAGATAGCTCTTATTATTTTGAGATATGTCCCATCAATACCTAATTTATTGAGAGTTTTTAGCATGAAGGGTTGTTGAATTTTGTCAAAGGCCTTTTCTGCATCTATTGAGATAATCATGTGGTTATTGTCATTGGTTCTGTTTATATGCTGGATTACGTTTATTGATTTGCATATGTTGAACCAGCCTTGCATCCAAGGGATGAAGTCCACTTGATCATGGTGGATAAGCTTTTTGATGTGCTGCTGGCTTCAGTTTGCCAGTATTTTATTGAGGATTTTTGCATCGATGTCCATCAGGGATATTGGTCTAAAATTCTCTTTTTTGTTGTGTCTTTGCCAGGTTTTGGTATTAAGATGATGCTGGCCTCATAAAATGAGTTAGGGAGGATTCTCTCTTTTTCTATTGATTAGAATAGTTTCAGAACGAATGGTACCAGCTCCTCCTTGTACCTCTGGTAGAATTCAGCTGTGAATCCATCTGGTCCTGGACTTTTTTTGGTTGGTAAGCTGTTAATTATTGCCTCAATTTCAGAGCCTGCTATTGGTCTATTCAGGGATTCAACTTCTTCCTGGTTTAGTCTTGGGAGGGTGTATGTTTTGAGGAATTTGTCCATTTCTTCTAGATTTTCTAGTTTATTTGCGTAGAGGTGTTTATAGTATTGTGATGGTAGTTTGTATTTCTGTGGGATTGGTGGTGATATCCCCTTTTTCATTTTTTATTGTGTCTATTTGATTCTTCTCTCTTTACTTCTTTATTAGTCTTGCTAGCGGTCTAGCAATTTTGTTGATCTTTTCAAAAAATCAGCTCCTGGATTCATTGATTTTTTGAAGGGTTTTTTGTGTCTCTATCTCCTTCAGTTCTGCTCTGATCTTAGTTACTTCTTGCTTTCTGCTAGCTTTTGAAAGTGTTTGCTCTTGCTTCTCTAGTTCTTTTAATTGAGATGTTATGGTGTCAATTTTAGATCTTTGCTGCTTTCTCTTGTGAGCATTTAGTGCTGTAAATTTCCCTCTACACACTGCTTTGAATGTATCCCAGAGATTATGGTATATTGTGTCTTTTTTCTCATTGGTTTCAAAGAACATCTTTATTTCTGTCTTCATTTCGTTATGTACCCAGTGGTTATTCAGGAGCAGGTTGTTCAGTTTCCATGTAGTTGAGCAGTTTTGAGTGAGTTTCTTAGTCCTGAGTTCTAGTTTGATTGCACTGTGGTCTGAGAGACAGTTTGTTATAATTTCTTTCCTTTTACATTTGCTGAGGAGTGCTTTACTTCCAACTATGTGGTCAATTTTGGAATAGGTGTGGTGCTGAGAACAATGTATATTCTGTTGATTTGGGGTGGAGAGTTCTGTAGATGTCTATTAGGTCCACTTGGTGCAGAGCTGAGTTCAATTCCTGGATATCCTTGTTAACTTTCTGTCTCGTGGAACTGTCTAATGTTGACAGTGTCGTGTTAAAATCTCCCATTATTATTGCATGGGAGTCTAAGTCTCTTTCTAGGTCTCTAAGGACTTGCTTTATGAATCTGGGTGCTCCTGTATTGGGTGCATATATATTTATGATAGTTAGCTCTTCTATTGAAGAGTTGAATTGATCCCTTTACCGTTATGTAATGGCCTTCTTTCTCTCTTCTGATTTTTGTTGGTTTAAAGTCTGTTTTATCAGAGACTAGGATTGCAACCCCTGCTTTTTATTTGTTTTCCATTTGGTTGGTAGATCTTCCTCCATCCCTTTATTTTGAGCCTATGTGTGTCTCTGCACGTGAGATGGGTTTCCTGAATACAGCTCACTGATGGGTTTTGAATCTTTATCCAATTTGCCAGTCTGTGTCATTTAATTGGAGCATTTAGCCCATTTACATTTAAGGTTAATATTGTTATGTTTGAATTTGATCCTGTCATTATGATGTTAGCTGGTTATCTTGCTCATTAGTTGATGCAGTTTCTTCCTAGCCTCGATGGTCTTTACAATTTGGCATGTTTTTGCAGTGGCTGGTACCAGTTTTTTCTTTCCATGTTTAGTGCTTCCTTCAGGAGCTCTTACAGGGCAGGCCTGGTGGTGACAAAAATCTCTCAGCATTTGCTTGTCTGTAAAGGATTTTATTTCTCCTTCACTTATGAAGCTTAGTTTGGCTGGATAGGAAATTCTGGGTTGAAAATTCCTTTCTTTAAGAATGTTGAATATTGGCCCCCACTCTCTTCTGGCTTGTAGAGTTTCTGCCAAGAGATCAGCTGTTAGTCTGATGGGCTTCCCTTTGTGGGTAACCCGACCTTTCTCTCTGGCTGCCCTTTACATTTTTTCCTTCATTTCAACTTTGGTGAATCTGACAATTATGTGTCTTGGAGTTGCTCTTCTTGAGGAGTATCTTTGTGGCATTCTCTGTATTTCCTGAATTTGAATGTTGGCTTGCCTTGCTAGATTGGGGAAGCTCTCCTGGATAATATCCTGCAGAGTATTTTCCAACTTGGTTCCATTCTCCCTCTCACTTTCAGGTACACCAATCAGACATAGATTTGGTCTTTTCACATAGTCCCATATTTCTTGGAGGCTTTGTTCATTTCTTTTTATTCTTTTTTCTCTAAACTTCTCTTCTCACTTCATTTCATTCATTTGATCTTCTATCACTGATACCCTTTCTTCCAGTTGATCGCATTGGCTACTGAGGGTTGTTCATTCATCACATACTTCTCGTGCTGTGGTTTTCAGCTCCATCAGGTCCTTTAAGGAGTTCTCTGCATTGGTTGTTCTAGTTAGCCATTCGTCTAATTTTTTTTCAAGGTTTTTAACTTCTTTGCTGTGGGTTTGAACTTCCTCCTTTAGCTCAGAGTAGTTTGATCGTCTAAAGCCTTCTTCTCTCAACTCGTCAAAGTCATTCTCTGTCCAGCTTTGTTTCATTGCTGGTGAGGAGCTGTGTTCCTTTGAAGGAGGAGTGGTGCTCTGATTTTTAGAGTTTCCAGTTTTTCTGCTCTGTTTTTTTCCCCATCTTTGTGGTTTTTTCTACCGTTGGTCTTTGATGATGGTGACGTACAGATGGGGTTTTGGTGTGGATGTCCTTTCTGTTTGTTAGTTTTCCTTCTAACAGTCAGGACCCTCAGCTGCAGGTCTGTTGGAGTTTGCTGGAGGTCCACTCCAGACCGTGTTTGCCTGGGTATCAGCAACAGAGACTGCAGAACAGCGGATATTGGTGAACAGCAAATGTTGCTGCCTGATCATTCCTCTGGAACTTTTGTCTCAGAGGGGTACCCGGCCGTATGACGTGTCAGTCTGCCCCTACTAGGGGGTGCCTCCCAGTTAGGCTACCCACTTGAGGAGGCAGTCTGTCAGTTCTCAGATGTGAAGCTGTGTGCTGGGAGAACCACTACTCTCTTCAAAGCTGTCAGACAGGGACATTTAAGTCTGCAGAGCTTTCTGCTGTCTTTTGCTTGGCTATGCCCTGGCCCCAAAGGTGGAGTCTACAGAGGCAGGCAGGCCTCCTTGAGCTGCGGTGGGCTCCACCCAGATCGAGCTTCCTGGCCACTTTGTTTACCTACTCAAGCCTTGGCAATGGCAGGCGCCCTTCGCCCAGCCTCCCTGCCACCTTGCAGTTTGATCTCAGACTGCTGTGCTAGCAATGAGCGAGGCTCCATGGGCATAGGACCCTCTGAGCCAGGCATGGGATATAATCTCATGGTGTGCCATTTGCTAAGACTGTTGGAAAAACACAGTATTAGGGTGGGAATGACCCGATTTTCCAGGTGACATCTGTCACCCCTTTCTTTGACTAGGAAAGGGAATTCCCTGACCCCTTGCACTTCCCAGGTGAGGCAATGCCTTGCCCTGCTTCGGTTCATGCCTGGTGCACTGCACCCACTGTCCTGCACCCACTTTCCGACACTGCCCAGTGAGATGAACCCAGTAGCTCAGTTGGAAATGCAGAAATCACCCATCTTCTGCGTCGCTCACGCTGGGAGCTGTAGACTGGAGCTGTTCCTATTCGGTCATGTTGGCTGCGAAATTATCAATTTTCTTTATAAAAAGTCATCTTTGCCAGAAAAGCAAGCCAAATAATAGGGAAATATTCACAATATATATAACTAACAAAGGACTTTCATGAATGATGTATGAAGAACATCTACAAGTCAATAATAAAAACAAAATCAACAAAAGAATGGGAAAAAAAGCTTGAGCAGATTATTACAACAGAAAATATAAAAAATGGCCAATAAGCCGTGAAAAGTTGCTTAACATTATTTGTCATCAGGGCATTATGTGTTAAATAAGCCACAATGAGATATTCTAGTTCACATTTTTCTAGATTGTTGAAATTTAAAGACTGACAATGATAAATGTTTGGGAGAGTATAGAGCAACTGGAATGCTCATTTATTTTTGGAGTCTGTAAAATTGCGCAAGTACTTTAGAAAACTGTGTAGTAATTCTTAAAAAGTTAAAACATCTATCCTATGACTCAACAATTTTATTGCTAGTTATTTTTCTAAGGGAATGATATCTCATGTCCTCAAAAGAATGTGGCCAAAAATGTTTACAACAGCTTTATTTATAATAGCCTTAGACTTGACACAACCCAAATATCTCCCAAAGAATACATAAATAAACAATTTAAATCATACAAAAAAATACTCCTCTGCAATGAAAAATAAGTCTGATTCTAGAATGGACTGTGTATAGGAGAAAAGGATAGCTTAGAGAGCATTACCGGGTCTATTGAAAAAATGAGAATATGGTGTAGTTTATTAAAAAATCTTGCTGAGAACAAAGTTACTTTAGTTGAAAAATGTAATGAGATTTTCTAAGGGAAAATCTATTTTTAAGTAGCATGCTGAATATATATTGGTAAAGTGCCATGATGCATGTAACTCTTCAAATGTTTCAAAAAATTTCTATTTATTATATAAAAATGTATATATGGAGATATTTACATATATGAATAACTATGTATGCATGTGTATGTATGTGTGTGTATATATGCACGTATAAAACAAGAGAGAGAGAGCACATGTAAATGGTAAAACAGATACAGAAATCTGGCTAATAGGCATAAAGTTGTTTGTGGTATTACTCTAATTCTTTTTACTTTTCTGTAAATTTAAAATTACTTGCAAATAAAAAGATTAATCTTTAAAAAACAAGAATAAGTCTTATTTCTGTTAACAAGCAAGAATGAGTTTCGAAGTATTATTCTGAGTGAAAGAAGTCAGACACAAAGATGTACTCATTATAATATCCCTTTTAGATGGTGTCCTAGAATAAATAAAGCTAAATCTATAATGTCAGAAATCAGACTACGGTTGCCTGAGCAAAGAGTAGGATGAGTTTGGTTCTTGACTGGAAAAGAAACACAAGAACATTCAGAGGTGATAGGAATTATCTGTGCCTTGATTTTATTGTAAGTTACATGAGTTATACATCTGTTAAAACTCATGGAGCTGTATTAGGATATGTGCATTTTACATTATGTAAAATACACCTCGATAAAATTATATGATCATAAAAAGTGTATTTGCAAATTATCGTCCCAGTAGACAACGTGCTTAAGCAAAAATCAAGTTGCTTCTTTGGCTGACACTGGAGTCTGTATTAAAAATGTGTTTTTTGTTGTTGTTGTTTTTTCAGACAGAGTCTTGCTCTGTTGCCCAGGTTGGAGCGCAGTGACATGATCTTGGCTAACTGCAACCTCCACCTCCCGGGTTCAAGTGATTCATCTGCCCAGCCTCTCGAGTAGCTGGTATTACAGGCGTGCACTACCATGCCCAGCTAATTTTTTTGTATTTTTAGTAGAGATGGGGTTTCACCATGTTGGTCAGGCTGGTCTCCAACTCCAGACCTCAAATAATCCGCCTTCCTTGTCCTCCCAAAGTGCTGGGATTCCAGGTGTGAGCCACCGCACCCAGCCAAAAATGTGTTTTCTGTACCTAATATTAACATCACTAACCAACATAGCCCATGACTAATTCTTTTATTGTAGACTTTATCCATCAGGAGAGTTTGTATATGTGAATATATAATCCACAAAAATACAATTAGGATTCCAAGGTTGTACTAATACATTAACAATTGGCATTATGGGAAGGAGAGTCCTAATATGTAGTGTTTGGAAATTTTCATGTAAATACTTCCATCATGACCAATTTCCAGCTACCATTGTGGTTTCACTAAAGAAATAGAGTTAGGAAGAGCCAGTGAAGATGTGCTGTGGCACTGGCTTTACCACACCATTAGAATTAATTATATACATACAGTTTCTATGTCCTTCAAAATGCTTTTCACAACACTATGGCAAGTTCTGAAACGATAAATATAGGATGCATACCGACTGCCTGCTGTTTGGCAGTTTGGACACCATTGATTATTAGTGATCATATATCTGATTTTGAGTCGTCTTTTTTAGTGACTTTTCTTTTTAAGCTGAATTTCAGCTTCTTTATCTCTGTAAATCTTACAGCAGAAATCTGAGTGAGGGTCATTTAGGTCCATGGCTTGCTGAATAAGCATTGGATACTGCTGATGGTGATTATTTTTTACCTGGTGGCATTAGAGGATGTTTGCAGACATTGACGTTGTCAGAATACTTATCCTTTCCTGCAGGTATTGCTCTGAAATGTCTTGATTTTGTGTCATCCCTGATTAAGAAAGGCCTATCCTCATCCCTTCAGCATGTGAGGCAGTTCTTCAGTGGATTTCAAACTGCGGGCTAATTTAAAAAATGGATGGAAAGGACATATTCTTTCTGTACCTATTCTCCCCTTCCTTTCCCCTGGTTTGTCTGGTTGTAATTGAAGGAACGTAAACACTGATCTCAAGTCACTGGGAACGTTCAGAATTTTTTAGAAAATTGTATTTAATGGGTGTTGATAGGCAAACCTTAATGGCTTCTATGATTGTAAATGAGAATTCTGCCAATCTGTCATTTGATTGGCAATTTTACTTTATATTTCTTTTCTCACTATAGGTTTTGTTCTTTTGAAACCCAGACAATTAAGAAAGGCTCATTAAAGTCCTGTTAATGTTCCCTGTGTGCATAGTTTGAGGCCGTATCTTTCTCCTCTGCTATCTAAACTGGTCATTATATCTGCACTATGCTACAGTAGTGTAAAGAAAAGAAAAGAGTCAGCTATTTCATGATGCCTACAAATATTATTTCTTACCCATTTTTTAACAAGGAACGTAATTCAATTGAATTTTGATTGTTGAATTTTTGTTATTTTAAAGTTATATGATTGTGACTCAGATGACATTAAAATACATGGCAAAGTATAATTCATTGAATTGATCCCAAGGAAAAATTATGGATGTATATAAAAATCTAATTTTGTAAAAGTTCATCTCAGTATTATTTATACTTGTGAAAATTTCAACATAATCTAAAGGAAAAACATAATGGTAAGCCACATGACATCATTCACATTGTATAAAATAAACTATAGGCATAAAAAGAAGCATATAGGAAAATAAATACATGGGAATATTGCTGATATGTTAATAAGTAAAAAATCAAGTTATAAATAATTGCAGCCATTGTGACTTAACATTTATTTAAAATGCATGCAAAAAGCATTATCAGTAATATTCCATGGGTAGTAAGATTATAATACAGTTTTGCTTGTTCTTAGAAACATTTGATGAAATAATTTGTAGGATATAATAGAAACTAGAACCAAATAAAATTATTTAAACTTTTTCTGCGTTTTTTATCAGTGAAGAAATAAGTAGAACTGCCGTATCCTTAAATGGTCAGTTTTTCTCTGCCATTACTGCTACTCTTATAAGATTTTCTTCCTTCTGTTATTAAGGAGGAATTGAAATATATGCAAGCTACTTCATATAAGTACAAATTTATTAAGCTCTAGGTTCATCAGATGACCAGGAAAACATAGACTATCAGGACACAGACAAAGCAGAACTGCAGAATTATAGAAAATTCAAGGTCTCATGGAGGAAAAGCAGTATCTACAATAAGAAAGAGACCCCAAACAGCACTCTAGATTTCTTTAAGAGGGATTATATTTCCTCCTTCCTCCCATTCTCCCTTCATTTCTTCCTACCTCCCTCTTTTCATCCTCTTCTCCTTTTATCTTTTCATCATTCCTTTCTTAAGCATTTTACTTAGTTACTACTATGTTCTAAGCACTGGGAATATAGACAAGGTCTTTGCCTACATTTCCTAGGAGGCGAAAGGCTGAAAACCTTAACTGGTAAACATATAAGAGAACTGCAGCTAGTGACAAGTGCTAAAAAGAGAATACAACTAGGTTATGTATAAGTGAGTGGTAGAGGGTTTAGGGGGGTAGCAGTGGTACCTAACAGTACCTTAGAATGGGTGGTTTGGGAAGTCCTCTGAGAAGGGCTGACATTTGATCAGAGCTCTGAATACAGAGAAGATTTGGAGACAAAAATGTTTAAAATACAGATGTTAAGCGAGAAGAAAGAGAGAATGGTACAAGATGGGCTGGAGCAGGAGGAACTGGGTAGCTCTTACAGGACCTTAGATTGTATTCTCAGTAAAATGCGAAGATGTTGGAGGATTTCAAGCAAGGGTGCCAAGTGAAATGATGCTTAATTTAAAAGCCTACACTGGCTATTGTAGGAGAATAAGTGGATCCTAGTGAGCTAGCCTGACAGGGCAACAATTAGGATGCTTTTGCGGTACTCCAAATAGGAGTGGGCATATACCTTCTATCTAGTGTCAAAGCATTAACTCTGTTATTCTTTTTTCGGTATTTCCTTTGCTTCTGACTCAGTATTTACTCTTCTTCCTTTATTCAACTTTTCTGTATCTCATAACTTCTGTGTGCTCATGAATTTGGCTTTCTGTAATTCTTCATTCTCAGATTTGATTTCTGCATCTAAGCCCAGATTATACCTTCTTGATCATGTGTATACATCTGTTCAGCTTTAGCTCCATCTATTACTCAGTTCTTTCCAAGCAGACATTCCAGAGAAAATCAGCTTAATTAAGCTTACCTTGTTTTAGCAGGCAACATCATGTGTTGCTGGACAACAATCTATAGATTATTGTTGAACTTGAATTAAGTGCCTGTTTCTGGTTTGGCCAACAGAGAGCTAAGTCACGCTGCACAAGTCCCAGCCTTCTAAAGCTATCTCCTTGTGAGGAGCTGTGAGTAAAAATGGTTTCACTTAACTGGAGCCCTGAGAGTACCAGATATCAGAATTGGCATGCTGGTAAAGCTATGTGACATTTTTCTTATGGTTGGTTATTTCTACTGAAATATATAAAAAAAACTGTGAGAAAAAAGCAACATACTACCAGAGAACAAGGGTCAGAAAACTCATAGTTAGGCACTTATAACTTGTGTGTGCATATACGTGTGTGTATGTATTTTTCTAGTTAGTAAGCCACAATTATGTGGGAGAAAGGCATGACTTCTTGTTTTGTTTTTTTTTAATGGGCTTATATTGGACCAAAACTTCTTGTTTTGAAAGTGTGAAATTGTGGACATAGAGCAAAAATAGTATTCCATTTAGAAAAGTCTATAAATGCCTTCTTAATTTACTGAAGGACAAGCCACTGTATACCTGAGTTGATAAAAATAATATGATAGCTATTTGGGCCCATGATGATTGAGAAGTAATTTTGGTAAGTTTGTAAATTCAACTATAATGCCTAGAAATGTCAAACGTCTTGAAAAGATCTTTGAAACTTGTATTACACCTACTGTTGTTTTTTTAGCAAGGTTGGCCAGCAAGGGTAAAATGTGAAATACTAGCATTTCAATCTTTGCTTTAGGTAAGTCTCTGTATCATTTCAGTGTCTTATTCTCTGAAATAATAAATGAATGACTTTTAGTCAATTGAGTTTTTCCATATCATTGGAGTTCCTTATTTTAAGACTGTATCTCTGAGTACATGTAGCAACAATTAAATAGTTCTTATCTAATAAACATAAATAAGTAAAAATAAAAATAGCCAAAAATGATGGGAAGATTATTTCTGAAGGTATTTGTAATTCATTTATTGTGGTATTTGGTAACAAATTTTGCAACTTATTTCAAAAAGCAATTTCATTAAGAAGATTGTATCTTATTTTGAGCACAAACATAATGGAAGAATCTCCTGCAAATGGAAGAAAGGATAGCTCTAACTCATTTATTATTTTCTATTTCTTAGCCAAGATTTGAGCTCTGCAATGCGTTCTTCAAACAACCACATTTTTGATTAAAAGAAAAAAGCATTGTGTCATTCTGTTTTAATTACACATTTTGTGTCTGGCAGTAATGCTGCTCTTGGTACTGCCAAAGCTACGAGTCTCTTTTCAAGGATATTCCTTAGGATTATGTTCAATGTTATACATGATTGTACCAGAATTGGGACACAGAGAATTGTTGGCAAACTTTAAAATTTCATACAGATAAAAGGAAAAGAATTAAGTTATAAATGTTTTCTTACTTAGTTCTGTGGGGCCGATTGGAATAATTCATAAAAATAATTGATTGAAATCTAAAGAGACTAAATTGATCTACATAACATACAGCTGAATGTGGAAGGGTGCAGTGAGAGAGCATGTTACAACAAAAGCCAATGCTGAATCATTAAAGGTAGGTTTGAGGAGAAAGAGTTTTGGCAGTAAAATATGGGTCAGAGAGGGGATATTTGGAGGACAGAATGTAGCAAAGAGAAATTCTAGAGCATTTACTCTGTGTCATGCAATGTACTTCCCTTTGCCTTCAGAAACTTGAGTAAAAATACATTTTAGTGCATTTGGAATGTGGAACTTTTATTAGTTGAATGTGATGTATGTGGAAATGTGCCTCAAGGCAGAAGCAGCAAGGCCTGGGTACTGAGGTTACTCAGGAGAAAACACTTGTCTGGAAGGCACCTTAGTTTTCCATCCTTATCCTCTCAGATGAGAGACGTGAGCCAGATAAGGTTAAGTAATTTGCCTGAAGTCACACAGCTAATAGGGAAAATCCAGCACTAGTTCCAAGGTTCTTGCTCCTGCTTCAAAATCTACACATAATCTCAGTTAATGCTACACAGTTGCATGGTGTTAATATACTCAATTTATTATTGAGTGCCATTAAATTGAAGTTAGGTAAGATAAAAAATGGATTGAATGTTAATATAGGAGGACATAATGAATAATAGTAATCTGTTACCAGTTACTTTGAACAAAGATTAACAAGTACAAGTCTCAGACTTCACTACTACACAATTAGTTCATGTAACCAAAAACTACTTGCACCCCAAAAGCTGTTGAATTAAAAGTATAAATTAGAAAAACAAATAAAAAACTAAACAAAACCCCCAAAAACAAAAAACAATGATGCTAGGTGTAGTGGCTCACAACTGTGATGCCAGCACTTTATGAGGCTAAGGCGGGAGGAGCCCTTGAGTCTAGGAGTTTGAGACCAGCCTGGGCAATATAGGAAGACCTCATCTCTATAAAAAACAAAAATAAATTAGGTGGGTGTGGTGCTGCATACCAGTGGTCCTAGCTACTCACGAGGCTGAGGTTGGAGGATCACTTAAGTCCAGGAGGTTGAGGCTGCAGTGAACCATGGTCACACCACTGTATCCCAGCCTGGGTGGAAGAGTGAGAACCCAATCTCAAAAAAAAAAAAAAGCCAACAACAACAACAAAATGAGAAAAGTATAATAGGTTACCACATACACTCATTCAATCATCTTTTAAAAATTTACCCTGCTAGAGGATTTTGCCACTGGTTTAATTGATAGCCCTGTTAGTGCTTGGTTCAATTACTTTATTGACATCTTTGAACACTTTATTATCAATCAATCATCAAAATTTATTAAGCATCAGTAATTTATATAGCAACAAAAATGAACAATAAATTTTATTTATATTTATATACATATTTATATAAAATTAACACCCGACAACATTCCTGGCACTGTTCTATGAAGTCTACATATATTAGCAAATTAATCCTCATAATACATTTATGACATAGATATATTTATCCTATTTTAAAATATTTAAATAGGATATTTAGGCAAGATAACTGACTGGTTGGTTGTTGCAGAAACATTTAACATGAAATTTACACTCTTAAACTTTTAAGTGTGCAGTTAACTACATGTACAGTACTGTACAACAGATCTCTAGAGCTTTTTCATCTAGCATGACTGAAATTCTTTACTGATGAAACAACAGCTTCCCATTTCCACCCCTTTCACCAGTGCCTGGTAACCACCATTCTACTTTCTGCTTTGATGTTTTACTTTGATGATATACTTCATATGAATGGAATCATGCAGTATTTACCTTGCAATTGGCTTATTTAACTCAGCATAATGTCCTCTAGGTTCATTCATGTTTTTGCAGATGGCAGGATTTTCTTTTTGAAAAAGGCTGAAAAATATTCCACATATATATATATTCTATATTCCATCCCATTGTATATTATATATGTGGAATATTATATATAATATATTCCATCCCATTATATATTATATATGGAATATTGTATATAATTATATATAATATATAATATTCCATATTCCATTCCATTATATATTTCATCATTTATTCCATATATATGTATATACACACACCATTTTCTTCATTTATTGATAGACACTTGATTGTTTTCACCTCTTGACTATTGTGAATAATGTTACAATGAATATGAGAATGTAAATATCTTTGAGATTCTGATTTCAATTCTTTTGGATAAATATTCAGGAGTGAGATTGCTGGATCATATGGTAGTTTTATTTTTAAGGAACATTCATTCTGCTTTGCATAATGGCTACACCATTTTACATTCCTGCCAATAGTGCATGAGAGTTCCAATTCTCCACATCCTCACCACCACTTGCTGCTTCTGTTTTTTTTTTTTATTTGATGATGGCCATCTTAAGAGTTGTAAAGGGATATCTCATTGTAATTTGCATTTACCCAATGATTAGTGATATTGAGCATCATTTCATATACTTCTTAGCCATTTTTATGTCTTCTTTTGAGAAATGTCTACTTTGTGACTTAAAAAGTGATCTATTTTGGGGAATGTCCTATGTGTGCTGAGAAGAATGTGGATTCTGCTGTTGTTGGGTGGAGTGTTCTGTATACATCTGTTAGGTTCATTTGGTCTATAGTATTGTTCAAGTCCTCTATTTCTTTATTGATCTATTTGTATGTTCTATCCATTGTTAAAACTGTGGTATTGAAATCCCCTATGTTGTGTTGCTGTCTATTTCTCTCTTCAGTTCTGTCAATGTTTGCTTTATACATTTGGGTGTGCTGATGATGACCGTGTATGTATTTGTAATTGTGAAATCTTCTTGTTGAATTGACTATTTCAGTATTATACAGGGTCTTTCCTTATTTCTTGTGACAGTTTCTGACTTAAAGTCTATTTTCTCTGGTATAAGTAAGGCCACCCTGCTTTCTTTTGGTTACTATTTTCATGTAATACCTTTTCCTATCTTTTCACTTTCAGCATATGTGTGCTCCATTTAAGGTGAGTCTCTTGTAGACAGCATATAGTTTTGTCTTTTTTTTAAATTCATGCAGCCACTGTATGTCTTTAATGGAGGAGTTGAATCCATGCATTTTTATAGTAATTATTGATAAGAAGAATCATACTATTGCCATTTTGTTGTTTTCTGTGTTGTAGGTTTTTTTTGTTCCTATTTTTCTCTCTTGGTCTCTTCCATTGTGTTTCTTTAATTTTTTTGTAGTGACATGCTTTGATTCCATTCTCATTTTCTTTTGTGTATGTTTTATAGGTATGTTCTTTTTAATCACCATGAGGCTTACATAAAACACATTGTAATTATAACAATCTGTTTTAAAATAATACCAAATGGCATGGGAAAATTCTGTTCTTTTACTTCTCCCACACGCTTTACATTATTGATGCCACAAATGACATCTTTATATATTGTGGATCCATTCACATATTTTTTATAGTTATAGTTCATTTTTATACTGTTCTTTTTTAACTTCTATACCAAAGTAAATGTGATTTATATGCAACCATTACAGTAATGTAATATTCTGTATTTGACTACATATTTTATCTTGACCAGTAAACTTTATACCTTCATACGCTATTGTGTTGCTTTCTAGCATCCTTTCATTTCAACTTGACCAATGTCAGCATTTCTTTCTAAGGTAAATCTAGTAGTGATGCTTTCCCTCAGCCTTTGTTTATTTGAGCAAGTCTATTTCTCCTTCATTTTTAAATAACAGTTTTTCTGGATATAGTGTTGTTTGGCATTTTTCCTCTCAGCATAAGGTTTTCACCAGAAATCTGTTGATAGTCTCATGAAGGCTCCCTTGTTTGTGTCAAGTTGATTTTCTCATTCTGCTTTCAAGTTTTTCTCTGTTTTTGACTTTGACAATTTGATTATAAAGTGTCTTGTTGTGGGCCTCTTTTAGTTCCTCCTAGTTGAGATTCACTGGGCTTCCTTCTGTTTGTTTGCTTGTTTGTTTTTGAGACGGAGTATTGCTCTGTTGCCCAGGCTGGAGTGCAGTGGTGTGATCTCAATTCACTGCAACCTCTGTTTCCTGGGTTCAAGTGATTCTCCTGCCTTAGCCTCCTGAGTACCTGGGATTACAGGCATGCATCACCATGCCCAGCTAATTTTTGTATTTTTGGTATTATATTTATAATTTTGGTATTATATTTATAATTTTTGTATTTTGGGGTTAAATTTATAATTATTATTATATTTTATAATGGTATTATATTTTATAATTTTTATATTTTGAGATTTCACCATATTGGCCAGGCTGGTCTCAAACTCCTGGCTTCAAGTGATCCACTGCCTCGGCCTCCCAAAGTGCTGGGATTACAGGAGTGAACCATCACGCCCAACCTCACTGGACTTCTTGAATTTGCATATTCATTTCCTTCTCCAGATTTCTGAAGTTTTTGGCCATTATTTCTTCAATAAAGCTTTCTACTCCCTTCCTCTCTCTTCTTCTGGAACTTTCCTGTGTATATTGGTCTGTTTGATGGTGTAGCATTTGTCCCTTAGGCTTTCTTCCCTCTTTTCATTCTTTTTTTCTTTTTGCTTTCAGACTAGATAATTTCAAAGGACCAATCTTTGAGCTAACTGATTCTTTTGCTTGATCAAATCTGCTGTTGAATTCTCCCCGTGGACTTTTCAATTTAATTATTGTATTCTTTTGCTCAAAAATTTCTGTTTGGTTCTGGATTATACTTTCAATATCTTTACTAACAGTCTCACTTTATTCATGCATATTGAATGCTTACTGCACATTTTTATGATCTGTATTTTGAATTATTTGTCAGGTAATTCATACTTCTCTGATTCTTTGTGGTAGGTTTCTGGAAATTCATTTTCTTCCTCTGATTGGGCTGTGTTTCCCTGTTTCTTTGTGTGTCTTGTAATTTTGTGTTGTGATCTTGTATTTGAAAATGCAGCCACCTCTTCCAGTCTCTATGGACTGCCTTTGTGTAGGAAAAGAACTTCATTAACCAGTTTTGCTAGAGATTTTGGAGGTGTCTAGAGCCTTTCCTGTCAATGTATCTTATCTGTACTCACACATGCAGATTCCCAATTTGAAGCATTTGCCTATCTTTTCTTTTTAGAAGTTTGCAATCTCTTGCTGTCTCTAATAAACCCGTGGCACTATAGGTTCTCTGAGGTTGCTGCAGGCTACTCAACTCTTCTGTTTTCAGTGACTACAGGTTCTAGAGTATGCCAAATCCTGTTACTGCTATGAGTCAAGCGAGACAGATATGAGTCCTTTGGCTAGCCCACTAAAATGCTAGAATGTTGGATGCATGCTCCACTCTTCTTTTTACCCCTTGAGGGAGAGGCTGTCCAGCTACATTGGCTTCTGTCAGCCTCACTGCACATTCTCTGGAACAACAGCATGCAACCAAACTGTTTTTGTCCTCAGCAGCCTTCAGCCATCTATAGTATTCCAGGTCTCATCAGCATGCCTAGTAGGATGAGACAGAAACCAGTCCATGGACAGCCCTTCAAAAAGCTGGAAAACTGGCCTTACACTCCAACTCTTTCCATTCCCAGAAAGAAGTTGGGAGTTGGAGATTTTCTCCTACTCATTCCATGCTGAACTCGAAAATGATACTACAATAAATGAGTACTTCAAACCATTGCCTTTGTTCTCAGATATCCCAGGCTAGTGCCTTTTCCTGTCAACATGTAGATTCAGGCAAAATATAAAATAGTTCTTTGGGCAGCCTCCCCCAAAAGTCTGAATGTTGGATGATGTTTCAATCTTCATTTTTCCCCTCCCTGTGAAATTTGGAGGGAGGGAAAATTTAAGCTGGGAGCTTAAGTTTTTCTGATTGTGCCAGGGTGAGTCAAGATGAGGGGCTATGGTAAGTGAGTGCCACAGTTTCCTACTGGATTCAGTGTGACTGGTTTCACACTTGCTTGGGGGTACAACAGTATCTTAACTGGCTTCTGGATTTCTCACAAAGTGAATTGGTCTATGTGTTATTACTGAATCAGTAACCTATATGGAACAACAAAAGACCCAGAGTAGCCAAAGCCATCTGGAACAAAAAGAATAAAACTGGAGGAATCATATAAACTGACTTCAAATTATACTACAGATCTATAGTAACCCAAAATAACATGGTACTGGCATAAAGACAGATACACAGATCAATGGAACAGAATAGAAAATTCAGAAATAAATCCAAACATCTAAGGCGAACTTGCTCTTGAAACAAGTGCCAAGAACATACACTGGGGAAAGGACATTTTCCTTAATAAATGGTGCTGAGGAAACTGGATATCTGTAGGTAGAAGAAGAAACCTAGACCACCACTATCTCTTACCATATACAAAAAACAAATCAAAATGCATTAAAAGCTTAAATCTAAGACCTCAAACTATGAAATTCCTACAAGAAAACATTGGGGAAACTCTCCAGGAAATTAATCTGGGCAAAAATTTCTTGAGTAATACTTCACAATCACAGGTAACCAAAGCAAAAATTTACAAATGGGATCATATCAAGTTAAAAAGCTTCTGTACAGCAAGGGAAACCATCAACAAAGTGAAGAGACAACCCACAGAATGGGAGAAGATATTTGCAAACTACTGATCTGACAAGGGATTAATAACCAGAATATATAAGGAGCTCAAACAACTCAATAGGAAAAAGAAATCTAATAATCCTCTTAAAAAATGGGCAAAGGAGCCAAATAGACATTTCTCCAAAGAACACAATACAAATGGCAAAAAGGCGTATGAAAAGTTGCCCAACATCATTAATTATCAGAGAAATGCAAATCAAAGCTACAATGAGATATCATCTTACCCCAGTTAAAATGGCTTATATCCAAAACGCAGACAAGAACAAATGCTGGAGGGAATATGGAGAAAGGGGAGCCTCATATGCTGTTGGTGGGAATGTAAATTAGTATAACCAGTACAGAGAGCAGTTTGAAGGTTCTTCAAGTAAACATAGAGCTACCATGTGATCCAGCAACCCCACTTCTAATTATCTAACAAAAAGAAAGGAAATTAGTATATCTCATGGAGATAGAGAGTAGAAGGATGGTTACTAGAGGCTGAGAAAGGAAGTGAGAGGTAGGGGGTAAGGTGGGGATGGTTAATGGGTACAAAAATATAGTTAGAAAAAATGAATAAGACCTAATACTTGATCTTATTATGCACAGCAGGATGATTACAATCAACAATAATTCATTGTACATTTAAAAATAACTCAAAGAGTATAATTCGAATGCTTGTAGCACAAAGAAATGGTATATGCTTGAGGTGAGGAATTTAAAAAAAGTGTGAACCTGAAGGTCCATTTCAGTTCTAAAATAATTTGATTTCTATATATAGGATAGGGAGTCATAGTTAAAGGCAAAACATATAAAAGACTCCTGTATTTTAGTTGAGTTATATGGATATACATTAAAATGTTTTTTAAAAATAAGACAATGAGTATATATGGCTTTGGTATGTAAAACTCAATATAATAATTGGTTTTCAAAGAATAAAAATCTAAAAGATAAGTGTTGATTAAGATTTTAATCTATAACTTTGATGTTTCATTTTTAGAGGGCTTGAGCAAAACCTTGAATATTCTTGAGAGAAAGAAGAGAAGAAAGAGTATGTTGTAAATGAATTTACCTCATTCCTTCTCAACATTGCTTATTAAGTACTGCTATCTCATCTAGTTTGATGATACAGATCCTCTTATATGTTGAGAGGCCTTTAGGCTGGTTAGATATTTATAATTTGATCTAAATGATAGCAGATAGAGAAAATTATTACAAAATTTAAGATCTGCAATTTAAGTAACTATTATTGCACCATTTTATTCAATGTTTTACCTTTACATAGAATATTTTGCAGGCTAATTTTCCATCCTTAATATTTTCCTATGTTACAGAAAACCATATTTATGCTTTCACTAGGTAAGTTTAATGAGAGATGATGTTACTTTAACTATATATATATTTTCTGTTAAATCTGGCAGTTCTTAATCTTGGCTGCACCATTAGTACAACCTCGTACATTTTTGTCCCAACTTTAAAAATTCTGATTCCTTTGTTCTAGGATGGGTCCTATGCATTAGGTAATCTTGAAAAGCTCCTTAGATGACTCCAATGTAGAGTCTTGGTTGAAACCCCACTTCTATAAATATTACAGGAGTGTGTATATATATATATATATATACATAACAATATTTTCCTGTTTATCCTGAGTCCAGTCTGGCTATTTCACTAACTTGCAGTCCAGAATCTTATTGTGAATATATAGAATATTTCTTACTATAATGTTTGTGTAAGTAAAAACAGTATTGAAAAAATAGCCAAATTTAGGAATTAAAAACTATGTAAAATATTCATAGATACTGTAGGTTGAATGAGATATTGTTACACATCCATGATGTCCTGTTACTCCCCTGACTAGAAAGTTATTTTGTTGTTTTAGTTATTATGCTAATAACATTTAAATAGAGCTCAATGTGGTTTTAACTCTGAATCCTTCATAAAATGATTTTTTTATAATTCTGATACATCCTGTATGTATATTTCTGACACTAACTAATATGTTCTGAGATAAATATTTATTCATATCATTAGTTTTTGCATAATGACTATGACTTGCATACTGTTCTCTAGAAATTGCTAGGAATATCATGTTCATATGTAAAAAAATTCCAGTAAGGATTTAATATTAGGGTAAAGTGCGAATGGTAAAACTCAGCAGGAGACACCGAATATAAAATATTTATTTTTGTTTCAAGCATCAGGTTTTTATCAAAAGTTTTCTTTGGATGTTTATTCCCTGCACTATTTCCTGCAAATTGTCTACAATTACTTAGTTTGAGAATGGCCTTTCTCTAACTGAAGTAGGTTATTCTTGTGTTTGTTGCTATTTTCTTTATCTTCTGTGCTCTTGGATTGATCAAGGGTATTATATTTATTTATTCATTCATTCATTCACTCATTCATCCATTCACTATTTCAAGCATCGTAATAAGCAATGTCACAGTTAGTTTGGGGACCAACTAAAGACAGATGTCCTGCTTGGCAACATCATGACATTGCCTTGTCTACTATCCCAAGCACCTACCTGGTGGCACTGATGGTGTTACTCAAGCGTCTTCATGGGATCAGATCATGGTCCTAAAGTGAACTTCATTTGTTTATCTGATCCTGCCTTTGGTGTTTATGTTTCACTGTAATCTTATACTAGTAATTTTCTTCTACAAAAATATCAGATTTTCTTTTAAGATAATTTAATTGAACTTCCTAATTTTCTCTGGATATATTCACCATTTTGTTATTAATGGCTTATTTTCCCCTTAACATAATTGAGATTTCCATTATTTATGGCTTTGCTTCTTAATTAAGAAGGTGATTATTTTGGCCCTTCACAATAAGTTAAGGAAGGAAAATACACTTTAAAAAAAAATAGAACAAGGCTGTGGAGAACCCACAGAGCCATTAATAGAGAAAAATTTGTGTGCTGAAAAGGTCCGTGACTTCTATTGGCTAAGGTTATTTCGAGCTCTTGTTTTCTTTATCATCAAGTGCTCCTGAATACATTATTGTTAATCTGTCAGTTAATCTAATGAGTTATTCCATATATAACATTCATGCTTAACTAAGTAGTGTCATAAGGGTAAAAGGAAATTTTTTTCTTTTAAGAGAAATGACCAGACTGAAATACAAAATGAAAAACAAATTATTCTGTTTCTTTTTGGCTTTGTCAATGATTTCAGTGAAAAGATAACATCAAAAGTTTCATGCTCCGTTCATCTCTTATAAAAACAACTCTCTGTCTCTTACTTACATTAAAGGTAAAATTGACATCCTGCATGTAGCCCAAAGTATTTTAAGGTTATAAGTGCTTTAGTTTTAAAATCATGGCTTCAACTATATATAGAAAGATACTTGACCTAAATGATTTATTCATCATTTCTTCATTATAGTCTTTTCAGTCTGATATAAGGAGGTGGGTGTCGACTAGGACACATAAGAATAAAGAGTGTGATAAACATTCTCACTCTGTTGTTTGTGCTACTTGTATTACTATTTAGCCGGAAGCCTCTGAAGTGCATGTGGCAAAAGAAATGTCATCTTCTAATACATTTAGATCACATTTCAAACTGCCAGAAGTGGTTTAGCATCTATTTTCCACAGCCTGGCAAATTAGGCTATTTTGATGTGATAAAACATAATCTTGATGGAAACTTTTATTTTTAGTGTGGCATCTAATAAAGGAGGCTTACAAAATCACTGTGTCTGTGTATGTGAATGTCTGTCTTCTCCCATATGCTGTCATAGTCCGTTGGCATTGCCTTGGCAACTTTACAGGATCAAATTGCTGAGTGCAATATTCAGTGAAAGAAAAACCAGTACTGCCTCTTCTCTTTATCTGTAAATGAGAGAAATCTCTCACCAATCTCTGTAGGTTTGAGTATTTTTGTGTTTTTTGTTGTCATCATATATTTATAAAAATTGTAATAAGTTCCTTTGGGGCAGGGAAATGTTTATTTGATTTTCTACAAACAGAGCCTTGCCAGTATCAGAGTCATAGAAAGCACTCAATAAATCTTTCCTAATCAATGGATCAAAATAAAAAAGGAAATTGTCCCATTGCTTTTGAATTGTTATGGAAGTTTAAAAATGTGCAGTAAACTATGTGGTGATGGCCACAGCTCTAGAACTGAGGTGGGTGATTCACAGGAAGCTTCCGCAAAATCTTACTTTTGTTGAAGACCATCCTGCTTTGCTTCTTACTTTCAAATCCTTGAGTGCCTCTCATTGGTGGAAATTAACCCAGAGATGCCAGGAAATGTAGTTCCTAGGCTTGTAGCCCTTGTGAAAAGTCACAGCATAGAAATGAGAAGATACTCTCACTGAGTTGACAAAAGGTAATCTAACACAGCTTCCTAGGGACAACTCATAAAAATTAACTGGAAATTGCTTTATCAATACTGTGTATCAAGCACCATTCAGTATGACTGGTCCAGACCATAGACTATACAAGGATTGATTACATGTAAATTTCAAGATGACTTCATTCTAACGTTTCCCCCTACAATTTGAGATGATACCAGTATATAGGCAGGCAATTTCTTTTCATGACATCTGATTTTTTAAAGGGTCTGCTCATTGAATTATCACTTTGAAGAGTCCATGTCAAGAAGGGCTAGTTATGGGAAAACCTTGGGAAGATACTGCATATGGGTGCAGAGATCCTCTGACATCTCCAAATTACTGATTTTCTTTTAGAGAAAGCTTAGTGGACTAACTACTGAGCTTAATATGTTAAACAGAATCTGTAGCTTTCTCCTGCCAAAGTCAGGCTAAGCAACTTCAACAAGAGAAAAACATGTATCACCTGCAAACTTTATCTTACAAGCTTCTCATTGTTTTGAAGTAATTTTTTGCTAACTTTAGAATGTGTCAACTAAAAGCTGGGAGAAATATCTCTTTGTGAATGAGGTATGCCATGCTAGGCCCACAGTCTCTGCCTTTAGGGAAGTAATAAAAGGAATTTGAAAACAGTTCTTCCCCACAAATCTTGAAGAGTACCTGGTACACAGTAGGTACACAATACATATTTGCCAAATGAATGAATGAACGAAGTAAGATTTAGGTTGTCATTGTTTACAGAATATCTTTTATTTATTTTGTTTGTTATAAAACACCTTTTTGATGTGGCTGCTGGCTGAAAAATGAGTTTGACTTCATTTTATGTTAGCTTTAAATGTTGACTCAATGCTATACACTACCTTCCAGGAAACCATCTTCATGAGGGAGCTAGTAAGGCTACTACTACCAGATACCTTCTTTCTATAGGAAACCATGAGGGAACTAGTAAGGCTGCTACTACCAGATACATGCTTTCTATAGGAAACCATTTTCATGAAGGGGCCAGTAAGGCTACTACCACATACCTTCTTTCTATAGTTAGGAGTGAGATGTGTTGGAATTAGAAGTGGGGATTAATGCTATAGCCTTTCAGGAGGATAAACACTAACACTTATAATTGAAACTGTTATTCACCCATCAAGACCCAGGCTCCTATGTGATTTAGACACTTTCCTGCTTTCACTTTCCCTTCTATTTCCACAACATTTTATAAATGCTTCAATTAATATTCAATTTATCAATATTTATTGAGTGCCTGCTATATTAAGACTGATATGCAAATAAAATATGTCAACCTTCCTTTAAAAAATGTGCAGCATATTTGTGGAAATAGTAATACTAGAATTTTAATATTTTGCAGGAAATATAGGCATAGAGATATACATTGCCTACAGTTAAAAAAAAAAAACTAAACTAAACCAAATGCATTTAATTTAGAGTAGATTGCAGGGCCAGAAGAAGATGTTATTCACTTTGTACACCTAGGAATAATTAATAGGCTTCAACTAATGTGCAATACATTGATTAATAAACTCTCAAAGCAATATTATTAGTAGTAATGAGTAATTAAAAGTATGTTTTCAATTTATTTAAACTCTGCACTATGTATCATATTATTAAGAACAAATTTTAAACATTTAAGATAAACATAATTCTATGCTAAATTCTGAGTCTGTCCTATATATTTTAATTTTTTCTCTGACATTCTTTTGTGCACAGCATGTTGAAATGCACCACTGATTCTAAACTGGAAGTAAATTAGAAAGTTTGCTTGCATTCCTTGGTAGTGATGGAAATAGAGTTTCCATAGTTTTGAAAATTGGTACCTCTTGTGCTACCATGACTACTTTTGGTTTATATTTAACTGTGAAGGTAATAATGGAAGTGATTCCTTGGGTTTTTCAATGGGTAGGCTCAAATCTAATTCCAGGTATACAGAGAATAAATTTTGCTGCACTTATGCACATATAAAGATGTTGCCGCCTGTTAGGTACACATTTGACTCATCCTTAACTCATACACTGATGTGAGTTCCAGACACATCACACCAGCCTCCCACAGCTTTCTTCCCACAAACATACAACTAACTCCACATGGTACAACACCCACCCGTCCTCAGGCCAGCAGGATCACTATCATATATTTCCACAAAGATATGCAAGAAAGAACACACACAGCTCTCCCACACAGCTCGGAACAATCATGCAGAATGAAGCATAATCTATTCTAGTTTCATATTCTTGTTTTCCAAAGGTGAGTAGGCAGATATAGAGATGATGATGTTGTAATAATCTTTGTGGTCATAGAGGATCTTGAAAAATATTCAACAAATGCATTCCTAGTATTATTCGGTCTTTAAAATGAACTCTTAGTTGATAGACATCAACTAACCCATTTTTTAAAAGAATGATAGGTTTTTTAGCATTAATTCTTCTTCATTATCATCAGTCTCCTCCTTATAAAGGTATCCAATCTAGATGGTCAAGAAAAGTCTACTCTTGCATTTCACATGCCAGCAAGCCTTATTATTGCCAGAATTTGAATCCCCATTAAAAACAAAACAAAACCAAGACAATAAGTTGGGGCACAGCCAAATCAGGGTGCTTCACAGATACTACCTCTGAAACAAGAAGGTAATTGTTAAAATGTGGGAGTGGGAAGATGTCCTTTAGGCATTCCAGTTTCTACAGGCTGCCTAAATTTTAGCATTGATATTTCATGGGTACTCTGCAGCAAGAAACTGAGAACCAGGAGACATGGATCCTTATCTCAGATCTGCAGCTTACTGCCAGTGTGACCTTGGACAATCACCATGTTTCTAAGGTTCAATTGTCTCATCACTAAAACTGGGTATCTGTATTCATATGATGCTCTGTATATGTATTATAATTCAACTGGAAAGCATGCCCACATACATTTTTATAAGATACAACTCCAGAAAAAAAATTCGGGAGGTGGGGGTGTGTGTAGAAAAAGCTCACATTTATGGAACATCTACTATAATAATCTTACACAATCTTTAAAACAACTGTAGTATTAGGCTTTCTTTTGATCCTGTTGCTTACTAGAAATAAAGGTTAGAAAGCAGGAATACCTTGTATAATGTCCCAAATTACCAAATGATGTAGATAAAAGCTCAATCTATTATTTAATTTGTAAATGGTGTAGCTAAAAGCTCAATTTATTAATGTTTTGTAATTATTATAAACTGCCAGGAATTATAATTATTTGACAAGATGGTATTTTAATTGTGAATATGTTATGTATCAAATTTTTAGATCTTTAAGTATTTAAAAGGTCTAAGATTATTAATAACTTCTTTGCTAATAAAATATATTCGCCTTCTAAAATAGTCTTCCATCTTTAAACTTCTGAAATTTTTGAATTTTATAATCTACGTTAAATTACAAAGCAGTGGACATTTTTATTTGTGCATAGTTTTACATATCTCTACGACTAGTTTCCTGTGGCTGGTTAAACAGAATGAACTTTAAAAAATATCTTTATTCATATTAAAAATATATTTTCTATAAAGTTGTAAATAATTATACTTTCACCTGAGTGCATGATTATATCTTTCCCCAGAACCTATTCCAGAATTAAAAATTATAATTCCTCTAAATATTTACTAACTTGACTGACAAAAATGACATTTGTTTAATTCTATTGAAGGTAAACCTCCGGTTTTATACACAGTTTTACATTTAACAAGTTAATCTATCTGAGATTCATTTTGTTATATGAGGTGAGGTGAGAATCTATTTGGAAATTTTCCCTAATTGCTAGCCAGTGTTTTCAACATTATCTGTTTCTCAGCATTATGTCTTTATTGATCTGTGATGTTTCATTTATAAACTCAAGAGAAATCATGACCAAAGCACAGAGTGTGAGGCTGGGTTATTACAAGCACTGATACTGGTGAACTAAGTGGGGACAAGAACAAGAAGGATCTGTATATTAGGACTCTTGCTAGTCACAAGTGAAAGAAAATCTTATCTACAATAACTGAAGTAAAAAGAACATTTCCAAGTTCCTGCAGCTCAGAAGTCCAGGAGTAGAACTGATAGAGTTCAAACAAAATTCTCAGGATCTTATCTTTCTCTATCCTTCTGCTCTGACTTCTTCTCCAAGCATTTATCCTCTCATGGTGGGAAGACTTACCTTCTCACAGTTTCTAATACAGGAGAAAAGACAAGTCCTTTGTCCTGATTATTTAGCAGAGGTTGGTGAACTATGACCTGAGGGTCAAATCAGTTCTACAGCTTTTTATTATGAGACTAGCAAGCTAAGATTTTAACAAGTATTTTCAAGACTTGTAAGCCAACAAACAAAAGAAATATAAATATGTGATTGAGACAGTTTGTGGCTGGGTCTTCAGAGCTTAGACCATTTACCATCTGGCCTGCTACAAAAACGTTTGCCACATTGTGCACGTGTACCCTAAAACTTAAAGTATGATAATAATAATAAAAAAGTTTGCCAACTCCCTTTTTAAGGTGAAAGTCCTGTGATTATTTTTGAGTCTGACTGATTTGGCTTGGGTCATGGGACTATAGCTGTCTAGCCACACTGGCCACGTGCAGATTGGCTGGCTTTAGGTTTCATGCCTACCCCTGAAACTAAAGATAGAAGCAGCTTTATCTGAAGCAGGTGGTCTAAAATGGGAGAATAATAGTTGCTTCGAGAAAAAAATCAGAAGAAAAATAAATGGCCCATGAAAATAATAAATGTTCAACACAGCCTTGAAAGCCATTTCGAAGAGAATGTTCTCCTGAGAGCTTGAGATTACCACTGAAGGCTTTTTATGATATAACTTGGCATGCTTATATATTTGTATTTTAATATATTCAAGTGTTAGGATTAATTTCACATATTTAAACTGGTGTTTCCTGTGAGGTTCTCTGCCCCTTAGCACTCAAAGAATCCTTTCACCTGTACCCTGAGGGCCATTTCCCTTTCCAGATCAATCTGATGAGTGTGACTCACAGATTCTGGAATTACAAACAGAGATGAGGACTCAAAAGAACCTTCTGACCAAGGTTCCAAACAAAGATTTACATGCATGATAGCAGAGTATGTTTTTCTGCTTTCAGAATCTAGATAAAGTTCAAAGCGAGAATGGAGAAAGAGGCCATGGCAATTGAAAAAGAAAGACATTTAATCTTGGAGGAAGCAGGGCCTGGGTGAGGATGGGAGGGTGGATGAAGAGGAAACTTCGTTTAGAGAGTAGTTTCTCAAATTTTAATGTACATGTGTGTCACCTGATATATGGTGAAAATGCATATTTTAAATTTAGTAGGATTGGGATGAGCCTTGAAAATCTGCATTATTTCTTCCAAGATCCCAGAAGATGCCACCGCTACTGGTCCATGAACCCTGGTTTGAGTAGTAAGGCTGTAAAGTACTAGGGTGCTACTTGGAAACTGACTCTCTTTCTTGTGCAGAGAGAATTAAAATACATCAGTGGTCAGCTTATGGACCATCAATTCAAAGTGGCACTTCTGGCCAGGCATGGTGGCTCATGCCTGTAATCCCAGCACGTTGGGAGGCCTAGGCAGACAGATCACTTGAGATCAGGTGTTCGAGACTGTTCTGGCCAATATGATGAAAACGCGTCTCTACTAAAAATACAAAAATTAGCCGGGTGGGCTAATCCCAGCTGTAATCCCAGCTACTTGGGAGGCTGAGGCACGAGAATCACTGGGTCCCAGGAGTTGGAGGCTGCAGTGAGCTAAGATCGCACCACTGCACTCCAGCCTGGACTACAGAGTGAGACTTGGTCTCAAAACAAAACAAAAACAAAAACAAAAAACAACACAGTGACATTTCCTCAGCTTTTGCTTTCCCTCAACCCTATCATTCTATTGATTATAAAAAACTCAGAAACAGATGGTCCTTACAATTTTAACTGAGCTCTCTACTAGAATGGAAAGTAGAGATTTAGGCAACTTGGTGGGTCATGGCAAAATGAAGGGAAAACCTTGCTTCATGCACAGGATGGAGCTAGATGTAATCAGTGTGAAATTTCTCTGTGAACTAGGGAAGCAGTAAACATGCAACTCTTTTCACACTGTAGCTACTGTATGGGTAATGGATTAGAACAGGAGGCAAGACAGAAAATAAAGACACAGGATGCTATAATATTCTAGAGAAATGATACGGTTCTAAACTGACATTGAGACAGGCAGTTGATAGGAGAAAAGAGATGTGCTTGGGGAGATATTGTCAGTAGAATTCACTGAATTTAGTCTTTGATTTCACATAGGACATAGATGAGAAGAAGGAATCTTGAATAGCATCGAGGCAGAATTTGGGAAACTGTGGATTTTAATATTGTTTATTGTGCTAGAAAATATACTAAAAAGAGGAAGAGGAGCTGTTTGGGAATGAATATTCAGGAAAATATCTATACAGAGTGAATTTGGTGTGGAGACTTGAAGAAAAGGTGGGAGTTATATAGACGGAGACGTGGAGTTGGTCAAGGAGATGCTTCCCAGCAGAGTGAATGGCAAGTGCAAAGGTGCAGGGGAATTAAATATCATGAGTGGTTCATTGCATGACTGGTGATGGGACTGTATGGGGCAGAGGGCAGCGAGTAGGGTGAGTCTTGAAAAGTGGACACAGGTCAAATATCAAAGGCATTTGAGTGCTAAGTACACTTTAAAAATTGTATGTGAAAACTAAAGAGAGCCATTCAGGAATTTAAGCAGAGGGATGACATGATCTAACATAGAATGAAGGAAGACGGGAAGGGAACCATCATTTCATGAATGCATTTCATGTGGCAGGCTTTATATTAATTATCTTGCTTCAGCATGGAGGATTAATGACAGTGGGTTTCCAAAAACTGAATGATGAATTGCTGCAACTCTAAGCATGAGAGGTGAAGCTTCATTTTTAGGACACAGGGAAGTTTCTCTTTAAGAAATGCACCCCAGATTAGTATTCACTACAGTCAGAATGTTTGTGTTTCTCCAAAAATTATGTGTTGAAATCCTAACTCCTAAAGTGACAGTTTAGGAAATGAGGCCTTTATGCAGTGATTAGATCACAAGGGCGGAACCTGCATGAATGGGATTAGTGCCCTTCTAAAAGAAGCCCAAGAGAGATATCTCTCTTCCACCATGTAAGGACACAGCTAGAAGGCACCACCTATGAACCACAGAGCAGGACCTCACCCTACATTAAATAAGCCTGCACCTTGATCTTGGACTTACAAGTCTTGAGAAGTGGGAGAAATGCATTTCTGTTGTTTATACGCTCTCCAGTTTATAGCACTTTGTAATATAAGTCCGAATGGATTAATTTTGTTTGTAGTAACAAAGGACACATGCTGACTTCCCCTTAGTTCTATTCCATGGTGGCAAACACCGATTTCTTTTTTTTTTCCTGGTTCTTCTGCTGATAAACTGTATATTTTGAAATAATACACTCCTAGTGATATGCTTCGATTTTTCTAATTTAAATTTTACCTATGACTTCCAACATAGTTCTCTTACACCATCCTTCCTCAAACATAAATAATTTCATCTCCCACTTCTCATTATTTATATATCCACACTTCTGGTTTAAATTAACATTCAATATTTACTTAATTATGACCCTGTGAATAATGTTGAAGTTGGGCCACATAGCTAACTATGATTATTATCTATTATTATGATGATGATGATATTATCTTTTTATAAAGTGTCCTGTGGCCACTCTCTACATTTCCATTGTAGGTATTTATTTATTGTCTTTTCAGAGGGGCAATACAAAGTCATCTATGTATCTGTCATTAATACATTCCAAAATTTATGGCAAATCTGTAATGCTCCTATCAATGCATTTATCCACATTAGAATAAATGTGGATAACTTTTATTCTTCAAGTTATTCAAGAATAACTTTTATTCTTGAAGTCATCTTTCCTGGAGGTTTTTACCTATAAATTACAGATTGCTCTCAATGCTGGAATAGATATTGTTTTGAGATCTCCCTTTGCCTTAATTGTGGATATTTCCTTTCTCTTCTGTAGTGTTGAATCTCTTAGTTTCAAAATATCATTTTCTCCTCTTTCTTGGTTTACTCCCACATTTCAATGGAGCACATGCTTGGTAGATTCTTAAGAAACGTGGCATGAGAGTTATACTTTTTTTAGATATTGCATGTTTAAATGTTTTTATTCTATTCTTTCACTGATTGATATTTGGGATGGATATAAGAGTTTATACTGCAAATATTCTTTCCTCATAATGATATGGACAGGAGGAAAGGAGATACTGGGTAGAAGAGGGCAGTTCCCCAGCAAATGCCCCACCCTCAAGCCTGGAAACCCACCGCCCTAAATGGGAACAGGCATTTCTGTTTTCATGTCCAAATGTTGCCTTTTGGCCCACCCCGCCCCCCGATCCTATACCCATATTAACCCCAAATCCCAGGCTCCACAAGCAGATGAGTGGAGGAGCAGAGGAAAAGAAGAGCAGCATGACAGAGAAGGAGAGAAGAGAAGGAGCATTTGAACATTCAGAGGAGTTCGGCTGGGGGTGATCAGAGAGAAGATCAGCTGTGGGACAGCTGAACTCCAGTGGAAGATCATCTCCCACTCCATCCCCTTTCTAGCTCCCCATCCATTCCTCTGAGAGCTACCTCCATCCAGCAATAAAATCCCACATATTTACTATCCTTCAATTTCTCCATGGGACCTGATTCTTCCTGAATGTCAGACAAGGACCTGGGTACCAAGAGGACACTGAGCTGGTTAACGCTTAAGCCATCTGCAGATGGCAGAGGTAAAAGAGCACTGTAACACTCCCACTGGGGCTTCAGGAGTTGCAGGCATCCACCCTAGATGCTACCTTGTGGCCAGAGCCCAAAAGAGCTCACCACAGCTCCTGCACCTGCCCATTTGCGTGTGTCCCCTCCTGTAAGGGGTTTGAGCACACTGTGGCAGAAAAGATAAGCCACACCCTTGTCACACACCCTGAGGGAGGGGTGAGGGGTGGGGTTCAGGGAACTCTCCCATTTCAATAATTTTGGAGATACTAATCCATTTTCCTCTATCTCTAGTGCTGCGGTTGAGATGTTCTATGCCATTCTGATACCAGATATTTCCTGTGATTTTTTTTTTACTTTTATTACTGAAAACTTTTAGGATTTTCTCTGTATTACCAGAATTTACATAATTATATGATTTGTTGTAAATGTATTTTCACTTGTTTTACAAGGGTTTGGATAGGTCTTTTTAATCTGGAAATATTTTTATTCATTCAGGAAAATGTTCTTGTATTATTTCCTACCTAAATTACTTTTCTAATTTTTTTCTTCCTAGAAATGGTAACATTTAGATATTAGAGTTACTGTATTGTGACTCTAATTGTCTTATGTTTTTTTCTCATTTAATATCTATTTTTTATTTGTCATGCTTTTTGGAATATTTTCTTTACCTTCAAAATATGATATTGATTTTAATATTCAATATCATAGTTTTAGTTTCAAATATCTCTTTATCCTCTTCTGATTATGTTATTTATTCTTTCCTGTTCTTGTTTCTTGAAAAAAAGGTATTTTCTTATCCTTCTGGAGATATTAATTATAGGTTTTTTTAAAAAAATCTTTTTTTTTTATTTTTTTATTATACTTTAAGTTTTAGGGTACATGTGCACATAGTGCAGGTTAGTTACATATGTATACATGTGCCATGCTGGTGCGCTGCACCCACTAACTGGTCATCTAGCATTAGGTATATCTCCCAATGCTATCCCTCCCCCCTCCCCCCACCCCACCACAGTCCCCAGAGTGTGATATTCCCCTTCCTGTGTCCATGTGATCTCATTGTTCAATTCCCACCTACTTTTGTTTGCTTCATGTTGTACCACTATTTCCTCTGATTCCTTTTCCTTTCTTATTCATTTTCTATGAATTTATTAGCAAAGGATTTTTCAAATATGTAGAAATATCCAGTGGTTCATGAAGAATTAAGATTCCTGCCTCTGGTATACCTGCCTTATATAAACCTCTCTCCTTGTGTATGAATATGATGGGGTCGTTTTTCCCTTGATTGGCTATGTTAATTAAATTACATTGTACGGTGCTCCATCTTGGCAGACTAGAGAGGGATACTTCTGTTGGTCCTGAAGAAGCAAACTGGTCTGTGGCCAGGATCTGAGGTTAGTCTCAAATAGCTGAGAGTTCCTCCAACCAAAAAATCAGCAGGAAAACTTGAACCTCAGTTCTAAAACCATATTGTAAGAGATTGATTGTGACCAACTACCTGAATGATCTCACAAACAGATTATTCTCTAATCAGGCTCCAATCATACAGCTTGACTGGCATTTTGATTTTAGTCTTTAAGACACATTTATTAGCTCATAGTTCTGTAGGCCGGAAAATGAAACATGGATCAACTGCCAATAAATGGATATCATTTTAAGCTTCTAAGTTTATAATATGATAATTTCTTACACAACAGTAGAACACTAATACATCTGGTGATCATGCTACACCTTCTGCTATTTAAGGGAGAAACACCACAGAGCAGATTGAAAGCTCTGAGTACATGAGCTATTTAAGTACATGAGCACGTAATTCATGCCTGTGGCCAAATTTCACAGCCAAAGATTGGTCTTTCTTTACCATCTTTTAAAAATAGTACCCCTAAGACTATATTACCTTACATTTCCCAAACTTGATGAAAAACAATAATCTACACATCCAAGAAGACCAATTAACTCCTAGTAGAATAAATACAAAGATAATCACACCCAGACACATCATAGTCAAAATATTAAAAGCCAAAATTTGAAAGCCATAAGAATAAGATGAGGCATTACAATGAATGGAATCCCAATAAAATTAACAACTAACTTCTCTTTTGAAACTATGAAGGCCAGAAAGCAGTGAGACAATACATTCAAAGCACTGAAAATGTAAAACAAAACAAACTACAATGAAGCTTTCAACCAACAATCTTATATCCAGCAAAAATATCTTTTTAAAATGAAGGTAAAATACAGTCAAGTGCCACATAATGAATTTTCAGTCAATGATGGACCACATCTTAAGGTGGTCTCATGAAAAATGTATTACTATATTTTTACTATATCTTTTCTATATTTAGATACAGTTGGATACATAAATACTTACCATTGTATTACAATTGTTTACAGTATTTAGTACTGTAACATGCTGTACAGGTTAGGAGCAAAAGGCTATACCATTAGACTAGGTATAGATTCCCACAACAATGAAATTTGTTCCTACAACAATGAAATTCCCTAAGTACACATTTCTCAGACTGTATCCCATTTTTTAAATGACACATGATTGAAAGAATTTCCCAGATAGGCAAAAACACAAAATTTGTTTGTAGGAGTTCCGCTTTAGAAAATTATTAAAAAGTAAAGAATGTTCTCCAGGCTGCAAGCAAGTTACACCAGACAGTAATTTGAATCAACACACAAGCAAAAGGGTGCCAGTAAAAGCAACTATATTGGTAACAATACAAGTCATTATAACTGCATATTTATTCTTTTTTAAAAAACTGATTTAAAAGTAATTAGATAAAATAATATGTATATAAATTGTTGAGCTTTTAACACATAGAAATGTAATATTTGACAAAAAGAGTGAGTGGGTGAGAGCAAAGTGTTATTGGTATAAGTATATGACACCATATGGTAACTAGTATCCACAGGAATAAAAAAATTTAAATCAGCTGTTATAAATAGGAAGATTAATATAACAAACTCTGTAAATATGCATTTGTTCTTATGTCTTCTTTCATCTTTAAAAAAAAGATATAAGATTCCAAAATAAAATACTTATACCATTGTATTTTCAGGTTTGTAACATACATAAATATAATATGTATAAATATAATAGCACAAAAACGTGGGGAATGTAGCTATACAGGTGTAAAATTTTCATATTCCACTGGAATCAAGATAATAAAAATTTGTGGTAGACTTTGATAAATTAAGATGTATATATTTTAAGTCTTGGCATAATCATTAAGAACATTTAAAAATATATTTGACAATTATTAAAGGAATTAAAATGTTACTAGGAAGTATCCATGTGATTAAAAAAAAAAGACAGTAAAAGTGGAGCAAAAATGGCATGATCCTTATAGTAAACCAAATGTAAAAGGGCATTTATATCTGACTATAGTCATAACAACATTAAATATAAATGAATTAAAAATCAAATCAAAAGTCAGGTGTTATTAGATTAAATTTAGAAAAAGAACAGGATTTAACTATATGGTGTCTTTGTAATACACACTCTAGATTCAAAGATACAAGTGGGTTGAAAGTCATTTCGGTACAGTGGCTCATGCCTGTAATCCAAGCACTTTGGGAGGCTGAGGTGGGCAGATTGCTTGAGCCCAGGAGGTCAAGACCAGTCTGGGAAAATGGTGAGAGCCCGTCTCTACAAAAAATAAAGAGTACTGGGCGTAGAGGCATGTACCTGTGGTCCAGCTACTCGTGAGGGTGAGGTGGGAGGATTGCTTGAGCTTGGGAAGTTAAGGCTTCAGTGAGCTGTGATGGTGCCACTGCACTCCAGCCTGGGTGACAGTGTGAGACTCTGTCTCAAAACAAAACAAAAACAAAGAGGGTGAAAGTGAAAGGATGGAAAAAATAGACCATGCAAACAGCAATGATAAGAAAGCTAAAGTGGCTATACTATTATTGCCAAGTTAACTCGATTCTGGTAATCATTTCACAACATCTGCATGTATCAAATGGTCACCTTGTACATCCTAAATATATTCAATTTTTATTTGCCAATTATACTGCAATAAAACTAGAAAAAAAAGATAAAACAAGCCAATGAATATACGAAAGGCCACAGAATGATTGGGCAGAGACTGCTGTTTCCCTGAGGGACTGAATTGAAAATTCTACAGGGCTTTTTTTCTGGGCTGATCAGTTATTCCAGAGAGGAATCCTCCAGTTTCATGACTGGGGCAGAGTAGGTATAGCTTTGGTGGTGTTGATGTGGTGTGAACTTCCTAGACAGCATTCTGAGAGTTTAGGGGCTTAGGTGGGCCAGGGAATTCACATTCAGATGTGAATTCTCCGTGTCTACTTTTCAGGATAGCACATCTCTTCTACCCTAAACTGTGCTTATTCTCCCTACACTACATTTTTTCAGCTTCATTTTTTCCCCTGAAACTGTGGTCTTCTGCTAGGCTGAAATAGAGTAATTGCCTAAATGGGAAAATTAGGGAAAGGAATTTATGGGGAATTTTGTAAGTTTTAAATCTTTTTCAAGTTTTCAGTCATAACTACTTCTTAAACCCTGACCCACACTTTGGCCTTAATCTAGTCTGGGAATTCCAGCAGGAGTTTGAACTTTCCTTTCTGCCATATTAGTTACCCTACATCTCCTCTTAATTTTCCATACATTTGCTTCTGTTATGTATTGTCTCTTCCTTTCCTCTATCTTCTTGAATTTCTGATTTTGATAATATTCCCTTTACTATAATCTCCGTGGGATTTTGGAGGCAGCAAACAGAAATATACTTATTCAATCCAGCATGTTTGATCTTAATGTGTAATTCCTCAGAAATAAGTCAACACGGTAAAAATAAAACAACTTTGGGCTAAGGAGACTTAGTTCAAATACTGAGTCTATGTCACACTGATGACAGCATAATAATGACGTTACATATTTTCTCTGAAGCATTGTTTCCTCAATGGGGAAACATACATAATAATATCTATTTCATAAATGAGAAAAGACAGAGACAGTGCTTTTTTGGCTTGCTTCTTTGTGGCTGTATTCATCAACATCATCATCATCCAGGCTCGAAATAAAAACAATATGGTCCAAAGTGTCTATTGTTCTACCTTTCCAATCAGAAAGAATTTGCTTTGAAGAGAACACGAATCACAATTTTGGAGTTGATTACATCTGAAATATAGATGAGAAGGCTGAATTCAGTTTTGAAGATTGAGTGGGATGAGGTGATAGTGAATAGAGGGAGCATAAAATCGCAGTGGTATAATAAGTATTTAAATCCATAGAAATGAGATTTGTGGGCTGCACATGTTGGTTCACCCCATAACCTCAGCCCTTTGGTAGGCTGAGATGGAAGGATCACCTGAGGTCAGGAGTTTGAGACCAGCTTGGCCAACATAGTGAAACCCCGTCTCTACTAAAAATACAAAATTTATCCAAGCATGGTGGCGTGCCTATAGTCCCAGCTACTTGGGAGGCTGAGGCAGAAGAATTGCTTGAACCCAGGTGGCAGAGTTTTCAGTGAGCCAAGATCGTGCCACTGTATTCCAGCCTAGGAGACAGAGTGAGACTCTGTCTCAAAAAGAAAAAAAAAATGAGATTTGTGGTTTAATTAGAGTGTATTAAACTACAAATCTATTGTTTAATAAGAGTTTTCACAACAGTTATATCATTCCTTTAATACTAGCAGTATTGGAAGGCTGAGTCAGGAGGATCAATTGAGCCCTAGGAGTTTGAGAAATGACATTTGTGAGGTGTCACAAGTTATTTATGATACTTAAGGAGAAATTACATATATATATATACACACACACACATATCCTATCATATGTATATACACATACATATCCTATGTATGTATATATGTATATATGTTTATGTATATATGTATATGTATATATGTACATGTATATGTATATATGTATACATGTAAATGTATATATGTATATGTATATATGTATATACATATATGTATATCTATATATGTATATGTATCTACGTATGTATATATATGTATACATATATAGGCAAGATGTATGTATGTATGCATATATACACATGTATGCATGTATATGTATGCATATATACACATGTATGCATGTGCATGTATATGCATATATGTATATGTATACATGTATGCGTATATATGTATGCATATATATGTATATGCATATACATATATATGCATACATATGATACTACTTGAGGGGAAATTATATATATGTAAATCTATATATTTTCATTGTTCAACTAATTGCATTTTTTGAAATTTACTTCTTCCTCTTTTCTGTCTTTAGATTTTAAGTATGATGGCTTTATGGTCATAACCCTTCCTTGCTTAATATTACTTGCTTATATTCATGGGTAATACTGTCTTTGGCATGAATAATTCATTTATGAAATAAGCACATCCTCATCATCCCAAATTAATCACATGAGTATTAAATGGAAAACTAAATAGCTCATTGACATCCTTGTGAACCAGTAACACCACGGTAGAATCTGATTGGCAGAAATAAGAACTAAAAATCACAAAAAATATTTAAAAATTCAGGAACCAGAAGAAGTAAATGCAGATATCTGTCATAAATAATAAAAGCTTGCTATTCAATATTTAATATAAACACCAATGTATTTTAAAATGTGATTAGCATCACAAGCAAAATCACTTTTTATTGTATAACATTAATTTCTGGACAAGAGCCTTCTAGTCTTCATGTGCCTTGTAAATATTTTCTCTGTATACAGGGAACTTTATTTAGGCAAGATAGTTTTTGACTGGAAAATTATCCCATTAATTAAAAACTTTTCAGAGTGACTGCTTTGCACACAATTTCATGCTACTAGATTTAAAATTACTGTATTTTAAAATGATTAATAAGTTGTCCATGTATTTTGTAAACATTCCCAAAGAAGGTAGTCAGTAAAACAGTAAAATCGCTGGAGTGCAAGTATTTATCACTGAGCCAATAAGATTTTATGTAGCCTGTAACTGCAATATTATATATTTTATGCTTCCTCTGTCTTTGGTGCGATATACATTAAGTTATTTTCCATGAAGTTAATTTCACAATCAGTAGACATCTCTAAACAACATTTTGTTACAGTTTCATGGGTACTAGATGTTTACAGGGGTCATTACTTTCCCCTTAGGTAGTGATAAGAAGCCAGACAACCTGAACTCACATTGTTTATATTCTGAAATGATGCTTGATATCTAAGCTATAATTATCTTTTATTTCCTTAGATCTATCACATTTATAATTTCCTTAGATCTATCACATTTATAAACTTCTCCTCTTACTTTGCGATATATTACCTAAGAGCTTGCATAGCTCCATGGACACCAAAGGCATGTCTGGAACAGGGTGTATTTTTTTAATTAAAAAAAAATGAGGAGAAACTTTTTCAGTTCTTGTTTTTTTTTTTTTTTTTGTAGATAGGAAGTAAAAGGGAATTTTCTATACTACAAGTTGAGGAAAAGGAAATTTTCTATCCTACAAGTTGACTGAAAATATAATATTTCATAATTCAAGTATATAAAATCAAATATTTTATAAGTGTGTATGCATATACATGTGGAATATGTACTTATATAAGGTCTGTAGCACCATAAACCTGTTATAATAAGTAGAATGAGTTTTATAAAAATAGAGTTACTCAGTTAAAGCAGCTGGATAAAGATTTGGTATTTTTAAATTTTAGTGCCAGCTCTGTCACTGACCTATTTTGTGAACTTAACACAAGTGGCTCAGTTTATTTCTTTCTGTTCTAAAATAGAGACTGCCATATCGACTCAAGTAATGGTTTTATGAGAAAGAATAGTGAATGAAAAGGGGTGTGAAACTAGTGACCAATGATTGCTATTGAAATTGTTTATTGCGTCAGGAACTGTAGTGATGGGACACCTACCTTTGTACATTTAAACATACCTAGGTTATTAGGATCTTCAAAGTCACTACTTGGTCATAAATTTTGAAGGCAACTGCTTGGGAACCTACTGGTTGTAGTGGAGAGATAATTAGTGCTAGGATTAGTACTGAGTTTGTCCTGAACAATGCCTCTCATTCTGCAAAGTCAAGTGGTTTCTCAGAAAACATATTTCCCCACTTGGAAACAAAAGGTTACACATCGTTTTTACTCATATGATTATTGTAAGCATCACAGTGCTTTGAAACCAGGAAAGTTGCTGTAAAATTCAAAGTGTAATATAAATGTAAAATATTTCTGTAAGTATTTCAGAATCAAAATGTACAACAGGTAAATTATTGGGGATATTTAGAAAACTGTGATGACTTTAAACTTAAGTGTTCATAGCTTTAATTTTTTGAGTTGAAATAACTTTCCTTCTGCTAAAAGTTTTAACAATAGTTATCAATGATCAGACCATGATCTTGCAAACTTCTAAGTTAATGAACCACTCAGCCACTATCTTTTCTTTTATTTCCAAATTTCTTTAAAAATATGGCCATATGATTTTGCTTTCTTGTATTTATACAATTTTTCTTCCTTACCGGCCATAGTTTAGCTTCCTCAATTCAAATAAAACCGTCTTATTCAGCATTTGCTTGTCTGTAAAGGATTTTATTTCTCCTTCACTTATGAAGCTTAGTTTGTCTGGGTATGACATTCTGGGTTGAAAATTCTTTTCTTTAAGAATGTTGAATATTGGACCCCACTCTCTTCTGGCTTGTAGAGTTTCTGTGGAGAGATCCGCTATTAGTCTGATGGGCTTCCCTTTGTGGGTAACCCGACCTTTCTCTCTGGCTGCCCTTAACATTTTTTCCTTCATTTCAACTTTGGTGAATCTGACACTTATTTGTTTTGGAGTTGCTCTTCTCGAGGAGTATCTTTGTGGCATTCTCTGTATTTCTTGAATTTGAATGTTGGCCTGCCTTGCTAGGTTGGGGAAGTTCTCCTGGGTAATATCCTGCAGAGTGTTTTCCAACTTGGTTCCATTCTCCCCATCACTTTCAGGTACACCAATCAGACGTAGATTTGGTCTTTTCACATAGTCCCATATTTCTTGGAGGCTTTGTTCATTTCTTTTTACTCTTTTTTTTCTCTAAACTTCTCACTTCATTTCATTCATTTGATCTTCTATCACTGATACCCTTTCTTCCAGTTGATCAAATCGGCTACTGAAGTTTCTGCATTTGTCATGTAGTTCTCATGCCATTTCAGCTCCATCAGGTCATTTAAGGACTTCTCTACACTGGTTATTCTAGTTAGCCATTTGTCTAATCTTTTTTCAAGGTTTTTAGCTTCTTTGCAATGGGTTCCAACTTCCTCCTTTAGCTCAGAGAAGTTTGATCATCTGAAGCCTTCTTCTCACAAGTCATCAAAGTCATTCTCCGTCCAGCTTTCTTCCGTTGCTGATGAGGAGCTGCGTTCCCTTGGAGAGGGAGAGGCACTCTGATTTTTAGAATTTTCAGCTTTTCTGGTCCGTTTTTTCCCCATCTTTGTGGTTTTATCTACCTTTGGTCTTTGATGATGGTGACATACAGATGGGGTTTTGGTGTGGATGTCATTAATGTAAATGGGCTAAATGCTCCAATTAAAAGACACAGACTGGCAAATTGGATAAAGGGTCAAGACCCATCAGTGTGCTGTATTCAGGAGACCCATCTCACGTGCAGAGACACACATAGGCTCAAAATAAAGGGATGGAGGAAGATCTACCAAGCAAATGGAAAACAAGAAGGCAGGGGTTGCAATCCTAGTCTTGGATAAAACAGACTTTAAACCAACAAAGATCAAAAGAGACAAAGAAGGCCATTACATAATGGTAAAGCGATCAATTCAACAAGAAGAGCTAACTATCCTAAATATATATGCACCCAATACAGGAGCACCCAGATTCATAAAGCAAGTCCTTAGTGACCTACAAAGAGACTTAGACTCCCACACAATAATAATGGGAGACTTTAACACCCCACTGTCAACATTAGACAGATCAATGAGACAGAAAGTTAACAAGGATATCCAGGAATTGAACTCAGCTCTGCACCAAGTGGACCTAATAGACGTCTACAGAACTCTCCACCCCAAATCAACAGAATATACATTCTTCTCAGCACCACACTGCACTTATTCCAAAATTGACCACATAGTTGGAAGTAAAGCACACCTCACAAATGTAAAAGAACAGAAATTATAACAAACTTTCTCTCAGACCACAGTGCAATCAAACTAGAACTCAGGATGAAGAAACTCACTCAAAACCACTCAATTACATGGAAACTGAACAACCTGCTCCTGAATGACTACTGGGTACATAGAAAAATGAAGGCAGAAATAAAGATGTTCTTTGAAACCAATGAGAACAAAGACACAACATACCAGAATCTCTGGGACACATTTAAAGCAGTGTGTAGAGGGAAACTTATAGCACTAAATGCCCACAAGAGAAAGCAGGAAAGATCTAAAGTTGACACCCTAATATCACAATTAAAAGAACTAGAGAAGCAAGAGCAAACATATTCAAAAGCTAGCAGCAAGAAATAACTAAGATCAGAGCAGAACTGAAGGAGATAGAGACACAAAAAACTCTTCAAAAAATCAATGAATCCAGGAGCTGGTTTTTTGAAAAGATCAACAAAATTGATAGACCACTAGAAAGACTAATAAAGAAGAAAAGAGAGAAGAGTCAAATAGACACAATAAAAAATGATAAAGGAGATATCACCACCGATCCCACAGAAATACAAACTACAATCAGAAAATACTATAAACACCTCTACACAAATAAACTGGAAAATCTAGAAGAAATGGATAAATTCCTGGACACATATAACTTCCCAAGACTAAACCAGGAAGAAGTTGAATCTCTGAATAGACCAATAACAGACTCTGAAATGGAGGCAATAATTAATAGCTTACCAACCAAAAAAAGTCCAGGACCAGACGGATTCACAGCCGAATTCTACCAGAGGTACAAGGAGGAGCTGGTACCATTCCTTCTGAAACTGTTCCTATCAATAGAAAAAGAGGGAATCCTCCCTAACTCATTTTATGAGGCCAGCATCATCCTGATACCGAAACCTGGCAGAGACACAACAAAAAAAAGAGAATTTTAGACCAATATCCCTGATGAACATCGATGCAAAATCCTCAATAAAATATTGGCAAACTAAAGCCAGCAGCACATCAAAGAGCTTATCCACCATGATCAAGTGGGCTTCAACCCTGGGATGCAAGGCTAGTTCAATGTATGCAAATCAATAAACATAATCCAGCATATAAACAGAACCAAAGACAAAAACCACATGATCATCTCAATAGATGCAGAAAAGGCCTTTGACAAAATTCAACAGCCCTTCATGCTAAAAACTCTCAATAAATTCGTTATTGATAGGATATATCTCAAAATAATAAGAACTATTTACGACAAGCCCACAGCCAATATCATACTGAAAGGGCAAAAACTGGAAGCATTCCCATTGAAAACTGGCACAAGACAGGGATGCCCTCTCTCCCCACTGCTTTTCAAAATAGCGTTGGAAGTTCTGGCCAGGGCAATCAGGCAGGACAAAGAAATAAACGGTATTCAATTAGGAAAAGAGGAGGTCAAATTGTCCCTGTTTGCAGATGACATGATTATATATTTAGAAAACCCCATCGTGTCAGCCCAAAATCTCCTTAAGCTGATAAGCAATTTCAGCAAAGTCTCAGGATACAAAATCAATGTGCAAAAATCACAAGCATTCTTATATACCAATAACAGACAAACAGAGAGCAAAATCATGAGTGAACTCCCATTCACAATTGGTTCAAAGAATATAAAATACCTAGGAATCCAACTTACAAGGGATGTGAAGGACCTCTTCAAGGAGAACTGCAAACCACTGCTCAATAAAATAAAAGAGGACACAAACAAATGGAAGAACTTTCCATGCTCCTGGATAGGAAGAATCAATATCATGAAAATGGCCAAACTGCCCAAGGTAATTTACATATTCAGTGCCATCCCTATCAAGCTACCAATGACTTTCTTCACAGAATTGGAAAAAACGATTTTAAAGTTCATATGGAACCAAATAAGAGCCCCCATTGCCAAGACAATCCTAAGCCAAAAGAACAAAACTGAAGGCATCATGCTACCTGACTTCAAACTATACTACAAGGCTACGGTAACCAAAATAGCATGGTATTGGTACCAAAACAGAAATATAGACCAATGGAACAGAACAGAGCCCTCAGAAATAATACCACACATCTACAACTATCTGATCTTTGACAAGCCTGACAAAAACAAGAAATGGGGAAAGGATTCCCTATTTAATAAATGGTGCTGGGAAAACTGGCTAGCCATAGGTAGAAAGCTGAAACTGGATCCCTTCCTTACACCTTATACAAAAATTAATTCAAGATGGATTAAAGACTTAAATGTTAGACCTGAAACCATAAAAACCCTAGAGGAAAACCTAGGCCATACCATTCAGGACATAGGTATTGGCAAGGACTTCATGTCTAAAACACCAAAAGCAATGGCAACAAAAGCAAAACTTGACAAATGGGATCTAATTAAACTAAAGAGCTTCTGCCCAGCAAAAGAAACTACCATCAGAGTGAACAGGCAACCTCCAGAATGGGAGAAATTTTTTGCAATCTACTCATCTGACAAAGGGCTAATATCCAGAATCTACAAAGAACTCAAACAAATTTACAAGAAAAAAAAAACCATCAAAAAGTGGGCGAGGTATATGAACAGACACTTCTCAAAAGAAGACATTTATGTAGCCAACAGACAGATGAAAAAATGCTCATCATCACTGGCCATCAGAGAAATGCAAATCAAAACCACAATTAGATAACATCTCACACCAGTTAGGATGGCGATCATTAGAAAGTCAGGAAACAACAGGTGCTGAAGAGGATGTGGAGAAATAGGAACACGTTTACACTGTTCGTGGGACGGTAAACTAGTTCAACCATTGTGGAAGACAGTGTGGTGATTCCTCAAGGATCTCGAACTAGAAATACCATTTGACCCAGCCATCCCATTACTGGGTATATACCCAAAGGATTATAACTCATGCTGCTATAAAGACACATGCACACATATGTTTATTGCGGCACTATTCACAATAGCAAAGACTTGGAACCAACCCAAATGTCCATCAATGATAGACTGGATTAAGAAAATGTGGCACACATACACCATGGAATATTATGCAGCCATAAAAGCTGATGAGTTCATGTCCTTTGTAGGGACACGGATGAAGCTGGAAACCATCATTCTGAGCAAACTATCGCAAGGACAAAAAACCAAACATCGCAAGTTCTCACTCATAGGTGGGAATTGAACAATGAGAACACTTGGACACAGGAAGGGGAACATCACACACCAGGGCCTGTCGTGGGGTTGGGGGAGGGGGGAAGGATAACATTAGGAAATATACCTAATGTAAATGATGAGTCAATGGGTGCAGCACACCAACATGGCACATGTATACATATGCAACAAACCTGCACGTTGTGCACTTGTACCCTAGAACTTAAAGTATAATTAAAAAAAAAAAAGTTCTGTTGTCACTAAGAACTGTTTTCGTCACCAAAATTGAAGACTTCTTTCATTTTTTAATTCTTATTGAACCATCCACAGTACTTGAAGTTTGATTATTCCCTATTTCCTGAAATTCTTGTTCTTTTGCTTTCTTTAAAATTATCTGTGCTAGTTATGTCAACGAGTTCTTTTCCTATTTCTCCCTTTCCTTTGCATTTCACACCCCTATCCTAAGCCAGGATGCATAGTCACTACTCAATATTCTGTCCTCATCTTTTTTCACTTTTCTTTATTTTCCATTCTTCTTTTCATTAAATTCTTTTCTATGGCTTCAACAATCATTCAAATGAGGGTAAATTACAAATCTATATCTATCCCTGATTTCTACCATTTCTCCATTATTATTTCCTATTACTCCCTTAGATAGGGCAAATGTAACATGAACATGTCTGATGCTTCTCACCTTTATGATCTGGGTCATTCTCTGATTTTGGTTTCAGCCATTTTCCTTTCTTTTCATTACAAAATGCTAAAACTACAATTGTTGCATAAATTCCATGGCTGCTAAAAATTTTTAAACCAGTTAAATTAGAAAGACTAGAAATCAGTGGCTAAGTGAAAGCATGCTGAATTTTAAATAAAATAGGTTGTAAGTTATTAAAATTTGAAAGAATTGAAAACAATACCACAGGCTAAAATTTTATATTTAATTTTTCTCAGTTCTCATGGGTTGAATTCTCTCAGTGGGGGTTGATATTTCAAAGGACTGATATCTATTTTTATTTTTATTTTTGGCAAGAGGAGGGAGTTATATGAAGAATCATTTGTTATATGGAGAGTCAAAATTTAATCCAGATCAGTAGTTCATTTTGTTAAGTAAATTTTTGTTTTACCCAATTTCCTGATGCAGGAGACATTTTTGTTCTATTATGCAAATATGCTTAATGAATGTTTAAAGAATATGGAAGACTGTACTAGGATTTTGAAAGATTAAAAAAACCAGGCACAGTTTTTATGTCAGGGAATATAGAGTCTTGATATAAACTTATGTGAGAGAATTTATGTAAAAAATATTTATAATACTAGGTAGAGTGAAATAAGTGTCTTAAGAGAGAAAGAGATAAAGTGCTTTGTGGAGTTTATGATATGTAATAAAAGGTATGTGGCTTGGTGTTTTACTCACATGCAGGCAGCGATTTTTATTTTTCCTAGCTATCTGTAGTTTTTCATAATGAGAAACTGAGCTGTGTAGTGAGCAGGCTCATGGCCTCTAGAGCCAAACTCCCTAGGTCAGATCTGTAATCACTTACTAGTTCTATGCTGTCTGTGAATTTCTTCATCTGTAAATTGTGAATAATAATAGTTTGCCTCACATAGTTATGATAAAATTAAATTGATTGTATTTGTAATGCACTCAGAACAATGACTGCCTTATAGAAAGTGGTACGTACATGAAAGCTCAATTTCTTAATAATATTACTATAATTTTTCTTCAGTCGGATTAAGAATAACTTCCATTTCAGACTCACTTTTATTTCTAAAACTTTGAGATATTCCCATCTAAGAACCTGACAGTAGGCAATGATCAAAAGTCTTTTCCGTAAAATAAGACAGAACTTAGGTGGATTTCATCAAAAATTATGGATGAAGATATCCTGTGAGTAAAGTACATACTCTATGTGACATAATGCTTTTGGTTTTTGAAAGGTATACTTCAAGCAAAAGGATTTTTAAAAATGAGAATCATAAGAAGTTAATTTCCCATTCTTTAGCGTATTTGTCCTAAAGTATGTTGTCTGACTTTTATCGAAGTCTCCAGGGACAGGCTAAGTTAGAAATACTATCAGTATGTTTATATACTCACATTTGCTCCAGGCGCTTTCAACTACATTGGATATTAAATGTTGAAAATGCTTGAATATAATTCCCTACCTCTCCGTTTTAAATTTTTTTTATTAAATTGGAATCTACAAATTTATTAACAACATCTTGGCAACATTAATCTCTATTTCATATTGTTTCAAATGCAGAAGTTTGCTCTTATTAGACTTGTGAGAATCTAGTTGAAATGTGTAACTTTTGATTATAGTTACATTTAAAGCTGAATTTCGTTTTGCTGTTTTACTAAACATTTATAAGAACTTCATAGGATGAGATATAACACTATTTTTCATTATTCTCCACTTTTACAATTTGAGATTAATGTTATAACATCCTTTACATTAGGATATCAACAAAATAGAGGAAAACTTGGGTAACAAAGTAGATATAATCCCTTTTTTCAGTTATGGAGAATTTGATATTGAAGATTTACTATTGTGTCTGACACTGTTGTCATTATTATCATTTTTTCGTTGAAAAGAATTTGAGAATTTGAAATTAAAAACTTTAGACACAAAGCTAGACTCCATAGTTATTCAAAAAATTATGAGCATATGTGATGGGAAGGGAATAATGAATGTGTTCAAATAGAAGTTGGATAAATTTTACAGCATCCCTCTAAGCATTTACGGCAATATTGTTTAAATTATTTGACTTAGGGTAATGTTTGTATATTATTATGAGGAAATATAATATCTGTCTTTAAAATTGATAATATAAATTAAAAATATATATTTTATTATGTGAAAACAACACATAAGTTATTATATAATTTTAAAATATAAGACCTAAACATAATTATACGAAAAATTTAGACATAGTGTCTATATAAATAGCCTCTTGTTGGTATTTTAAAAGATGATTTCACAAATAAGTCAGAACTAGAGCTTAAGAACTTGTTTAAAAGCAAGGGTGGCTGAATCCTATGATTGTACAACGAGAGACACTTAAATCCTATGAAAGTGAAGGTGAGGATGATCCCAGCCTGGCTTATTGTTGATTTAAAAATAGTCTCAGCTGCAGGAAAAAAAAACAAAAGAAGGAGTGTAAAAGAAGGTCACCCCGAAACATATGCAATAAAACAAATAGTTAACACTTTAGTAAAGTAATCCAGAAAGAAAATCAGATATATGTTGCCAGTGATGGATGCAGGTGTGAAGTAGAAAGACATTGGAAAGGTTCACATTAAAAAATGATCTGTACAGATGAGTATACAGAAAAGGAATTAGAAAGTATTTGAGAACCAATTATACTATGGCTCTGAAACACAAAACTTGAGACAATTGTGAAGAAGCCTCAACTGACTCTTCTACCTTTATTTATGAGTAGAAGAGTGAAGGAGCTCAATATCTCATTTCTCTCCAAACCTCCCCTCCCAGCTTCACTCTGTCATAAAAAAAGTATTTCTTAGCCATTAATTGGATTTAATTATTCTCAAAAGTATAAATGATTAATATATCATATTGTGTTCATGGCTGACTACTCTTTCTATTTGCTAAGCTGGGCTGATCTTGGGCCTAATACTTTTCTTCCGTTTTTTAAACTTAAGTTCTGATTCCAAGTTTTGAACAAGTTGACTGAATTTATCTGATTGACTCCGCATTCTTATTCCTCATTTTATCCATCCCTAAAATGGGTTGTTAACTGAACTGTAATAACAAATAAGCTTTAAAAAATGTTGATGAACATGCCATTTAATCAAGTGTAAGGGAAATGATGAAGAAATATTAGTGTACCAGAAGGCAATCAGAATATTTCCAGTTTACAATGCAGAAATAGATAATACATGAAACTGGTAAAAAGACAAATTGTACTTTCAGAAGTGTTCAACTCTGATAACCTGACCAACTTTGCAAAAGTTCTTGTTGACCTGCTGGAACTATTAAAATTATTAGGAGTGAGAAATGTCCTGGTTTGTGCAAATTATAATGTAATTTGATTTTGTCTGTCTTTTGAATGAATGAAAGGTCTATTTCCTGCTTAAACACATGTGGACCTCATATCCAGGGTCTCAAATGCACAGATAATGCCTAATTACATTTTGAAATGTTAAATACTTATTTTGTTCAAGCTTGAAACTCTTATTTATTACTGATAATTGTTCTACGGTATTTCTTGCTTTAACCTAATGCAGCTATATCTTCCTTACTTTTTGTTTATTTGCTTATTGATTGTTATTCAATTTACTCACATTTGCTATAATAATAGGCTCTTTTAGTACTGGATCCTGAAAGTAGATTGCTTTTTATGAAGAATTTCAATATAATCAAAAGAGAAGCTTCATGTTCTCTTAAATGCTTATTAAATGTTACTTGATGGTGATGATAACCTTTTTGTACTTTAAATCCAACTTGCAGCATTAATTCATTTGAAACAGAATTAATTTGAAAGAGAATCTTGATTTTCATCTCAAACTCTCTTGCTTGTACAGTTCTTGAAGATAACTTATAATGATAAAATAATAAATTCCTTCAATTCTTTATACTGATTTTAGAGTTCTTTCACTTAAATAACTAAGTAATATACACATTTATTTTTAAGTCTTACCTTTAAATATTTTTCCTAAACTTATGCAACTGAAATGCATTCAAAGGTGAATGAAACTAAAAGATTTTGAGCCTACAAGAATCTATGGGCTGGTTAGAAACGAATAATCACTAAAATATGTTCCACTTAAGAGATGACATGAGGAAGTTTGATTTGCAAAATCGATTGAGATATGTTAATGAAATCAAATAGCAAATAGAACCGTAATTTTGTTTGCTACTTTTCACTGTCACTGATTTTAGTTGTTGGTTGAAACAGGGAGATTGTATAATGCCTTTAAAAAATCCATGTTTAATTGTTTTAATATTGATTGTCTTTCCTATAATTTAAATTCTTTTTCATTATGTAAGCATTTCAAAGATTTGCCTTTTTTTTGTGTCAACGACTTTGCTTTCTAAAGCACCTTCATAAAAGCCTTTGCAACAGTTTTCAGCTGTTCAAGTATCCTTAAACTTATAACAAATGATATCCATTTGGTAGTTAAAGTGGCAGAGAAAGATTGTATTGTATACCTCATCCTTAGTTATAACTGAAATAATATAAATAATTTAGAATTCAGGAAATTAATTATTTTTTAAAAAGCATACCATTATTTGGTGAAACAATTACTGCTATCTGGCATGCTTTTGTTGTATATTAATAGAATGAATTCCTTGTTTTTAAATAAAAGTAAACAATATAAATGTACAATTCTAAGAATAAAGAAACTTTTTCTTTAATGTACTAGTTATTATGAAAGCTCCTTTTCAAGGGGATCAGGTTTACATACGTAAAAAATTGGATACGAAACCATAATACATATGCTCACTGTTTCATGTAGATGTTCTTAATAGTGCCCTGTGATAGGTGAAAACTGTGTTATTCAGGTAAAACCATGTGATGCTGTCACAAATAAGTCCAAAATGCAGTTAACCTGAACTACTATACTGTTTCATTTCAACGTAATTCATTTACAATCAAATAATAAGATTTTAGCAAAGCTCCTGTGTCTGTTTACCACAGCTGGTATGATTGTAATTTACTTATATCAATGGAATTATAGCAATATATTCAGCAATTATGTTTAAAGTGTTAATGGAAAATGACATCGCCTTACAATGAAGGAGCCAATAGTATTGCTACTTTGGGATGGATAAATCCATAGGGAAGAATATCAGATATTATTTTACTAGATTATTTTATGATTTTATTTAATGGATAGTTCAAAAATTTATATAATTCCTATTTTAAAAAGCTTGAATAAAATGAAACCCTTGATTGAGGAGATCAGAGTCTATGGGAATTAAGTGTCTCTAAATAAAGAATTGTCTTGTAAGTAGGCATAGTAGTGGGAGAAATAAATTCCACTTGGAGTCATCAGGGAGGGATGTGATAATATTTGTAAGGGAAGCAACTTTCAGTGTGAGATTGTAGTTGATATTTTAGGTATGTAGAATATGTGCAGCAACACAGAGGTAGAAATTATCTTCTTTTACTGGATTGTGTTGGGTAACTGGCAGCAGCTAGAGTGTATTTTACATTATAAGGAGTAGAGTTTGTAAGTGGGCATGACACTGAAGGAGTAGATGAACCTGAAAATGTAGTTGAAAGAGTCTCCAAATATATTTGAATGGTGAGTTGTTTGAACTTCGTTTTGTATGAAACGAAAATCCAGAGAAAGTTCAGCAGGAAAGTGACATGATCACCACTTTATTTTAGAAAGCGAAAGGTAGCATCAGAATGAAGGTGTGGGACATTAATACAAGAGAGGAGATGAAGAAGGCAGACTCAATGGCAGGCTATTGAAATACTTAATGTGAGAAATTATGTAGTTTGGGTTAAGGAATTCTACATGGACTACAAGGGAAATTAACACATGGAGGTGATATGAAACATAGAAAAAGTAATGTTTCAATCTGTTGGATAAACATCTTGTGATCAATGTATCAGTCATTTACATTTGTCTCATACATACACATTTATCTAAAAATTAATTGGTTCTCTTAATAGACTCACTAAGCTTTGGTAATAAAACAGACCCTCTGTAAATGGGCTTAGATGAAGCGGACCTAGAAAAACCATGAATGGCATAAGAATATAGTTCCATTTGATTATGCCTTAAGGTGACTATGAAACTGCTTAAGTTTCCTTGAGATTTCTCTAGAGATAAGATCATCTGGAACACTACTCCAAAAACAGTCTCAGGTTCTTGAGGCTGAAACTTGTTATTTTACAAGGACTGAAATAACAAATTAAAATTGCTGAAGTGCCTTTAGGTGAATATTTTGCCTTGCTGTTACTCAGCTGACAAAACAAGAAAATTCTTAAGAAAGAATGAATTCGCCCTTTGACAATAAGAAATTATAGGTGACAACTAATTGTTTGACAGAGATGCAAAATATGGATTCTGTTTCCCTTCTGTGTTGACATCAGACTGAACTTTGGCTTACTTTGCACAGAAGGTTCCAGTCACATTCAGAATGGATTATGGCATACTGAGCACCGTCTCAACATGTTCTTACAGTCAGCAGATCGCAGGAGGGATTCCCTGTGGAGGATGTTGTGATCTCCCACTGGATGCTTTTTTCCTTTTCCTTTCTTCTTTTCTTTGCTTTGAAGAGCTGGACAAGAAAGGTATCTGTGCTGAAAGCTGAGGAAACCTGGAGGGCAAGTGCTGACATTCATGGGATCAGAGTTACTCTTGCAAGAGCTAACCAGCAGGGTAAACAGTTTGCTACAGCTTTAATAAATGAGCCTAATAGAAATAGATGAGTTAATCTGCACATTTTTCATTTTCTTACACAGCTAGTAGTCACTGAGCTCTCTATCATATAATTTTTCCCCCATACCCTTTGCTCTTTCTTTCAATTAACTCGTCATCTGCCTTCAGTCTTCATAAATCAAAAGCAGCATTCAAAAATGTGATGTGATTATTGGAAACATTTTGTTAATGAAAGATATTCACAGAAAAGATGCTCACAAAACAGAAGGAAATTAAATTGTTACTGATATTTCTCCATAAAACTGGAAATTTTTGCAACTGAAAGACCACACAGTGGAGTTTCCACTCAACAAACACTAAAACTATGAGAACTTCCTGGAAATATTAGATACTGCAACTTCGGAAATATAGACTTTAAAAAAAAGAAATATAGACTTAAATGAATAAATGGCAATGTTGAATATGCTGTAGCGCAGAATTCTAGCTCTCTAGGGATTGTCCAGTGTCCTACATAATAAATCATAGGAAAAGATTAAAAATAAATTAGGACAATGCTGTATTTCCATTTTATCGTTATACTTAGAGCCTTGGAAATGTAGAAGAAAGGTTGTTCCTTAAGTTATTTTCAGTCACGTCTCTATAAGAAAACAGGATGAACACTGCATACGAGACAAGTCTTCAAAAAACGTATTTTAATTTTTAAGTATTGAAAATTTACCCATTGCTGGAAATTAGTTACAATCTAAGATTATATAATATCAGCAGAGAAGTGTCCTACACGGGGCTACATATGTTTCTGTCCACCATTGTGATCTTGGATGTTTTAAAAGCTGCCAGGCATGTGGAAAGATTACCTTTGCTTTCAATTAGAGAAGGAAGCCTTTTCCCATAATGGCCATTTGGTGATATATTCTAAATCAATCATGTATTATCATTACAAAAACTGTCTTTAAATCCTACTTCTTTTTTTTTTTTTTGATATGGAGTCTGGCTCTGTCACCCAGGCTGGAGTGCACTGGCACAATCTCGGCTCACTGCAAGCTCCGCCTCCCAGGTTCACGCCATTCTCCTGCCTCAGCCTCCCAAGTAGCTGGGACTACAGGTGCCCGCCACCACGCCCGGCTAATTTTTTGTATTTTTAGTAGAGACGGGGTTTCACCGTGGTCTCGATCTCCTGACCAAGTGATACACCCGCCTCGGCCTCCCAAAGTGCTGGGATTACAGGCGTGAGCCACTGCACCCGGCCTAAATCCTACTATTTTTTATGTCATCGAGGTTATGATTAGACTAGGTGTCTTATTACAGCATTCAATGTAGTAAGAAAAATAACCTTTGTTTTCGTCCAGTGACACGGTGAGATTCATGGAAAATCTATTTTTGCAAATGTTTAAACTGGTTTATCTCTACTAAAGATGAGAAAATAATAAAATTTTCCCATGTTGAGACTTCTTTGCACAACCTTATGATGTTTTCAAATACCTGGGTGGTATTTTGATTATATTATTATGGTTTTCTCTTTGACTTTCTGTTTATACGTTCTTTAGATAAACTAGTTTCTCTTAGCTTTAGAAGATGAGTAGGTAGCATTAGTAATCTTATAGCAGTTTGCAAAGATTAAGATAGAATTAATGTTGAATTTCTAAAGACCAAAAGACAATATTTCCATAAGAAAACTGGTTTGGAAGGAAAACTTTGGAGTGGATATTTTCTAAATTTGCTTAACATACCAATGCGGAAACATCAATGGCTCACACTTTGAAAATTCTTTCCTAAACATGGAGAAGACTCACCTTTCAGCTTCAGTGATAGTCCTCATAGGTTGGTACCAATGATAGGGAGAATCATTCCTATCTTTACATTCCATGTAATGCATTGATGTAAAAGCAGTAGATAGATAGTGCAGAACCTGTCCTTTGGTCACAAGGAATTTTGAGAGATAAAGGGAGAGAAAGGCAGATGAGTGAAGGGCTGAAAAATCTGGTACACCCAGTCTCCTATTTTCAGACTTTGTCTTGGACAGGAGGAGGCATCTTGTGTAAGTTGAAGCAATTACCAAGGCTGGGAGCACTTTAGAGTCTCTAGGTTGTGGAACTCTGGAAGGAGATTTCGTCTCTGAGGTTACAAAAAACCTAAATTTTGGGACTCAACATGGTTAGGCTGAAGAAGAGATGTAATTATTCTTGAGTTGCTTGCTGTACGTATGAAGTGTAAGTGGAATCCAGTGTTCCTGCATGACCCTGCTCCAAGTGAAACTATTTGAGGTGATATGATCCAACTGCGGTGATTAGAGGATAGGAATGGGTTGCTTATTCCTGGCGTGGATGGAAGATATAGCAGAGGTTCCTGAGAAAGTTCACAATACCAGCAAGGGCTGAGGTACTGCCTTGGGAATTAGAGCTCATCATTAGGCCTTGATGAAGCCCTAAGAAACCTGACAGTGAGTTCCAGCAGAGGGAGCAGAAGTCAGACAGATGAGAAACCTGTCAAAGAGACTGGAGGAGCCCAAGGACACAAGGTATAACTGCACCCCTCACTCGCTGTCATGAGAACGACGTAAGTCTCCTCATATACTCACATCCTCCTCTGAGGAAGAAGAAAAAAGTGAAGGGGAAAGAATGTCAAGATGGAGCATCCATCTTAAAAGATTGAATGATCCAAAAAAGATTCTTTAAAACATGTCTGTGAAGGATATGGAGTTTGAAGAGACTAAGTATAAAAACCTGAAGAGACTGAAATATTGTTATTTGGCAAGAATAAGTTTTCTTTTGTGTGGGGTAGGCTCCAGCAGAAAATTAGACCAGGTTTAGAGAATAAAAGAGCTATTTTTTTTCTATGTGTAGCTTTGTGTTCTTTTAAGCTACTAAATTTGTTTCAAGAAATAGAAACCCGATACACTAATAAACTTTCCTTATTTTAACATGGAGGTCCCAATTATTAATAAGTTTGTCCTATACTAAGGGTAATATTGTGCTGTGGTTATAAGACCCAAATGAAGATAGCAATGTCACATAAACATAGAGGATTTATACATTTTCTCAAAGTTATTAGTTCATAGTTCTGTAAATTAGAAGCCTGGGAAGGCTCAGCTAGATTCTTTACTTAGTCTCACAAGGCTGAAATGAAGTTGTCAGGAGTTTTGGGCTTTTATCTGGATGCTCTCGGGAAGAGTCCACTTCCATCCTCATTCAGATCATGGGCAGTCCAGTTCCTTGCTGTGCATTGTAGATCTGAAGTCCCTGCTTCTTTCTTGCTGGGTGTCATCTGGGCCCTATGCTCTGTTACTGGAAGCCACCTGCATTCTTTCTCACGTGGTCCTCTCCACCTTCAAACCAACAATGGCAAGTCAAGTATTTTTCATTCTTTGAATCTTTCTGATTTTCTCTTCTGCTACCAGTTAAAGAAAATTCTGTGCTTTTGAAGACTCAAGTGATTAGAACTGGCCAATTTACTGAAAAAGTCTGTCTTTCCACGAACGAAAATCAGTTGATTCACAGCATTATTTAATCTGCAAAATCTCTTTTGGCCTGTAGTCTACTATAATCACAGGCATAATATCCCATCCAATTCACAGTCCCAGCTCTGGGAGTTAGGATGGGAGATCACAAGGGTAGGAGGTGAGGTACAGAGAGGGGTGTCATTTAAGGATTCCCCTGCGCCACACATTTATAGAATCTGTTAAAGAATGGATAGGATAGATAAAAGATGGTGAACTTCAACTGAAATCTCTTCTAAAGTATTGAAAATTCCAAGAGATTTTGAGTTAATTAAACTTACAATGCTTGTGTTAATCTTTGAAATGTATATCTCTTTTTTACCATAGAATTCTGCGGTTGATTTGATGTCATTTTTTTATATCAAATGTAGTAGCAGGAATATCATTGATAGTTGATAATTTAGAAGAAAAGAAATAAGAAGTATGCATGGTTTTTGGAAATTTGTTTAGAATTTTGGTCTTATATATAAGAATATGTTTTAATTTAGGAATAAAAGTATTTGCTATGGGGAATAGGCCCTTTAAAATTGGTCCCATTTAATATCCCACAATACTAATTGAAATGGATCTTTAATATATTTCCCCCAAGTGAAATAAAATGCAGATTTCAATTCTCATGAGATAATAAACTAACAATATCAGAGAATGTACTTCAACATCAGTAATAAATTTATTGGTTTCCTGACCTAACCAAGAACCTTAATCTTGACGAGAGCTTTTCAAGTCTTATGATTAAGTAGATAATCCCAGATTGCATGGCCTTTATCTGAGTAAGGTCAGAAAGGGTTAGCACAGAGAATGTAAATCCTATCGGCCATGTAAAAGGGGCTGTATAACATTTCTGAATAATACTGAGGGGGAAGTTATTTGGTTGTTTAAGAATAAAGATTAAAACCTACCATTATCATAATACAGCATTAGGTCTACCATCAATTCTGAGATTTTGAAAATTGCAAATGAATTATACATCATACATTAATCTTATAGATTATTATTTGATTTTAATTGCTTTTGGGTTTACATTCCAAAGCAATGTTAATATTTTTTTCCAGTTAAGGCAAGGGGAAATTAGTATTTATGTTTTATCCTTTTTTTCTCTAAATTATAAATGTTTTCTGATCTTTAAATACTAACGAGTTTTGTGTTTTTTGCTTTGTTAGGAATCTTCTTTTAACAACTTAATTATTCCCAGTGTCATTGTAGGGGAAAAATTTCAAGCGGGCTGCTGAAGTGACATTTGGGGTTTTCAAACAATTTCTGAAAGCAAAGGAGAATCACACACGTAGCACCATTTATTAATATAGATAATTTGACTGCATTATTTACAATTCACCAGAGTTACTATTTTTATACCAATGTCCTGAGGAAAGAGGGAACCATTCTTATAATAGATAAAGGCTACTGTATCTGAAGCTGGTGGTTTCTCTGGAGAAATTGTAATTTGGCAAAACATAATACACTTTTTAAAGATTATTTTACCGTAAATAATCAATATCCTTTTAAGGACTTGAAAGATCACAAGAGGTGAGTTTTTTCTCTGTCTAATTTTATGTATACCCCTACTTGCAAATAAAATCTTAGAAATGATCTATACCTAGTGAAACCTGGATTTTAGGTAATACAGACATATTTGGTTAGTTATGCTATCATGCTATGTCTTAAATGTTTTTCTTTTACAAACTAAGGAAATAAACCACATATCTTTAAAATGATATGGTTGAAAGTTTATGTATCTGGTGGAGTATGGAATGGTGAGAAGGGGCAACCCACTGATCAGCTATTACTGTTTGATCTATTTAGCCAGCGTTCTAAGAATGAACAGGAGCAAGATACAGTAGACATAGATGACACAATTTAGTGTAGCCTTCTCCTTGCCCTTTAGTACCATTGGGCCTATAGATGTCAGCGATAATTTCTGTATAGGTGAGGTTCTGCCAGATTGAGAAGGAAGTCAAGAGAAGCTTTGTCTCTTTCTTTTATTAAACTAACATTCATGAGGAAACTGTACCTTTTACATACCTCAATATATAACAATATTACTAATAATATGATATGGGTAGATATATAAATTTTATAATCTTCTGTTCCATAGTCAGACGTGCTGTCCATTGCACCACTGGCTCCATCATATAAATTCTAATCTTACTAATGATAATAGTAAGATTTTCCATTTGCTCTATTCCAGATACCATTGTTAAGGCTTTATATAGATGACCTTATTTAGTTGTGAATATAGTCTTAGTAGACAGATACCATTACTATTCTCATTTTACTCATGGGAAATGGAGGTACTGAAAGCTTAAGTAACTTGTCCACAGTAATCCAGGTTAAACGACTGGTTATTTAAAAGCCCAATACAAATATTGGCCTTTTAAAATTCATGAATTAAACTCATATCTACCAATTATCATCCTGTTTTGTAGCCCAAAGAGAGACACATCTTATTAAAAGTGTTCCTTCTGGTTGCAGAACCCCTTTTATTTCTTCTCATTTTATTTTCAACCATGGCTCACTCTCTTACCTCAGTCTCCAACTTACTTTTTCTATTATTTGCTTTTTTCATATAATATGCAATATATCGATATATACAAAACAATACTGGTACTACTTTTTGTTATGGTAATATATATAATATATACTATATAATATAATGTATATTATATTATACATAATATCTTGTATATATACACATATACACACACACACACACACACACACACACATATATATATGTATATAAAAGAGGCAGGGTCTTCTTCTGTCACCCAGAGTAGAGTGCAGTGGCATGACCATAGCTCACTGCAGCCTCAAACTCCCAGGCTCAAGTGATCTTCCTGCCTCAGCCTCCTGAGTAGTTAGGACTACAGGCATGCACCACCATACCCAGCTATTTTTTTTTTTAGTAGAGATAAGGTCTCACTATATTGCCCAGGCTGGTCTTGAACTCCTGGCCTCAAGGAATCCGCTTGCCTCAGCCTCTCAAAGTGCTGACATTAGAGGCATGAGCCACCATGCTTGGCCTTGTGATGGTTGATAATACACATCAACTTGGTTAGACTATAATAACCACATGTTTGGTCAAATATGTCTGGATGTTGCTGTGAATGTAGTTTTTAGATGACATTAATCATTAAAATCAATACACTTTGAGTAAAGATTACTCTCCATAATGTGGGTGGACCTTATCCGATCAGTGGGAGCTAAAGAAAAAGACTGAAATCCCAATAAGAAGAAGGGGGAATTCTGCTAGCAGACTGGCTCCAGACAGCAACTGCAACTCTTCCTTGGCTCTCCAGCCTGCCTGCTTACTCTGTAGGTTTTGGAGTTACCAGCATCCACAACTACATAACTCAATTTCTTATCATTAAACTCTCTCTCTCTCTCTGTGTATGTGTCTATAAACACACATAGATGATATATGCATATAAATATCTCCATCCTATTGGTGTTGGTTCTGCTTCTCTGGAGAACCTTGACTACTATATTTATATAAATTATAAAGCTTAATGATATAACAAACGTGTATCCAAACCAATAATCCCCAAATTTCATATACCACCCGCTGCCTCCTTTGTGAGGTAATCATTATTCTGAATTTTGGATTTATTATTTCATTTTTGTCATTTATGATTTTATCACATATGTATGTATGCTAGAAAAATTTATTATTTTGTTCTGTCTGTTTAAACTTTATAGAAATGTATCATATTTGTATATAGGTTTAGTTTTCTGAGACTTCTTTTGGAACTTAAAATTATGCTTTAATGATTCATCCATGCTGTTGAATGTAGCTGTAGCTTATTTATTTCACTGCTCTATCATATGGATGTGAACATACTGGAATTTAAAATTTATTCTCTAATTGATGGACATTTTATATCATATTTAATACTTTGCATACTTCCATGATCTTTCTTGTACAAGTCTCTTAGTATACATGTGAATGAGTTTCTTGAAATGTACTTTGAAATCAAATTTCTGGGTAGTAAGGTATGTGAATGTGTGATTTTTCCAGAAAATGCCACATTGCATTTTTTGAGCAATGCATAAGTCTTTCTATTGATCCACATCCCTTCTTACTGTGGACTTCTTACATTTTGCCAAGCAAGTAGATGTAAAATGTAATCCATTTGTCATTTTATTATGATATATAAGCATTCTTCATATATTCTGGATACTGAATCTTTGTCAGTTGTATGTGTTACAAGTATCTTTTCACACTCTGTGGCTTAGTTTTTTCACCATCTTTGACATATTTTTGAGGAACTGAATTGAAATAAACAAGTTTATTGCTTTTTTGGGGGTGGGTACATTTAAGAAATTATTCTCTCATTCCAAATCAGAAAAAATATTGTTCTATAGTTTTATTCATAAAGATCCTGTATTTCCCCCCCAATACTTAATTATTTAATCCATTTGAAATGTTTTCCATAAAAGTATGAGATAGAAATTCTTAATTTTTTGGTCCAAAATGGATTCAAAATTTCTATCAACAACATTTATTAGTATCTCCTTTCCCCCTGCTCCCTCCTCATCTGCTATAGTATATTCACCATATGTCTCAGTCCTGTGTATATTTGGGTCAGCTTCTGGGCTCTCTTACCTGTTACATTGCTTACTTTTTATCTCCTGGCACAAATGCCACATGTCCAAACAACATAGCTTTATATTGGGTTTTGATATCTGTAAAGACAAATCCCCTCACTTTATGCTTCTATTTTGCATTTTTTTTTACTTCCACAAAAATTTTAGGATCTGCATTTCAAATTCTTGTTAAAATTCAATTGAATTGACTTTTTGGATTCATTCGGCATAAATTTACATTTTTTGCTAATTAAGCGTTCTTGTCCATGAATGCAAAATATTTGTCTGTTTGTGTTTTTAATGTATGTCAAAACATGCTATGCATTTTTTAGTACAGGTCTTACACATCTTCTATTGGATATATTCCTAGGTACCACATCAGTTGCTAATGTACATACTGCATTTTCAAAGAATTATATATTCTATGTGTTGTGGATGTATAAAATGCAATTGATTTTTTAAATATTAATTTCAGAGCAACCCACCTTGCCAAACTTTCTGGTTATTTCTCATAATTAGGCTGCAGTGTATTTGGAATTTTCCAGGTAGACAATCAAGTCATCAGTATTGGAAAATAGCTTTATATTCTTTCTAATCCTTAGGTATTTGTTTATTTTTCTCCTCTTAATGAATGTTAAGTACTTCTAGTACAGTTTAAAATGGAAAAGTCTTCACCTTAAGCAATATATGCAGAATCTGATCCACTTATCACCACTTGCCCAGCACCACCCTGATCTAAGTCATCTTTATCTCTTGCCAGAATTACTTTAACAGCTTTCTACAGTTCTTCCTGTCCCTAAGTTTGCTTCTACTCCATCAACCACAGTCTATCTTCAATACCACAGCCATATATATGATTCCATAACCCTCTAATGGTTCCACATTTAACTTAAAATCATTACAAGATGTACAATGCTTTTATAAGGCTTCCCTTTCCTGAAGCCTCCTCCTGTTTTTCTCCATTCCTCTTGTTCTCACTGCTTGCAGCAGACACTGTTGATGCCCCATCTCATATCATATTGACCTACCTCTGAATTCACTTACAGCTATGGTGATGGGTATTTTCTATGCTGACTAGCATGATTGCACTGCAAAAGCTTGTGTATCTGGCCTCTTGCTTCTCTGCCCAAGGGCTGACTCTGGCAGCATGGAAATTTGCTGAGCCCACTGCAGGACAGCCCAGAAGTGTTTGGGATATAATGATCCAAGGACAACTGTTAATCTGTAAGACATGGGAATCTGTGGATAAATACTGCTTTCCTCTGTTGTGGTGGAAAATTCTGAGATGCTGTGTAAATGCATCCTCAGCTAGTCCTCAGCAAGTCCTCTACAAGATGGGGCAGCATTTGCCCATTCTGATAAACTCTCATCCACTCACCTTTTATAAGCCATTCTTCTTTCTCTGCCTTGTTGCCTTGCCTGCTTCTCAGGATCACCTGTTAAGCAAACTACATTCATTCAATTCCTTGATAATGAGATTATTTCCAGGGAAACCCAATCAAGAATACTGCATTGGCCACACTGACTTCTTTGCTATTTTTCAAACACAAAGGCATGTTAATGCCTTAGCAAAATTTCACTGAGAGGAATTATTTTTCTTCATATATCTGCTGGGTCAACTCCTTCATGCCTTTCATGTGTTTGCTAAACAACCTTTTCACTGTAAGGCTGAAGATGACTGCTTATTTAATGCTACCTCCTGCACCCCTCCACACCCCTCCACCCTCTTGCACTCCTGATCTAATCTGATCTGTTCAACTTTATTTTTTTTTACCATATCACTTTTTAGATGCTAGCATTCTATGTAATTATTCACTGTATTTATTGATCGTTTTCTATTATCTCTTAATAAATGTAAGTACTTTGAAATCAGGGATCTTTGTCCATTTATTCACTTATGTATCATAGGATGCCTAAGAAGGTTCCTGGTATAGGCTTAATCAATATGTTTTCAGTAAACGAAAGAGTAAAATAGAATAGATGAACATCTTGTCTTGTTCCTGATCTTGAATTAAACTGTTGGAATGTTTCTTCACTGAGAATAAAATTTGGTATGATGAAGTCCTCAAAAACAATTGCAACAGAAACAAAAATTGACAAGTGGGAACTAATTAAACTATAGAGCTCCTGCACAGCAAAATAACAAACAAACAAAAAACCTGTCAACAGTCAACAGAGTACCCAGACAACCTATAGAATGGGAGAAGATATTCGCAAACTATACATCTGATATGGTTTGGCTGCATCCCCACCCAAATCTCATCTTGAATTGTAGCTCACACAATTCCCATGTGTCCTGGGAGGTACCCAGTGGGAGGTAACTGAATCTTGGGGTGGGTCTTTCCCATGCTGTTCTTGTGATAGTGAGTAAGTCTCACAAGATCTGATGGTTTTATAAAGAGGAGTTCCCCTGCACAACTTCTCTCTTTCCTGCTGCCATGTTAGATGTGACTTACTCCTCCTTGTCTTCTGCCATGATTCCCCAGCCACGTGAAAGTGTGAGTCAATTAAACCTCTTTCCGTTATAATTACCCAGTTTCAGGTATGTCGTTATTAACAGAGTGAGAACACAGTAATACAGCATCTGACAAAGGTCTAATATCCAGAGTCTGTAAGGAATTTAAACAGTTCAACAAGCAAAAAACTTCATTAAAAAGTGGGCAAAGGACATGAACAGACACTTCTCAAAAGAAGAAATAAAGCAGCCAACAAACATGGAAAAATACCCAACATCACAAATCATCAGAGAGATGCGTATCCAAAACCACGATGAGGCATTATCTCATATCAGTCAGAATGGCTATCATTAAAAAGTCAAAAAACAACAGATGCTGCTGAGGCTGGAGAGAAAAAAGAATGCATATACACTGTTGGTGGGAATGTAAATAGTTCAGTTACTGTGGAAAGCAGTTTGGAGATTTCTGAAATAACTTAAAAACAAAACTATTCGACCCAGCAATCCCATTACTACAAAAGAAAATAAATCATTTTGCCAAACGGCACATGAACTTGTATGTTCATTACAGCACCATTCACAATAGCAGAGACATGGAATTAGCCTAGATGTCCCACATTGGTGGACTGGATAAAGAAAATGTGGTGCTTATGTGCCAGTAAATACTATGTAGCATAAAAAATATGAAAATCATGTCCTTTGCAGCAACATGGATGCAGCTGGAGGTCATTATCCTAAGTGAATTAATGTAGGAACAGAAAACCAAATACCATGTATTCTCACTTACAAGAGGGAGCTAAGCATTGGATATTCATGAGCATGAAGATGGCAACAATAGACACTGGTGACTACTAGAGAGGGGAGGGAGGGAGTGATGCAAGGGGTGAAGAACTAACTTTTGGGTACTATGCTCAGTACACGGGTGAGAGGATAATTGATACCCAAAACCTTAGCATCACACAATATACCCAAGTAACAAACCTGCACATGTACTGCATGAATCTGAAATAAAAGTTGAAATTATTTTTTAAAGAAGAAGGGCAATATTTAGGCCAGTTGCAGTGGCTCACATGTGTAATCCCAGCACTTTGGGAGGTCAAGGTGGGATGGTCTCTTGAGGCCAGGAGTTCCAGATCGGTCTGGAAAACAGAGACCCAATCTCTACCAAAAACAAACAAACAAAGAAGAAAAATAAAAAGAATGGGAATGGGGTATGGTTGCTCAAGCCTGTAGTCCCAGCTACTCAGGAGGCTGATATGGGAGGATCACATGGGCTCAGGAGTTGGTGTCTGCAGTGAACTGTAATTGCATAACTGCACTCCAGCGTGGGTGACAGAGCAAGACCTTATCTCACCAAAAAAAAAAAAGTATTTGTTGTAAGGTTTTGGTGGCAAACCTTTATTAGTTTAAGAAAGTCTTTTTCTAGCTATGTTTATGAATCAAAATGGACTGTTGTTTTTCTTTAGTCACTATGCTTGTCTAATTTTGCTTTCATAAAGTGAGCTAAAAGAATGGTTGCATTTTATTTTCTAGGATACTTTTTATAAGAATGGGATGTTATCCTTGAAAGTTTAATAGAATTTACTTTCATCTTTTCTATATTTTTTCTATTTTCTATTTTCTTTGAATTTATTCTGTTGTTCTGTTGCTAACATCTTAATGTGGATACTTAATTTTTCATCTTTTTATTTTGAAATATAACCATTTAGAAACTTTAAAAAAAGTTTTATATTTAGATTTTCAAAATAGTTAAAAAGTTTTTTTAGTTCCTACTATGTACTCTGATAAAGAAGTTGAATAACTCATAACACTAATTGTCAAGTCCATCAACTTTATATTCCACAGTGAGTGATGAACACATAAAGCGGATAATTTACAGTCTGATGGGATAGGTGCTGCAACACAGGAGGTAAAAGTTTGCATGAGCGCATAGTTCAAAAATAATGTCTTTTCCAAAGAAAGCAGTAGAAATTGGAAACAAGCATTCAATTATTGAGGAGATATTTTTAGTGGCTCAAATGTCATCATTACAATGAAAACCATATTGCTACTTACGCGTCATTATGAATTTTGGTGGCTAGGGGAAGAGGGGAATTCCTCACAGTTATTTCACAAGTTTTGATACATAATATTGTCTGTATCATTTAGTTCCAAGTATTGTAGTTATCACTATGACTTCTTCTCTGACTCAAGAATTATTTAAACATGTGTTTGTTATTTTGTAAATGTATGAAACATTTTTTAAAATTATATATTTTATTAATATCTAACTATATAAGTCAGGGTTCTTCATATAAGGAGAACCAACATGATAAATATGTGTGTGTGTGTGTGTATGTGTGTTTATGTGTGTATAATGCAATTATGGAAGAAAGTCCCAGAATCTGCAAGGTGAGTCAGAGAGTAGAGGACCCAGAAGAGCCTACTGATGAGTTCCAGTCCAAAGGCGGGCAGGTTCCAAACCCAAAAAGAGCTGATGTTTAAGGCCAAATTGGAAGGGAGGAAAAAGCAGATGCTGCAGCTTGAAGAATCTGATGCCGCAGGCATGAGGAATCTTTCCTTACTTTTGAGAGGGTCAGGCTTTTTATTGATTTAATGAAGTCTACCCACATTAGGGAGAGTGTTCTGCTTTACTCAGTCTACTGATTCAAATGTTCATCTCATTCAGAAACACCCACATAGACACACCTAGAATTATGTTTGACCAAATGTCTGGGCACCTCATGGTCCAGTCAAATTGTCACATAAAATTAACCATCACATTGTATTTCATAATGATTGTAGAATTTGATATTATGACAAGTCTTTGAAATTTGTCGAGAACATATTTATGGTCAACTTGTGATCATATTTCATGTGGGCTTGAGAATAGTATGTATTCTCTAACTGTTGGGTAAAAAGTGTGTGTGTGTGCGTGTGTGTGTGTATAAGCATATGACTGAACCAGGTAGTCATTTTAGCAAATAGAAAATTCGTGTCATTTTCATTTAAAATTCAATGTGATTAGAACTTTAGGAACTCAAACCAACAATTGAAAACGACAATAATAGGTTCCTGGGCTTCTTCTCAATTATGTACTGCACTTTTCTAATCAAATTTTTTATTTAAAAACAATTGAGTGTCTGACCTCTACACATTTGTTTAACATTTTATTCATGATATTTTTCTAAATGATCATTTTTCTTTTTTCAGTCAAGTGTTCTTTCTAGTTCCTTAAAACCTACACAATGGAAACTTAAAAGAGGGGAAACAAAAGTACTTATTCTCTGCTCTGTGAAATTATAGTTATTCCCTGAAGCAAAGAATACTGAATTTTCTGGCTGACTGGATGGAGAGTCTGGGTAAGCAAAGGGAAAGAGAAAATAAGGACAAAAAATCCCAAACTAATTTTTTTTAAATTACTAAATTTGATAGAACTTCTCCTTCAGCTAAGATAAATTGGCCATTCCCATACACAACCTATTCCTTCTGATTTCAGAATATGTCTTTCTAAACTCACATCCTTTTCAAATTTGCTTGGATAACAAAATAAACCAGTTTACCTGTATTTATTTGGTCTGTGTAAGGATGAAAGTATAACACAAACTACCAGGGAGCTGTTAGGGGGGCATGATGTAAGTCCTCTGTTGGTACCAATAACAAGTTTCATGCGAATTTTAAAACTTAAACATAAGCAAGCAAATGAAACATACGATGTTCTGCCTGACATTGAGTCTAATGTTTCTGCTGCTGTCATGCTATATGCTTCAGTTGGCATCCTCAGTTGCAAGTTGAAAAGTATTGAAATGCTTCAACCCTAGATCACAGTAAACAATTCCATGATATAATAGTTTTTTCCGTGACAGCATTACTGGCTCATGTTTCTGAGGCAGCTTAATCATACTTTGATCATATCTTTCATTTTGGATTTGCTGATAGATATATAAGCTTTGTTACTTTGTCAAAATATATATAGAGAGAATAAAAATATCTATATATGTGTATTTTACTACCATGATAGATAGCTAGTGGAAAGTTATTTATTCATTAGCATTTTTTTATATTCTATCTGCCTAAGTTTATATGTATAAAATGTTATAATTTGCAAATTTATATCTTGGTTTAAAATAATAATTATAGTGTGTAATTTTGATTTTTCATTCAGATCTCCCAGCATTCCTTTTACCCCTGTTCGTGTGCATGGAGGGTACCATTTGGTTTGCTTTTGCTTTCAATAGTTTGAGATTTTCTTGGAAGATTGCCTTAGATTCTGGAGGCCTCTTTGCTCACCTAGATGACACCCCTGAACTAATGACTATTGGGTGCTGGAGTTTAAAAATACCAGCCTCCTTCCTTTACTTAGCTTGGTACAACTCCTGGGCATAATGTGTACTCCAGAGTATCTCTGCAGGGTCAGGTTCAAAGTGTCAGGTTGAAACTACTGCTCTGGTTCTTAGCCTCAAAACGTTTTTCCACTTGATCTTTTCCTCTTCCTTCTCTTGTTGCTGCCATCGTTTTTTGGTTTCCTCAATAACACTTCCTTATAAATCACTTATGCATGGATACTCAAATCAAGGTGTTCTTCAGAGTACTAAGCATAAAGATATTTAACCTTAAAATTACAGGTAAAAATGATCTTTAACCTCATTTTTATTTTGAAGGAGTTTATACTTTAGACTCCCTAATTATCGCTTTTGAGGCTTCATTTTTACAATGTGAATACTAATACCAGTTTATGCTTTGCATTTCATTCATAATTTATTAGGTAATAATCCTAATATGCAGATGATATAAAGCCATAGCATTTCAAAGTCCCATGTTATCAAGAGAGATATAATAAACTGGACTTGAGAGGATCGGAAGTTACCAAGCATTCTCCAGTGTGTACTAGAGACACAGTCACTTGTTTTCATTGCACTCTATGTGAGATTGTTAAATTCCTTCAGACTTCATGGTCATTTTCAAAATTCCTGAACTGTTAAAATAAACTGACAGTCTTATTAGCATTAATACAGCTAGACAGTAACTGAGAAAGCTACAAAAAATATTTTTATTTCCTTTTGAGAATTTTTGCACATAGTATATGGCTAGGGAGATAGGTCTTTTGCAAAAGGCAATCAATTAGTCATTTGATATTGACTAAGCTCAAATATGTGCAGTCGAGTCAAATTAAATGTGGTTTCCCAAGAGGAGAGTGTACTCATGGGAGAAACCTTATAGAAGAAAGAGAATTTTTACAAATGATCCAACCATAAAGAGATAGATTGCACATCTAAAATTACACAATTTTTGTTGCAGAGTACAGGGGATTGAGTTAAATAGAAAGTAGGGAACCAAGAACAGGGAACATGCAAATAAAATGGAGACTTGTCCCAGTAGAAGAGACATGTAATTGTCCACAGTAGTTATAGTGCTATATTATGCACTGTAAGAATGCAACTAACTTATGATTACAAAACACTGTTTGACAAAATTTTATTGCGCTAGATTAACTCAAATTTTTATTGTAAAGCCTAAATTCCATTTTTCCTCCAAACATTTATATAATATTCATGAAACTTGTTTTTACCCAGGCCACAAAAATAAGTCTCAGTAAACTATAAAAAATTTAAGATTGTGAAGGTCATATTTTATATTATATAGGTCTAGAAGTTAGTTTTGATGAAAGACAAATAAAACATTAACAAATCTATCTTGGGTGAAAAGGAAAATACTAATTATACTATTAATTGCCAGCCAAAACGCTTTTCTTTATTTTACAGTATTCTAAACTGGATGTGTGCATTATTTATTAAGAAAAACAATACAATTCTGTATCCACTTTTTGATGAATAAATATGTATTTTTTGTTTTAGATAAAATGTTAAATATATTTGAATGAATTAACTTCTGCCATGTATGCAGATGTAGGAGGCAGAATTCTAAGATTACCCCCAATAACCCTTGCCCTTTTATAATCTCTTCCTCATGAATGTGTACGAAACTTGTGAATATCATGATATACTACTCTCCTGATTATTTCATATTGTAGAGCAAAAAGAGTTTTTAGGATGAGCCTGACCTAATTAGGTAATTTCTCTAAAAGTAGAAAATTTTCTTTGGTAGGTAGGTGACAAAAAATTTAGAGAGACACACTTCTCCTATCTTTGAGGATAAAGACATGAGCTGATATGTTTGGAATTGCCTATAAGGGCCATGTGTCAAGGAGCAATGTGCAGCCTGTAGAACCTCAGAGTGACTCACAGCTGACACACAACAAAAAAGCAGGAGCCTGGGCCCTGTGGCTGCGAGGAGATAAATTCTACCAAAACTCTAGTGAGATTGAAAACAATTTTTTTATTATTATACTTTAAGTTTTAGGGTACATGTGCACAATGTGCAGGTTAGTTACATATGTATACATGTGCCATGTTGGTGTGCTGCACCCATTAACTCGTCATTTAACATTAGGTATAACTCCTAATGCTATCCCTCCCCCCATCCCCCCACCCCACAACAGGCCCCGGTGTGTGATGTTCCCCTTGCTGTGTCCATGTGTTCTCACTGTTCAATTCCCACCCATGAGTGAGAACATGCTGTTATAAAGACACATGCACACGTATGTTTATTGTGGCACTATTCACACTATTCACAATAGCAAAGACTTGGAACCAACCCAAATGTCCAATAATGATAGACTGGATTAAGAAAATGTGGCACATATACACCATGGAATACTATGCAGCCATTAAAAATGATGAGTTTATGTCCTTTGTAGGGATGTGGATGAAGCTGGAAACCATCATTCTCAGCAAACTATCACAAGGACAAAAAACAAATTATTTTTGAGTCAAGTTTCCAGATGAGAATGCAGCTTTGCCAACACTTTGATTTCAGCCTTTAGAGAGCCTGAGCAGAGGACCCAGCTAACCCACAGTTCTGAGTCACAGAAACTATGAGATAGTAAATTAATGTTCTTTGTAATTGTTACATTGATAGTAATTTGTAACACAGTGCTGTGGCTGAATGTTTGTTTACTTCCCAAATTCTTATGTTAAGATACTAACCCCAGTCTGATGATATTAAAAGATGGTGGCTGGTTGTGGTGGCTCACATCTGTAATCTCAGCACTTTGGGAGGTGAAGATGGGAGGATCACTGAGGCCAGGATTTCAAGACCAACCTGGGCAACCTGGTGAGACCCTGTCTCTACAAAATACTTAAAAATAATCCAGGCATGGTGGCACATGCCTGTGGTCCGAGCTACTCAAGAGGCTGAGGTGGGATGATCACTGAAGCTGAGGAGGTCAAGGGTGCTGTGAGCTGTGACTGTGCTGCTGCACTCCAAACTGGGTGATGGAGTGAGACACTATCTCCAAAAAAGAAAAAAAAAATAAAATAAAAGGAGGGGCGTTTGGGAGTTAATTAGGTCACAAGGGTGGAATCCTTTTACATGGATTAGTGCCCTTATATTAGTACCTCAGAGATCTCTCTCAACCCTTTCACCATGTGAGAACACAGAAAATGGCCATCTATAAACCAGCAAGTGGGCCCTCACCACACACTTATTTCTGTTAGTGGCCGTGGACTGGGTGGCTTAAACAACAAACATTTATTTCTCTCAGTTCTGGAGACTGAAAGTCCAAGATCAATGAACTGGTTTGTTGTTTAAGCCACCCAGTCTATGATATTTTTGTTATACTAGCCTGAACAGATTAGATAAAAATTGGTATCAGAAGTGGAGTGCTACCATATCAAATACCTAAAAATGTGGAAGTGGCCATAGAACTGGGTACTGTGTAGAGGCTAGAAGGGTTTTGATGTGCTTGTTAAAAATATGGACATTAAAGTTGATTCTGCTGAGGGGTCAGAAAGAAAAGACGAGTATGGGAGAGAAAGCCTTAATCTTCATAGAGGATAACTAAATAATGAACAGAATTTTAGTAGAAATACGGATGGTAAAGGCCATTCTGATGAGAGATTAGATAGAAATGAAGAACATGTCATTGAACAACAGAAGAAGGGCAATTCTTGTCATAAATTGACAAAAAACTTAGCTAAATTGTGTTTGTAGTCTAGTGTTTTATGGAAGCTAGAACTTGGAAGCAATACAATTGGATATTTAGCTGAGGAAATTTCTAAGCAAGGTGTTGAAGTGTGACTTGGTTCCTCTTGACCACCTATAGTAAAATGCAAGAAGAGAGAAGTGATTTAAAGATGAAATTACTAAGCAAAAAGGCAGAACTTAAATATTTGGAAAATTCTTAGCCTATGTATTTTGCAAATAATGAGAACACTGTGTGTGGACAAGTGGCTGTTTTATAAGTAGATTAGTATAGATCAACCATCCAAAAGAAGCCAGGCACTATTCTTCAAGATAATGGAGAAATGACCCCAAAGGCTATTTAAAGATCATCAGGGCCACCACTCATATCACAGGTCCAGAGTGCATGGGCCTGGGATACCAGGCTGTTTACACTTAGGTTTAAGAGGAAGAGGTCATCCAGAGCCATGGAACCATAACCCCAGCCTGGGACAGTCACGAACATGGAGCTGTAACTCCAGTCTGGGAGAGCTGTATGGCCCCACAAAGTCATTGTGGGAGTGGGGTCATCGCAGAGAGCCTCAGTGTGCATAGCACGATGCTGAGTCATGATGTTATCACCCCAGTGGGTCTGGATGCAGAGCGTCAAGACAAAGGGGATTATTCTTGAGTCCTGAGGTATAAAGGAATTTATCTTATTGTATTTTATTTACTTGGAACCTGCCACTTCTTTTTTCCTATTGTCCCTTTTGGAATGGAGTTGTCTATCCTAAGCCCATCCTAGCATTGTATTTTGGAAGCACATAAATTATTTGATTTCACAGGCTTACAGATGGAGAAGAATTTTGCCTCAGGATAAATTGTACTTCAAATCTCACCAATATCTGATTTAGCTGATATTTAAATAAGACTTTGAACTTTAGGCTTTAGATTTCATTGCTGGAACAAGCTAAGACTTTTGGGGTTGTTGGAATGAAATGAATGCATTTTTCATGTGTGAAGGACATAACTTTTGGGAAGCCGGGCATGGAATGCTGTGGTCTGAGTGTTCGTGTCCTCCTGAAACCTGTATGTTGAGATCTTAACTCCCAATGCGATGGTATTAGGAGGTGGGGCCTCTGTGAGGTAATTAATTCTTGAAGGTGGAGTCTTCATGAGTGAGATTACCGTTTTGGAAGAGACCCCAGACATCTTGCCTACCTATTCCTCAATATGAGGACACAGTGAGAAGATATCTATATATGAACCAGGAAGTAAATCCTCACTAGACATCAAATGTGCCAGCAACTTGATCTTAAACTTCCCAGACTCTAGAACTGTGACAAATAAATGTTTGTTGTTGAAGCCACTCAGTCTACGATATTTTTGTTATGCTGGCTGAAATGAACTAAGATACACAAAGATAGAAAACTAATACAGTTGAATAAGTGATATCTTCATTACTTTTCTTGCCAAGTCTTTAGAAATTCTACTGTTGTTTATTTTGAATTCATTATTCAACACGGGCAGCCTTAAAGCAAGGGCAAAAAATTTTGTCCTTTGGGTTAAGGACAAAATAGAATATTAATTATTCATCAAAATGGTATTTTAGAAGTATATTACTTGACGTAAAAGTATGATCCAAATATATTGTTAATTGAAAAATGTATTTTAACTATATTTGGTATTTGATTTCTTTTCTTTTTTATATGTGTTTATATGATTGTGAGCATATATGCATACACACACTACATACACAGATGATACTTTGCAAGGTAAGTGTTGAAATGTTGAGAAAAATGTCCAGTGGTTGGCGGGATTGTGGTGATTTATATTTTCCATAGTGAATATTAATTGTGTAATTAAAAATATTAATACATCTATAACAAGCTAATCAACGGCTGTCCTACCAACATTTTATGATTTTTTAATGTGAGGTCCTGGACCTTTACTTTTCTTTCCCTTTTCAAAAATTTTCATTATTATTATGTTCATTGGACCACTAACCATGTTTGTGATATTTGTCAAATATGAGAATAATATAAGTAGGGTTTACTCTCCAACCACACATTGAACAGGAAGGCCATGACATGAGTCTCATGGTAGATCTGTCATATAAATCAACAGTAAGGATGTGTTATGACATCAGCATTGCCCTTGTAAGCACTGGAGACAAGAGTGAGGCAATGTGTCCTTGTTTAGTTGACATTAGAATACTGTTTATTCACAGTAGACATTTCTTTGTACTGTATTTACATAGCTTAATGGGGTTTTGAAAGGTCAGAATCAGAGCTGTAGACATTTGTAACTGTGAATTACATACAGAAGCGTTGTTGAATTCTTAAGTATATTATTAAAGAGTTTACACAAGCTGAGTTTCTACCAAAGAATAGATTTTTATTCTTGGTATAAATTAATTTAAAACTTTTATTTTCACTTATCTTTCAATCCTCTATATCAGATGAGAAATTACTGTGTACCAGGCTCACTTCAAATAAGAGCCCGGTCCTGCACAATTCTATATTTTCCTGTAGTGTATTTGATTTTTTCTCTTTCTGTAATTGTTGATTACCAAGAATTATCTCTGAGAACAAGATGAATGTGTTTTCTGAAAGTATTATGGGAAGAGTTTGGAAACAGAATGCTAACTAAATAAAGAGACTGATTAGTTTAAATTGTTTTTTCATTACTTTTTTTTAGTTTCTCATAAGCATTTAAAAATAATCCCAGAAGGGGGCCATAGAAACAATCGAAGTTCCAAGTGACTTAAGATAAATGACTATGCCAATGGGAATTATGCACTGAGTTTGCAGAAAACACAAGTAAAATCTCTCCTATCACAGTGGCCTTATTCTCTTTATTGGTTCCTCTTAGAGTACATATGAGAAAAAGGTTTCCTACTTTTAGGTGATTTTTTTTTTGTTTCCTGCAAGGAGTTGTCGCTGTCTTAGTCTAAGAATGTCATAAATTGGAAGAGAATAGGTAAATAAGTCTAAAAGGAAGTGAAGCCTTACCAAGTAAGCAATTCTTTTGCAACATTAATGGAGAGTGAATGTTTGAGAACCAAATGAGTTTTCAAAACTGTTTTAAGTTTTAATAAGTTTTGCCTGACTGCCTTTGTGAGGATAAATATAAGATGTTAGAGTAACCTTAGGCTGACCATTGGACCGAAAACATTGTTTTAGTTCAAGAATGAAAAATAAATGAATAGAAATTGTTTGATAACTATAATAAGATAAACCCTACAATGCTAAAAAGATAGCTAATATTCTGGATGAAAGTACAGAGTTCAAAGACTTTTGACAAGTTAAATTGTATGGGATAAAATTTACTGAATATAAATTTATAGCTTTGTGTCATTCAATAGTGTAACTACAAAGTGGAGATTTAAGGAGATCTAATTGACAATAGTTCTTGTGAACGAGTCTTGAGTCTTTGCATTGATCTTCTCCTCCATTAGAGTCAACCATATGACCTGACTACCCCAAGCTTGTGCTAGCTTAAACTACATTTACACTGCTATGGTCTTTAGACGAAGTGGAAAAATCAACCCTCAAAAATTTTCCTGAGTTATGCCACATTCAACCTATTGTATCTGATTCTGAAAAGTAGCAGTTTACACACAGGATAATTCAAGAGATTGTGAAGACACTCCAATTCTTGATATATGAAAAATGATAGAAATGCACGTATTTGAGAAGGAAAGACTTAAAGGCAATATAAGAGCTGCATTATTATAGCACAATATTTAGCTTTCTCAGCTGTGGAACCAGGTTCCTTAGGTTTGATCCAGTCCCATCAGGCAAGTTTCTTAACCTTTGGCAAATATCGTTCATATCTTTTCCCCATTTCCCCATATTTGTAAAATGACATTAATAACTGGGTCTACTTTTTAAGAATGTTGTTACTGTTAAAAGATCTGCAAAAAACAAAAACTGTTCCTGAAATTATTATATTGGAAGAGTAATCAATAAATTTATTATTAATGTTATTGTTAATACGGTTACTACTAAATATTTGAAAAGATGCTCATATAGAAGGGAAATCAAGAACTTCAATTAGTTTCATAAAGGAGAACTACTAATGGTAAGTTAGGCTTAATGTGAGGAATATTATTTTAGTACAATATAAGAATTTTAAAACAAAGTATCATGGTCTTTCTATTGATGTAATAAACTCCAGTTCACAGAAAATTTTTTAAATTTGTTTTTTAAATTGAAAAATAAAAGATGTATACATTTATCTTAAACAACGTCATGTTGTTTAAAATATGTATGCATTATGGAATAGCTAAATTGAGCTAATTAACATATGCATTACTTCATACAATTTTTTGTGTGTGGTAAGAACGCTTATAATCTACATTCAGCAATTTTCAAGAATACAATAGGTTATTATTAATTATAGTAACCATATTGTACAAGAGATCTCTTGAAATTATTTCTTCTATCTACCTAAAATTTTATGTCCTTTGACCAATATCTCCCTGATGCCACTTGCCCGCCACCAGATGATTTTTTTAAGCAGACATGAGGGATCATATATAAGGGAATCCTAGAGTGAATGTTAGATTCTCTGAGATAATCTCTATATTTTATTTCAATATTGAAGAGCCTGTGTTTCTAAATTTTTTAAAAAAAATTTCTACTTGAGAAAATAAATACTTAAAATATAGGTTATCATAATTTATAGAAACTAAAATAATACATATCGTGACTTTCATTCACTCTCTTTTGTCATTACAAATTTGTAAAGTTGGTATAATATGTGAAGTAATGTTGCTATGAAATCAGTCTGAGCCTGGTCCAAAAGTATAGCTTGGGTGACATTGATAAGGCAATCTTTCAAATTGCTGCAGTGAGTCTGAAGAGTTTGTTTGATGAAGATAGAGGAAATTTTGATTTTTCTCTATGTATTCCTGGATGATTTAGGAAATCACATTTCTGAGTGTAAGAAATCTCTTATGTAAAAATACTATTACCATTTTTCCAAGTTTTTTGAAAAAATAAAGATCATGTATACATTGATTACTCACAGGCTAACTTTCCCGTATAGGTATTTTCAGGTAGTTCTGTTTAATTAAAAGGACCATTTTCTTATGTAAAATCACCAACTTCTGTAATGAGGTCATCAAGGAGTACAATATGTAAGACACATAATTGTGCGTATTTTGTAAATGAAATATATTACAACTTAAATTAGAGTGAAAAGACACCCCCTACACACACTTTTTTTTTTTTGAGATGGAGTCTCACTCTGTCACCCAGGCTGAAGTGCAGTGGCACGATCTTGGCTCACTGCTACCTCCGCCTCCCGGGTTCAAGCAATTCTCCTGTCTCAGCTTCCCAAGTAGCTGGGACTACAGGTGCGCACCACCATGCCTGGATAATTTTTGTATTTTTAGTAGAGACAGGGTTTCACCATATTGGTCAGACTGGTCTCGCTTCTGACCCCAGGTGATCCACCCACCTTGGCCTCCCAAAGTCCTGGGATTACAGGCGTGAGCCACCGCGACTGCCCAAGATCCATTTTTAATAAAGAAGTCTTGAGTCTTTAACCATAGACGAGGACCAGAGAAATAAGCACATGCTGTATACAAACTGTGATTTGTATGTACAGATGGCAACATCCATACACTCACATACAGTATTGCCAATGTATAGCCAGAGAGGGCCTCTGAATATTAGTAGACTATAATATACAGTAGTAGTATACAGTGTGTGTTACAGATGATATATTATAGATGATGTAGTATACATATAATATATAGTATCTCTTGAGAGCTATTATAAATAATCTTCTTATACCTAATTTGAGTTACGTTCAGATAGACTATTTCTTCTTTCAGAGATGTTTTAAGAGAACTTCTAATCCCAAATTTTGTTTTCCTTCCAACTCCAGGACACAGGAGATAGCTGGGATGCACCTTACAATAAAATAAAACAAACAAAAAAAATTTCCCACAAAGCTAAATTTTTTCATAAACAAAGAACAAAGGAAATTAGCAGATGTAGTTGCATTTTAATTTGTTTGTCTTCTTAGACAAGTTTTTCTCTTTAAAGCAGTGAAGATAAAACTAGAGGCTTGGCACCACACACATTACAACCAATAAAAACAAAATGAGCTAACTCTCTCAAAGGGGCATTACCCTTTTTCAAATTGAGCTCTGTATAATGCTATGCTCTATGAAAATTTTAATAGTGTCACATAGTGAAGCAAGCTAAGGGACCATAAAACCCTGCACCTTGTCTGTGCTCAAACAGTAACCTAGCATTGATCTTTTTTTGTACTGATATCCTAACTGCAGGGACAATTATGAGGTTGAACTTAATTTAACATATGGACCTACCAAGGTAGAATGCCAGCCCGAATCAAATTTATATACTGCATGCATTCTAAATTAATGCATTTCACATAAGCATTTGAGCAACTTTTTACCATCTATAGTAAATGTCGTCATATATATTCTAAAATTTCAGAAGCTCGCATGATAATTACTTAGACATTGAATTATCTTTGCATTGTTGCTGCTCTTACAGATCTGTGCCCATACTTTGAGATGTATTGCATGTGGGCAGACATTTAGTTATGGATGATTTCCAGTTTTTTTTAAAGCTCATTATCAGAGTGCTCTTCATTTTATAAAAGTACACCAGGAGAAATGAAGATGCAATTTGGATGAAAAAGACCTATTCAAATAATTATTCTTACTTTGAGGTAGAAGGAAAATTAGACATTAAAAATATAGTGAAAGCTTGCCTAAAAGTTAAGGTTTTAAATTTAAACTTACCTTTGATATCAGTTTTATTTGTATTATATACATATAAGTAATACTTTATTATTTCCTTATAAATTTTAGTTTTCCAGTTTGACAAAATGAGAATAATAAATGACTATATAATGGGCATAAATAATTTAATGAGATAAATAACTACAAAAGAAATTTGAAACTTTTATTCAAAAATGAGTTTAAAAAATATTCTTTAGTAATAACTGAACTATATTAACAATTCAGGAAACGAAAACTCAGAGAGTGGCATATAAATAAAAAGATTAGAAAACTGAAACAAATACTCAATTTAGTCAAAACAGCCTATTGGTATGAATAAACAGTAGTCACAAAATATTATCAATATTTTTGACCTGGACCATGACCAGTTAATGAAGATATTACTTTACTGAGGAGAGTTATATTACTTCTCCTCTTCATCATCCAATTATTCACTTATTCATGTGGTTATTAACTCATCCATTTAAATAGCAAGTCTTTATAAAATGGTTAATATATGTAATCTACCATAGTAGTCTACAAAAAAATGGTCACATAATATTTTGTGCTTGTATCCATAAACAATGCGATGTGACATTGCAGCTCTTCTCACCATATGATGGAGTCTATTTCTCTACTCTTTGAATCTGAGCTGGCCTTGTAACTTTCTTTGGAAGAGAGAATGTGGCAGAAGCAATATTGCACCAGTTCCAAGCATAGGCCTCAAAAGATCTTACATACAAGAGCCTCCAGGGAAACCTGTCCAGCTAGCACATGAACAAGGTTGAGCTAACCTGCTGGAAGGTGAGATACATATGGCCCAGTTTATCTTGTCTCTCCAGCCAACAGTGAGCCAATACAAGCACAGCTGCATTATTGCCTGCAGACATGTGAGTAAGTCCAATTGGGATCAGGAGAACAGCCTAGCTGAGCTCAGCTCAGCTCAGCTAACCCACAGAATTGTGGGCTAAAGGTTGTTGTTTTAAGTCACTGATTTGGGGTGGTTTTTTTGCAGCAGAAGCTAACTGGTAGAGCTAATCTACTCATTTACAACATGATATCTATGTAGATCATTATATGAATTTAGATAGGATTTCTACATTGAAATATGTTTTCTTTGCACAGCTAGATGGATAAATGTAGAATGTGGCAAATAGATTTTTAGTTCACTTTCTTCTTTGGATTGAATTTAATACAGCCAAAGCTTTGCTTTCCTCCGGAATCTGTCACCATATTCTCACTTCAGGAAGGGGTTTTTCTTACATCACAGAGACAAAGTACACTAACCCACATTGAAACTGAGAGCACAACATGTGCTATTAAACAGTTCTGGAAAAAAACCCACAGCCATTGTTTTATATTTCCAGTTTCTGAGATCAAAGAATATTTATTTTTAAATGTACTCTCCTACTTTTATTCATTAATTAAGAAGAATTAAACATTCTATGTCAACTGTTTCTTTTTTTTAACAATGCAAACATATGTCAGCCTATTACTGTGGTTTATTTACTTTATTCAGTGAGATACTAAAAATTCTCTACTGTAGTCTTCTTTAAAACTACTAATTCCATTTCACATTCTGCATAATAGGAAAAAGCTTTCTATTTCTGAGGAAGTGAAATTTGAATTAATAAGGAAAGATACTAAAAGAGGAGATGAACTGTGATATGTCAAAATAAGGCCACCTAATAAATTCTCACAACCAGCCAGTGATTTTAACTGGAACTGTTTTAATTTTATTAATATTATTGCAACAATAGTCTACAGCAGAAGATAGAAAATTTTCAGGTAAAAAGTATTTTAGCTTCCTAAATATTTGAAAGATACAGTTTTCATAGCAAATACTTATTCCAAACAAGCTAAATTATAAGTAAGGAGTTGATTTCTTTTTATTATAACCAATATATCTTATGATTCATGTAGTTCTTGAATGATGATAATATTACCATGACTATTCAGTTAATAAAACAAAGTTACTTCCTTGTGAGACATGCTAAAGTTAGTATTATTTTATCCTTTAAAACGTTTTTGCTATTATTTTGCTAAACTTTTCTAAAATTTATGTAATTCTACTGTTGGCTTTTGTCTGCAGTATCCTTGACTAGTGACAGACAATATGGATATATTCTGCCTATAGTTTTCCTGTTGAAATTTTATTAAAGTAATATTCCTTTAAAATGTCTTTCAAAATGATGGTGGTAGAAGCAAATTGACGATGGTGAAATGTGGCGGCAGTTCTGTGTGTGCATAGGAATGTGCACATGCATTTATGTAATGTAGAAACAGAACAAATCTAAGTAGGAGGCATGACCTTTTCCTTTATAGAAGATATAAATGAGATTTATTGCATTTATTGATAGATGAGCTACATAATTATAGTTTAATGAATTGGGATTTTTCTAAATTTTAAATATATTTGAAATAGTCTCTAATTTTAGCTTTTTACGCAATGTCTTAGTCATCAGATCTATTTGGGATAGATAATTTATAATGTCACATCTGTTCCATGTATTCAAGTAAAAGTAGCGTCAAGGAAAAAAAAATCATTCTAATTACCAAGTTTGCTAAGACAACTTACCTTCCGATTTGGGTTTAACTTTTATGGATGTTGTGAGTCATATACCTCTTAGTTATATTTAAAAATTTTAAGAAAGATATGTAAATGCATATCATTACCTCTTTCGAGTTATATAGCAGATATTCAAAAGTTTGAATGGGTTTGAGTTTTGAGAGATTTCCTTTCATCCCAATTAAAAACATCCTGAGCATCTAAAAGACACTTATTACTTTTTTCCTTAGTTATATTATAGGGTAGGTCAAACACAGACAAAGCCATTACTTGATATAACAGTATTTGGAAATTTATGTTTAATGAGTTTTGGTACAAGGCACTAAATATTATTTCTTATTTAAGATATTATTGGCAAGAGTTCTATGGCATCAACTTTTATGTTTGAAGCAAAACGCAATTTTTGTAAATGTTGCACAAAGTTTTTTCTTTTCTTTTTAAGGTAAGGTATCTTGGAAAGAAATATTGCATTATAGTCTTGGAGCAATAGAATATCTCCACAAATAATTAAAATTCTCTTAGCTGGAAGTTAAACACAATTTGAACAAAGTTTTAAAGTCCAGGGCTAATTTATCTTGTTACTTACTCTTTAAACAGTTTTATAAACTATTACAAGTGACAATCTTTACTAGTAGCTGCTGATTTAGACATTCAAGGAACAAGTGTTCTAGCATAGAATAGTAAATATAGTATTTAATTCCGAAAAATATAGTTTCACTTTCTATATTATCCAAAACTATTCCAATTAGTAACTTGTACTTTAAAAAAGACAACTGTTTTATAAAATACACTAAAGAGATTTAAGAGAATTTAAAGGTCAAAGTTACATAATTACATTCTGCTCTTCATTCAGTGCTCTGAGTCATAAAGGCATATTCTCATCTCTTTTTTTACTCACCATTCTCAATCTTTAAAAAAAAAGAACATTTGGCTGGGCATGGTGGCTCATGCCTGTAATCCCAGCATTTTGGGAGGCCAAAGAGGGTGGATTACCAGAGGTCAGGAGTTCAAGACCAGCCTGGCCAACATGGTGAAACCCAGTCTCTACTAAAAATACAAAAATTAGCCAGGCGTGGTGGTGGGTGCCTGTAATCCCAGCTACTTGGGAGGGTGAGGCAGGAGAATTGCTTGAACCTGGAAGGTGGAGGTTGCAGTAAGCCAAGATCGTGCCACTGCACTCCAGCCTGGGTGACAAGAGTGAGATTCCATCTCAAAAAAAAAAAAAAAGTAAAGTTGAATATTTGTGAATAATGCTCTTTCAGGGTAAAAAGAAATGAATTCACAGAAACTAATAGTCCGTGGTGCAACAATTAAATGCTATGGACAGTGCTAGGCTATTTGTTTTATGTGATATTACGTTATGAGTAACATTTATGTTGTGTGTGACATGTATATGTGGTTTACCTAAAGAATAAGAGGTAAAAAGACACATATAGAGATTGGAATCACTAATTCATCTTCATTTCAAATCATTTTTCTCATTTTTATTTCTCTTTGTATTAATATCACTAAATCATTTCCATGGAAACAAAGCATTATTCAAAATTAATAACCTTGAAAAAGGGCTAATCACTGCTGCCTAAGCTTCAGATTTTATTTCTTGCAACTCTTTTTTGGTATGTGTAAATATAATGTAAGTAACTGATGGTGGCTTTGGTGAGCCCTTTTGTGATGATAAGTAACAATAATATGTAGCAATAATATTGACAATAATAATAATAGTAATAATGGTTTTAGCCAGAAAGTTTGGTCTTTGAATGAGAAAAGATTGTAACTGTAGTAAAACAATTTTGAAAAAACTCTCTGTGACACACTGCTGTTTTTCTGCTTTCTAATGTCTATTCCAAAGTCTATTTTGTAATGCCACCTGTACTCATTTGTAAATACGCAGGCTGAGATCACATGCTTTGTTGTCACAAACAAGGTAATAGCTTGCACCTGGACTACAAAAAAAAAAAATGCACTAAGAAGACCTTGTTGGAAAGGAATTCCTCGTATGGGGGGAGTGGCTTGTCTGCTTTCCCCATATCAGTCCTGTCGTTATTTATGCCTCCTCAGGGCAGGAGAGATAAATTCTCCTAGCTATCTAGCTGAGGCCTAAAGGGTAAAAAAGTTGCATTTTTTGTCTTTTTCAGTCTATCTGCTGGAATTTATAATACTCAATGCCTTGGTAACACACAAACACAACCCCACCACACACACACACACACACACACACACCCCACACACACAAAATAACTACTAAAGACCATAAAGAAACAACATGCTTGCTCAATGTGATTTAACTCAAGATCCAGGGCCTTTAGAAATATGTGTGCTGAATATGAAACCTAATCAGAAACATTTTTTCAAATGACTGTGAGTCACTGTGTGTTATTTTTGGTTGTTTTCTCCCTTGCATCTTTCTTAGTGGAAATGCAATTATCCAGGTGATTGGTCTGTAGGAGGAATGTTTTAGACAGGAATGGGTGTTTGACCAAAAATTCACAAGGGACTCGAAAGGAGGGGGAGCAAAGCCATCTCCATAATATTTTCACTTTCCAAGTTGTTGTGGAATGAACTTTCATTACTGCAACTTCTGAAGTCCCATAAGCTGACTGATCGTTGCAGTCAGCTCTGAATAGCTCAAGTGGGAGCAGTTGTTTCCCACAGATTCCCAAGCAAAATTCTGTAGTTGTGAGCTGTTCCATTATGGTACAGATGAGGAATCACAAGTGCAGGGTTTTAGCACAGAATCTATTATTCTTATAAAAAACAATGGACTCTGGGAGGCCGAGGCCGGTGGATCACAATATCAGGAGTTTTGAGACCAGTCTGTCTAATATGGTGAAATCCCGTCTCTACTAAAAATACAAAAAAAAATTAGCCGGGCGTGGTGGCGGGTGCCTGTAGTCCCAGCTACTCAGGAGGGTGGGGCAGGAGAATCCTTTGAACACAGGAAGCGGAGGTTGCAGTGAGCCGAGATCGCGCCACGTCACTCCAGCCTGGGCGACAAGAGTGAGACTGTCTCAAAAAAAAAAAAAAAAAAAAAAAAAAAAAAAAAGAAACAATGAAGGAGCAGATGAGAGCATTCCATTTTTAAACCTGGTACTTCTTGAAAACTATTAGGGTGGGGGACACCAAAGTGGGGGGCAAGCAAACTTCCCAAATGCCTTATTTTCCTTTATTAAATAGCTGATTTGGATACTAGCAATTGGAAAAAGAAATAATAAAATGAACAAAGTTGATTACACTGACTGACATCCAACTGGGGGATGGTTCTCTACAGGGAAAACAAAGGAATGGAGAAGGAAAGAAAAACAAATATTAGTTAATAAAAAATATAAAAATAACAGGAAAATATGTAAAAACATAGAAATTAGACATTAACAAGATGGAAATTGCATGAATGCTTCTAAAGTATGGTTTGGATTTTGTTTAAAAGATGAATTTTCATACCAGTTTTCTTTATAACGTTTGTAACTACAGTAAATTATAACAGAGCATGGAGTAGCATTGACTCATCCAGGCTTAAGGGTCTGATTCTGCTTTCTATTCTCTAGGCCCACATGGAGTCTACAGGTGGTACAGAATGAAGCAGGCTTAAATTACTGGTTAGAACTATCAACAGGGAGATCACATCCTCCTCACCTTATATTGCCTATTCTGAACAGAATTTTTTATAAGTTATGGCACTTAGTGAAATAGCACCTGGTAGGATGAGAACAGTTATTACATTTTCTCTTTTCTCAGCATTCAAAGATGGTCTACTATTTGCCAATGATGTACCCTGCTTGATGCCATAAGGGAGTTATTGACATTGAATTATTTTAACAAATTTCATTTTACAGTCTACAGTGTACCATTTTCATCTTATTTTAAGTAAATTGCAGGAATTGATTCAAGCTTGATATTAATCCTCAGCATGACATTGTAGTAGATGATCAATTAAATGTTTAAAATAATTACTAAGCATATCAGGACTCTTATGATGTTCATAGCATCGTATCAAATATGGGGGTATATATATAACAGTAAGAAGAAAACATCTTAAATCTCAAATGGTAATTAATGAAGTTTCCATAAGATATCCAGATTTTTAAATTATGTGTTGTGGTTTCATGTAAAGAATAATCAACTTTCAGGTTGGGTTTTAGGAACCATGGTATCGAGGAGGTAAAGCTTCAATATAAATTTGATGAATGAGTGGATAAATTCATGGTCAAGTTACCAATTATTATATCAATAAAATGAGGTTAATATCTATGGAATGTGTAATCTGTATCATAGATGTATCATATTATAATTAATACTCAGTATTGATAATAATAATTTAAAAATACCTTGAGTTGTATTATTTAGGCTGTATTATTTAGGTAACCACCAATTCCTACTATAAAATGCCAGTCCCTTCACATATTTACACTATTTGTCTGGTTGCTGAGGGCATTTGAATTTGCAAACCTACTTAAGATGGTAAAATATGAAATAAAGACATATTTGAAAACCAAATATTATAGCATGATGTCATTCATAAGCCATTTCTTTACACAAAGAGTGTTTCTATAGCATAATTGCTTGAACACCACTATTAGTTTATTTTGCCTAAGAGATATGTTTGATAATAAAAGTGTTGGTGGCCTTTTAGCTTAGAAATGCAGTCTGTTGGAATCTACCATCTAGCCTAATTAGGTCTTCAAGGACAAAACTTAAAGCCATGTATATCGTTGTTATTGATGCCTAGTAAAATATTTGGGGAGAATTTTTAATGATCCCCACTGGATGTCTTAATGATTTCCAACAACATGCTGCCACTGATAAAATTAACACAACAACTCCTATTCATTATTTCAGACTTAGGTACCTAAAGGATTCCTTACTTCTTCCTGAATTTTCCTTAGATTAATAAGATAGATGGATAATATTAAATTTCAGTAATGTGGCTTATTGGTTGTGCTGTTTTGGTCAATTTATGTAGCCTCTGTATTCATTAGTTTACTCTTTTAGGTAGAAATACTTATGAACTTTAAAGATAATTTGTGCAACATGTATGAAACATAAGAAGCATCTAAAATAGTACTATGTGCTATTTTCTAATTAGTGTGTCATATTGCACATTAATTGGAAAACTCATCAGAAGACAATGGCACATAAAGCAACCGATAAATCAAAAAACTTTGCTCTTTTGTTTTGGTATGTGTCACTTTCTTGTTTAGTTGATCTGTGCATATTTTTCTACTTAGATTTTACTTCGAGTAATATCATCATTAATTTGCCTTCCCCGAATACATGCAAACCAATGATAGGCAGGTAGTGTCCAGAGAGCCAAAAATACTAATGGGCATTGTGAAATGTTTCCACAGACACTTCACATATGGATTGCTAAGAATAAACTATATGTTCCTGTCAATCCATATTACTAAATTACACCAAGATGTTGTCATAGTATTAAACTGATCCATGTAGTCTTATACCATTTGCACCTGTATTAAGGCATTGTCCACCTGCAGTATACGATAAATCTCATTCTGTATACAATGGATGCTAAGAAAATGATAAAAATTATAAAGTAGAGAAGCAAAGTGTTGAAGCAAAAATCCCACCATCTATCCTTTGACTAGAGTAAAATTCATACATATTTTTCTCTCATTTGGTCGCTTGTTACATTTAAGAAATGTTTTGTGAGCAGTATCAAGCTCTCTACATGCATTGGTTATAGGCAAAGAGAAGTGGTCTCCATATGTATAATATCACTCAACTAAAATGTATGCTCTGATGTGAAATAAAGATAAACTTTTCAGTGTTTCACACCATTTTGAAAAGGACTATAGAACATCCTAGTTTTGACATGGCGGCAATATACTTTTTTACCACAAATGAGAATGCTTATTGCCTCCTTTTCTCTCCAACCTTGGCACAATGTGTAAAAAAAAATTGTTTCTACATTCTATTGCCATCTGTTATGTGGCATTAAGATCAACTGCCCTTTTTTTCTGTTCATGGTGCTTTGTAAGGTTTTTCTTTGGCACACAGGTCATACCATCTGATTCTGCGGCTCTGTGCCCGTGGGTGGACATCTGGAATAGTTGGCTTAAATAAGTTTGTGCTTGTTGCTAGTTCTGGTAGAGACATAGTTCTCAATGGTTATTTCTTTAGTTTATCTGTTGGAATACAATTGGTTTCATTCCAGTAGAGTATCTTCCATTGCACTTGTTTTCAAAGCCTTTCAGTCTCTTGCTCAGATTTTGATTCCTTTCCAGTTCTCACAGCTGAAGGTTAGTGATATGATTACATTTGAGTTGAATGTTTTCAGTTGTATATTTGTGCTTTTAGTTCTTTGTAGACTCTTTATAAAGAACTTAGCAAACAATTTCTTGTTTATATCGAAAATTAGTTATTCTGTGAGTCTATAACATGAAGCAGTTTAACTTCTATATTGATGTTAACTTGGGATCTGAAGGGTATTTGGCGTTGGGTGCAGTGGCTCATGCCTGTAATTTTTGGACTTTGGGAAGCGGAGGTGGCAGGATCACTTGAAACCAGGGGTTTGAGACCAGACTAGGCAACAAAGCAAGACCATCTCTCCAAAAAATATATATATTAACAAAATCAGCAAGGCATGACGGCACATGTCTGTGGTCTCAACTACTCAGAAAGCTGAGGCAGGAGGTCCGCTTGAGCCCAGGAGTTTAAGGCTGTAGTGAGCTATGATCATACCATTACATGTCAGCCTGAGCGACATAGTCAGATCCCATCTCTAAAAAAAATAAAAGAGTATTTGGTTTGGCATAATCATGACACTTAGGCCAGTTGGATTTAGTGTGAGTCTTTTGCTAAATTTAACACCTTTGAATTTTCTCTGTCGTTTACCTGAAAGGCAATTTCTGATGAAGTGTTGTTTGTTTGTACCTACCTAAATGCTCTCTCATTTATGACAACATAAAACAAGGATCCGAAAAATAAGTGAGCTAAGAGAGAGTCAGTGTAAAATAGGAAGGACATCAAGAATGAGGATAGGTCCTTGCTAGCACAGATCCAGTAATGGTGAAGTGCATTTTCAACAAACCCAAGAAAATGGAGGGTTTCTAGAAAATGGTAAGGTAATATTTTGAAATTATTATACTGAATAATGTTTCAATACTTTGTGTTTCAAAATATAGATAAATTGTCATTCCAGAATCTCAGAAATGATAAGTAAACTATTCATCAGGTATCCAAAATGAGATTTTTTTCTTTTAAATGCATTGGCTACATTTGATCATAGCTGAAACAAAAATGTAAATTTTTGGCTCAAAGACCTGACTGAATACATGGTGATTTATCAGTTGCTCTTCCCCAAATTGCTCAAAACAAAGCTTATTCTGCATAAAAGGAACAAATGTCCTCCTGTTGACATGGTACGTTAACATTCCTGTACAGTTATCATGATTTGCACTCATCATTTTCTATGGAGCTCACATTCATTAAGTTCTTGAACGTTACTTGTACTATACCATTGGCTCTGCTTCAGTTTACTCTTCACAGGTGAAAAGTGCAGTATTCAGTATTCCGCTATATTATCATTCTGTAATAAATTAAAGAAGTGTTTTTGTTTGTTTGGGTGTTTTTTCGTTTTGTTTTTTTAGACAGGGTCTCACTCTGTCGTCCAGGCTGGAGTGCAGTGGTGTCATCATAGCTCACTGCCACTTCAACCTCCCCAGGCTCAGCTGCTTCTCCCACCATAGCCTCCAGAGTAGCTGGGACCATAGGCAGGCACTACCATACCTGGCTAATTTTTGTAGTTATAGGCTTTCCCCATGTTGCCCAGGCTGGTTTCAAACTCCTGGGCTCAAGTGATCCTCCTGCATTGGCCTCCCAAAGTGTTAGATTTACAGGTGTGAGTCACCGTGCCCAGCCAATTTCTGTGTTTTAAAAAGCATTTTTCTTCTTCAGTGTGTACCTAAAAATGACAGCAATTTAACTCCTTGTATACCATTAGGAAATTCCAATAACAAGTCAACAATGACCAATTTCAACCTATTAAAGAAATTGTTTGTAGTCTTAAATTGGAGTTCTTATAATAATTTAACAATTTTAAAATGTTTTTATTCCATTAAAATAAGAATTCAGTATTTATGTATTGCATCACTATCTTTTCAAACTTGAGTAGATAAATAATAAATTTAAAAAGAATTTATTTATGTACTTATAAAGTTGGAATTAAATAGATATTTCTAATTGCTTTATCAAAAGCAATTTAAACATAGAACTCAAAGAAAAAGTATCTTTTGCCTAATCAGACCACTGCTTTCCCCCTGATATTTCTTGTTGAATATATGAAAAAATAAAAATCTCACAATCTAGATAATTCCGATGACACCACCAGCAACCACTTAAGATAGGAAGAGATAGATACTAATGAAAACTTTATTATGACACAATACCATGACTGATTAATTGATTGCTGTTCCAACACCCCCAGAGGATCTCTGATTATTTCAAGAGAAAATACAATTTCTAAGTTCACAATGAAAAATTAATTTAAATTCAATTTTATATATATAATATCAAACCGCTATTGAAATCACACTTCTGCAAATCTCAACCTTTGGAAAAATAAATGCAAATTGAGAAAAATCTGTTATTGGCTGTGTAATCCTAGGTACCAAATTATGAGAAAAGAAGTTTACTGTTTACTCTTAAATGTTGAATTAAATGGATGGCATTTGAGGTAAAAACTTTATAAGGAATTTTTTTTTTAAATAGGATAACTTTTTGTTTTTTTTTTGAGATGGGGTCTTGCTTGCTCTCTTCCCAGCCTGGAGTCCGGTAGCACAATCATGGCTCACTGCAGCCTCGACCTCCCAGGCTCAGGTGATCCTCCAGCCTCAGTCACCAAAGTAGCTGAGAATAAAGATGCATGCCACCACGTCCTGCTGTTTTTTTTTTATTATCGTCATTTTTGGTTGAGACGAGGTCTTGCTATGCCTCCTAGGCTCATTTTAAAGTCCTGGACTCAAGCAATCCTCCTGCCTTACCCTCCCAAAGTGCTGGGAGTACAGGCATGAGCCACCACACCTGGCCTACATATTTGGACAGGAAAAAAGTTGTGGGTTACAACATCCGGAATTGAAACACATAAGTATATGAGAGGATTATGAGAGGAATGCCTCATGAACAAGAATAATTTGCTTTAACTCAAATTTTAACAAAGTTCCAGATAACTGATTTTTAGGAATATTAATACTTTCGACAATGAATATCAAACATTCTGCTTGGTTTATTTTGTAGAATTACCAGAATAGGAAGACATAGAAAATATGCCTTAGTTTTTTTTTTTTTTTTCTTCAATTATGGCTCATGTGGGTGATTGTATTTCTCAAAAATGTCTTCCTCACTATTTCTGACAACATACTGCTCTTCCACAATCTTACCATTTCCCCATCAAAATGTGGTGGCTACCTTTCCTTCCCAAGAAAATGAATAGGACAGTGTAATTGCTGTAATGAACGTAATGTGGCAGAAATGATGTACTGTGAATTCTGAGTCTAGGTCATAAATGAGATGTGGCTTGTACCTACTTTTCTGTCTTGGGATGTTTGATGATGAAATCCACCTACCACATTATTGAGAAAGTCCAGTCTACAAAGAGAGGGCATATGCAGTGTTTCATTCAAAAGCTCCTACCTAAGGTCCCAGCTGACAGCCAGCATCAGCTGCAGCTGACTTCAGTGAATGAGACTAAAAGATTCCAACTCTCATCCTTCCAGCCACCCCAGATGGTAATGAATGAAGCAGAAATTATCTGTTCAGTTGAGCCCTACCAAACTCAGTTTTGTGAAACATGTTAATGGGTTGCTTTAAGCTACTACTTTTGGTGTGGTTTGTTATATACTGTTTTAAAATATATGTGTTTTATTACTATTTAGGTATGGCTAGGCTAACAGATCAAAAGGCAACTGCCATTGAAAATATGGTTCTTTATACTCTCAGATCCCAAGAGGAGAGGCCACAAGAGGCCACATGGGAAGCACTAGGGTCAGTCAGGGAGTGGGGAAAACATGGACAAGATCCCTTATTGTGGGTCTGTGGGGAGAAGTGGGTATGGCAGGCAGGATAACTAGGTTTAGGATTGCCTAGTTTGAATAATTTCAGCTGCTTCTGGGGCAGAAAGGCTATACCAAGTTGTCTAGTACCTGGCTCTGGAGTGATTAGGGAACAGGAATAGTGACCCTGAATGGGGGGGCCTGACAGAGGACTTAGTTGGGGGTGTGGGTTCTGATTTGCATTTGAAAGGCCTGCTTGAGCATGAACTATTTGCTATCTCTAGGAATTGCCCCTGGGAAGGGCAGACCGTCCAGAGTCAGCAAGGCTCTAGGTACCAAAGCACCACGATGCAGGAAATAAAAAAGTGATGGTTAACAGAGTAGCAATAGGTAAACTGTATATAGATAGATATCTATATATACATATCTATGTATTTATCTATGTATATATCTACAGGTTTTTAATCAGAAGTAAGATGAGATATTAATTTAAGGAAAACTCAAATTTAGTCCCGTGGATCTAGGACTGCGGGGCAGGAAGAAGCCGAAAGTACAAAAAGTAAAAAGTCTGATTCACTTGAGTTGGCTGTTGATAACTTAATGGGAAGTGAAAAAGAGGTTATTGGAAGCTCGAGGATAGGGAAAATTTGTTTTGTAGTGGCAGAAAGTTTTAGAAGAGTTGCCTGTAGTGATGTGGAATATCGAAATTATAACTGATAAACTGATGACCTAGCTAAGGAGATTTCCAGGCAGAAGGATGAAGTTGATTCCTGGGTTCTCACTACCTATCATAAAATGCCTGAGGAGAATGATATACTGAAGAAAGAACTAGTAAATACAAAGAACCAAGTACTTATTGGGTTTGAAAATGAACTTGCTCCCAATTCCCATCCTCTTCAGATGGAAACAATACTAAATTTAATAAATGGCTTCTGGGCAAAGACAGCATCAGGGTATTGCCATGAAAACATGATGTATAGATGAAGACAAGGGTGCAACTGCACAACACTTGGTTAAGAGTCCAGAGATTTGAGGTACCCAGATTAAACAAAAATTCCTTTAAGTATCTCGTATATATTTTCTTAAAAAAAAAATTAGGCTTCTAAGACTATTAAGAACATTGCCCTGAAGTACTCTTTTAGAAAACCTAAGATACAGGAAGACTTATTTCAAGGAGACTTGTGAGTGTGGATTTTATCTAATGGGGCAAACTACGATAACATTTATAAGCAATTCATAGATTTTTTGAGGAGAATGATATTGGTTGAAACCTTGCCAGCTTGGAGGAAAAGATACAATGAAAATAGGTCTTTGTAGCTTTAAACTTTTGTGGATAGGAAACCAGCTAAAAAGAGAACTGTTTGGCTACAAATACCAACATTGTATGGCAAAGGAATAATGACTTAAAAGAGGCTCTAAGCAAAATCTCACGAGACAAAACCAAGAGCTGCCACTGAATCTCCAGTAGCTATGGAGACTCACTCTTTGTAACATGTGCCCAGCTGTACTTTAGAATTTCTGTGAAGAGTGATTTCTGGGTGTCTAAGATTTCTCTCCCTTTCAAATGAAATGATCTATATTGCATGTCTAACCATAATATATTGAGGTTGTGAGGGGAAGCTAACTTGCCTATTTAGCTTATAGGTCATCAGATCAATAGGAACTATTCTCTAGAGACAGTACTAGAGAAATACAGGATAGAAACTTCCTCTGTAGTTGGATTTAATTTAGGCAATGAGATCGTAAACCTCCATCCTGAAACTGATGCATTATGAGGCAAATCTTTAGGAGAACAGGTGATTCTATTTTGCATATGAGGAGAAAATGAATTGCTATGACCATAGAGTAGATAATGTAGTTTTCAAAAAATGGTTTCAGAAATATTTCCAGGCCCACATAACCTTCCAGAAGCTTTCCTATTATTGTTTTAAGCTACAAAGTATGGAGTTATTCTGATGTTATTAGTGAATGAGCTATTTATCCTTTTCAGGAAAATTAAAAACAAATTTTTATTTTATCCTTCCCACAATGTTTGTAGATTTTAAAAAATCTGCTTTTGATTGACAGTTATGGGTATTTGAGTAACTTTTGTAAAGTTTCATGTCTTGTAATTCTGGAAGGCAGATTCAAATCCAGTCTTTTTCCAGAAGCTATGCTCTTAGTCACTAAGCTATGTGGTTTACTTATTTATTGAGTGCCTCTTTTATATCTAGCACTGAACTAAATGTTTTACAAAGAAAAAGAACCCCATTATTATTATTATCATTCAACATTTGGACAAATGAGTACACAGAGAAATAAAGTTCCTTGCTTAAACTCACACAGCTTGAGAGTGGCAAAACTAGCTCTTGAACCCTGGGAGTCAAGCTCCAGAAACCCTGCTTTTAAACAATGTCATAAGCTGCTGCTGTGGAGCTCTCTTCCTTCTTCTTTTTTTTTTTTCCCAGTAGATCGTAAATTTATTATTTTCTTTTCAGAAAGCAGAATAGAAAACCAGGACTGTAGTAGTACAATTCGAATGTCACCAGATTATTTCTCCAAATATTTGACCCAACTCTCATATAGAGATATGCTTTACAAAGATAGCCTTTACTAGGAAGTCCAATTTTTCTTAAATTTTCACATTACTTTGATAACCATTTAGACTGTGCTAAATATAGATATTCTCACAATTGTGTGATAATTTGAAGTTTGTGAATTTCAGTGCTTGTTATTGTAAAAACAAACAAAACATCCACTTCTTTTCTGAATTGCCACCCTGAACACTTTTTGTCAGTGCTTTTCCCCCCATATTCTTCATCAAATTATTGTAATTTTTTTAAAAAAACTATGTCTTAACTATTCCACCAGTCTGTGAAAACATTTCAGGAAACATAGCACCCAGAATGTAAAGTTATAATATAAATTTGATGAGTGAGTAGATCAATAATTCCTAGTCAAACAATAAATTTTTATATCTATAAAATATTTGCCTCTATATGTCAGAGAAATTTTTAAAAGTGTATACAATGAAATGCATGATAGTTTTTTGAAATATATACTGTAATACTTCCAGAAGTAAAGTATATGTATGTTATTTTATACTGTAATTTTATAGGTAATTATATAATATGGTATAATTATATATTATATATAGTATATACAATATATAAGTATATGTAACTATATATGTATATATTTATATGTAATAGACACACAAACATATATTTTAAATTTAACAAATACTTTTAGTCCAGACACTGTTCCAAGCACTTTACAAAATGTTAACTCATTTGATTTCTAAAATAATCCAATGAAGTAAGAGCCATTATTTTTCTCATTTTAAAATTGAAGGAACAGATACACAGACATCTATATAGCAATTTGTTCAGTCACACATTGGGTAAGCAGGGGAATTTGAACCCAGGCAGTCTAATATTAGAATCACTACTAGTAACTATTACAGAATAATGCATATGAAATTGTTCTTAGTATGGCATCCACAAGCACTAGGCAAGTATATTAGACTGAACCATCCTTTTTACCCATAAAAATGTAATTTCATGTTTCAACCAATATAGTTAAGGGTGGAATTCGACCAAGAAAAGGATAAATAACTTTATTTTCTGTGAATAAGTCACAATAAGGTTGAGAAGAAAATAGACAAGTTATAGGATAGTACATCCTCCTAATGTCACAGTGACAGCTTTGTCTTCAAGAAGCAATGTAAAGAGTGTTTCTTTAGTGTCTTAACTTTCTAATCAATTTAACAATCACAGGATGTGTACTGAGAAGCAGCAGGACTGACCATAATTGATATGTAAATACAGCTGCGGAGATTCAATTGCTAAAGAGTGAAACCCTGCCCTATGATGTTTTACAGTTAAAGACAAATGTGTGATCCACCAGTCTGGGGGTGACTGATCAACTGAAAAGAAATCCCTGAACAAGTAGATATTGCTTTGGTAAGGTACTCTTAATTCAGCAAGAGTTAATACAACAGCACCAAAAGCATTCTGTTTTGGACTTTTTAGGCTGACAACACATTATTTTACTTTGCTTGAATTTTGACACGAGATATATATTTTTATCTAGATGCCAGGCACTGAATCTTTTTTTTTTTCTTTTCAGGTAGATAAATAACTTTTCTCAGAAATGTATTCTAAAGGAGAGAGAAAGCTGGTGTCTGTACTTCTGGAATCAACGTCTGGCTTTTTTAGTTCTTAAAAAATAGTGTGACCTTAATCAAAACATTTCTTTCTATGAGTTAGTGTACTCAATTACATTTATTTACTTGAGTTTTTCATTACAATCTAACTGATCATGTGATTAAGTGATAAGGATATGTCTATGGCTATGATTTGGCTCTATACTAAAGGAGGATGAATAAGGGACTAAGAAAATCTAAGAAGAATATGTATTAGGTTGGTGCAAAAGTAAATGTAATATTTGCCATTACCTTTAAAAGCAGAAACCACAATTACCTTTGCACCAACCTAATAATATCTGCCTCTATATTTCAGAGAAATTCTCAGAAGTATATGAAATAAAACACATAAAATTATTTTTGGAAATATACATTGTAAATATCACAGTATTATAAAACCTAATGTGAGTGCAGTAATAAAAATAAAGTATGCTTATTGAGTATCTACTTTGAGGAAGTCTTTAAGTCTCATCTTGGCTATAAAATGACAATCACTGCAAACTTCTCTTTTATTTTGAAGCACCCAGCATTCTCCTTTTGACCCAATACTATAAGCTAAAGTTTCCAGCAGTGGTACTGTTATGGAACAACAGGGATCGCTGAGATTTAGAATTACTAACATGCATAAATAATTATCAATTTGGTAAGAACAAAGTGATAAGATGAATTTTGCGTAAGAGATTTAAAGTATACTTTGTTAGGGAGTGTGATGAGAAAGATGAACTAGGCAAAATATTTAAAAGTATATCCTTATATACAATATACAATATATACAATATACCAGTCCATAGCCTCTTAGGAACTGAGCCACACAGCGGGAGGTGAGTGTCAGGTAAGCAAGCAAAACTTCATTTATATTTATGGCCACTCCCCATCACTTGCATTAGCACCTGAGCTGTAGCTTTCATCAGAGCAGCAGTGACATCAGATTCTCATAGGCGCATGAATTCTATTGTGAACTGTGCATGCCAGGGATCTAGGCTGCATGCTCTTTATGCCTGATGATCTATCACTGTCTCCAGTCACCCCCACATGGGACCGTCTAGTTGCAGGAAAACAAGCGCAGGGCTCCCACTGATTCTACATTATGGTGAGTTGTATAATTATTTCATTATATATTACAATGTAATAATAATAGAAATAAAGTGCACAATAAATGTAATGCACTTGAGTCATCCGAAAACCATCTCCCACAACCCCCATGGTCCGTGGAAAAATTGTCTTCCATAGAACTGTTCCCTGGTGTCAAAAAGGTTGGGGGACCATTGCTATATAGAAGAAATGCCTAATTATGTACCCTATTACTCTAGACATAGATTAATATATATCCATATATTATTCTATATGTTGACTTATTTATAACCGAGATATGTAAGACACTTTATCACATAAGCTCAAATATATCTATTCAATATAATTTTTCTTAATAAACAAATCTGAGGAAAAACAAAGAAAAAATTAAAGACTCTCAAAGGCAAGCAAGGAATTCAGCTTGTAAGTAGCATGGAGAAAAATAGTATCTGCCAAAGGCTTATAAAACAGTAAAGAAGATTGACTCAGAAAATGAGTCCAGTGTTTAAGCAGCATGAAATGAAAAACAATATACAGTGTACTGTTATAATGTTTTAAAGCATTATGGATTTTATATTGGTGTTCATAGCAACATCTAATCTGCCTTAGAAACTTATTTTGACAGTGTTTTGTACTCAGGATGCATATCAAAGCTTTGCTACCACACTTTGATCAGAATCAGACTCAGGAATAGATATTATCTAACTTCTAACTTAGCATCCTCAATTATCATATTTTATCAGATCTGAACTGTGATGAAGATTTTGGATGATGTGTAATAGGAGCTAAACAATCATGAATTTCACTCACCAAATTCAAAATGTAAACATGGTTGTGTGAAATACAGTCATTGCCATGTATTTGATTGAAATATCTCATTTGACTTTCTGATAATTTGGGATACAATAAAAGTGAATTAGTGGTGACATCTAATATTTTTCTAAGGGAAATATAGCTCTATATGTCTTTCTAAAGAATAAAAATTGTATACTTATTCATTTATGTTTTGAGATGTTTCTTTTTTTGTACACCAGTCAATAGCCAAGTACTGCCTACCATTTGTCAGTTTCATTTTAAGGGAAAGGTAGGTAAGAAATCCTTAAAATTTTCATTCTGAATATCTTTTCCTATACTTTAAAAAATAAGGACCAGCTTATTGTATAGCTTCACTCAACAAAATAGAAGCCAACAGAGCATTACTCTACATTCTCTGAAAACGTAATTTAATTCAGCTTTAGTTTTATGCATTTATCTATGACAAGCAACTAATTAATTATAATATGTGATTCAAATTAAAAGTTATTATCAAAGTTTTGTGGCATAATTCTATAGTAAAGGAAATTGATGTAATTTAGTCCAAATTTATTGCTTCTTGTTTATTCTAAAGATAATTCTGGTATGGGCTTTCTAAATTAAGAAATATCTAGGAAGAAGAAAGTTTTGTCTTTTAAAACATACATCCTTAGTGGTATTCATATCTCCTAAATAGCTTCATAGATAGTAGAAGTTTTATATATAGAACACCTCGTGTTCACACTTGTTAGTAGTCAGAATAAAAAATATTTTAAATAGTGACACCTTATAAAATTAAATATAGTTCTTTCCATATATATGACCTCAAAACCAAACCTATTTGCAAAGTTTCTATGTCATAGTTTCCTTGGTTAGAAGTGAAGGAACAAATTTTGTAAGTAAAATGTAAAGCAATACTGACAATAAATATATATGGTGATTCGCTACTCAGTAAGAAATACCTCAAATTCAAAAAAGTACACTAATGATCACTGTACATTCAGAAACTCAGCCATTAATCCTCTGGCAAATTTTAAGTCTGTGATTCAGAATAATTTCCTTGCAAATATCCAGAGAAACCAACAGTATCTCACAAAGCTTAGTGAACCTCAATTCTGTTAAATGAAGTTTTATTATCTGTTTGCCTTTTTAATGGAGGCAAGACAAGGCATTCAAAAATACACAATATATGAGATCTAAACAATTAGATCCCATTAGAGTATACTTTAGAGTCAGTTTTTAGAGTTTTTGTTTTATTCTTGATTGCTCACACATTTACTTAAAACTCTTAGACTAGTTACGACTATCTTCTTATTCATATGGACCTTACAGGTCAAACAAACATATATGAGCATGGAATGTTCTTCCATTTGTTTGTATCCTCTTTTATTTCATTGAGCAGTGGTTTGTAGTTCTCCTTGAAGAGGTCCTTCATGTCCCTTGTAAGTTGGATTCCTAGGTATTTTATTCTCTTTGAAGCAATTGTGAATGGGAGTTCACTCACGATTTGGCTCTCTGTTTGTCTGTTATTGGTGTATAAGAATGCTTGTGATTTTTGCACATTGATTTTGTATCCTGAGACTTTGCTGAAGTTGCCTATCAGCTTAAGGAGATTTTGGGCTGACATGATGGGGTTTTCCAGACATACAATCATGTCATCTGCAAACAGGGACAATTTGACTTCTTCTTTTCCTATTTGAATACTCTTTATTTCCTTCTCCTGCCTGATTGCCCTGGCCAGAGCTTCCAACACTATGTTGAATAGGAGTGGTGAGAGAGAGCATCCCTGTCTTGTGCCAGTTTTCAAAGGGAATGCTTCCAGTTTTTGCCCATTCAGTATGATATTGACTGTGGGTTTGTCATAGATAGCTCTTATTATTTTGAGATACGTCCCATCAATACCTAATTTATTGAGAGTTTTTAGCATAAAGCATTGTTGAATTTTGTCAAAGGCCTTTTCTGCATCTATTGAGATAATCATGTGGTTTTTGTCATTGGTTCTATTTATATGCCGGATTACGTTTATTGATTTGTGTATGTTGAACCAGCCTTGCATCCCAGTGGATAAGCTTTTTGATGTGCTGCTGGCTTCTGTTTGCCAGTTTTTATTGAGGATTTTTCATCGATGTTCATCAGGGATATTGGTCTAAAATTCTCTTTTTTTGTTGTGTCTCTGCCAGACTTTGGTATCAGGATGACGCTGGCCTCATAAAATGAGTTAGGGAGGATTCCCTCTTTTTCTATTGATTGGAATAGTTTCAGAAGGAATGGTAGCAGCTCCTCCTTGTACCTCTGGTAGAATTCAGCTGTGAATCCATCTGGCCCTGGACTTTTTTTTGGTTGGTAAGCTATTAATTATTGCCTGAATTTCAAAGCCTTTTATTGGTCTATTCAGAGATTCAACTTATTCCTGGTTTAGGTAGGAAGAATCAATATCGTGAAAATGGCCATTCTGCCCAAGGTAATTTATAGATTCAATGCCATCCCCATCAAGCTAACAATGACTTTCTTCACAGAATTGGAAAAAACTACTTTAAAGTTCATATGGAACCAAAAAAGAGCCCACATCGCCAAGTCAATCCTAAGCCAAAAGAACAAAGCTGGAGGCATCATGCTACCTGGCTTCAAACTATACTACAAGGCTACAGTAACCAAAACAGCATGTTACTGGTACCAAAACAGAGATATAGACCAATGGAACAGAACAGAGCCCTCAGAAATAATGCCGCATATCTACAACTATCTGATCTTTGACAAACCTGACAAAAACAAGAAATGGGGAAAGGATTCCCTATTTAATAAATGGTGCTGGGAAAACTGGCTAGCCATATGTAGAAAGCTGAAACTGGATCCCTTCCCTACACTTTATACAAAAATTAATTCAAGATGGATTAAAGACTTAAATGTTAGGTCTAAAACCATAAAAACCCTAGAAGAAAACCTAGGCAATACCATTCACGACATAGGCATGGGCAAGGACTTCATGTCTAAAACACCAAAAGCAATGGCAACAAAAGACAAAATTGACAAATGGGATCTAATTAAACTCAGGAGCTTCTGCACAGCAAAAGAAACTACCATCAGATTGATCAGGCAACCTACAGAATGGGAGAAAATTTTTGCAATCTACTCATCTGACAAAGGGCTAATATCCAGAATCTACAATGAACTCAAACAAATTTACAAGAAAAAAACAAACAACCCCATCAATAAGTGGGTGAAGGATATGAACAGACGCTTCTCAAAAGAAGACATTTGTGCAGCCAAAAGACACATGAAAAAATGCTCATCATCATTGGCTATTAGAGAAATGCAAATCAAAACCACAATGAGATACCATCTCACACCAGTTAGAATGATGATCATTAAAAAGTCAGGAAACAACAGGTGCTGGAGAGGATGTGGAGAAATAGGAACACTTTTACACTGTTGGTGAGACTGTAAACTAGTTCAACCATTGTGGAAGTCGGTGTGGCGATTCCTCAGGGATCTAGAACTAGAAATACCATTTGACCCAGCCATCCCATTACTGGGTATATACCCAAAGGACTATAAATCATGCTGCTATAAAGACACATGCACACGTATGTTTACTGCGGCACTATTCACAATAGCAAAGACTTGGAACCAACCCAAATGTCCAACAATGATAGACTGGATTAAGAAAATGTGGCACATATACACCATGGAATACTATGCAGCCATAAAAAACGATGAGTTCATGTCCTTTGTAGGAACATGGATGAAGCTGGAAACCATCATTCTCAGTAAACTATCGCAAGGACAAAAAACCAAACACCACATGTTCTCACTCATAGGTGGGAATTGAACAATGAGAACACATGGACACAGGAAGGGGAACATCACGCACCAGGGCCTGTTTTGGGGTGGGGAGAGCATGGAGGGATAGCATTAGGAGATATACCTAATGTTAAATGAAGAGTTACTGGGTTCAGCACCCCAGCATGGCACATGTATACATATGTAACAAACCTGCACGTTGTGCACATTTACCCTAAAACTTAAAGTATAATAATAAAAAAAGAAACATACATAATGAAATTATATATAAGAAATATCTTATCTTTTAATTAGACAAAGATTATAGAGTCTATAAAAATACAATGAAATATAACTAAACTCTATCATTAGAGTTCACTTTTTGATTGATAGTTGCTAAATCAGTAAAGCAGAAACCCAGGCAGGAAAAGACTTGATTGTGTGGTACTAGGCAGAGTGTGAGAGGCCAGCTTTTCCTCTAGTATTTCTCTGTTGTATTCTCTGTGCCTTTGTTGTGCTTTGTCTGTATTCTTCCAATGTCATCTCATCCAGTCCTACAAATTCAAACATAATATTCTTGTTGATGATGGTCAAATTTACATCTTCAGGCCTTGTCTCTCCACTCCCACTGCCTTATACTCTTTTTTATTTTCTTCATATAACTTACAAAATTCATTGTTATTTCATTTTTTTGTATGCTTGATTTGTTTTTGTCTGTCTTCCTCACTGTAATGTAAACACTGAGATCAGAGATCAGAGTCTAGAACTAGACTAGACCAGGTCGAGTTCAATTGGTTTATAGTAAGCAATTGATAGTTACAGACCTTTGAGGTAACATTGGTATATTTTTTGTTTTCTCACTTGTCTCTCCTGCCATCTACATCTTCTCCTCACTGAGTATTCTCTGTGTTAGTACATGATACCAGTAATCACATAATTAACATTAGCTAGAAGTCTAGGTCCTTACCCTTACCCAGTCCATCAACAAGTCCCATCAACTTCATTTTCAAGATATTTCCTGCAGAGCTCTGCCATTTCTTTAAGAAACACCATCATCCCTTACTTGGACTATGCAACAGTTTTCAAACTTGCCTCATGTACTTCTACACTTACCCACTTGCAAAATATCAAGTGATTTTGTTAAACATAATTCTAATCACAATATTTCATGCTTAAAAATCTTCAGTGGTTTTGTACTGTGCTAACAATGAAAAGATTTCAAAATAATATTGGTGATCTACAATATCTGAATTTATTTGTGATCCTTATTTTCTTTCCAGTCATTTCTTACTATTATTTCCTCCCTAGAGGACCGTGTCCACTCATGCTGGACTTCTCTTCATTCCTGGAGGAAGCCACTCTCTAGTCTGCCTTAAGGTATTTGCATATATTGGTCCTCCTACCTGGAATAATTTTCCTCCTCTCTTTTCTAGTAGCTAATTCTGTCTCAACCTTAAAGTCCTACATTAATATTAATGTTTTAGAGAATTATTTGTTCATCTTACTCCTACAATTAAACTCCACCTTGGTGCCCCAATATGCCCTTGCTTGTTTCCTTCATAAAACTTGGAAAATTAAAAAACTTTTAAATTTGTTTTTGTTTTTTGTTTTTGTCTATCCTTCTCACTGTAATGTAAACTCTTTTTTTTTTTTTTTGAGATGGAGTTTTGCTCTTGTTGACCAGGCTGGAGTGCAATGGTGTGATCTTGGCTCACTGCAACCTCTACCTCCTGGGTTCAAATTATTCTCTTGCCTCAGCCTCTGGAGTAGCTGGGATTACAGGCATGTGCCACCACCCCTGGCTAATTAATGTAAAATCTTTGAGACCAGAGACTGTGCTGTTTAGTTTGCTTGGCTTTTAGGCAAGTTAACAATCAATAATTATTGTGGAGTAAATGAAATCCTCTTATCTCATGATGCGTCCTACCCCAAAAACCCATCAAATAATCCCTCAGAGGACTTAGTTAACAGCCAAGACATAACTAAAAAGAAATTTTGAATAGTTCAACCAAACTATAGCCCTAACGGTTAGATGTCACATAGTGTAATCATAGTATATGTCAAATTTCTTCAGTTACAAGCAAAATCAACCCAATTCTAAGTAGCAAAAATTTGACATTTATTGATTGATATAATGAGATAAGCCAGGGATTAGTTTGATTCTGGTATGCTTGGATCCAGGGACTCATATAATATATAGGGTTCCATTTTTGTCTTCACCTGGACTCGATTGCGTGACAGAATAGCAATTTTCTGACTTCCTAAAATATACATCCAACCAGCCTGGTAACCCTGGAAGAAATAAAACATTTTATTAAGTACCTCAGGTAATTGGCCCAAAGAAAAATTTTATTAGCCTGCATTGGTTATACACTTATTTTGAACCAATAACTTTCCAAGGGATAATCTTGCTTACTGGGCCTCAGGTTTTATGCCCATTAGTGCAGTGCTGACCCAAGAATAGCAGGGATGCTATTAGATGACAAGTAAAAATATTCTAGGGAAAAAGGGCAAATCGTATTTCTTCTACCAACTTTTTGTCAAAAGTAGTGTTAGTTTTACTTTAAATTAAAGCTCTGCTAAATAATTTCTTCACAGCTTTGATAAATGCAATCTAATAGATAACTTTTGTTATCCTACTCTTATATTTTGCCTGTTGTTGAAGTCATAATATATAGGCAATGACTACTCAAATGACAAGTAAGAATAAGCCTGCATTTTATATACAGGAGACAAATATTAAAATGTTCAAATACAAGCGTTATTTAAAACAATAGATTATGATTGGTCCATAAAACTCATGGAATATCCTCCTATCTGAGATTATCAGGAAAAAATGAAAAGGTAACCCTTTTCAAGAACTTTTGAAGAGGAAATAAATATTGAAAAGAGATGTCAGTCTAGTTGAAACAAAAGCATTTCATCTATAACTAGCAATGATTACCTTGAGCTTTGATAAACTAGATTTCCCCAAAGTTTATTGATTTCAGTCTTTAATTTAAAAATAAGATGTAGTAAGCTCATAATAAAGCATAAGAAAACTTTCATATGATTATTTTTTCTGTTGTGGTCAGTTGTGTTAAAAAAATCAAAGTGAGAAATGACAATTATAAAACACTAAAAAAATTCATCATTTTAGGCCTTTCAGTGATATTGTGTTAAAGGAGATCTTGCCTAGGGCTCTAACATCCATCCTGCAACAGAATAAAACATTTGGGACTTTTGTATGGTTATCTGATATTTAAAAGCGGCCTGTTTGAAATTTTGTTTCTAAGTAGATATTATTTACAGTTTGTGAAACGCAATGAATTCAGTCTATAAATCAGCCTTCAAGAACACAAATCTTGTTGGCTGCCATGTTAATAAATCAACTTACCTAAATAATCTTGGGACTCTGACAATGATGCAGGCTGTGGGCTTGGAAATTTAGCCATTGCCTTACTGTGGACTTGATCTTCTGACATTTTAATGGATTGAGCTCCTATTTCTGATGGTTCAGTTTATACATGGACATAAACTATTTTGAGCACTTCAGAGCTGAGAGCTAAGAGCTGATGTCCAGGTTTGGAGTCAAACTGTCTGTCCTTAGGACTAACTGGGATAGAATAAAGTGTACATCTAAAGAGTTTCCATTATATGTGTAATTACCGCCCTAAATAATATCATATATACATGCCCAACCAAACAAAGTAACAATAAAACAAAGGGTATTTCAGAGGGGATGATATATTTTCATAAACTTCCCTCATCTCTTCAAGTTAACTAACTTTATTATTTATTGTGTGTGTGTGTATGTGTGCACGCTTGTGTGTTAAAACAAATGGATGCTATTGCTTCAAGGAATAATTGCAGCTTTCAAAAACACAGAGTCTGATGTTTGAAGCACTTTAATTGTACTTTTTTCCTAGTGTCTGGAATTGTTTGGCAATAAATTGTATTCTGTGCTGCTTCAATTGCTAGTCTTTTCAGATCCGACTGCACTTAATTACTCAAGACATGATCTGCTAAAAGCTACATCTGGAAACAATGTCACTCACTGTGTTTGGCATTGAAAGTTGGAATTATGTTAAATGAATACTTTTAACCACAAAACTTTGAGAAAAGCATTAGAGCCGCCAGGCACTTTCTATGGATTTAGCTTAAAACGAATAGTGTAGGCTGTTTATGCAATATTTATTTTCTGAACTTTCTTGATGTGACTATGGTGATGTCTTTGTCTTTGTTTACCTTTATCTTTAGTATTCATCTGACCAGAGTTTCCCATATAATTCTTGTCCTCCCCCATATTAAGAGCATATCTTGTCTTTTCTACTCATCAATTTATTTTTTTGTTCATTTGTTTTTGAGAGTTTCTTGCTCTGTCGCCCAGGCTGGCGTGCAGTGGCACAATCATAGCTCACTGCCACCACGACTTTCCAGGCTCAAGTGATCTTCCCACCTCAGCCTCCCAAGTAGCTAGGATTTCAGGCATGCACCACCACACCCAGCTAATTATTTAATTTTTTGTAGTGACAGAGTCTTGCTGTGTTCTTCAGGCTGGTCCCTAACACCTGGCCTCACGCTATCCTCCTGCCTCGGTCTCCCAGAGTGTTGGGATTATAGGCGTCTGTCACCACACTCGGATATTTTTTATGCTAAGCATAGTAGGCAAAATATTAAACTTAGCCTTTGGATGTCAAAGGCAATAAAAGATTTTCCCATTTGAGAAAAAGTTTATTTTAATTTCAGAAATAGCACAGAAATTCTTTAGAATTTATTTCATAGAATTGAAATATATGCTTCTGTCCACAACTTTGTGGCTTCTTCAGAGTACCCAGTGAACGTGGCTTATGCTACATGGAGACCGTGGCTTGGGCACATCCTGTGATATTTTGGATCCTGTATTTCTTTCACACTGTAAACATGCCTGGGCTTCAAAAGATGACTATGGTGATGTCTTTGTTTTGCTTACTTGGGGTTGAATCAGTCCAAAGGTAGCAGTGATATAAAATTAATAGTATGTTCAGTTAAATACGTGTCTTTGGAAACTAAATATAATACAGATACTAGTGAAAGTACTAAAACTTATTAATAAGATACCTTTATTATAATGTAATACTTATAATAATATAAATATCTTATTATAATAAGTATCTTTTACATAAAATTTAATGCAATAATAAGGTCCTTTCTATGACCCTCTTTCCTGGCTAACAGTATTATTTCTGATGTTTTTAGTTTTCAGTGACATAATGAGATACATGATTGTGTTTTCCACTTCAACATGATTTTAAAATATTTTTTTCTTATAGAAAAATGTTTAGTGTTAGTAGAACCCCCTGCTGCTTTTATTATTTTCCTTAAGTAATTTAATAAAGGCAGCCTTATATAACATCTTTTTAAATTGACTGAGGCTAGCGACACATGAGAACAAAATACCCCACAACTCCATTCATCTTTGATATTTGATTTACAAGCTACAGTTAAGCTTGTTGATTAAAAAGCAAAGCAAAATCAGGGGAATCTGAATGACACCATTCACTGAAAGAGAGGCAGCTTTCTCAGCAATTTACATTCCTCATAGTAGGTTAATTGACAAATAGATTACTAAAGAATTGACACTATGCGACACTTTGGCATGGTAATTAATACTATATTTGGCAGAAGTCAGATGCTCATTGACCGTCACAGAAGATGATCAGTTTATGTCTTCAGAATCTGCTAGCTGCATGGCAAGACATTGCAGGGTAAATTGTTTACATTGTTAATTATATCAACATAATATTGCATTGTATTAGTCTATCCATTCTGGAATATTTACTTTGATGGTAATACATGCATTATACAGTTGAATCAGTTTAAAATCAACACTGTGCCACAGTGTAGATTGTATAAATTGTATTACCTTAATATGGCACTTACTGATGGGAAATAATTTAAGACTGAATGGTCAACAGAGGTCCTCTCTTTGAATACAACACTTCAGAGCATTAGTGAAATGAGTCACAGCCAAGAGATGAAAGGGTTGGTGTCCTGATATCTGTGTTTCTATTACCATCATTCCACAATTGAAAGCATTTTCTGCATAGCTTGTAGAACTTATCATTAAAGAACCACTCTTTTGAATAATGTTCTACAGATATTTGAACTAACTCTCTGAAGAATATATTAAGGTTATTTCCCCAAGTTTTCTGTTAACTCTGTTATATGTCTGCAGTATTTTCATGCTATCATTGAAGTTATACTTTTAAAATATCAGAATACTATATAATAAATCTTTCTTGGACTTACATGGTGTAATAATGAGGAAATACATTACTTTTGATTATAAAAAGTTGCAAAAACTTGAAAACTTAAACTTCTTTCCCTTTCTTGCTTCTGGTGAATAAATAGAGTTATAGAAACAACCTTACATGTCTGGGTTCAATGCCTTGGATCAAGTATAGGGTCATGCGTAACACTGGATTCCATGTTGACAATTCCTCTAAAATGGGGAAAAAATGCCATTCGATACTGAAAATTATTATGGGATATGAAAATGTAGACTAAGAAAGCATGCATATAAACTGCATATTCTGAATTTTGCAATTGCTGTTTGGGATTAACTATGTAAATGCTTTCTGGTCATCTGAATGCAAATGACAGATATGAAACGTAATGAATAAAAGTGCATATATTTTATATATCTCATTATATTGACTTACAATATTGACTTCCTTTACATTCATTTGTAATGCACTTAAATTGGTACATTAAGGAACAAAAACTATTTGGATATTTTATAGAAATTTTCTAAATAATTCAGTATTTTAGAAATAAAGTTCAGCCAGCAGTTAACAAAGATATTTGGTAAGCATGGTTCCATGATATCTCAATAGGAGTTATGTTGATAATTTTATGTGTTTTTTCACATTACTTATATCAATAACATGTTTTCATCAGTCTTTTCTTTATTTTCATTTATTTTAAACAGAAGGGAAATTATCATTTATTTGGTTACAACTATCTCATGCTGTACTTGAAAATATTATATCTGATAGCAAGAAAACAACTACTCACCCATATAAAATATACTTTTCCTGTACATTTTATTTTTCTGTACTAATAAATGGATGCAAATGTTTATTTCTTCTTTTATCACTAACAGTCCCTTTAGATTTCTACTTTCGTTGACTTAAGAATGATTTTTCTACCATATTTGTGAGCTACTTATAATTCTTTTTTTTTTCAGTACCTAATTACCTTTGGAAAAAAATGAGTTTGTTTTCTGGATGTTTTCTTCTCTTTTTCTAATGGAGCAAAGGGAGTAACACTTCCCCTATCCTCGTCTTCCATTAACCAGTTGCCTTTGGTTCCTCAAGAAGTACAATGGCTCTCATGAGCTTATTACTGCTTTATTTATCTGTAAAACCTTTATCCTCTATCTCAATGCCTTTTGTATTTCCCATTTCATTTTGTTCCTTTACTTTCTAGATTGTTTTCATGTGTTCTTGAATCAAGCAGGCTTTTTCTGCAAGGTTAATATTCTATGTACTTTTCCTTTTTTCTTTCTTATTTTTTGGTCTTTGATCATTCTTTCCATTTCCCTGGCCCTTCATATGGATCATTTACAACTTCACATAAAAGTTTATTTATTTGAATTCCCTGAAATCAACCCATGAATACTTCACTTTGTGTGTGTGTGTGTGTGTGTGTGTGTGCGTGTGTGTTTCCCCCTCTAGGCTCTAGCTCACTTATAACTCTGTTTTGCAACGTATTTCCTTTAGTGGAACACACATTTATCATACTGTACCCTGTTTCTCCTGGGGCTCTTTTGGCTACTTTCTTTAAGGACCTTGTGTAGCATTTTTGTTTTAGGACCAACTGATCTAGACTAATCAGGATGAAGGCCCTTCAGATGTTTCATTTTATTTGAAACCTATTTATTCTGTGGCCACAGCAAACATTTCAAAATGACTTTTATCTCTTATCCACCACAGAGTAAACAGATCTCCAGCAGGGATGAGATCTCTCATTTTGTATACTCTCTCCTGCTTCCTGCTATGTAAGAGATTCTAGAACAACGATCAAAACTGTGATTTCACAAAGCTGCGTGCAACACATGCAAATAATGCTGATTTTTTTCACAAAGCTGTTGCTGAGATTTTAGAAGCACTATGGTAAACTGGAAATAATATTTCTCTAGGGAATATTCCAGACTGACACATGTGAATATTCTTCTCAGACTAAATGAAGTGCAAGATTGTGTTCAATATTTTCTCTTTAACAACAGAGGTCGGATTGACCGAATTATAGCTGAAATAATTTGCAATTAGACCTGTGGAAAACCATTGTGTCTCTAACCATAACGGTGTAAGGCCACAGGCTACATCACACAAAAATATTGAAGAATGATTTTTAATCATATTGCAACAATTTTTAAAAGCAAGGAAGGTAACTGCCCCTGGAAGGTATGGAATCTATGGATATAGAGAAATGGACTACATCTCTTTTGGGAAATCCATTGTCCCTTCTAGCACTACAATTTTTTTGATTTATTGGGATAAAAGTTTTCTTGATCATGAGCCAGAAATTCTGTGTGTAAATTTCACTCCTGAGACTATGTTGCAGCTGTAGGATACTGAGTTTATGCTCCTGTCATGACACTTAAATTCTGGAGAGTAACTTGTGTACTTAGAGAATCAGACCAATGGAGTCATTAGCTTTTCTTCACTTAATTTTTACCAAGGTCTCTATTTAACAGTTTTTCAACTACAGTAAAAATAGTATTTCTTTTTAAAATTTATTATTCCATGTTGATATGTGTTTCCACATTTGCTATTATATATACTTGTATTTTGGGAGAAAAGGTGGGTTTTTATGTTTTATTCTTTGATTTTGTGGGCCAGAAGTTCCTGTTTCCTTCTTTTATTTACCCTTCAACTTATTTATCATTTTCTTAAAAAAATAGATAATCTTAAAAATGGAAAATATCCATATTTTAACTAAATTTGTGAGTTTCTTATATTGCTTTCTGATGTAGCCATAAATAAATGAAAGCCTTTGAGTTGATAAATCTGTTTAATGGAAGCATATACATATCTATAATTCTGAATATTATTGAGAAAGAAAGTTCAAAGTATTGCTTTTAATTTTATTTTTTAAATAAAAAGAATATCCCCATAAACGTTGCACATGCATAACAAATATCTGGAAGAACACGTCAGGAACTGCTAAAAATGGCCACTTTTGGGTTATATGACTAGGAGTCATGTGAAGACAATAGGAAAGAAATGGAATGTTTATTAACATTGTATATACTTCTGTACTGTTTGACTATCTCACATGAACAATTATTGGCTTTATATTTTTATAAACATTTTTATAGCAAATACAAGCAAACTCGTATTTGCTAAAAATCAAGACCAACTTTAGTCACCACTGTGTCAGCAACTAATTTGCAGTAGAAGTTTGCAAGGTTTATTTCTCACCAACATCAATTAGAGAAAAATAAAAATTGTTGAAACATTGGTTTCCACTTACTTTACCTCAGGAACGAATTAAAAGCAGAGTAAATTTACAGATATATTCAAGAATTCCTTCTAAATGATGCATATTAATAAAACTACCCTATGCCTGTAACTTTTCTTCTTTCTTAGCATATTCAAACAAAATTCTTAGCTTACAGTATTAACCCAGTGAATGAACAAACCCCTTAGTTATATTTATTTTTTAAAATTTGCAGGACAGAGCCAAAGACAGATGACAGCTCTCAACCTGATGTGCTGGCTACAGTGGAAAGCCGTTCTGTGTAGTCACTGCTGTCCTTTTTAATCCAGATATGTATGTAATTGTTGAACTTCAGAATGGGAAATGTCTCTTCCAGTCTATCAGTGCCAGGCAAAGTAGGGTGATTATGAGTCTTAGAGTAGGCCAAATATGCTTAAACTTTGTTCTAGTTTCAGCTGCAATGGATTCTGTATTAAAACAGTAGGGAGGAGGCTATGGAAATCTTGCAATTTAACTTACTACTTCTCCTTGGAACTGACCTCCCTCTAGACTCCTGGCCCTCATTATAGTTTTGAAACTAAATCTAGTCAGATTTTCCTTTACTACAAAGGCCCTTCCTCTTAATTTGGCCATAATTCCCAAATATACCACTGTAGGCAGCTTTGCTTCCCTAACAGGAATGTGAAATTGACTCTGCTTGCTTTAGCCATCATTGAAAATGTCTGTGAGGGTCTTGGTTTCCCACATGATACAAGGCTTACCTCCTTCCTCCATCTTTCCAAATGAGACTGGAAGATTCAAATAAAATTTGGAAACTTCAGACTAGTTTCAGGATCAGATACATGATTAACCAATCTGCTTTAAGACATAAATTAAATGACGATATTTAACCTCAGAAGAAAATTAAATTGTTACCAGAGGGAAAAATAACTCTTAGGTATATGGTGTGTTTATATGAGAACAACCACGTTCTCTTTTCTCAAAACCATGAATTGGTGATCCTATGTTTTGAGGATTAACGAAGTCACCATATTAAACCAATATCATGATATCAGCCTGAGTACCACAAAACAAACAAACAAACAAAAACAACAAAATTGTTCTCCCCATCTTGCTTCCAGACTTATTCCTCTTTCCAAGAACTCAAATGCCTAAGAATCTAGCCTTCTTTACAAAAGATCATTAAATTATAACCACAGAAACTTAATAAGCAGAGTCATAATTTTGACAGTTTTTCTATAAAATACAAAAGATATAAAAAAAATAGACAAAATCAGGTCTTCAACCGTAGCTTTGAAATGTGAAAATGTGGGGCAGCAGTTAATCCTGGAGGGCTGAGGCCAGTAGGATGTCATCATTTCAATTCTGCTTTATGTATAGTTTGCTGCCATTTAGCTGATTCCATATCACAATAGAGAGGAAAAACACTTGCACTGAAGGAAATTAGAATATTTCAGTTTTAAAATACAATTAATATGACACAAGTATTTCACCCTTCATTTTACAGAAAAACAAAACTCGACAATGAATGCATAAACCAACCAAAATGAGTTCATTTGAGATTTGGAAGAGTCAGTGGTACGTTAGCCAGTGAAACTCTTCCAGGATAGAGAATGATATAGTCTATGGCAAAGGACTTAAAGAATTTGAAAAAGTATTGCAATAAATTATAATTTGCACCCCTCAAAATTTTTTTCCAATCTCTATTGACTTTGTCTAGTAAAAATGAACAAAAATATTTGTGTTGATCAACATGCAGTAAAGAAGCAAACTTTGCAGTAGAATGCAAGAAAAAAATGTTAAAGCAGAATAGAAAGATTAGGGTGCTGGCATGATTCTGTGATCAAGAAATCCTAGACAGAAATAGTACTTTTTACATTTGAGTATGAATAATTAGAAAAACCTAAAATGTAAAAAATCGTGTACATTTGGATGAAACAAACATTTACAGCATTTGGGATAGAAATAAAGAATTTTCCTATGAATTAATATATAGATGCAAGTTATGGTGTTAAAATATTTGCATCTTTTGAAATTTTATTATGAGAGTAAAGTGTTCTTTATGGGACTGCTCAGTAATTGGATTTTTTGGTTATCCATTTGATACTTAATATTTGCTTGTGAGCTAACTGGTTTGACTACCATGCAATAATAATAAATACTTTTCATTTCATGCATAATAATTATTATTGAATAAATGAGAAATGAATAAGATAATGGAATAAGTGAGACAACACTGGTAGAAAACAAGGCCGAGAATAAGTTGGAATTCATAAGGTCAGAAGGAAGCCGTGTGAGAATGTAGCAGTAGGCTCATCTTGAATTATATTCATTGAGGAAACAGGGGACTACTATATCATTCTCATTGTCTGCACACAGTGTTAGAACAAAGTGGAATAAAGTTAATGTCTTCAAGGGAGAGAAATCCGTCATTTTCTTGACTGCAAAACTGCATCCATAACTCTAACAGGACATCTTACAACTTGAAACATATGGCCAACAAGCGCTGGCATATTGCTGAAAGTAATCTGACTGAGCAGGCAACTTTCACCTTTCTGATGAAAGTAACCATAACTCCTGGAGTTGATGTAATTTTGTGATTTAAGGACCAATCTTAATCACACTTGGACACCCTGCTGCTTTTCCAAGAGTACTATGCAAATTGGGTAATGCTATTTGTTCAGGTGTTTCTTTTTTTTTTTTTCAAATTGGACCCAAATTGAATACATCTTAATGTTATTTTTCTTTTTGCCTGCAAGTAATACACTCATATAGGCATATATAGAAAAAAAAATTGTGAGTTTATCACGGTGAAATCCCAGTTTGCTTTGAGAGGAAGTTAAGAGGGAGTTGATCAAGTATTTAGTCTATGAGTAACACATCCTTTCACAATGTGAAGATATTAAGGTTTTTAATTCATGTCTGGGAAGAGTGATAGTCATTTGTGAGTAGAAAAGTAAATTAATGTACCTATATTTTTATGTATTTTTCCTATAGTAGAAAAAACTGGTAAAAATGTTTCATTTAAATTATTGGTAAAATATCGCATTTAAAAAAATTCTGAAAATAATTTAAAATAAAAATTTGTTCAAAAATTATTGACATCTCTAAGAGAGTTTTTTTGTATTTAACAAAAACAGAGCAAACAAACTGCCTTGAAAAATGTAGGACTTGAACAACACATTGTGCATACTTACTGTGCTCTTATTTTTGTTGTGGTTATTTTTTATTAAAATACAGTCCCACATGACTTAATTATGAGAATATGTTCTGAGACATACTTGTTAGGTGATTTCTTTACTCTATGAACATCTTAGAGTGTACTTAGACAAGCCTAGATGATATAGCTTATTACATGCCTAGGCTATGTACACCCCATTTCTTCTAGGCTACAAACCTGTACAGCATATTACTGTGCTGAAAACCGTAGGCAATTGTAACACAATGGTATTTGTATATCTAAACACAAGAAAGGTACAGTAAAAATATGGTTTAAAAGATAAAAAATGGCACACCTGTATAGGGCATTTACCATGAATAAAGTGTGCAGGACTGGAAGTTGCTCTGGGTGAATCAGTGAGTGAGTGATGAGCCTAGAACATTGCTGTACACTGTTATAGACTTTATAAACACTATACACTGCAGCTACATTAAATTCATACAATTATTTTTTTCTTCAAAAATAAATTAAACTTAGCTTATTGTAACATTTTTCACTTTATAGACTTTTTATTAAACTCTTTTCACTCTTTTACAATAGCACTTAGCTTAAGGCATAAATACTGTACAGCTGTACAAAAATATTTTCTTTCTTTCTATCCTTATTCATTTAAAAAATTTTTAATTTAAAAAAATTTTTAAACTTTTTTTAAAGAAAACTACGAAAAAACATACGCATCAGTTCAGGCCTACACAGGGTCAAGATCATCAAAATCACTGTCTCCCACCTCCACGTTTTGTCCCACTGGACAGTCTTCAGGGGCAATAATACATGGAGCTATCTCCCGTGATAATGATGCCTTTTTTTCTGGAACACCTTCTGAAGGACCTACTTGAGAATGTTTTAAAGTTAATTTTCTTAAGTAGAAGGAGTACACTCTGAAATAATAATAAGCTAGGCATGGTGGCTTATGCCTGTAATCTCCACTTTGGGAAGCCAAGGCAGGTGGATTGCTTGAGGCCAGGAGTTTAAAACCAGACTGGGCAACATAGCTAGACCCTGTCCCCCCAACAAAAAAATTAGCCAGGTATAGTGCCATGTGCCTGTAGTCCAAGATACTCAGGGGCTGAGGCGGGAGGAGTAAGTCCACTTAAGCCCAGGAGTTTGAGGTTGCAGTGAGCTATGACCTTGCCACTGCCTTCTAGTCTAAAGGACAGAGCAAGATTTTTGTCTCCAGAAATAAAAAAAAAATGATAAAAAGTGTACTATAGTAAATACGTAAACCAGTAACATAGTTGTTTATTATCCTTTTCAAATATTATGGATGTACATAATTGTATATGCTAGACTTTTATACAGCTGGCAGTGCGGTAATTTTGTTTACCTTAGCATCACCATAAACACGTGAGTAATTTATTGAGCTATGACGTTATGGAAGCTATGGCTGATAGGAATTTTTCAGGGTTATTATAATCTTATGGGACTACCATTGTCTATGTGGTCTGACATAGACTGAAACGTTGGTATGTGGTGCATGACTGTATCTATTTAATAGCTATCTATTAAAAAATACTTAGTGGTACATTTGCACCACTTTGTCATAATTTTATGAAAGCAATAGGTGTTTTGCTTTAGACTTTCATTAACAGCTTGTCAATGTGAAAACTATCTTTGTATCTTTTTAATAAAACTGCATGTGCTATAGCTTTTAAGATCAATTGCCTTGATAGAGTGCTCCAGAAAAAAGATGGAGATAATGTTCAGTGAACTGGAAGGTGGAAAGTATTTCCCGGTCAAATTAAAGAAGAATATTGAGGCAGTTAAAATGTGGAGTTAGGCTGGGCACTGTGGCTCACGCTTGTAATCCCAGCACTTTGGGAGGCCAAGGCGGGTGGATCACCCAAGGTCAGGGGTTCGAGACCTGGCTGGCCAACATGAAAAAACCTCATCTCTATTGAAAATACACACACACACACACACACACACACAAACACACACAGACACACACACACACACACACACACACATTAGTTGGGCATGGTGGCAGGTGCCTGTAATCCCAGCTACTTGGGAAGCTGAGGCAGGATGATTGCTTGAACCTGGGAGGTGGAGGTTGCAGTGAGCTGAGATCTTGCCATTGCACTCCAGCCTGGACAATGGAGCAAGACTCTGTCTCAAAAAAAAAAAATGTGGAATTAAAGAGGAAAGGAGAGCTTAAAAAGTTGAAGACACAGATGGAATAAAATAGTGGTTACCTGAGGCGGAGGTGGGGAGGAAACAAGGAGATGTAGGTCAAAGGATACAAAGTTGTAGATATATAGGATGAACAAGTCTAGACATATATGACATGAGGACTAGAGCTCATAACATTATATCATATTCAGATTTTAGGTGCTCTTGCCACACATGCAAAAATATGGGTAACAACATGAGGTGATGTACATATTAATTAGATTGACTATGGTAACAATTTTACTATCTATATGTATACAAAACAACATGTTGTACACCTTAAATATACACAATAAATTTTTTAAAAAGAGGAAAGGAGATAGCATGTACTGTAGATCCAAGCTGGGCAATTGTTGCAAATTTCAAAATAAACCACAAGCTGAGAAATATTATAAGTTATAACAATCCAAAATTAGGTAGTACAAGAATCTGAGTTTGGGATAATGGGAGATCTGGTGTGGGTGGCATATTGCAAGCTTGAGATAAATTTGGGAGAACATTCTGAACAAAATGTGCAGGTTTTAACAAATTACTTTTTTCACCCAGCATACATTTGTAGGATAACAAATATACTGGAACTAAAAATAAATAAATAAATGTCATAAAATATCTGCTCTAAAAATGTTAACCTCTTTGAGGTATATAAATTATTACTTCTACTTTTAAGTAAACAGGGCAGTTCTATCCACTAGAAGCTGGCATCTTAGGGTAGACACAGTCCAGAGGGAACTCCCCTGAATAAGAGGAGAATGCCTTGGATGCTTCCTTCCTCTCACTCTCCAGTTACCTACCCACCCATTGGTTGGTTACGATTTCATAGAAGCTAGAGGACAAGGAGCTGGAGATAAAGTAGAGCATAAAAATAAAAATAACAACAATAACAATAACAAAATGCCTGTGAGAGCAAGGAGCAAATGGCTGGGAAACAGTTATTCTTTGTATTCATTTCTTATTGCTGCTGTAACAAATTATTAATACCATAAATTTAGTGGCTTTCAAGCACATAGATTTATTATTGTACAGTTTTGGAACTCAGAATGTGAAATGCATCTTCTAGGACTAAAATCGAGGTGTCAGCAGAACTGAGTTCTTCTGGAGGTGCTAGGGGTAAATCTGTTTCTTGCTGCTTTGGTCTAAATGCATACCTCCCAAATTCATATGTTAAGTCTTAACCCACAAAGTGATGATATTGAAAGGTAGAGCTTTTTGACAGTTGCTTAGTGCCATTATAAAAGAGGCCCCAGAGAGCTGCCTTGAAAATTCTGTCATATGAGGATGACATAAAAGGTGCCATTTATGAATCAGAGAGTAAACCCTCATCAGACATTGAATATGCTGGTGCCTTGATCAACTTCTTGGCCTCTAGAATTGTAAGAAGTAAATTTCTGTTGTTTATAGACTACCCAGTTTTTGATATTTTGTTATAGTAGCCCAAATAGACTAAGACACTTATTTTACGGACCGTGAAACTTGCTTTCCAGCTACTAGAAGCCATGTGAATTACTTGGCATGTGACCACATCACTTAGACCTCTCGTTCCATCTTCATATCTCTTTGTCTAACCTTAAATCCCTGCCTCAATCCTGTAAGGACCCTTGTGATTACATGGACTCACCTGGATAATTTGGGATACTCTCCACTTCTCAAGATACTGAACTTAATCACCTCTGCAAAGGCCTTCTTGCCAAATAAAGTAACGTATTCACATATTCAAGGGACTAGGACTCTGCAACATCTTTAGGGGGATGTATTAGTCTGTATACCACATCCTTTTCTCCAATTTTGTAGTTTATTTTTCCATATTTGCCTGTGATTGAGTCATGTCTTATTGTAAAAAAAAAAGTAAGATATGAACCAGTTAATATGTCTCTGATTTTCTGGTATTTGGAAATTTTTAATCCCCAAACATAAGCCACTATTACTTGGTCAGCAGATTTTAACACAAGATCTAAAGATGAATAAGTGGCCAAGGTTTATTGAATGACATCTCTAACATAAATTTCAAAGTAAAGGTTTCATGTATACAAAAACATAAGTTATAATGATGTGTTAATTTTAGGATATTAAAAACAATTAGAGACATCACAATACATTAATTTATGTAGTAGTCATTAGGAACAGTTTTGAAAATGGTCTATTCCTTGAATAGGAATTTCATCTATTAAAGGTTTGGCTTATGCTAAATATGTGATTTTTTCATATATGCTATTTAAATGATCAATAATATTATCAGGCCCACTCTTTCTGAAGAATGGTGAGCTTAAATTCCTGTTAAAATCTATATGAGAGACTTGAAATTTTCCAGGTGTTTTTCTCTATCCCCCTCCCACCATTTATTTTCCCCCCACATTCTGCACTCCTGATTTAAGATTACCAGTGTTAAGATTTAACTTTATGATTTCAGTAATCACAGATGAATGGATCAAAATCTACAAGGGCAAAGGTAATATATCAGGGCCTCTAATATTTCTTCCCATGAATAGTTTTAAGAGCAGATGTATTCCTGTTTCAAGCACAGGTTCTAAACTATCAAGATGCAGGGAATTGGTCTTTGTAGCAAGCAGAAGTCCAGTGAATCTAACAGATGTCCTTTCATTCAGGAGTTGCCAGAAAAGCAAAAAGGTTAAGGAAAAGACAGGAAATATTGCATCTGAGAAACTAAAGATACATCATTTATAATTCAGTGTCCCAACAAAGGGCAAGAGAGAAGAATAATACAACTGCCAATCACCCACATGAAACAGCAGGTAAGCTCAGAGAAGGGCTGGAAGAGTGGTAACTTTACTCAAAAGTGCTTGGATCTGGAAACAACCAAGATGTCCTTCAAAACCGAATGGATAAGCAAAGCAAAATGTGGTTAGCCATACAATGGAATATTATTCAGTAATAAAATGAAATGCACTAAAGACATAGAGGACCCTTAAATGCATATTTGGGTAATTAAAGAAATCTGTCTGAAAAGGCTACATACTATATGATTCTGACTGTATGACTTCCTATAGAGATAGTAAAAAGATCAGTGATTTCCAGAGGTTTGAAGGAGGGCGGGAGGAATGGCTATGTAGAGCACAGGTGATTTTTTGGGCAGTGAGGCTATTCTACATGACACTGTGATGGTGGGTATGTAACATCATTTGTCGAATCATAAAATGTACAACACAAAGAGTAAAGGCTAGTGTAAACTGTGGGTTTTAGTTAACAAGGATGTATTAATGCTGGTTATCAATTGTAACAAATGTATTACAGTAACACTAGATGTTAACAGGGGAAACTGTGAGGAGGAAGAAAAAGGACACATGGGAATTCTCAGAAAAAGAAATTGTATAGATCTAGAGTGTTGCTCGTTGAAAACAATTTCCTAATCCAGAGTTGGCCATCGGACTGACACAGAGATGAACAGAGCTAGTTTCCAGGTTGAGTAGTGATGTAATACAATCTTACTGCAAAGGATCACAGTGGAGCCTGCTTTCTTGTCTTCATATTACACTCCTTCAATTTTTTGTTCCCTACTTTGGACATTGTCTTCACAGATTATGTGGAAGAAAATCATTTTTATGTTCCTCATTTATCTCTTAAAGCAAAGGGCATATTCCTTGAAATTTAGGCACACCCCTTTGACTTCAGCCTCTGCTCTATACTTGAGAGTGTTTTATTCAAGTATATGAGATACCTTAAATTTTCCACTGTAGCTCAACTCTAAAGATATTTACTCCTTTCTTGTGCCAACTTCTATGGTAACAGCTCCAAGATTGCTCAAAATTATTTTATCTTGGAGATATTACTTGTTCTTTTTAATTTAGATGTGAGCTCTAAGCAAGGAGATGAAGTCTCCGATGTTCATCAAGAGTAACCACTTCCTTGTTAGAAGAGATACCTAAGTTAGTGAGAGAACATTGTCATCAGTAAGCGTAAATATTTATTTGTGTGAGTCTTTGTTCTCTCTGGGTAAAATATCCGATATTGGTAAATATATAAAAAACTTAAATTTTGATTAAGGGTATATATATATATATATGACATAAGAAAATCAGACTCTGAATTTTTTGTTCAGCAGTGGTAGATCTGTAAATATCACTAACATTTTTCTTTTGAATTAATTTTTCTTGGTTTTAATAGAAAATTAATTGTATACCTGCTTATATGATTGATAACATATTTTCTTTAATTGTATACATACATATTTATAAACTAGTTTAAAATTATAAAATTGTACATATGGCTTAAAAAATGAACAATTTGGAAAGGCATGTGATGACAAACATTTCCCTTGTAAATCCCCTACTCCCTAGTCACATGTCCTAGAGTATTTTCTATATAATTATTTCTTGTATATCTTTCCAGAATTGTTGATGCATATATAGGCTTATATATGTACTTGAGTATATATGTAATGTCTAAATTTAAGCTATGGGGAATAATGCTAGATACATGGCTATACCTCATACACATTATTTATAAGATGTATATCTTACGTATACATATTTGACATCTTTGGACAACACCACATGTAAAACTCCATCAATCATGAGTATGGGTTTTAGGTATTGATGTGTGTATGGATGATGAATACATTTTTGTGGTTCAGGAATATACTTCTGGGGGAAAAATTCAGAATGTCCTTTAATTATTGGAATGTACCTCTAATGACAATCATCTCATATAGTGAACAGCTCTCTGTCTGGAGTCACGTAGCTCAAATCTTGAGAATAGAGTAGAAGTTACTGCAGATCACTGAGGTTCAACAATGGATTTCCTGAGCCCGTGTGTCTTGCAAAACTTGGCTTCATAAATACTGCAATCGTGGAGTGTTCTGAACATGACACTTATAATACTTCAAAAGTTTACCTTTGGCTGTTAGCCAAATAATACAATCTTTGTTTGACTGTCAGTGGAAAATATTCAAGTAGATGAATATACAGTGGAATGAGCTCTTCCTACAGGATTCAAACTCAACAAAATATTGCCATAAAATTTCAATAAGACTACATTTCTCATAAAGCAATACCACTCTGGATATTAAATGAAATTAAATATGTTTTATTTTCTTGAAATAGCCTTATGGATGTTATACACCGCCCCCATTCCAAATATGTTTTATTTTTATGCCAGAAATCCAGAATTAGAAAGCAGCAAATTGTGGTCTTTAAAATTCTCAGGGGAGGCCTCTGTAATACAAGTAACTATTTGTATTTTTTGGCTATATTATAGACAGCTTAATAGTTACCCAATAATGTACTACATTTTTCCCAAATAAGAAACCTTTTGCATATCTGTGCAGTTCAGAATGGGAAAGCAGATTTAAAGACTAGTTGACAAGTAGGTGTATGCAAAGCCTGTTAATACTGTCAAGGTCTATTCAACATACAGGTGAAAGTGTTAACCATTTGCTCCTCAGCGAGTGGCTCTTGAAGACCCTATTATTACCAGAACATGTTCCCTTGCATATCCAGTGTTACCCTATGCAATAAATTGAAAACACACACGTGCATGCGCGTGGGCGCACACAAGCACACACACATACAAACACCCCTCAAGTAATTAATAAAGGGAACTCAATGATAGTCATTTATAGCAAATGAAAGCATTTGTTAAAAAGGGTGAAGCAGAAAATGTGGAAGTCATGAGAAGTGAAAGGCTAACATTTAGTTGCAAGTGTATACTTTAAGGTTGCTTTGAGTTTCATATATGGGATTTTGATGGTAGGATAATAACAGGGAAGGGAAATATAAATGAATTGTGAGAAGAGGCTAAGGTTTCAGTGAGAGGGTTTTTTCCTTTTATTTGCTTTTATGTGTGAGATTCTGTTCTTAATTGTATCTTTTGGCTTTTTTATACAGTGATTACATAGCTTGATGTTGTTTTATTCTTGAAACTCCCCGCAGAAATGGCATGTTGTTAACTCTGGGTATCAGAGAAAATTTCAGGAATTGGATGTTCTATTCTATTAACAAGTACAAGAGCAAAATATCAATTTACATAATTTTCACACTGGTAGGGAATAAACAAATGGGAGCTATATCAGCTAATTCTTTTGACGTGAGGAGTCTATCCTCTTAATTCTGGCTCATCAGAGGTTACTTCAAATGTTGTAAGGAACCCCCAAATTTAAATTCATTGGCAAAAATTTGGACTTAAGCAAATTACTAACAAAGCTTCTCTTAACACCATTACATTGCTTTTTTTGTCTTCTTCAACAAGAACAATCCAATATTCAGTTTCTCTGTCTTTTTATAAATTAACTTGCTCTACATACATTACTTCATCTTTCAGAGATTATAAAAGTACTTTAAATATATTGAGTAGTTAATTTTACATAATCCATATTGGAATGCTTGTGAAAGTTAGATGATAATGTAGAGGGGAAGCACATCTCCAAAGAGGCCCATTTATTTTCTCATTCTTTTTTCTCTGTTAAAATGTGTGCATGTGTGTGTATGTGTGCATGTGCAAATATAAAAGTGAAATTATAATATATTTGTTCGCTTAAATCTCTTTTCAATGAATCTATTTTGAACCATTTTAATACACATAAGTCTTTCAGATTCTTTTTAAGTAACATTCTGTTGTATAAAGTCATTATAATTAATCTATTAATAGATATTTAGATTATTTTTACTTTGTCAATGAACAGAAACAAGAAAAACAAAACTACTACAATTTTACCATATATGTCTTTATACATGTGTCTAAACATTTAAATTCCCTACAATTTGAGTTACTATGTCAAGGAAATATAAAATTCTTATTTTGTTACTTAGATTTTCCCTCCAGAAAGTATCTCTCCATTCACACATCTAGGTGTAAAATAGTTTTTCAATGGTATTTTGGAAGAAGTCCTTTCTATAATCCTGTTGGATATTTGAGACCAAGTAGTAAAAACAGTTTACAAGCGTAAACAAAAAAATAAGGAACATATTGTTGGTTGTGCCTTTTCAACTTTTCAGGCCTATTTAGTGTCTATGCAGAGAGATTTTTCATGTTAAAAAATAGTCTACTCCAGACAAGAAACTTGATAAGACAATGTTGGATCTATTTTGGAAATTCAGCTTTGAGGGGTTAACTGATGGTCTTCCACACTGCCAACTATTAAAAAGTCTATGAGTTTAAAGATAAAACTCAGCAGAGAAAGTCAGGCCTAGGACTTGTCAGGAGAGCAAATGTTTAATGTGTGTGTGTTTTGTTGTTGTTGTTGTTGTTTTTACTATTGAATGAATTATACTTAGTAAAATATGTAAAGTGAAAGATGGCAGCATTGGAGGGGGTTGGAAATCTTGATACCAGAGTACATGATATTTATACCAAGAGCTGAAATTCAGAATGTCCAAAATATGTAATGTTATTATGTTTTGCATTGGTAAATAATGGTCTCCTGTTTATATTCTGACAGGAATATATTTCCTAGGAATATACTAATACTGAATATTGTGCATTTAATTTTTTAAAAAGGAAAAAGAAAATTTTATGATGAGAATGTTATATCCCTTACTGTAAGGAAACAAATTAACAAAATCTTGTAATATTGGGTAATTGAAATATTCGATTTCTTTTTATAGGTAATGAGGACTGGAAATTCATTTTAGTAATGGTCTTAAACTTTGTATTTAGTTTTATACTATGTCTCTCTATGGTATTTCGTAATTTTATAAATATTTTAAAATGAGCTTAAAATCAGAGATGTCATGTTAGTTAAAGAATGAAGTTATAGGGGTGTTGTGTTGTTATCCTTAGGAATTCAGAAATGCCTGAACCTGAATCCTGTAAAATACTTCTCTGTCCATTCTCATGAGGTTCCTAGAGAGGCTGTTTAATTAATTAGTTTGAGAATAGATTATCAAATAGCTTTATAATTTCCTAATCCTCTAATGTGGATTATGGGGGGAAAAGATGAGTCAGAGTTTGGTAGAGTGGAGGCCTAAGTGGGATCTCCTACTCTGCCCCACTCCTACTGCCACTGAAATGTAACAGGGCACATCAGGCACAGAGAGACATTGTGTCGTCTGCCTAGGAGACAGGCATGTTTTCACCACAGCCAGGTCATACTGAGCAAAAAATTCAAGAGGAAGGGTCAAGCAGGGACTCTGGTCATTAAGGTAAAGTGGTAAAATGAGATCCACAGAATGCCTAGGCTCTCATCAATTGTATTAGTCAGGGTTCTCCAGAGGGACAGAACTAATAGGGTATATGTGTACATGAAAGAGAGTTTATTAAGGAGAATTGGCTTATAAGCTCATAGGGCAAAGTTCCATGATAGGCCGTCTGCAAGATGAGGAAGAAAGAAACCTGTAGTAGTTTCAGTCCAAAAGCCTCAAAAGTAGGGACACCAATAGTGCAACCTTCTGTCTGTGGCCAAAGGTCTGAGATCCCCCGGCAAACCACTGGTGCAAGTCCAAGAGTCTGAAGACTGAAGAACCTAGAGTCCAATTTCCAAGGGCAGGAGGAATGGACAGAAGCATCCAGCATGAGAGAAAGATGAAAACCAGAAGATTCTGAAAGCCAGCTTACCCCACCTTTTTCCGCCTGCTTTGTTCTAGTTTCAGTGGCAGCCTTTTGGATGGTGCCCATCCACACTGAGGTTGGGTCTTCCTCTCCCAGTCCACAGACTCAAATGTTAATCTTTGGCAACACTCTCAAAAAAACACCCAGAAACAATACTTTACCAGCTATCTCAGTATCCTTCAATCCAATCAAGTTGATAGCTAATATTAGCCATCACATCAATCATACTGATAAAAGTAATGCTTATATAGTGTACATCATGTACTTTAATACATGCATAGTGTACGCATGCAATGTTCTAAGCAGTTCACATATATCAACTCATTCAATACTCATAACAACCCTGCAAAGTAAGTACAGAGAAGAAAGTTGAAGTCCAATGAGGATATCTTCCCTGAAATAATATCATGAACTGGAATTTGGCCTAGAAAATCTGGCTCCAGAACCAATGTTCTTTACCATTTTGCTATACTTTTTTTCTCCAGTGGAGGATGTGATCCTGAGGGACAGACAAAGAAGAAAAATTGGTATAGGTAGACAGAAGGGTATTTAATTTGACATAAGATAATAATCTGAATCTTATCCAAAATTGATTGAGTTCTTAATGAGTCACTCTACTTGGCTTTCTCCTTCCTTCATTTAATCTTCACAGCAATCATTTGAGGTAGATACTTATTGACCCTATTTTGAAAATGGACAATCTAAGCAGAGGGAGACTAAGCAAACTGACCAAGGTAAATAATTTTTGAAATTAGAAATTATAACTACATTTTTATTCACTGTGATAGGTTGCTTTGCTAGGCTATGATACATAGAGTATTTTCCCCTAATACTCCCCAGTACTTGCTTCTTTCTTAGCTCATTGCAATTACTCGGAGAAACTATGGTCAACCAGAATGTAGTGCTTCTTTATGATGGGAAGGAGACCAGCAGTCTTTAAAGAAAGTCCTGGATTCACCTTGGGGTAACCTTCTGATGTATATCTGTATCTATATTTATATCTATACCTATATCTCTATTTTTATTCTTGGAATCACTAAAATGGGTAGTTCCATTGGTCTCTGAAATTTTTGTATTAGGCTGAAAATTTTACTACTGTATCATTAAATATTTCAACTTTTGAAGAGTTTTGCTATCTATCTTGCTTCACCAGAAGATTTCAGAGCCCAGAAATGAGTCGAATTATACCACATAAAAGGGGTCATTAACAACATGAATCATACCTCACTATTATATTTCCAAAGAGAAATCAAAATACAAAAAGAAAAAATTCCCTTCCTGATTGTAGAAATTGCATTTCAAAGATGTTAAACTCCAAATTCATTTAAATTCTGAATTGCTGATAATTCTTTCGGAAATAGAGATGTTGTTTATATGCTTAATATTAGTAGCTGTAGCCTGAGCCTCTTTTCACTCTATTCTAACCCCAAACTTTTCATATTTTTCACTGCTCCAAAATTACCATGTGTGAATAAAAAATAAAAAGAGCTCTGCATCAGCTTTACATTCTAATGCCAGATTTATTGTGAACTCTTTCTGGTATCTGAGCTTCTATTTTCACTGTAAGTAGGTATTAATACTTCACATTTGTAGCAGTCAGCCTTTTAAATGACATAATTGTCTTGATTCAACACATGACCAAATTCATGCTGTCTCTGTATTTTTTCAACTCAAATGGGATCACCAATTTTTTGTCTTGTGCTGTAGTGACTCTTGCTACTACCTTATAAGAAGGTTTCTCCTGGTATCATCACTAAACTAACTAGAGGGCCATTCTTAACAGATTCCTGAATTTAAGGTGCTGCTATTTACATTTCTTAACCTGTGTTTTCAGAGACTCAGAGACTTAGCAGATGATTTTTTTTGTTGTTTCTTTTTTGTGTTTTGCTACTTTGCAAAGTTGTGTGCTTCTTTTCAGAGCTTTAATTTTCTAAACCATAAGTATCATCTATTTGCTGTTTCAGAAACATGAGGAAAGAACTTTCTATTTCTTTACTTCTAAAGCAAAAGTTCCAATTCTCAGTGGTTCAATTTTCCACTGATTAACTCCAGTTCTCCTACAAATTCCAGGTAAGCTCTATAAAGTCCAATTTACTTTTTAATTGCACATGTTTCCTTTCTGTTTTTGATAGGAAGAATAGCACACTGTTGCTTTAGAATTTTAAAAATTGTTCTTTTATTTTTGTTTTAGGTTTAGACATTTATTTCCTGACTATATCCTTCTATATTCTGCCTTTTTGGTTTCTTCATCAAAAGTAACTAGTAGGTCTCCCCCAAATATCTTTAAAAGTAATGGCAAAACCCACAATGGCTTTTGCACCAACCTAATGAAACAAAACAGGAAACCTCATTATCATCTTCCTGATTGTGGTATTTTTTACACAGGAGATAGACTTTTATAATAGGCTTTGAAAATAGCTTCAACTGGCTTCTTTTTAGTGGATTTGGTCTTCCCTATAGCTTCTTTTCACCTTCCCTGAACTTTTACACAGGGCAGAACTGATTTTCCGTGATAACTCTATCCTCTTGAAACTGCTAAATGGTTTCAGATGTATTATTTTCTGATCTTTCTGGTGTTTCCTTTTTCAAATAGGTTCACGTTTAAATAAATTACTCCATTTATCGGAAATAAATTCCACAGTTGTTCAAATGATTGACTGTGTTTTCAGAGAGCTCAAACATTTCTTCATCTTGTTTCCCTCTTTGGAAGCCAATTCATTTGTGTGTGTGTGTGTGTGTGTGTGTGTGTGTGTGTGTGTGTGAAATCTTCCCATTCTATTAAATCAAACTGAGCCTTTGACATACTCTAAGAGACAATTAGAGTATTTTAACTTTTCTAAACCCATCTTTAAAAACATTTGTATTTGAGTATATCATTATTTCTTTTTCATATTTGTCTAGTTTGGCCTTTAAGCTCCCTGTCATTCTCCTAAGGAAATTTTTGTCTGCCAACAGGTCAGTTAGTATACCTGACGTCATTTTTCTTTCTCTTTCCCATTACTCTTATTGAGAACGCAAAATAAATCTTTTTTTCAAAAAAGTATCCTATTAAATATTATGTATTTTAGTCAGTATAAAAATAGAGGAAATGTGAAAGGCAGAGATATTTGGTTTCTTTCTGTTTTATGCCAGACCAGCTGCTATCTAAATTGGCTATCTAAATCTGGATTGATCTAAATAGTACACTTAATTAAACTATTTAGTTTGTACTTAGGAATGCCCATTAGAAGTGTTGATGTTCACTGGCTTATATCCTGACCTCGGATGCTAGGAGAGGTTGATCTCTTTTGATCTTTCTTGGAATTGAGTTAGAATTATTAGAAATAAAGAGTGCCCATATTACCCTCTGTGTTCTCAAACAATTTAATGAGTGCTACTCCACCTCCTGCCATAGCTGAAAAGCTGAGGCTTCATTTGCCCTGTAGTAATTTTAAGTGGATTTCATGTCTTTTACTATAGCTCATGAATGTCAAGGCCAAGAATAGGGGTTGGTAGCTTTCTATTGCTGCTTCCAAGCCCTTATTCCTCTAATGTCTCTGTATTAGTTTGCTAGGGCTGCCATAACAAGATTAGGTGCCTTAAACAACATAAATCAATTTTCTCACAATTCTGGATGCAGAAGTCTGAGATGAGGTGTTGGCAGGGTCATTCTTTGAGGCTTCTTTCCTTGACATTAAAATGCCATCTTTCCTTGTATCTTCACATGGCTTTCTGTGACCTAAACTCCTCTTCTTGTTAAGGACACTAGTCATCTTGGATTAGGGTCCACTCTACTCACCTCATTTAACTTTAATTACTTCTTTAAAGACCCTATCTCCAAACAGTCACATTCTGAGGCACTGAGGATCAGGACTTCATCCCATGAATTTGGAGGAAAGCAATTCAGCGCATAACACCATTGTACTCATTCTTGCACCTTTGAAAATCAACCTTCTACTGCCCTTTTAGTTGCTGATAACCTCTGACCTGATTATTCTTCCTTATTTAGCAAAAAAATTATGTACCTAATTTATAAGCCTTACCCGCATCTTGAATAATTCAAAGCCATGCCAATGTCCCCCCCCTCCAATAATCTGTTTTATGCAGTTCTTTGATTTCTGCAGTTTTTTTCTTCCAAAAATCATCCTTTGAACTTTATTATCACCCAAAACTTCTGAATGAAAATATGTCCTCTGCCTTCTTCCATCTTGTTTGACTACTGCCATTTAAATCTTCCTTAGTGCCATGAGAAAACATTTATAATCTGATTTCTCCTAATATTTCAGACTGTTCTTTCTTCATTTTTCTTTATCCAAATTAAATTTTGTGGTTAGTAATTTCAATTTTACTCTTACTAATATACTAAACATCCTTGTTTCTCATTTTTTTACTACACCCTTATGATGTTCCAGCCATGGATGAGCCCATTATACTTTGTCCTTATCCAAGCATGGAAAAAGAAAGTCCAATGAAAACAAGTTCCACTGTAAATGTATGATATATACCTCCACATTGTTTGACAGTCTTAGGTTTCTTGACAACCTAAGTATATTTCTCTGGCCAATTAATTTATTTTTAGACTTGTCACTAACTCTAACTTCCTTTCTTTCCTGACCCATCCTTGATGGGTCTTCTACCTCACAGAGACAATAGAAGCCCCCATCCTTTTCAGGTTAAACATAACAATCTATTTAGAACACACTGTATATCTTACTGCTTATGAGATATCTCCTGTACATTTCAAAGTCTCCTTGAAATATCTTTCCCTACCATCCCCCAAATGAAACGGCTCCCCTTCCAGTGTTGCCTGTCTCACTGAGTGGTACTTCTATCCATACAGTAATACAAGCCAGACATCTTGACACTTTCTTTTCTCTCACCCTCTTTATTTTATACATCCCTTTCCTAAGCTTTGCAGCTTTTATCTTCTAATCATCCCTATCCATTTCTCTCTATACCTTTGACTTCACTCTACTACTGCTAATTATCATTACCTTTAAGTACTATCTTATTTATATCCTTAACAACTCTCTTTATCCATTTTTTCACATTGCAGCAAGAATAACTTTTCAAAACACAAATATAATAATGTCACAACTTTTCCTTCCCTGTTGAAATTTCTTTGAAGTGTGACAGTTATTCTAAGATTTATAATTATTAATATAGTAAACGTAAGACTTAGCATGGTTTCCCCAGCAGTTCCTTCTTGTATCATACTTCTTTGCTTTTCAGTTCCTATCTTGGTATTGTCTTTTAGTCTACTGTACATACTGGATCTCTCTAATCACATTTGTGCATTTTTCCTTCGTTCATTCTTCTGTCCCTTTTCAATTGTTTTTATCTCGCTTATTCAAATACAGTGTGGAACACTCAAAAGATTCTCAAGACATATTTGACAAGAACACAATGAATACATGAATGACAAATGGGTCAATATCTGATTTGGGGGGGAAGAACATATATATCCAGTTAGTAAGATTATTTTAGGTATAGAAATGATAAACATATGTGATGAGTGTTCATGTGAATGAATGAGACTTATCTGAATGGCGAATTTGAATCATCAGGCAGATTCCTCCGTGTCAACTCTGTTATTCTCTTCACCAACCTCAACATTGATTCAATCACTCTGGCATGTATCTTTTCTATCTCTTTTGATTTATCTCAAACCAAGTTACTTCGTTCCATCCTTATGATCATAGCCTAAACTCAGGTGACTATTGTTTTCCATTTTGTTTCCTGAAATAATCTTCCAACTGGTTTTCTGCTAATAGTCTTATATTTTTCTAATATGTTTTTCAAACTTTCAATCAGAGTGATCTTATAAAATACAGAACACATTATTTCTCAGCTTACATATCCCCATTACTTTCTGATGGTCTTCAGGATAAAATCTGAAACTCCTAAGCATAGGATATCCATCTCCTCTGGGACATCTCTCCATATTCTCTGAGATGCCTTCCTTGATTCATCATGACTGGTTTAATTCCCCTTCCTGTATGGTCCCATGACACCATATCTTGACCCTTTGTCTCTTACCACTTAATATTAAAATTGCCTGGTTTTTCATTTATTTGTCTTCCTATCTAGTTTGTTGGATCTTTATGTATATTAACCACAGCTATCATGGAAACCTGTCACCATGTAGTGGTTTCATAAACATCTATGAAATAAATGAATGATGAGTTAATACATTTAAGATGTTTGTTAAAACAGTTATTATGGAGCAGTGGAGTTATTTGGTTTTCCTTCAATATTGTGATAAATGAATTTAATTGCACTGCTCTTTGCATAGGAATTGATATTCTAGTTCTTACTGGTGACATGTCCAAGGTTAGTGAATTAATATTGATCCTGAATTTATATTATAGGTTGTCCCAAACCAATCCTTTATCAAGTGTGAAGCAACAAAGCATGTCCTCTATACCCCCTAATCAAGTTGAAATTAATTTGCTACAAAGGACATGAACTCATCCTTTTTTATGGCTGCATAGTATTCCATGGTGTATATGTGCCACATTTTCTTAATCCAATCTAGCTGGAAACCATCATTCCGAGCAAACTGTCGCAAGGACAGAAAACCAAACACTATATGTTCTCACTCATAGGTGGGAATTGAACAATGAGAACACTTGGACACAGGGTGGGAAACATCACACACCAGGGCCTGTCATGGGGTAGGGGGAGGGGGAAGAGCATTAGGAGATATACCTAATGTAAATGACCAGTTAATGGGTGCAGCACACCAACATGGCACATGTATACATATGTAACAAACCTGCACGTTGTACACATGTACCTAGAACTTAAAGTATATTAATAATAAAAAAAAAGAAATTAATTTGCTCTGACTCTAGAACCCTGAGGTTCTGAAAACATGTTTTCACATGGTAGTGGAGGCCGTACATGTGAATTAATAAAAAATTATATACTGAATAAATTAAGTTAAAAATGGATAAATGAACTAAGCAGCCTCTCTCTTAGGTTGCTAGATGAAATATTAAATGACGATTTTAAATTTTGAAAAGATTAGTCTCAAATTCATGATTTTATTGCTTGTTTTAGATTGTTATATTATTGTTTTGATTTTCTATGTATCTCATTTGCTATCCACTGGGTAGAATATTCCATCAGTATCTCCAATTCCAAACTATCTTTTTTGAGATATTTGAACTTTAAAAGTAGGAAATGGTCTGTACATGCTAAATCATTTGAAAGTATTGGCAAGAATTGTATAATTCTGTTCAAGAATGAAAATAGAATTAGTAGGCAAATATGTGAGAAATGGGCTTTTATTTGATAAATGAAACTTTTTTTCTGCTTAGTAATATAATGGCAATGTTCTGGCTTGGAAGAAATGCATTCCATATACGTATTAAAGTCTGTTTCCTGCTACCAATTCGAAATCAAAATAAAATATAGGGAAATTTATATTCTAAAATCTATGGGGAAAATAACATCAAAATACATCATTTGGAAGTAGATGATTATTTTGGGCCTTTTCTGCCATAACCCATATCTTGGTGTTTATAAATCTGGTGAAGTGACCAGACTGCCCTTTAAAAATCAAGTTTGAGGAGGCTGGGTGCAGTGGCTCACACTTGTAATCCAAGCACTTTGGTAGGCCGAGGTGAGTGGATTACCTGAGGTCAGGAGTTTGAGACCAGCATGATCAATATGGTGAAACCTCATCTCTACTAAAAATACAAAAATTAGCCCGGTGTGATGGCGGGCATCTGCAGTCCCAGCTACTCGGGAGGCTGAGACAGGAGAATTGCTTGAACCTGGGAGGCGGAGGTTGCAGTGAGCCGAGCTCATGCCATTGCACTCCAGCCTGGTGACAGAGTGAGACTCCACTCAAAAAAATAAAATAAAATAAAATAAGAAAAAGAAGAAAAGAAAAAATCGAGTGTGAGGAGTTCAAATCTGCAAAGCTTTCCTAACCTTCAACCCTCATTCTTGGATTGTTATCACAACTTGACTTGATTTCTGACATTTGTTAAGCAAATATCCAATACTTTAAATTTATTTTTTATAATTAAATATTATTATGGTATAAAGCCATAAAAATATGAAAAAATACAACTTTAAGGGGGCTTCATTTATATTTATAGGTGAGTTGAAATTAATCATTTGACATAATATCCAAATAAAATATCTTTACTTTTTATTTTGAAGTATCACATTGTGAAAGGATAATTACCACGAAGAAATATTACCATGTTTTTGTTAAAAATCTTCATAAATTAAAGCGATATGAAAGAAAACAGCAATAACTAGTTGTTTATGGACAAAAATACTAAAACTATAAGAATAAGCTCTGGCTGAGTGTAGCTAATATGGAGTAATTTTCTCAGGTGACTGTTAGAGAAATGACCGATCATCAATGTGAAAATAATAGCTTTGAAATGGACAAAGAAAAGGCTGATACATAGATTACTACATGTGAAAAGATTAATATTTAACATGTGAGATATATTTACAGCAATCAGACATCACTTGACAAAAAATACAAAAATACTGATGGGAAAAGGAAACAGTAAAATGACTGCCTTATTTTCTGCTAGCCAATTATCTTGGTGCAGAAAAAGTGATTTTTGCCTGGTGGTTCTTGAATAGGGAAATATAAACACATTACTCAAGCCAGAACAATAGCGGGATGAGGGAGTGGGATGGGGGATGTTGGAGGCTATAAGAGTGGAGGAATTTGCACCATATGCTCTAATTTGGATTTGGACAGCTTTTTGGATGTCTTTGGTAATAAACAGGATTTCTGCTTTTTGGCTTCTTGATGTGGGGGTTTACATTCGAAGAAAAAAAGGCTTGTAGTTTAAGGAAACTAATGAAGACATTCTGGTTTGAACATTTATCTTAATGAGAAGAAAGCCCATTTGGATAAAAAAAAGGTGAAGAAATACCAAGTTTAGACTCCCCTGATATGCTCCATGATCACGTCTGTCTTACCCAGCTCTAATTTTCTTTGATTTTAACTCATCTGTATGACCAGACATCTGTGAGTATTTATGCCTTTTTTGGTTATGTGCTGTCCCGTTCTGGCTATCCATCAAATCCAGAACAGACTTCCCAGCAATGTTTTGTACAAAATGTGGAGTAGAATGATAACTGATTAGCATTACGTGATAAATGGACATTCTTTAGCTGAAACTGTAAAGTGCAAAACAGCTGAGACAACATATGAGCAGGAAATACAGTGCACAGTCTGTCTCCTGGTTCGTGTTCGCACAGCTTATTTTTTATTGCTACAGTTCAGAACTATATACAGCTCAGGCAGTGTATACTCGATGGAGAAAATATGAAAAACGAGCTAGTGCCCTTTTGTCTGAATATCTTTGTAGGAAGACATCTTTCTAATATATTCCTAAAATGATATGTCTCTTAGTGGCAAACAGAAAAGGTAAGGGGCAAGGTTGCTGACTTTGTTTTCTAGTAAGTCTCCTGAATGAGACAGCTCCCCACACTCACAATGCTCTAGGACCAAAATTTCATGTCTTTTAATTTTTCAAGCCACATTAATCTCTTGATGAATTCCTAAAATAGAGAATTTAAGTTTTCAAACAAAAAGTCAATGAGAAAATGAAACTAGGTGAGGTTTCCATAACTCCAATCTAAAGGGTCCCAGCTACTCACCACCAGCCAACTGTTTCTCTGCAGTAGTGATTGAACCAGTGTTTCCAAATCTCTCTTTCCTTTTTGGAGAAGTTTAAAATCCACTTAAAAATCATGTTTTATAATTTAAAAAGTTTAAACATTTATTTTTGAAATCCACTTACCAATCATGTTATCTAATTTAGAAAGTTTAACCATTTTTTTTTTAAACACTGTAAGGGCTAAACATCAACTACTGATAGATTTAACTCACGGGCTTTTAAAAACTCTTTTAGATATTTTTATTTATTTTGATATGCAGGTTTCTTACATAGGTAAACATGTGCCATAGTGGCTTAGGCATTTTTATAAAGCTTATATTTTTGTGGCATTAACAAGAGCTGACAGTTAAATATGTAATTAAAATATACTAAACAACTACCAAAGTTTAAGCATAGCATTACATTGCATTATATCTATTGTAAAATGTCTTGATTGATTTATTAAGACTTGTCAGTGTATGACAGAGCATTATATCAAGTAGTAGTCTATTATAGTACATTTTCATTAATTGGTACTTTATTATTTCACCTGGAGAATTCTAATAGATCCTTTATCCAAATCACTTGCTGCAGAGACAAAAACAATTGGAATCAAAGATTAGGTGATGAGACCAAAGCATTAAAGCAAACTAGTAACAAGCTGTCACCTGCTTCTCCCAACTTTCCTTTTAGTGCCTTTCACTACATCAAGCTTTTCTAATTATAATAATGGGAAGAAGAGTTAGGTTATGATTACTGAATACAAACTGTTAAATCAAGCCTTTCTGTTTGTAATAATGAGACAAGGGTAAGATTACGGATTAGGTTTACATACTTCGCACCAACCATGGAAAGGGGGAGTTTTAAGCAAATAGCTTAAAGGCAATGCCAAGAAAGTGTTTACCCTCATGAAAGAACACAGTACTTTTAAGCACTTTATGTCACTTCAGTGTGATCAGTCCCTAAGCTTGATAGACTGGTTCTTTGGGATGATACAAATAGATTTTTTGAACTTTATTAATGACCATTTTTGTTAACTTTTTAAAAGTTTTTTTTTCTTAAAAGTAATACAACTGAATTTCTTAAAATAACATCTTAAACTTAAGACATTTTAAATTCAAATATGCAGACTAACTTCTTTAGCTAATCAAAGCTAGAAACGTTTTAGTGTTGTAAAAATTGGTCTGTACAATTAATATTTATTTTATTTCAGAAATTCAACAAATTATATTTGTCATTATAGTGGTTTATTTATTAATATCTAAAATCTAATAACGTTGTCAGAGATTTTAACATTTCTCAAGTTGTAATTCCTTATTCGCCCCTGGGTGTTCATTTCCCTCCTATGGATCAGAGTAAATTAAAATTTAGATAATTACATCTATTTCATCAGGAAATAATAGTTTTTTTTTCTTCTGCGCATACTTTTATTTGTTTTGTTTTGAGAACAATTTGCAATAGCATTTAAAATCTTTGCAATATTTTGTATTGAAATTCCAAACACTTATTTTAGTTTGACATTTGATCTTTTTGACAAACGATTTTTGAAAATTTCTTAAAGTTTTCTTAACATTTTATTTACCCAAGTTATTTTTGTCAGCTAACGACATTTTTATTAAGCCCATTTTTGCTTCTAAAAATATCCAAGAAAATTTATTATGATGTACATATTAGGTAAAAAATATGTGAGCAAGGAAAGATGACTGTAATTATGCTTATGTTTTCTTCTTCAAGATATCTATTACCTGAATTATCTTTAAGATATCAGGTACCTCACCCTTATGCGTTTCAGGGCTTTCTAGGTACCATATTTTAGATGTCTCACCTTGTGAATGATTTCTCTTTTGGCCTGAACCTTTTTATCTCTACCACATGTTTTATCTCTTATTTCCAAAGATTATATGCAAAATGAGTTTTTAATATGGTAATGACTACAAAATAGTAGGTCAAGTAAGTTTAATAGTGGACTTCCATAAAGTGATATTTAACAAAGAAATTGTATTTTATACCTATGTTAATCTTGAGGGTCCATCCCAGCGCTGTTTGCTGCCATCCAATACAATTCATTCTCTGCCTCTTTGTAAATACACTTGGTCACAAATCTTAATTATTAACTTTTTCGGCCTTATGGTGTGAATCCCAACCTGTTTCCAAAATCCTCACTTGCTAATGTCATGAACACTTTCAATGTCTTGGATTTATTTTATCTTTCAAACCTGGATTTTAGTGCTGTTTCTCTTGTCTTCATCTTTGCCTTTCCTCTTTGACTATGATTTGTACTAGTTCCTTTGAAACAAAGCAGGTTTGCGTTAAGCAAGAAAGATGGGAAAATGGATCCATGATCAACACACAACAATATTTTGATAGAAGTAATACACAAAATTAAACTATAGACTTCTAATGTTGAAATACTTCTTTGGTCCTTAGAATCTAAACGAATATGACCACAGTGGAGTGACTTGCCTTAAATGTCAAAAGTTTATATTGATTCTATGGTGGTGAAATAAATTTGTTATTTAACAAAATGGTTTCAGTGCCTTCTTATGAAGAATGTAAGTAAAAATACTCATAGAGGAATGTATGAAATGTTAGTAATCTCTCTTCTAATATCGTCTATCTTGAGAGTCTTCTAGACAATATTCCCATGATATTTGGTAAGATTTCATTTTAATGCTTAAGTTGTCTTCATTACAATTTCCAAAATCACAGTGTTTTTCCATGGTATTCCGGAATTTTGATTTTTTTACAGGGAAAACTGTTAATGTTCTTTATATAATATAGTCAAAGTTTATATTTGCTCTAGTCCCAGTAAGTTATTGCTTCAACTAAGCAATAGAGTTAAAAGTATAGTGGTGTAAAAAAAATGTATGAACTTCAAAGATACAGACAAAAGCAAAGTTTAGATATTCCTTGTATCCATTCTCCCACATATTACCTGGGGCAGATGGGCTGAGGGGAGTTGCCTAAACATTGTTGTTGTGTTGCCTCATTCTTTCCTCATTATTTTTCATTATTTCATAATCATCGTTATTGGTTAATACATTGCATGTTATTTCCAACCCGGTTTGTCCTCATATAAGAAGTCAATGAAAAAACAACAAAGACACTTTTCATCATGAACATGTATAGTTCTACAGTAACATGCAAAGACTAGTGTGTACTTCAGGTGGATAAAAGAGTAACTGGGTGCATATTTATGTCTGTATGTGACTGTGAAGTCATGCCAACATCTTCTTGTAAACTGAAGCCTTCCAGATAAGGTACACTTAGTGTATTAGAATGGATTAAAACCTCACTTACTTATAAGAAAATATAAAAACTTAAAGATTTTCTGAGGTTCTGGAAGGTTATAGCCTGCCCTTTCCCAACCCAATTACTGACTATCCTCTTTTATCCACTGATCAATGCTTGCAATTCTGCTGTCAGAATTTAATTTCTAGTTTACAGCTTTTGGGCCTGTTAATGATAAATTATTATTAGAGATTAATATCTTAAGTGGTTAGTCATTCATGTGAAAGAAAAAAATGGGGAACTTTCTTTAGTGGGAGGATTGTGAAATGATCTGGGAGTCTTAGCAGTCTTAGAAAAATAAAGATGTTAAACATAGCTTTGTATGCTTGCGTGAACATCAAGGAAAAACAGAATACGCACTAAGCTGTAAATGTTGGTATCATGGAGTTGAAATGTGACTGGCATGATGACGGGGAAGAATGGACTAGTATTTTTTTTATTTATACATTTTTGTATTGTTTTACTTGTTATAATAAATGTGTCTTAGTTTGTAATAAGAATGTAATAAAGAATGGTGAGGGAAAGGAGGGCTATTAAGTAAGAAGGGATCTTTTATGGGGAACGAGATTCTTATAGTGTCCATAATTTTACTCAGAGCTACTCTGTGAATGCCACAGGGTGGCTGTCAAATAAACTTAATATGGTCCATTAATGAAGATTTTGTGAGTGTAGTATATAGGTTGGAAGGTTCAGCTGTGATGATTCCCAAAACAGATGGTATTAAAAATCATTTTGGAGTACTGCTAGTTTAATTAACCTACTATTGTGGTTACATATTATCATCTGGCACTAGATGGGCAACCCTGCAAGGGGGCCTAACTTCACTCCTGTGTAAATAAACACAATAAAACAAATAATAGGACATTGATCTTTAAACAATGTTATAACAACTTTAAACTAGTAAAAAAATTGTGTTTGCCTCTTGAGAAGGGTGGCAAAATTTTTACGTAAATGACAATGACATATATATATTAATATCACCCTTTCTGGAAGGCAGAATTGAGTGTCATACAAATGCTAGAGCAAAGGCTCTAGTCATTCTCCATTCTGTCCTCTTTCCAGCCTCTGGCAACTGCTAATCTTGTGTCTGTCTTGATGGATTTGCCCATGGCATTTCATGTAAGTGGAATCATATAATGCATGGTCTTTGTGTCTGGCATCTTTCATTCAGCATAGTATCTTCAAAGTCCATCCATGTTGCACCAAGTATCAGAACTTCATTTCTCCCTTTCTTTTTTTTTTAGCATTCTTAGAATTGTCTTTTACATATGTGTTTTAGACAACTTGCTATGTGCATTACAGTGTGTGGACCCTTCACTGCAATAACACTGTTCTCAACATAGTTTTCAAGTAGCAATGTTAAAATGACCATGTTATACATGTGTCCTTAAAGACTTCCATTACGTGCCTTACAGAGTGGTTACCACATTCATCCACTGAAATAACACTGAAAACTTAATTCCTTTTGGGGGCTGAATAATATTCCATTGTATGGATATACCACATTTCATTTATTTGTTCATCAACTGAAGAAAATGTGGTTATTTTCACTTTTTGGCTATTATGAATAATGCAGCTATGAGCTTTCATTTCCAAGTTGTTGTGTGTGCATATACTTTTAATTCTCTTGGGTATGTACCCAGGAGACAAATTGCTGAGTCATATGGCAACTCTGTGTCTATCTTTTGGATAAGCTGGCAAACTGTTTTCCAAAGCACCTATAGCACTTTATATTCTCATCAGCTATGTGTGAGGATTCCAACTTATTTGCATCCTTGCCAACACTTGCTATTAAATGTATTTTTCATTATAGCCATCTTAGTGGATATGAAGTGCTGCTATCTATTAGGCTGGTTCAAAAGTAATTGCGGTTTTGCCAATAAAAGCAACGGCAAAAACCAAAATTACTTTTGCAACAGCCTAATATTGAAGTTTAGATTTGAATTTACCTACTGACTAATGATATTGAGCATCTTTTATATGTTTCTTGGCCATTCATACACCTCGTTTGGTGAAATGTCTAATTCAACGTCAATTTTACAATTGTATTGTCTTTTTTATTACTGAGTTGCTGTAGTTCTTTACATGGTAGACACAAGTCCCTTATCAGATATATGATTGCAAACATGGTCTCCCATTCACTAGGTTGTCAGTTCAATTTCTTTTCTTTTACCTATTGCAATCTATTTTTATAATAGACTTATAGAAATCTGTGCATTGCATAAAGTACTTATGAATAGGTATAAATGTTGGAAGAAAATGTTAAAATAAAAATAATGGTGTTATAATGGTGGGATGATTAGTAACTATACATTTATTTGTGTGTTTATAACATTCCCCCCGCCCATGGTTAAAGAAATCTGAGAGATGTGTCTTTGTGAGAGGACTGGATATAAAAAGGAAGCACCAAAGTTTTTAACTTTTGTATAGTTCTGTTTATCTTTTTTTTTCCTTTGTTGCTTGTGCTTTTGGTGTCATATCTATAAACAATGACCTAATCCAAGATCACAAAGCTTTAACCTATTTTTAACCAAATAGTTTTGTGGCTTTAGCTCTTATATTTATTTCCAGGATTCATTTTGAGTTAATTTTGTATAAGTTATGAGGAAGAGACTCAATTCCTTTGAAGATGGATATCTAGTTGTCATAGCACCATTTATTGCCAAGACTGGTCTTTCCCCTTTTAATTATTTTGGAACCCTTGTTAAAATTTGGAACCTTGTTAAAATTGGAACCCTTGTTAAAATATAAAAACAAATTTAAGTATTTGTTTCTGGATGTTCAATCTACCCATTGTTCTACATGTGTATCCTTATGCCAATATCACACTGTCTTGATCTGAAGGCTTTGCAGTATGTTTTAAAAATGGGAAGTAGGAGTCCTCCAAATTAATTCTTCTTTTTCAAGATTGTTTTGGATATACTGAGTCCTTTGAACTATTGTTTGCAGTTTTGGATTAGTTTGTCGATGTCTACAAACATTCATTTGGTATATTTATTGGAACTGAATTGACTCAGCCAATCAATTTTGGGAGTATTGCTGACTGTAATAGTGTCCTGGGTCTGCTGTACAAAGTACCATAACCTGAGTGGCCTAAACAACAGAAATTTGTTTTCTCACAGTTTTGGAGTCTAGGACTATGAGATCAAGATGTTGGCAAGATTTTTTTTCTTTTTTTTTTCTGATGACTGTAGGGGGAATCTGTTCTATGTATCTCTCTTAGTCTCTGGTGTTTGCTGGCAATCTTTGGCACTCTTTGAGGTGGCATTCTCCTTATGTCTTCATATAGTCTTCCCTATGTATGTGTCTCTTTCTCTTCACACCAAGTTCTTCTTATTTATTTATTTAACTTTTATTTTAAGTTCAGGGGTACATGTACAGTTTTGTTATATATGTAAACTTGTGTCATGTGGGTTGTTGTACAGATTATTTAATCACCCAGATATTGCCTAGTATCTATTAGTTATTTTTCTTGATCCTTTCCCTCCGCTCACCCTCCTCCCTCTGACAGGCCCTAGAGTCTGTTGTTCTCCTCTATGTGTCCATGGGTTCTCATCATTTAGCTCCCACTTATAAGAACATGTGGTATTTGGTTTTTTGTTCCCATGTTAGTTTGCTGAGGATGATGGCCTCTAGCTCTATCTATGTCTTTGTAAAGGACATGGTCTTATTCTTTCTATGGCTGCATAGTATTCCATGGTATATATGCACCACATTTTCTTTATCCAGTCTATCACTGAGGGGGCATTTAGGGTGATTCTAAGTCCTTGTTATTGTGCATAGTGCTGCAATGGACATATATATGCATTTGTCTTTATAATAGAACAATTTATATTCCTTTGGGTATATATGCAGTAACGGGATTGCTGGGTCAAACAGTATTTCTATTTTTAGGTTTTTGAGGAATCGCTACACTGTCTTCCACAATGCCTGAACTAATTTACTCTCCCAACAACCGTGTATAAGAGCTCTTTTCTCTACCACTTCGCCAGCATCCTTTTTTTAAAAAAAATTTTTAACAATAGCCACTCTGTCTGGTGTGAGATGGTATTTCATTGTGGTTTTGATTTGCATTTCTCTGATGATCAGTGATGCTGAGCTTTTTTACATATGCTTGTTGGCTGCATAAATGTCTTCTTTTGAGAAATATCTGTTTATGTCCTTTGCCCACTTTTTAATGTTTTTTTTTTTTTCTGGTAAATTTGAGTTTCTTATAGATGCTGGGTAGTAGACCTTTGTTGGATCCACAGTTTGTAAAAATTTTCTCCCATTGTCTAGGTTGTCTGCTCACTCTGTTGATAGTTTCCTTTGCTGTGCAGAAGCCCTTTAATTTAGCAATTTACAGATTCAATAATTCTTCACAGAGCTAGAAAAAAACTATTTTAAAATTTATATGGAACCAAAAAAGAGCCTGAATAGGCAAGGAAAACCCAAGCACAAAGAATAAAGCTGGAGGCACCACGCTACGCAACTTCAAACTATACAGTGGGGCTACAGCAACAAAAGCAACATGGTACTGCCGCAAAAAGACACGTAGACCAATGGACAGATCAGAGAACCCAGAAATAAGATCACATACCTACAACCACCTGATCTTTGACAAACCTGGCCAAAAACAAAAAAAAGCAATGAGGAAAGTATTTCCTATTTAATGAACGGTGCTGGGATAACTGGCTAGCCATATGCAGAAGATTGAAACTGGACCCCTTCCTTACACGTTACATAAAAATTAACTCAAGATGGATTAAATACTTAAATGTAAAACCCAAAACTATAAAAACCCTGGAGGACAACCTAGGCAATACCCTTCAGGACACAGGCATGGGCAAAGATTTCCTGATGACGCCAAAAGCAATTGTAACAAAACAAAAATTGACAAACGGGATCTAATTAAACCAAGTTCCTTTTAAAAGGACACCAGGGATAGGCTCAGTGGCTCACACCTGTAATCCCAGCACTTTGAGAGGGTGAGGTGGGTGGATCACCTGAGGTCAGGAGTTCAAGACCAGCCTGGCCAACATGATGAAACCCCATCTCCATTAAAAATAGAAAAAAATCAGCCAGGCATAGTGGTGCACACCTGTGGTCCCAGCTGCTGGGGAGGCTGAGGCAAGAGAATGGCTTTAACCTGGGAGGCAGAGGTTGCAGTGAGCTGAAATCGCGCCACTGCACTCCAGCCTGGGCAACAGAGTGAGACTCTGTATAAATAAATAAATGAATAAATACAAATAAAAGGACACCAGAATATTGGATTGGGGCTCACCCTGCTCCAATATGATCTTATATTAACTTGACTATTTACAGCCTCAATGATTCTATTTCCATAAAAGATCACATTTGGAGGGACTAGGGATTAGGACTTCAACATAAGTATTTGAGAGGTATCCCATAACACCAGTTTAACAATATTTAATCTTCTCATCTTTGTACACAGAATATTTTCTATTTATTTAGGTGCTCTATAATTTCTTTTAATGATGCTTTTTAGTTTTCATATATACACCTATGTGCTTTCTCTTTTAGTTTTCATATATATGAAATATATGTATGAATAGATATATATGAATAAATATATATGAAATATATATATGAATAAATATATATGAAATATATATGAATAAATATATATATGAAATATATATGAATAAATATATATATGAAATATATATGAATAAATATATATGAAATATATATGAATAAATATATATATGAAATATATATATGAATAAATATATATGAAATATATATATGAATGAATATATATATGAAATATATATATGAATGAATATATATATGAAATATATATATGAATGAATATATATATGAAATATATATATGAATGAATATATATATGAAATATATATATGAATGAATATATCTATGAAATATATATATGAATGAATATATATATGGAATATATATGAATAAATATATATGAAATATATATATGAATAAATATATATATGAAATATATATATTAAATATATATGTGAATAAATATATATGAAATATATATGAATGTTTTCATATATATGAAATATTAATTTCTTTCAATTATGTCTAAAAAGTAATTTATTTTAGTTATGTTTTTAAATTGTCATATATCTTTAATTTATTTTAATGAAAATTGCATTCATGATTTTAATGATATGTATATGACAACTACAAAACATTAAAAGAAATTAAAGATATACACATATCTTATATTTTTTGTTAAATTTATTTCTAATTTTTAATTATATTTGTTGCCATTGTAAACAGAATCTTAATTTCATTTTCATATCATTTATTACTAGTAGATAGAAATAAAATTGACGTTTTTATATTGATCTAATATCCAGCCATGTTGCAAAACTCAATTGTTAGTTCTAAGAGTTTTTGTGTGAATTCTTTAGGATTTTCTCTATACAAGATCAGGTCAACTGTGAATAGAAATGCTAGTTTTTCCTTTCCAATATGGATACTCTTTATTTCTTTCACTTGCCTAATTGCCCAGACTAGAACCTTCAATACAATGTTGAACAGAAGTGGTGAGAACAAATATCCTTGCCTTGTTCCTAAGTGTAGGGAGAAAGTTTTCAGTCTTTCTCCATAAAGTATGATGTTATTGTGAGTTTTTACTAAATGCTCTTCAATCAGTCAGGTTCAGAAATTTCCCCTTTATTTTTAGTTTGTTTAGCGTTTTTACTGTGAAAGTGTGTTGATTTTTAAAAAATGCTTTTATTCTGCACCTATTTAGAAAATCATGTGTGGTTTCTGTTTTTTAAAAAAATTTAGTCATCATAGAGTGTATTACTTTGCATAAATATATTCTCTAATTATTCTGAATCATTTTAAAACACTAGAAGTCCTTCTGATTCAGTAAGAAATGTAGTCTTTGCTTAGAAAGAACAAGACTAGTTCAATCATGTTAATATAAGATTCTCATTATCTTATACCCTTCTTACTTGCTTGTATACTGAGCCCAAAAATAAGACTGGAATGCTTGAGTCGAACCATAAAGCATGGTGTGCCCTGAAAAGAAAAGAAGAGAAAGAAGATAAATATGCTGGTTTACCTTTTGAGGGGGTGGTGAGAGGAGCTGGTGGCAGAGATTTGTTTCCTCTAGGATCAGGCATATCCTGGTGCATGTTCCCAGTGCAGCTGGTTCTACCTATCTTAATGCAGACCTGCTCTAGGGACTAAATATGTCCCATGGATAAATGAATAATTAAATGCTGCAGAAGAATATCTTTGAATGTGTACACATTCAATGTGGGACAATGAAGAAATCATCCTGTTGCTACTATTTCAGAAAAGGGATTAAAACAAAACTCTTGTCAGTTCAAAATAGAAGGTAAAAGAGAGTTGCCAACAACAGCAGTAGTGCACAGTTAGGCAAAGAACAATGGAAGGCTTAAGTCCATGTTATGTTTTTCAGTGGGGTTTTGCCAGCAGGGCCTCTTTTAAGTAATGTGTTTGGAAGTTATTGGTGGATAAAATCCTGATGGAACAAGGAGAAGAGATGGGAAAATGCCTGTCATCTACATATTTACCTTCATATTTTCATAGCTTCTGTGGTTCATTTTATTTTTCCAGTTACTATTTTTACAAAAATAGAGAATAAAAATAAGAATAAAAATCTTTCTTCCACTCTTTTCTGCTTCTAAAAATGCTCTTAAGTAAACCACGGCATCATTGTTTAATCAGGTTCACACTTTCCAATTTACTTATTTAATCTGTTTATCACATTTAACACAGTTGATCCCTCTCTTGAAATTCATGGCTTCCCTGGCTTCCAAGCATATATCATTTCTTCTTCTCTGCCCTCATTATTGTCAACTACATGTCAGATTTTCTTTCTTCTTCCATGTCCCTTAATAATAGATTCCTCTAAGTTTCCATCCTGCATCCACTTCTTTTCAACAGCAAGTTCGCCCAAACAATATAAAGCTGATGACCCCAAAATTGTAATTTTAAGACTAATAGTCTTTTCTGAGCACCATATTAATATTTCCAATAGCCTTTTTGGTAGCTGCTCCTCAATGATAAATGGTGCCTTATATCTGAAATGGAATATGTTTCTACATTCTAAAGCTAGCTTATCTTCTGGTATTTATTATTTTGTGTAATGGCACTACTTCCCAACAAATCACCCAGACCACAGTCTTAGAAGCCCTTCTTGCCTGATGTCTACTACTCATTTTCAACATCTAAGTAGTCATCAGTCCATGTTGAATCTATCTTACTATCTCTCAAACCCATTCTCTTTTGTCCTTCACTGTTATGGTTAAAGATCACTTTCCTGGTAAACATTTTTATAGAGTACACGGAGTACAGTGAGGAGAAGGAGCAAAGCAGGAAAGGAGAGAGAGCCAATACTTGGATACAATATCTAGCTGGCTCCCACAAAATAAGACTGCTGGATGCTAAATTCCCTCCCCTAAGAGGTCCTATAACATACATTCCAAGACTGGGAAGGGGAGATTTTAAGAAAATGGTGGAAGAATTTGTGAACTTGTTCTCATCTCCTATTACTCAAATATTTGTTACAGGGCTTTTACAGCCTCACACGTTTGGCCACACATATGTGGGTACCAAGTGGGATCACAGAGGTTAATAGGGAAGCCTCAGGACTAGAAGCACAAGACAAAGAAGCATGAGGAACTGCTATTAGGTTGAATATGTCTGGCCCATGCAGAAACAACTAAGCCTGAGAGGATTTGGAGTGTTTTATGAGAGGTGTCTAATACACTTCTAACTCTTCTCCCTTTACTTCATTTAGTCTATTTTCTGCAATGCCTAATGCCTAATCTTTTAAATTGCAAATCCTAGCAATCCAGTCTAAAGTCCTTCAGCGATTCTACAAAGCTCATTGATAAATTTGGAAATTCTTCATATGGAATACAAGGGATTCATGATCCAATTCTTGCTTATCTTTCCAGCATTTGCAGTACTTCTGCACATTTCCCCAAGGGGACAAACTTCTGCTTACAATACTATCCTATTCATCGTTTAAAGTGGCTCAAATGTAATTTTTTATGTGATATCTTCTCTGAGATCTTCTGACATAACTAGTAGTTCTTTTCCTGAACTTTCATAACCACTGGTTCATACTTTTATACAGCACACACAAAATGGCTTTAAGAATTAGTTTAGGGGTACAGAATAGGCTAGAGATTGTTTTCTATTTATCTCGCTATTATCTGAGACTAGGAACAAATCCAAAATGAATCAAAATTGTACTTAATGTGGTAGGTTATATGAAAGAATGAATCTTAGAATAACAAAGACCAAAAATTATTTTATCTTGATTTCAATCTGCAATAATCACCCTTTGTCTGACATTTCATATGCACATGTGTATTTTTTATTGTGTCAATTACTTCTTTTCGTTTTCCAGTTGTCCACTTATGCTTCCAGGTTTTAATTCTTCAGTCAGATTTTAAGGTCTTTAAGAAAAGGATACTATTTCTTAGTTCTCTGTGTTTTCCATAACATTGTGCACAGAAAACAAGCTCAGTAGTCATTCTTGAATTCATTCGACAATGAATTATTAAAATTTATGTTTAACTTCCATTCAAAGTTCTACTTAAGTTGTTTTCTTTGAAAACGTATATTTCACGGGTTTGAGGACAACTTAAAGGAGAATTATTTTTTCAGTTTTTTTTTTCTCCAGTTTGTTTTATTCTATTTGTGGGTTGGTGAAATTGGCTCTGAAATCCTACCCGTGATTTTTGTTGTATTCTATGAAATTTTTAGACGTCAAACACTTTTAAACACTTCATTAAGAGAACTGTTAAAGTGTTTCTGTGACCCTGAGATAATACAGAACTTTTAGGGATCAACGTAATAATTTATGAGAATGATTATCACAGAATTGTGGGACTGGGCTAATGTTCAGGGATCATTGTGTAGACTATCTGCATGTATATGAAAGATAATCTGTAATTAATTAATTAATTAATTAATTAATTTATTTATTTTTGAGACGGAGTCTCCGCTTGCTGCAAGCTCCGCCTCCCGGTTCACGCCATTCTCCTGCCTCAGCCTCCCGAGTAGCTGGGACTTCAGGCACCCGCCACCATGCCTGGCTAATTTTTTGTATTTTTAGTAGAGACGGGGTTTCACCGTGTTAGCCAGGATGGTCTCGAGCTGACCTCGTGATCCACCCGCCTCGGCCTCCCAAAGTGCTGGGATTACAGGCGTGAGCCACCGTGCCAGGCCCAATATTTTTGAACTAATGAATATTATATTCTCTGTTCGAGTTCCCTTATCTAAAATTTTCATCCTCCTCTGTTTAATACATGTAAGAACATCTATGATGTATGTCTAGAAAATCTATTTTATATACATGTAATATGTAATAGAGATGCAGGGCTAATTTTAAAGATTGGATAGTTTTATTTATACTGTGAGAGGGCCACTGAATATTAAAACTTTTTTTACTATATGTTGTAGTAAGTGCCTTTATTACTTAGTTTTCAAATTAGAAAAAAAATAATAACCTTATCATAAACCCTTATATTAATTATTAAAATGATTGTTAGTAGTGTTTAGAAAATCACATGGAAGAAATAGGGGGAGTAATTTTAAAAAGACAATTTTGTCTTGTCTTTCTTGCTTCTGTGGTATCTAAAGTATTGCAAATAAATAAGAATCTTTGTCTTCTATTTTATCTCTTTACTTGTCTTTCTCTCTCTCTCTTTTTTCCCTTGTCTTCTCTGAGGATAAGATTGATTTAATTTGGGCAGTGGAGGAGAGTAGGATGAAAGACAATCAGAAAAAAAAACTGTCTTTAAACCCTAAATTTATTCCAATTTCATGTTTATTTCTTTTACTGATTATTTTATTACTATCTTGTCATTAATCCATTATGAATTTTTGAAAACTTCCGTTATGCAGGAGAAATATCTTTCATTTATATTCTTTAGAAGTTTTACTGCTTACAGAAAGGAATTTTGGTCTGGGAGTCTGGAAGTCTACGTCAATATTTTAATCAAGGAATAAGTAGCAGCTACTTGGACTGCAAAAAGGCTAATACAAAGCATTTTACAACAAATCGTTTCTGGCTCATACTGAAAGGACATGAAAACTTATTTTGGCCTCCACAATTACTAAACATAATTGTGGGTGGGATAGCAGAAATTTCTCTAGTCATATACAAAACACCAGCTAACTGACTTGTGTGTGTAAAAGGCATCACTGATAAAGAGAAGTTTATATTAAAAATTTAAATGTATTTATTATTATATTGTGACATCCATACTAAAAATAGTTAAATAATCATAATTTCATATGATTTAATACAAATAAAAATATATAAATATTGTCATGTGGGTAAATCTTATCCATCTGCTGAAATCTGCTAAAGAAACAAAATTACTTATTTAGGAAGTCTTTGAATTTAGTTCAACTGTTCAATTAGATGTATTTCAAACTGGTAAGTAATTTACTTTTGAAGTCATATGTAAAACTTAAAGTAAAAAATGTTGAATTTAAAAATATTTTATAACAACTCAATTTTCTTATGTTCTGTATCAGATAATCTACATTGCCTGTTATATAGTTAATCCCTCTCATCTGAAACCTGTTTAGGAATAATCCCAACTAAAGGCATACAAGATAATAAATGAAGATGTAATAAAATAATTAGGCCTAATTATTAACAAGTAGAAGAATCCATACTTTGTCTAACATTAACTGCTAATTGGATCATAACCTTGACCAAGATGTGGCAGAAAGATTGAAATCTTCCTAATTCTGATGCATTAATGCATGGGATACAGATTTGTATTTACACAAAACTTTTCCTGTGAATCCTGGTCACCTCTAATTTTAGTGATTAAATAGTCTTTATTTGAAAATCAATTAACCATTTCATTTATAAGCCCATAGATCTTTTCTCACTCACAAACATAAATGTGGCTCTAGAGCCACACAATGGTATTGTCATTGCACTGTAACCTTGTCTAATTAGAGAAAATGTGATTATGGCTGTAGGGTAGACGTCAGCTTGATTCTCTATCTACACTATATTCTTATGCTAATTTTTATCATATTAATTTCAATGTTTTCCATTACAAAAATATATGGCAATGAATATCCTTGTAAAAACACTTGTCAACATCTCCAATAACCATTGTTGGCTAAGGAAATTTAAATACGTGCTTTTATCTCTGCTTTCTCCATTGACTAGCTCTTTTATCCAGTCATCATATTGTCCAATGCTCTAAAACACAAAATCTACAGTCAGCATTTCTTCAGTTTTCTTCTGAAAATTGTCTACCTCAGTATCCCAACTCAGTAAACAGTAACACCATCTACCTAATTACTTAAACCATAGGTATTTTTCCTTTTACCTCATTTATTATTGAATCTTTTATGTCAGATATATGCTCCATATTTATCCACTTATTTCTACTTCTACAACTACTACTTTAGCTTGAATTACTCTGATCTCTCACCAGAAGAACTCCAATATCACCTTTACTACTTACTCTAATTTCATACTTGTCATCCCCATTCTTCTCGCCATAGCATTCAAAGTGATACTTTGAAACTGAAAGTAGATTATGTCGTTTTCCTGTTAAAACTCTCCAAATGACTTATCATTAGACTTAGTAAAGTTCAAATTCCTTATGGTGGCCTTTGAGGCTCTACATGAACTGGCTGAATAACTCTCTGATTTTCTCTCTTACCTCTCTTGCCCTTTCTTGAATTTGACCACATTGAACTTCTTCCTATTTTTCCACTATGTAACAAATTTTATTGGATTTGACTCAAATATCAGCTCCTCAGAGACCATCCCTGACTCTCGTATCTAAAGTAACTTCCTTCTGCACCTATTATTTGAATTGGTTTTCATTAAAGCATTAAGAGCATATTTACTATATCATCTTAGGCAGAAAAAAATACATAAACATATTCATAATCAGAGAATTGTCATTACTCTCTTATATGTATGGCAATTATTAAACTACTTTCATATTCAGCTCATGATGCTGGGGCTGAGACACTGCAAACCATGTTTTCTCCTTTGTAAGCTGGTTCCTGTTAGATTCCGTAGGCGTAGACGGTGCCAAAGAGACTAGAGGGTTGGAGGTTAAAGAGGGGATTTTCTGCTCCTATCAGTGTCTCTTATGCAAAACTTCTTCACTGGCAGCAGTGCACTACATTAGAAGCAGCAGATTCCAGGTTACAATTTTTTTTCCCAGTATTCCTAGAACTAGCCCCATTAGAGACAGATTTTTCAGGGTTCTGAATCCCAACTCCTCAGAGTCTTCCCTCTGAGTTCTTGAGGCTCCAGCAACATCCAAGCAACACCTCCTTTTCAGAGATCTGAGCTCCAGTTCCACCAAGCCACTTCTCCAAGATTCTAAACTTTAATAATTCCAACCTTGTCCTTTTGCTCTTGTCCCCCTCACTGGATCAGCATCTGCTTCCTGCAGTTACTTGTTCACAATACCTCAGCATTTTCTATTTCATTTTCCATTTTCTAATACCTGGCTAACAATTATTCATAGCAAATTTTCTCTGTTAACGTTACTTGTGTGGTTTCTATCTCCTGACTGGATTTTGACTAATAAAGTAGGACTGAATTATTGGCTAATTAAAACATCTAAAGAAAAGACAAGACTGTATTTCACCTTCTAAAAGAGACCTGAGAATTAAGGAAGGAAAATGTTAAATGGCCTCTTGATGTTGTTCCCAACTGCACAAATTTTGACTGTTTCGTAAAAATATCTCTATATAGTGATCTCATGCTTGCCACATACTCATGTAGTCTTGAGTTGTGTGGTCAGGCTCTTCTTTGCAGAAGAGGCAAAGTAATGAGCGATGTATATTATAAAGAAACTCAGTGTAGAAAGAAACTTGATGAAGAGATTATAGGCCTAGTCAAGGGATCAGTAGTGGAGGCTGCTGCTGTACTTATAAAAGTATGTTTAATTTCTGTTTCACTGTTTCTTCTGAATCTAAAACACTAAAATAGTTATCCTTGCCCTACTTACATAATGTGCTTATTGACAGAAATAGGGAGTCATCTAACTAAAAATTATTTTGAGAAATAGGAATTGTTACAACAGTAAAATTATTTAGTTAAATATGAATTGTTTTAAGAAAACAATTTAAATTGTATCAGAAAGGATCCAGGTACATTATCTACCTTTTCGTTGACTTTGTTTATTCCTTATCACATCCAGTGCAAGAATTACATATACTGTCTTATTTAGCATCTTTCGCTATTTATATGAATATAGACAACATTTTGAACTGTTAATGTAGCATGATTCCCTATTTGAAATGTTATTCTCTGGGAGTCCGGGGCTTTGCCTCACTTTCGTATTTAATCACCCTCCAACAATACTCCCGACATCATAGAAAAGCAGGTGTTTTGTCAAGGCCATGATGTTACTAACATCAGAAATGGAGTGAGAGCTCACGAATTTGCATAGCAATTTTGAGGAGATGACTGAAACCACGTGTAAATATTTAGATCCAAAATTAAAAGAGAAAAATAATGAACTTGAAGTGCTTTCTTAGGTGACTAGCACAGAAACAGCTGGTTTGTGAAATCTTAAAAGGTTACTTTCTAATATTCTTAACTTTTGTTCTTATTTGAAGAAATGGTGTCGTGACAGCATGTTTGTTTCTACTCTTCTCCTGTCCAGGTTGGAGGTGGGTTAACAATACGGTGATATGTAAGGTCCTGAAGCAAAAATGCCTATTGTCCAATCAAGACACCGTTAACTTGGTTCTCTGAATTTCCAAAAGAAGCCTCTTTTTTTTCCTCTTAGAAAGTAAATCAAGGACTATAAACTGTCTAACGCTTGTGTGACATCCTGAGAATTTGGGGTGACTAAGCTTTTAGAGGCTGCTTTTGGACATGATTTTATCTTCTTCCTGCTTCTGAGAATCAGTTCTTGGTGTCTGCAGTGGCTGTCAGCTGTGGCTGTACCGACTGATGCCAAAGAAGGCGCACGTGAAAATGTATAGAAACTTTCCATTTTGGATACAAATTCTGCCTCTTTGCCAGATTTTGTGCCAGAAAAAAAGCTATGAATTCAATCCTTATCTATAGAACACCAAATATAGGAAAAAATTCCTCCTAAGCATAGCAAAGAATATTATTTATTGAACTTGTGATAATCCTAGGCCTTTCCCCAAATCAACCTTTATAGCACGAGGTGTGTACTTGAACCAAGCCTTCTTAAACAAGGGGCATTGACAGCACAGCAGGGCACCTCATGGCTTTGGCCCCTTCACTCCAGGTGACTCTGAAGACCCTGCTGCTGGTGTCCTTTTTTTGTGTTACCTTCTGCCTCCATTCTGAAGAGGCAATGATAGCAGCAAGCCTCTGTTATTGCAGTTGTCTTGGCACCAACCCATAGATATTCTGTTCTCTGGCTGCTCACTCTGAATATTGGCAGACAGAGGATGAACATGCTGCAGAATCAACCCCATTAGTGTCATCCTAATCCTCTGTAATGGGATCCACATTGGCTAAGGCTAGGCACCAGTCCCCATCCCCATCCTCATGCGTAGGACGCCTTAACTTAGCAAGATACCAGGCAGTTCATTGAAGAGATAACAGTAGGGTGTTTGCTGCCACCTTTTGAAGAAAACCAGAACAATGCCATTGGGAATGCTACGTTGCACATTAGAAGCCGGGGAAGAATATGTATTTTTACAGTTAAAGGACATTTTTGAGGTATATTCACATATATCTTCCTAACATTTCCTTTTTTAGAACAATGCTGTTGCTGTTGGAACTACTGGTGTTGTCATACCAATATTCAAGAAAAAATATTATGAGTTTTCTGAGCAGGATAATGTGTGTGTAAGAGAGATAGAAAGAAAGAGAGGCAGAAAGAGAGAGAGAGAGGCAGAGACAGAGAATGAGAATGACTAATATTCATAACACATTGTCACCAGGGAAAGGACAAGAAGAAGGGTCATGGCAGGCAGAAATTTAGTTAATGTTTGCTGGGGGTGGTAGATTTGAGATTGACAAGGGAGGGTACACAGCATTTCTCATTACTAAAAGTCTTTAGAATCTTTTATTTTAGGTGAGAAATGAAGTACTTAGAAGATTAAGTTCTGTTTCTAGAGAATAAGAGGATTTTGATGAATTTCTCTAGCCTCTTACCAGAATTAAAATTGCCTTTAACAGCTTACTAGACTGTCTTGCCCACCTTTTCTGCTTTTCTGTTTCAGGTCATTTTGAACATCAGAATACATCAGAACATATAAAAGTCTGTGCTTTTGGCAATAATACGTAGCAGCCAAAGTCTAAACATCAGCAGAAAACAATAAATCACTTTGAATGCTGTTTATTATGACAGTGGCCTTGCACTTCCAAAGCATAATGAACATTGAACACAGGAGAGAGAAGCATCAGAAGATGAACAGCTTGCCTCTGGGTTCTCGAGCAATGATAACATGGCTACTGACAGTCATAAGCCCTTGAAATTTCCAAGTTCTGTTTATAGAGGTATGATCATTACTGATATATTTCAGTAAACCCTGGAACCCTTCTGGTTCAGCTGCTTCTTCATGAGGCACCTGTGGATGTACCTGTGGGCCTAAAAATAGCAAGAGCCAAAAGTATATGGAAATCAAAAGCAAACTCTGTTGTGTTCAGTTTGTGTTTCCATATAACTCCTTGTAAGGACACCCACTTAACATACTTTCCCAGATTTTATGGGCAGCTGCAGCATTGGGTTTTTATCTCTTTTCATGTGAGTTTTTTTTTTTCGTTTAAGAATTTTAAGTTTTAAAGAGCTGAGTCATATCTCCCTGAGTTTTCATGATTATATGGGCTCCTCTGAAGGTTTGCATAATAAAGGTTTTTAACTGGACGATACAGGGAATAGCGGACTGGACAGACCAAAGTTACTATCATGAAAAGTAATTGAAATTGTCAGTTGAAGACTTCTGGGCTCAGAAGGAAGTGCCTTCTAAACCCTACCCATGGCCTTTACCTTCTAACCCCTAACTATAGTTGCTAAAACCAGGGAGAATAGGAAAATTCTTTATTTTAATGAGAAATAGGTTCACTTTGGACCCAGAGGCAGTTTGGAGTTTAGGATTTTTCACATCAACTATGGCTCCACCCAATTCAGGTCATTGGTTGAATGAGTGGAAGGCAATAGGTGTGAAGGAAGTTTTAATTTCTAACAACACTGTCCTTTCAAGCAAGGATATATGGTTATGAGAGGTCTGAGCACAATAAAAAGGACTTTGGTAGAGACTCTTATTTCCAATTTTGGCAGCCATTCCTTCTAATAAAAATGTCACACTGTCACCTGGAATTTAGTTTTTTGATAGTAACTATGCCAAAGAATCACAGGCTTATGAGTCAAAGCAGATTACATCTTCCTTTGCCTTCTATAAAACTCCAACCCAAACATGAATTGTGGCAAAATGAGCGAACAGCAGTACATACTTTAGCGAGGAAGCCCGAAACTTTCAGACTCAATATTTAGCTGTTGATACTTTCTTAGTGTCCCTTCAACTTGCCCTTCCCTACATTTTCCTCTATGTTTGCTTCCAGAATTGCAAAGCAACACAGATGACCCTTGAGTCAACCCTTCAGAGACATTCAGAAGGCAGGGAATATTTTAGAATCAGCAGAAGCATTGTCATGTTGAGAGAACACAACTGAACATACATGTAACTTCTGCCCTTCTCTTAGTCAATTTCAGGACTTTCTATAACATCATAAGCACAGATATGAAAAGCATTGCACTAAGAATAATCTAATCTGAAAGAGCATTATAAAACACCCCATAGCCATCTTCTGCTTCTGTTGTGTAGAGTTGTAATTAAGGGGAATTTTGGACAAAGATAATTCTGACTTCTTATTCCATATGTTGTACAGCCATAATGATAGCTCATTCCTTATTCTGTTTGAAATAATATTTTAGAGATTCCTTATATTGTTGACTGAATCAATAGTTGATTTTGTAAATTGCTCAGTAACATTATAATGGATACATATTCAACAATATATTGTCATTCACTTGTTGGGCATTTGGATTGTTTCTAGTTTGCGGCTGTTTCGCATAAAGCTTCTATAAACATTTTTGCACAACTCTTTTCATGTGCATATATCTTCATTTATCTTGAGTAAATCCCTCAATCAAACTCACCTCTTAGGGAAGAAGTGGAATATTTGGGGCCTAGAGTAGATGACTGACTAGTTTTCCAAAGTAGTACCATATTATCATTTTATTATTCAAAAAATAAAGTGTTTAATTTTGATGATGTCCAATTTATCATTTTTTTAAGTGTTTTAACTCTCAGTGTCTTCTTAAGGAAGTCTTTGCCTACTCCAGCGTCATGAAGATATTCTCATATGTGATCCCCAAGGAGTTCATATTTTTAGCTTTCATGGTTGGCCTATGATTAATTTCAGATTAATTTTTGTATATAGTATTAGGTAGGGCTTGCAATTTATGTTTATTCAGATGTTAGGGTGGCATTTGTTGATTTTTCTTTCCCAAAAAAATTGCATCTTTGATGAAAATCAGGTTTCTGCAAGTTCTATTTCTAAACTCTCTATTTGGGTTTATTATGTTCTTTCCCTTACACTAACACTCAACTGTATAATTACAATAGCTTTTTAGAAATTCTTAAACTCCCACAGCAAAAGTTGCCACAACATATTCTTTTCAAAAGTAGTTTTGTTTATGCTAGATCCCTGTATTTCTATATAAATTTTAAATCTCCTTATGAATTGCTACCAAATTTTTATTGAGTTTGGAGCTGCATTAAAACATATAGACCAATGTGGGAAGATGGACATGTCAGTAACATTGAGTCTTACAATCAATGAATATGGTATATTTCTCCATTTATTTATGCCTACTTTAATTACTCTTATCAGTGTTTTGTCTTTTTCAGTGTAGAGGTTGTGCCCGGCATTTATTCATTAACTCTTCTTAAGTGGTTTATGTGAGCCTTTAAGTTTTCTTTTCTTTTTCTCAGGAATCACAGTCCAATGTCAGAAAACTGTTATCTCATATAGTTTGTCTATTGCTTTATATGTTTATTGCAGAAGAGTATGTCTCAATCAGTTACCTCCTCATGGCTAGAAGTAAAAATGCTAGAGCAATCCTTTTGTTAGAGAAAATATTTTATGTTACCCTCTGTCCAAAACCTACTGTGAATCTCTGTTTCAGTTATAGCAAAAAGACTTTCAAGTCCTCAGACAGTCCTACACGATTTATATTCTGTCCCTCCCTCAGTCAATTCATTCATTCCATCTCCTCCCATGGCTGCCAGCATTCTAGTAACAATAACTTCATTGCTGTTCCTCAAAATTTTCAGGTAAAATCCAATGTGTCATTTGCTCAAATATTCTGTCTGTAATAATCTTACTCAAAAAACTGCTTGGTTGATTCTTCATCCTCCTTCATCTTTGTATAAATCTTATCCTCTCAATGGGGTCTGTCCTAATCACTCTACTTGACACTGGAAACTAGCCTTCCCACTACCTTGAAATAACAATCACTCTTACCTTATTCTAATTCTTTTCTTTTTGCCAATAACATTTTTTGTCACCTTGTAACTTACTTTTCTACTCTGTTCTGTATTGTCTCTATTAGTCTAGCATCCCTGTCCCTGCTGTACTCAAACTCTGGATACCTTTTATATACTCCTACTCTTACCCAAGTACCATTTTATGCATCTCTGGGCTTTAGGGCTTTCCTCAGGGAACCATTGAAGTCTGTCTTGTGTGGAAGCCTGAATGTAGGAGAAATTAGCACCCCAAAGCAGTTCTCAACTAATGACTCACAAGAATTAGTCCATATATACCCCAGCTCTCTCAGTCCATGGGTGGACAGTTTTCAAGCCCGTGTTTTGCTTTTTTTTTTCATAGTTTCCATGCAAGATGAAATAGCAGTTTCCCACCGTGATAACTGATTTATTAACTCATCATTGACTAGCTACTTTTTTTTTTTCTTTGAGATGGTGTCTCACTCTGTCACCAGGCTGGAGTGCAGTGGCACGATCTCAGCTCACTGCAACCTCCACCTCCCGGGTTCAAGCAATTCTTCTGCCTCAGTCTCCCGAGTAGCTGGTACTACAGGTTTATGCCACAATACCCAGCTAATTTTTGTATTTTTAGTAGAGACAGGGTTTCACCATGTTGGCCAGGATAATCTCGATCTCTTGACATCGTGATCCATCCACCTCGGCCTCCTAAAGTGTTGGGATTAGAGGCGTGAGCCACCGCGCCTGGCCGACTGGCTACCTTTATATCCCCAATTCAATTGCCCACTACCGTGTTTTCCAAATGGTCCACTCCTAAATACATTGTTTGCAGTGAAATCCTTTATTCAGGATCTGTTTCTAAGGCAACCCAAACTGAGACATCAAATAAAGTGTAAGTTTTATGAAGGTAGAGATCTTTTACTTTTAGAAATTAGTATTACTTTCAAATGATGTGTCTTAAAGCCTGCAATAATGTCAGGAACAGAGTAGATGTGCAAATATCTGTGAAATGAATTAATAAAATTACTGAATAATTTTAAGAAACATTCTCTAGTAATAATACTCACAAATAGTGTCTGAGTTTTTATTTCTGTGCTTAGAATTCTGAGTTGCCCATTTCACAGGTATAAAAGTAAACTTACTGCTATTTACATTAAGAATTTCTTTAATAATTAGTATTTTGTTATTTTTAAAGTTTTCTTATGGTTATTTGTATTGCTTTTATGAATTTACTTGTTCTTCGCAATATTCCTTTTAGAGATATGATTTTTTAAAATAATTACATTTTACAAATGTTTATCTTGTTTTTATTTTTCAATGTATTTTATGTCCAGAAATTTTATATTTATGTAATTAGATCAATTAATGTTTGTTTGCAATTTTTCCTATAACTATACTCAAAATGTTAACCTATATCTTCTTCAAGTATTTAATATTTTTTAAAAATTGATGTTTATTTTTTATTTTCCCCACAATATATTTTTATTTGAGATGAGTCTTTATCCTTTGCTGTAGATAGCCAAGTGCCTCAGTACTATTTCTTCAACATATTGAACTGCATTTTGAAGGATAAATAGAGATTTTTTAGGATAAGAAAAGGGAAAAATTTTTCAACAAATAGAATCACATTGTGGAAAACAAAATTCTGAGTAAGAAAATGGTGCGATCTAGGACCTCTACTTTAGCAAATCATCGGCAAAATGAATTGGGAGCTTTATACTAGGTTCTGGACACCATTTCTATTATACTTCTATGTCTTGTAAAGAAACAGATGGTGCCTGTAGGAGAGAGTCGTGCTCACCTAAGCAGTCCATGTGCTCCTCTGCATTTCATAGAATCCCTTACAATTATGTTAAGACCATGTAATTAGCTCCGTACAATGGACTGGGAGTGGAAATAATATGCATCATGTCTGGGCAGACGCAGTAAAAAACTCATACCTATTGCATCCCAGTGTTCTCTTTCTGTGGAACAGTCAGAGGCCCTCTGATTCAAATGTTAGCTAAAGAGGGCAGAACCTCTATCAGTCTGTGACTGTATAGGAAGAGTCCCCAGACAATCTGTGTGGAACATGTAATGAGAGTGAAAAATAAACTCTCTTATGTTCAATTTCTAAGGTAAGGGAGATAACTTTCTGTAGCATAGCTTACCCAATCTTGACTAAAGCTGTATCTAAAATTAAACCAAATTTATTATCCTTCACTCCAAATCTATTCTCCCATCACATTTTCTAATTTTTTTATGGCAAACTGATTTGTAGCTTCATAAGAACGGTGTGAGAATTAAAAAATAATGAATATATTTGGACTACTTAAAACTTAACAACCTCTCACTGTTTGATATTTTTTTTATTGTTAGTTACCTTAGTGCAAAATCTTGGATTTCCTTTAGCTTAAGCTTTATTCTCATTTAATTAGTATGAATATATTTATTCTATTTCCAAAATTTAGCATTAAATCAAGTTCATTTCCATTTCTTTTTCTGCTACCTTACTTCAAGCTTGAGTTAGTCTATTGTAATAGTCTTATAGCTGATGTACCCTCCATTATAAGATTTGTTTTTCTATTATACAAGCAATCATATTACTCTGAAACTTAAACTGTTGAATGCTTATCTATTGCATATTAGGGCTAAAATTTCATGTCAGTTTCTATGTGATCAAGCCAACTTACAGTTAAGCTTGATCTTATACCATCCCCTTATGTACCTTCTTCTCTATCCCTACTGTATTATCATTGCAAAATTCATCTTATATTTTACTACTTCTGTGCTTTATTGGGGTACTAGCTTTAGTGACTATGTCAAATATTCCAAATCTTAAGTTCTATCTCAAATGTCACCTCTTCCTCAAAGTATTCCATGATTTTCCTAGTTAAAAGGTGCCTTTTTTCCCTCTGATCTTTTGAAATACATTGATCTTTCTGTATTACTCTATATATCTTATCACATCTATACAATGCTATGTATTTAATATGAGAACTCAGTTTTGGTTTTTATTTTTACTTAACATAATATTCTGAATCTCTTGGGTGAACAGTTTATGTTTCTTGAATGTAGATGGGGTGGATTCCAATATATGAAGTTAGAAAGTTTGCATGCCAAGTTCTGCGAAATCTGTTGCAGAACTTACCTGTTGTTTATTTATTTATTTGGGGCTTATTTTTAATTTTACTCATTGAATTGTGTCCAGTGCATTTTATTACCTATTAAATAAAACATTCAAGTTATCTGCTTTTACTTTCCTACAAGGTGGCATTCATGCCATTACTATCTAAACAGAAAATCAATTAGAGACTTTAATTTCCTGTGCAGAAAGGTTTAGATTTTTAAAAAATACACCTCCAACAGCAACAGAGAGTAGAATAAATTAGAAAAAAAATGATTAGGGACATTAAGGATAAATATGGCTACACTTTGAGAAGAAGAGGGAAGTATGGAAGATCCTTTAAAGCAGCTGCAATTAAAAATGTTAATAAGAATTCATGAAAGAACAAGAACCATAAATGAGTCTTTTAAGAGGTAGAGAAATATGATAAATTGTGGTACTCTGGATAATCACAATTAGCAAAATGGAGAATAATTAAAGAAACCAAATGAGAGCACATATAGTGATAAATGAGCTTAGACTTGTTAAAGAACTGTGTTATTAGCAGATTCTTTTTGCTAGTGAGGAAAAGAATATGGACAGAAAGAGAATTTCTCTGTAAAAATAAAAGATAGGTTTTCATACCTTATTACACTTAATGAAATGCTGGCCTAACAGTGACCCATCCACAGGGATGAGAATCTACAAATAGGCAAATGTCCTTGAACCCTCAGGGAGGCAGCCTCTGTCTCATGCCTGCCATTCAAGCAAGTACTCAGAAGATTTAGGTCACTAAAGACTAACCTTTTCCCGCCTGTGTTTTTCTTTACGAAGAGTGGCTATGAATTACACAGCAGGAGAGGTGTGTCTGTGCTTATTAAAGACACTCAGCCTTGAATCACATGTGGTTTCCAATACTTAAGGTTTACCGTGGCAACTCTCTTGAATATTCCTGAGGAAATAGTATTCAATAATCCCTAACAATATTTCTACCATGGTACAAATTATTGGAGGCATTTCTAGATTTTTTTAAAAAAACTATAAGAGAATTGTTGATTGACCAGGAAACATGACCTAATCTCAAACCCTAGGATTTGTGTTGAGTGCCACATATAATGACCTGTGAAATAATGGAACTGTCAGGCCTTGTGCCTGGAGCTCTCTAGGACTGAGCTTATCAGTGTAATCTGTGCAGAAACGGGCGTACTGAGATGTCTTATTCAGTTCTTCCTGTTCAAATTAAGTTAGAGCCATAGACTTAACTGACTAGAAGTTGCATTTATGTGCCCGCATAAGCAGGCCAGCACTTTATGACTGCCAGACCCTGCTTTTCCTAATGTCTATTGCTTTTATTGGCTGCCTACATGCTAGAGTCGCTTTGGTGTGGGAAAGATATACTGGTCAGAAAACATATATATAAGTTCCAAAGACACAACATCCATTATGTCTGTGCTATTCACAGATACTTAAATTGATTTCTGGTTATTAGCAAAATACAAAAATATCTTCTTAGACTAAGCCAAGTTGACATTTTATTAATCTTTTGAAGAGAATATCCAAGGTCTATTTAAATATCTGATACTATTTTCATGCCTATTATGAATAGATACATCTACATACAGTTGCACTTTGCTTTTTCAATGTGCATTGAGAGTTTGCCAAGAGGCAAACAATGTTTTAGGCATTAGGTATAAAAAAGTGAATAAGATAGACAAGGGCCTGTCTAAAGTTATACATAGGGAGAAAGAGAGAAAAATAAACAAATAGATGAATACAAAATAACCAATACTATATGTTGAATACAAAACAGGATAAAGTGCTAGAGATTAATTTGATAGGAAAGGCCCCTCTAAGGAGATAACACTGAAGCTGATTCTTGAATTTTGAGGAGTCAGCTCTTCAAAGATCTTAAGGTAAGTCCCTAATATTTGAGTGACATCGATATATTTTAAGAACAAAAAGATTAGCATAACTAGAAGTGCTGAGCAAGGGGTAGAGCATCAGTAGATGTGGTCAGAAGGTGGCAGGGGATAGATATTGAGGTTTATTGTATGTACATTTATTCTAAGTGTAATGTGAGGCTTTGGGTTGGTTTTAAGCAGAGGAACATTACAATTTGATTTATATTTTGAAAAGATCCCTCTGGTTGCTCTGGTGAGCCTAGATTGGAAGAGGGCAAGAGGAAAGCAGAGAGATCAGTTAGAAGTCACTTGTGATACTCAAGATGAGAGATGATGGCTTGGGTGAGAACAACAAAGATAAGAGGTTAAATTCATCAGAATTGCTGGAGAGTGGAGTGGGAGGAGGGTAAAAACAGTTCTACTTTAGATATGTTAATTATGAGATGCCTATCAGAAACCCAAGTGGACGTATCAAATGGACAGTTGGGGGTTTGAGTCTGCAATTCAAAGAAGACCCCAGGGCTGAATGTGTACATTTGAAGTAAAAGGCATGTCAGCGTGTTTAAAGCTATGAGCTAATTGAGGTTGTCAAGGAAAAGATGGAGAAAAGAATGGGTCTTGGATCATATCCATGAACAGTGAGAAATCTAGTGGAATAGAGATGCTGGCAAAGGAGTTAGAGGAGTAACCAGTTAGGAAGGGGACCTAGAAAAGAGGCATTTTGAATGAATGGAGAAAAACTGAAAAACAAAATTCCAAGGAAGAAAAAATTTCCAACAGTGTCAAATATTGCTAAATAGTCAAATGTTATAAAAACAGAGAAGTGATCCTGGGAACAATGGTGAGGGAAATGAGGTAATGATTATAGGAGAACATGGGGTCCTGGGAGGGTTTATTTTATTCAAGAGTGTCTGCATGCCACTGGCAGTGCTTCCATAGAGATACATTTCTGTTGCAGGAAGTCATTGCAGAGGTTTGTATAAATTTTGTAGGGTATGTCTAATCTCAGGGACTTGTTGAAATTGATCATTTTGAGTTTGTACACTGCAAAATTAAGAACAAAACTTAGAATTGCCATCAGAGTATTAGTACTGTAAAAATGAACCTGAAAAGCTCAGCCAATGTGATTCACGTTCCACAACAATATGCATTGTGAATGTGGTTGGCATAGATTAATTTATCGTTATGCTATAGACTGGTAATTTTGAGGGAAGAAATGAGTTGTCATAGTTGTGATAATTTTATATTATTTAATTGGGAAGAGTAATATAGTCAGAACAGAATTTTGGGGTTGTTATGTAACTTAAAGGGCATCTAATTCTATTGTCTCATTGGTGGAAATGTGGCTGTAAATTGTTCAAAGGGATATAAGGCAATTACAGCTGGTAGGGAAATCATGGAAATATGATCTTCATATGTCCTTTTTTTAACCTGCTCCTCAGTAAATATGTGGGATAAATAAAGTACGGTTATTCACATCTCTAAGTCCTCTAAATCTCCATATGTTTATTTGAAAAAACATTCTTTTGATTAACTGTAAAGAATATTTTTTGTCACATATACACACACACATACACATACACACATCTATAAGTGTTTTGTAATGTATTTTCAGAAATATGTCTTTATGTTAATGAATATTATGAAGTGGTAGAAATATTAATGTCCGTTGAAATAATATATTTTTTCACCAATCCTGCTTAAGAGCAGCCATTTATTTATTGAGCAGTGCCTCCATGCTACACATCCTGTATATATTACCTTGAAACTTGACCGTAGTCAGCAAGGTAAGTATTATCTGGCAATTTTGCAAGCTGAGGAAATATAAATCTAGGAAGTTGAAGTACCTTTCCTATAGGCTCACTCATATTTTGGTGACTGAGTCTAGGTTTGAACTTACCTGAACTTTTTCCTCTTATAAAATACCATCTTTGTCAGTGACTGAATTTCCCATAGCAAAAGACTATGTGTTAGTATGTAAGTGCCCATATACTTGATTAAGCTAAAAATAATTTTCATTCTGTGAAAAATTAAAATAATTTTCATCCTGAGAGATAATGATATAAAGAAGGAAATACATTTAAAATGTCTAGCATCTTAGAAGTGCCATAACATTTATCTGTCAAAAAATGGTGAAATATGACAAACAATCATGTCTGGATTTGTGTCTTTGCTCAACAACTTAATATGTGTAATCTTATGCAAATTAACTCTTTGATCATCAGCAAAAATTTGTTATACTACTTTTATAACTACTTCAGAGTTTGTGGAGTTTAAATTACACATATTTTGACAGTTCATGGGGGCATATTGTGCTATTCTTTAAAACCCAAAGATAAGGTTATGTTGCAAGAATAAAATAATGAAAAATCCACATGTAAGTAAGATCAGATTTTTTTTTAATCAGAGGAAACAAAAATGTAATAATAATTGACTGTGGATGAAACATATTGGGAGATTCAAATTCCAATCAAGTTGCAGACATTCTTCCTTGTAGCCTTTGTTTAAGATATAAAAAGTTGACAGAGCAAAATCATCCACAGAATTATTCAAATATTTAAACTAAGAATTTGGCTTCGTTTTTTTCAGGATAGTCTATAAAAATGTACTTGAATATTCTATGTATTGAGAATATGCAAATTTTTGAAAAGTAGAGATACATAAGCAGGCTATTTTATTTATTTTACCATGAATAAAAAAAATACTTTTTTTTTTACTATTTCATATTGCTTTATTCTACAATTTTTAAATTATACTTAAAGTTCTAGGATACTTGTGTAGAATGTGCAGGTTTGTTACGTAAGTATATATGTGCCATGATGGTTTGCTGCACCCATCAGCCTGTAATCTACATTAGGTATTTCTCCTAATGCTATCCCTCCCCTAGCCCCCCACCCCCTGACCGGCCCCGGTGTGTGATGTTCCCCACCCTGTGTCCATGTGTTCTCATTATTAAACTCCCACTTATGAGTGACAATATGTGGTGTTTGGTTTTCTGTTCCTGTGTTAGTTTGCTGAGAATGATAGTTTCCAGCTTCATCCATGTCCCTGCAAAGAACATGAACTCATCCTTTTTTATAGCTGCATAGTACTCCATGGTGTACATGTGCCACATTTTCTTTATCCAGTCTATTATTGATGGACATTTGGGTTGGTTCCAATTCTTTGCTACTGTGAACAGTACTGCAATAAACATACGTGTGCATGTGTCTTTATAGCAGAATGATTTGTAATCCTTTGGGTATATACCCAGTAATGGGATTGCTGGGTCAAATGGTATTTCTGGTTCTAGATCCTTGAGGAATCGCCACACTGTCTTCCACAAGGGTTGAACTAATTTACACTCCCACAAAAAGTGTAAAAGCATTCCTATTTCTCCACATCCTCTCGAGCATCTGTTGTTTCCTGACTTTTTAATGATCGCCATTCTAACTGGCGTGAGGTGGTATCTCACTGTGGTTTTAATTTGCATTTCTCTAATGACCAGTGATGATGAGCTTTTTTTCATATGTTTGTTGGCTGCATAAGTGTCTTCTTTTGAGAAGTGTCTGTTCATATCCTTTGCCCACTTTTTGATGGGTTTGTTTGTTTTTTTCTGGTAAATTTGTTTAAGATCCTTGTAGGTTCTGGTTATTAGCCCTTTGTCATATGGATAGATTGAAACATTTTCTCCATTCTGTAGGTTGCCTGTTCACTCTGATGATAGTTACTTTTGCTGTGCAAAAGCTCTTTAGTTTAATTGGATCCCATTTGTTGCTTTTGGCTTTTGTTGCCATTGCTTTTGGTATTTTAGTCACAAAGTCTTTGCAGATACTTATGCCTGAATGGTGTTGCCTACGTTTCCTTCTAGGGATTTTGTGGTTTTAGGTTTTATGTTTAAGTCTTTAATCCATCTTGAGTTAATTTTTGTATAAGGTGCAATAAAGGGGTCCAGTTTCAGTTTTCTGCATATGGCTAGCCAGTTTATCCAACACCATTTACTAAATAGGGAATCCTTTCCCCATTGCTTGTTTTCATCAAGTTTGTCAAAGATCAGATGGTAGTAGATGTGTGGCATTATTTCTGAGGGCTCTGTTCTGTTTCATTGGTCTATATATCTGTTTTGGTACCAGTACCATGCTGTTTTGGTTACTGTAGCCCTGTAGTATAGTTTGTAGTCAGGTAGTGTGATGTCTCCAGCTTTGTTACCTTTGCTTAGTATTGCCTTGGCTATACAGGCTCTTTTTTGGGTTCCATATGAAATTTAAAGTATTTTTTTCTAATTCTGTGAAGAAAGTCAGTGGAAACTTGATGGTGATAGCATTGAACCTATAAATTACTTTGGGCATTATGATTATTTTTACGATATTCAGTCTTCCTATTTTTGAGCATGGAATGTTTTTCCATTTGTTTGTGTCCTCTCTCCTCTCTTATTTCCTTGAGCAGTGGTTTGTAGTTCTCCTTGAAGAGGTCCTTCACATCCCTTGTAAGTTGTATTCCTAAGTATTTTATTCTCTTTGTAGCAATTGTGAATTGGAATTCACTCATGATTTATCTCTCTGTTTGTCTAATATTGGTGTATAGGAATGCTTGTGATTTTTGCATATTGATTTTGTATCCTAAGACTTTGCTGAAGTTGCTTATCAGCTTAAGGAGATTTGAGGCTGAGACGATGGGGTTTTCTAAATATACAATCATATTACCTGCAAACAGAGATAATTTGATTTCCTCTCTTCCTATTTTGTATCTTTCTCTTGCCTGATTGCCCTGGCCAGAACTTCCAATACTATGTTGAATAAGAGTGGTGAGAGAGGGCATCCTTGTCTTGTGCTGGTTTTCAAAGGGAATGCTTCCAGCTTTTGCCCATTCGGTATAATATTGGCTGTGGGTTTGTCATAAATAGCTCTTATTATCTTGAGATATGTTCCATCAATACCTCGTTTATTGAGAGTTTTTAGCATGAAGCGGTGTTGGATTTTATCAAAGGCCTTTTCTGCATCTATTGAGATAATCGTGGTTTTTGTGATTGGTTCTGTTTATGTGATGGATTACATTTATTGATTTGTGTATGTTGAACCAGCCTTGCATCCTAGGGATGAAGCCGACTTGATCGTGGTGGATAAGCTTCTTGATGTGCTGCTGGATTCGGGTTGCCAGCATTTTATTGAGGATTTTCGCATTTATGTTCATCAGGGATACTCACATGAAATTTTCTTTTTTTGTGGTGTCGCCGCCAGGTTTTGGTATCAGCATGATGATTATGAGGCCAACAAGTAAGTTTTTCTTGGTCATTTAATTTTATTTCATTTTATTTCAAGTACAGTAATAAATATTGAGTAACTTCACATTACAAAGGTAGGTAATGCACTATGCAATTCTCTTTATTAACAGCTTAATGGGGTATAATTGACATACTGCAGACTATATATATTTAAAGTATACAATTTGATAAGTTTTGACATATATACACACTTATAAACAATTACTACAGTCAAGATAAGAAACATATTCATCACCCCATAATCATTGATAAACCCTCTCTCCTTTCCTCCTTCTAACCCAAATATTCATCTGCTTTCTGTTACTACCAGTGAGCTTGCATTCCTGTAATTTTACATAAATAAAGTAATACAGAATTTACTAATTTTGTCTGTTTTGTTAAACTTATAATAATTATTTTGAGATTATCCATGTTGTGTGGATAGGTAGATCATTAATTTTTTTTACAGTTCAGTAGTATGCCTTGCACAGATTTACACGTTTTTGCTTATTTGCCCATTTATTTATATTTGTTTTGCTTTCAGTTTTGGTTATTACAAGTAAGACCATTATGAAGATTTTTGTACAAGTTTTTTTGTACTAATGTGCTTTCATTTTTCCTGATTACATGTTTAGGAGTGGAAATAGTAAAAAGTTAGGTAAGTATATTTAATGTTTTAACACACTTGCAAAATATTATCCAAGTGGTTGTAACATTTTACACTTCACAAACAAATAGAATTCCAGCTGTCTACATCCTCACTCATACTTGAAATGGTCAATAGTTTTAATTTTAGCTATTCAAATAGTTTAGGGGCATCTCACTGTGGTTTTAATTTGCATAATTTGCACTTCTCTAATATCTAATGGTGTTGGGTATCTTCTCATGAGATTATTTGTTATCCCTATGTCTTCTTTGATGAAATTCCTGTTCAAATATATTGCTCACTTCTTAAGTTGGATTGTTGATTGTCTTATTGAGTTTGAAGAATTATTTGTACATTCTGAGTAAAAGTCCATTATCAAATATGCAGTTAACAAAGAATGTCTCGTAGTGGTGGATTGTCTTTTCATTCTCTTAAAATTATCTTTAAAAGAGCAATTCTTCAGTTTATGAAATCCAATCTATCTTTTTTTTATGGCTCATGCTTTCGATGTTGTATATGGCTAAGGTAATTGCCTAACATAAGTTTACAAGGATTTACTCCTATGTTTTCTCTGGAATTTTTTTCTAGAAATTGGATGGTTTTCTTTTTAATTGTAAAAATTCCAAACATACACAAAAGAAGAGGATATGGTATAATGAAGTGCCACATATCCATTACCTCTTTCAACAGTTTATCAATTCATGGCTGATCTAATTTTGTCTATGTTTCCCCGTACTTCTGCAAAGCCCCTCAAGTTATTAAGATGTTTTAAGCATTTTATTGAAGTATAACACATCTACAGAGAAGTATACAAATCATAAGTGTGTAGCTCCATAATTTTTCACAAAGTGAAACATTTGTATATTCAGCATCCTAATCAACAATTTAAATATTACCAGCACTGCAGAAGCCCCCTTACATTCCAAAAGGAATTCCTACCCTTATTTCCAATTCCATACATAAGTTTTGCCTGTGGTTAAACTTACACAATGGAATCATGCTTTATGTCCACTTTGCCTCAATTATTTCCTACCCCATATCGTTATAAATTTATTTATAGTGTTTCATGTAGTAAATAGTTTGTTGATCTGATTGCTGCTTAATATTTCATTGTTTCAATATACCACACTTTATGTATTCTGGTATTAGACATTTGGGTTGTTTTCAGTTTCTGACTTTTGCATATAGTACTGCTCTGAATAATCTTATATATAGTTTTTTTTATCGTATACATGCATTTATGTTGTGTACATAGCTAAAGGTAGAATTTCTGGTGATTGAGGATACGTATGATCAGCTTTAATAGACACTGACAGTTTTTATAAGTGGTTGCACCAAGAATAATGAAAGAATATTGTATATATACATAGCATATAATATTCTGGATAATAATTTGTTAATCCTTTAATTATCTTGTTAAAGTATTTCTGTCCCTGTAGTCACTTGAAAAATAGTTTGGTTCTATTATTAACTGTCATTTGCACTTGTTATTCATGAGCAATTTCAGTGAACTTGCTCAAATCTTTGGTCCAACAATCAAATGTATGGAACTGCAATGCTGAGACTAGATCCTTAAATGAGGAAACTGACCAAAGACCCTCTACATCCTTATGTTTCAACAGACCGTTATTTGATCTCTTTAGAAATTATTTTTGTTCCATTTTATTGTAATAGTAAGAGTTTTTAAACAAAACAAAACAGTATCTTAAAGCCTGGTACATAAATGTACAATAAATGTGACTCTTTTTTTCTATTAATCTTTTTACAATTTCCTGTTTAGCCTTTTCATTTTTGTTAACATATATCCTTTTGTAAAAAACGTGCCTCCATAGCCACATCTAGACAAAAAGTAGAACTCCACGGCCATGTAACCCTTCAAGTTTGAATGACAAATCAATACTACATTTCTATAAAACAAGTATATATTAGTATTTCCACAAAGGACCTGACCTACGCTAACTTTCTGTAAGTTTGGGACCAATTCAATATAAGTATAGTTCTGAGCAAAAACCTCCCATGTCAAGAAATACTGTTGAAAGCTTTGAAATAAGCTCATAATATCAAAAAATAAAATAAGTCTATTGAAAGTATGAATACATAACTTTCACTATGGCAAAGAAATGTCATAGTATAGTGTTTTAGTATAGTGACCAAAATTATTTGAATAGCACACATAAACTTATGCTGAATTAGTTATTATTCTAAGACTATTACATTTTTGTGTGTTCTTGCCCTTCCATGTTTGATATGTATTCCAGTTAACTGTCAGAAGGCCAGATAACTATGTGAACACAGAATACGCAAGTGCACTATTCTATTCTTATGATTTTACTAATTATTGCCACTTGTGAGTAAATATTTTCATATTGAGTAATGAAAGGCTAAAGTGATTACAGGTGATAAACCAATTAGCCAGCCCTGAAGTGATTGAAGAACACAAGATTAAAGCTGAAACACATATGAAGCCTGATTACACTATTCTCTTCTGCTTGAGCAGATAGATTGCATTTTTCAGTCTCCTTTACAGTTAGATGTGGTAATATCTACCAATGGCAATGTACTTGTTACTAAAATACATGGAAGAAGGTATTGTTTCTGTCTTTTAAGAAGACCAAAGTCTAAGAATAGACAAATAAGTAATCATAGTATAATGGGGAGAGCCCTTTAATAGTGCAAAAACGTAGATAAGCAAGTAATATTCCTTAGGAGGGGAGGGAGTGTGGTCAAGAGCGTCAGGAGCTACAGAGAGGAGGTATGTTTGGAATGTTAACCTAGAACATCAAAGGAACTTTGCCTCGTAGACAAGGTAGTTTAGACACAGTGTTGAAGCACAGGCTACTTACAGGGGCATGGTTTAAGCAAACAGGACTGGGAACACAGAAGCAGGCGCTAATGGCTGGGGCTGCATCAAGTTGTGGCCTTTATACCATTCTATGAAGCTTAGATTATTCTAAAAGCAATCAGTAAATACCAGTTTCTAAAGAAGTAGCAGAGTTAACTCTGTTTTGAGAGTCATCACATTCATGGACTGAGAGAGAATGGAGACAGAGAACATGATTAGGAAGTTTTAAAGTAATGTTCTGGCAGCAAGTGGTAGGATTATGGCATTAACAGTGGAATAGAGAGAAGAAGAAGCTGCAAGAAATCTTAGAAGTAAATGAAAAAGAATTTGGTAAGGGATTGAATGTCTGGGTAAGAACTTGATAGAATTACTTCACGGTCTCTAGCTTGGGCGAATGGGCAGATATTGATAGTGTTCCCTGAGAAAGGGAAGTTGACAATAAGAACAATAACAAATAGAAATGGCAGTTATCATGTATTCTGCTAAGCCATTTATATATATTAACCTGTTGAAACCTCACACCTACTTTGTGAAGTTAGTACTATTCTTTCTACCCTTTGCAATTACAGTTACTGAGGTGTAAAGAAGTTAGAAAGTTGCTCAAGGTGATAATAAGCTAGTAGATGGCGGAGCCACATGCACAGATTCTATTCTGAGAACCAGATTCTTGAGCCCCACACTGTAATGCCTCCCAAGAAAAGAAAAAAGATGGAAAATTCATTTGGGCGGTATAATGAATTGGAGATATCTGCAAATCACTCAGCTGAGAATTTGTAAACAGTTTAAAAATAGCTGTGTGTTTTGTGAAAGGAGAGATTCAAGCATAACCATAATAGTTGAAGCTGCAGAAGCCAAAAAAAAAAAAAATTCACAAGAAGAGAATCTAGAAGGCATATTAGTGGATACGGCAAGAAACCATATCAGTAAATATGATGTGTCAGCAACACCAAGAATAAAAAAATTTATTTAAGAATAAAAAAATAAAAAAAATTCGAAAGGAATTAAAAGGGCAGGGCCAGGTGTGGTGGCTCACACCTGGAACCCCAGCACTTTAGGATGTCAAGGAGGGCAGATTACCTGAGGTCAGGAGTTTGAGACGAGCCTGGCCAACAGGTTGAAACCCTGTCTCTACTGAAAAAAAAAAAAAAAATAGGCAGGCGTGGTGATGGGCACCTGTAATCCCAGCTACTCAGAAGGCTGAGGCAGAAGAATTGTTTGAACTCAGGAGGTGGAGGTTGCAGTGAGCCGAGATCGTGCCATTGCACTTCAGCCTGGCGACAGAGTGAGACTTGGTCGCAAAGAAAAAAAAAAAAAAAAGAATTAAAAGGGCAGAATTTAGTGTCATGGGCAGCCAGGAAAGGAGAATTCATAAAGAGGGAAATAATAAAAATGCCAGATGTAGCTGAGATTTTAAGTAATATGAGACTAGAAAGAAATCAGTGAACACTTTATCAGATTAATTTTAATATATAAGAATCAAAGTCAGAGTGAAAAATAGTTGAAAATTTAGTTGGAGGGAATTGAGAAATGGAGTCAACAAAAGTCATTCGAAACTTTGAAGAGATAGAAGTCTCCAGAGAAGGAATTTTCAGGATAAACACAACTTGAGCCTGTTTTTAAATTGTGCTTTCATAATTCCAAAAAAACTATCAATCTCTCAATGTCCTAAATATCTCCAGAAGTTTGATACCAGTCTATAACATCAATTGCTTATAATACCTACTTTGTCCTACAACTCTCAGTGATAGTTCCTCCAAATGTTTTACTTAAGTCTCTCCCCCTGGAGTTTTATTCTTATACTATTTGGCTATATCTCTAATAATAACTGGCTATTATCTCTAATAATTTACCATGTCTGGGAAAATCACTGATTTCTATTAATTTAAATTAACTTCTAGAGCTAAGAAAATGCTAACTAGAAAGAGTTTAAACTTAGTGCTCCATTATAAGGTTTTTAATTTAAAAACAGAGACACCAAGGGATTAAAACAATTTTAAACAATGGGAAAAGCAAATAAATAGAAATTTAGCCTTAATTGATTAAAGAAAATTCTTAAATGATCAATGGTTTATTACTTTGTATAAAGATTATCAGAAATAATTAGTACCTTGGCAACCAAATTAATAAAACTCTCCTTCTCTTAAATTGTTAAGTTTTAACTCTTTGTTTTAATATGTGATTACACTGGTCAACTACAATTATATGAACATGACAGCCCCAGGGGTTTTATGCAAAGGAAAACCTGTATAAGAGATATCCTTGGAAGTTGACTTTTGGCTTATATTTTGGTCTGAGGAAGTGGGCAAGAAAAGAAATGGTACACACAAAATTGCCAATCTCATTTTTTTTCAGTGTTAATTCATATATATGTATATATATATGTTCATCTATATATACACACATATATACATATATAAATGTAATATATAGATTTCTCTATATATAAATATAGATCATCATCTCTCTATATATCCTTTCTCCCTATATATACCTATATATGTATATATAGAGAGAGGTGACAATTTGGCTATAGAAATAAAAATGAATATACCTGTGTTCAAGAAAACCATACCGTCAAGATGAAGACTAATAGGTTTAAAAAAAGGACAAATTTAACATACACTGTGACACATGGTATAATGGAAGAAATGATAGTGATAAACCAGCTCTGGAATACATAGACTACCTAATAGATTCTACTGTATTCTCAATGAACAAATTGAAAAGGTAAAAATAACTTCTATATTTAATTATACTGGAATCTAAGGAATCTAAAATAAGGTGATGAGAGTTGATGGGGGAGGATTGCTGAGACACAAACACAAGAGGGATACTGGCCAATTTTATTTCCAAGCAAGAGAGTCCCAGGGTCTTAGTATGACATTTGTGTGGCTTCACGAGCTATTGAGCTGCGTCTGAACATCTGAAGCTTCAGGAACAGTAAGGAGAAAGTGATCAGCATTTCCTGGGAAAAGGGTAAAGAAATTCAGAGACATTTGCAAGAATTTAGGAGACAAACGATGAAAGCTAGGGCAAGTGGTGGAAATTTACATGAGGAGGAACACCCGAAATTAAAAATATATATCAGTGCCATTGGGTTATGGATCAAATAGGTTTGTTGTGGAAAAGAGAGATGCCCAGGAACTTCAAAATTCCTGTCTTGGGTAATATTAGAAGCAAAGGAGAGGTGAGTTTGGAGGAGATACACTGAGTTGGAGGTTCCTGTGGGAAACCTGAATGCTGATCTGAGGTAGGTAATTGACCTTAAAAAGTGACTTACACAATTGCTGATGGAGCCATGCCATCCACCAAAATCAAATAACCTAGACCTTAATTTATGAATGTAAACAGATTAGGAAAAATAGCTGTAAAAAAGGGAAACCAACTCGAGACAGACCTCCATTGAAACAAAATAAGAAAACATGTTAAAAAAAGTCATAGTTTTTATTCTTAGTGTTATTTTACTTATGAGGAAAATAATCAAATTTCAGAAAATATGGTAAAGGTTACCTTAAAATATATTTGAAAACATGTTGTGAATTTAAAAACAACATAACAGAATAATAAAATAAATACTTCTAAAAAGTGAAGAAATCAAACAGAGGAAGAAATAGTGGAATCCCACTCAAAGACAAAAGAGAAATACATTTTGAAAGAAAATAAAGGATGGAATTTAGAGCATGGTGATTTGCTATTTACATATTTTTCAGGAAGAAAGCATAAATCAAAGAATGAACTGGAAGACCACCAATAATCAAACAAATAGAAACAAACAAACAAAAAGATGACTTGCTGTTCAGTTGTTGAGTAGAATTAACAAGAAACATAACTATACTAGATATTTACAAATGGCATCTCTTTATTTTCAGATGAAATAGGAATTTTGAATAAACTAAGAAAAAATTCCTCTTAAAGCCCCATGCAATGAATAAACAAATAATCAAGAAACATATATTAAAAAGTCTGAAAGCCAGACTGGCTTTAGATATTTGATATGGCAATAAAACTTTAGAAGACATGGAATAATATTTATAGAGTTTTGAGTGCCTTAATTTCTATATGCACAAAAACTATCTTCCCTTTGTGAAGTTGGTTTTATAAAAAGATACGGTTGATCTTCACTTGTTGATTCCATATTTATAAATTTTCCTACTTGCTAAAATTTTTGGTAATCCCAAAATCGATACTCATGGTGCTTAAACAGTCATTTGTGGACTTGTGCACATGCAACTCAAAAGAAAATCTGAACAACCCCGTGTAAACATTCCTAACCAAAGTCGAACACGGCAACATTCTGTTTTTTTGTTTCAGTTCTCTTACTGTAAAAACGTGTTCTTTATTGACCATTTAGTGCCACGTTTTCCCCCTCACTTTTATTCTTTTTGTTGGCGATTTTGTTGTTTGAAATTATTCCCAAGTACAGTTCTGAATTCGTGTCTATTGTTTCTAAGTTCAAGAAGGCTGTGATATGCCTTACAGAAAAATTGTGTTAGATAAGCTCCTTTCAGGTATGAGCTTTGATTATATAATGTGATATCATTTACATAGATTTAAAAAATAGCCAGAATAACACATTATTATTGAGAGATAAATATGTATAAATTAAAATTATGACAGAATGCATGCCAGTGATAAATATGAAATTCAGGAGAGTAGATACTTTTGGGAAGAGAAGAGAAAATTCAGCAGAAGTATGTAAAGACTTTCAATTCTATTATTATTATTATTTTATTTTTATTTTTATTTTTTTTGAGACAATGTCTCCTCCGTCGCTCAGGCTGGAGCGCAGTGGCACGATCTTGGCTCACTGCAACCTCCCCTTCCTGGGTTCAAGCTCTTCTCCTGCCTCAGACTCCCAAGTAGCTGGGAATAAGGCATGCACGACCATTCCTGGCTAATTTTTGCATTTTTTAGTAGAGATGGGATTTCACCACGTTGGCCAGGCTGGTCTCAAACTTCTGACCTCATGTGAGACGCCTGCCTCAGCCTCCCAAAGTGTTGGGATTACAGACATGAGCCACCGCACCTTAATTCTATTATAATTTAATACTCTGTTTCTATGGTGGATGTGAAATACCTAGATTATCTATTTATCTATCCACATCTTGCAATCATTTTGTATTTCAGATGAAATGTTTCATTATATAAAAACAGCACTGCCGGGTGCGGGGGCTCACATCTATAATCCCAGCACTTTGGGAGGCTGTGGCAGGCACATCATGAAGTCAGGAGATTGATACCATTCTGACCAACATGGTGAAATCACGTCTCTACTAAAAATACAAAAGTTAGCCAGGCATGATGGCGCGCGGCTGTAGTCGCAGCTACGTGGGAGGCTGAGGCAGGAGAATCACTTGAACCCGGGAGGCAGAGGTTGCAGTGAGCCGAGATTGCGCCACTGCACTCCAACCTGGTGATAGAGCAAGTCTCTGTCTCAAAAATAAATAAATAAATAAATACAAACAAAAACAGCGCACATTAAAATAACTGTTGACAAAATTTCTTATGTCACCAAAAATAGGCAGCTCAAATATTCAAAAACATATTATTTAAAAACAAATTTACATTTTTATGTAATACTAAGATGCAGCATTAAAATGATGGGTGAGTTCCACTTCAAAATAAAGGAAAATAAATTTCACAATTCAGTGTTCTGAAAACAGTCAATAAATGCCCACAGTGGATGTAAGTATATTACCTCAAGAGACTTTCAGCCACACAGTGCATAAACTTAGGGGACATTTAGTCATCATATGCCTATTAAGAGAATCCTGAAATTTTTTGATATGGTACAAATTAACTTGCCAGAATGTTACAGTATATACAAGCAGAGATTTTCCTGAGACTTTTTGAGTCTCAGTATCTGCATTTATAAAGCTGGTATGAAAAAGCATTTGCCAAATGGGTGGGTAATGAAAATTAACTAGAAAGAATAAATCTACCTAAATTTTAATTATATAAATTTTATATGGAATTATATACAACTATATCATTGTCAACTATAGGAGCTTCTTCTTATTTGTTCAACATTATATAATATGATTTCATATAATACTAAGAGGGATTGCATTTGTTTGCTTTTGTGGTTTTTTACTATTGTTGCTGTCAGTAGTAATGCAGATAAAACAATAAATAGCTCTTGATACAAGGCAAGAATAATGAATTCACCTGTCCCTTTCAGAATTTAGATAAAATCTACTCCTTCGTGACAATGGTAAAAAGCAAAACGAGTTAGAAGAATTCATCTCCCCTTCCTCAATCTCTTTTTAAAACTCAAACTAATCACTTCTTTATGAAGGATGTTAGAATAAGTGGATTATTAATATGACTTGGAATGGAGAATCCTTTCTAAGATCAGAAAAACTGGCTTTCTTTGAAATATATCCTTTAGCCTGGTGTTCCTGGGGACATGCAGTAATCTGTAGATAAACCATGGGTAATGACAACTCTTATTTAAGAAGTTGTCTTACCAATCATCTCTTCCTTTGGGTTGGTTAGCTCATTATTTATCATGTAATTCTGTGCCTTTTCCAACTACCCAATGTCACACATTAATTTTTGTGATATTAATATGTACTACTTACAGAAAATAATAAGAATGATATAAGACAAAGGATTACTAAATAAAACAAAAGTGTGTGTGTGTGTGTGTGTGTGTGTGTGTGTGTGTGTTTTAATTTTTTTGGTCTAGCATGCTTTATGTTCCCCATTTGCTTCCGGCTATTAAAATGTTACAAAAAACAGCAGGCAAAATAAGACAGATTTCCAAGGAGCTGAGCTATAAATTTCTTGACATATTATTTGATGAAGGTAAATAGTGTCATTTTCTACTTTATTAACTTCATGTGATATGCACTCTGATCTTAAAAAATTTATTATATTTGCAAGAGAGAGAAGATAGCTTGTTCAAAATCCTCTCTACCAGTAATTTGTTGGACCTCCTATGACTGCTATGCTTCTCAAACTCTGATCTGTTCTTGTTATCTAGTGTTTGGCTAATGGGATATATTTTGGCTTTTTTAAATCTAAAAATGTGACAAAACAAGACTAAGAGATGTCTTACTGAAGGGCAATGGGATTTGTGAATCATCAAACAGGTAAATCAGTTTTCTTCTTTTTTGGTAACAATCTGTGTCTATTTTAAAAATTGTCATCATCCTAGTTCTGTCATAGCTTTTCTTCTTATTGTAACTTCCAGCATTTCCAGGCAATATGTGTGAATTTGACCTTGACGTTGTTAATTAATCCTGGCTGTTTGCCACAATTTTATCTTCACTTCCTTCCAAGAAGCTTGAGTAAGTATACTGTGATTAACCAGGCAAAGGAACAGTTTTCAGCTTACATTTTCTTGAGCCTAAGCAGTTGATTTACTTAAGTCCCTGGGAATTTTTAAACAGGGTGCCCATCAATATTAGTGGATATGTGCAGTATTTTACCTTAATTAGCATATTGAATGTATATTTTCCACAGGGAAGGATAATGTTTCCAGTTCAGTGATTCTCACAATTTATTATTTTCTGATGAGACACATTTGACAGATGATGCTCCCGTGACCAACATGCTCACATGAACTTATATAGGAAGATATTCAATCCTCTATGGGAGCTCACTCTTTAGTGAAGGCCCAACTAAATGCTGATATACATAATACTATTGTAGGAGTAACTACAAACAACTTCATTATAAAATGTTTTGCAAAGTAAAATAATTGGGAATAGCAATACTTCAAATACTTTCAGTAACAAACCAGGTGACATACCTCTCTTGCCAGCATGACACAGGACTGTCACAACTCCTTGGTTGAGAATTGCAGCTCTAGATGATATCTAAGGTTATTGACCTGAATTTGATGCTGGGAACTTCAGGATTGGTAAAAAGGGCTCTCTTTGAACATCTTTTTAAAAAACAAATAGAATATACCCTTATAAAATTGGAAATGGTTCATGTAAGGAAGATACAGAAAAGAAATGTCTAGATCTTATACTTCTTGATGACAGCAATGTGGAAAGGAAAGAATACTGACTATCATGCTTTTGTTTTTGATTGATTATACTAAGACTTTCAAATGCCCAAAATGAATGTGGATCTTATCAATTCGGGGGACTCTAAGGATACTATGGTACTGATTACTAGAACCAAACAAACAAAAGCAACAAAAACATTGTTTCCCATTATGAAAAAATTCTGATTGCTGAAGAAATGATCTGACTGAAATTTTATCTTAGGCAAAACATGCTTTTAAGTATTTGCTGGCATTACTAGGTGCTGTGTTTGATTAAAGTTCTTGACATTTTCCACTGTGTCCAGTAACAATAAGTTGAAAGGAAAGGCCATTTAAAGCAAATCTTTTCATTCTATTAGATACACAAAACAAATATGAGCCAGAGAGATAAGCAAATCTAAAGAAGAGGAAGAGATTCTTAATATCAGGCTTCAGTGAGTTTATTAGCCCTTAAAATCTGTGTGCAAAATCATGGTTACATGCACATTTTGGGGGAGAAAAGAGTCCAACAAACCATTGGTTTTGTAAATAGTGTTTGTGGTCTATCAAAAAAAACTAAGGAACGAACATCAATTTAGTATTAATGTTTTGTAAGAGACTGAGAATAATAATTTTGGTAGACTGGGGATTAAAAAAGGATGTAGTTTGCCAAGTTAGATCAGTTTCTAGTCATTCTGACTGAATTAACCACAATGGTGTTTTCTCTAGTTTTAGGAAGTTGGACATAACAAACATAATCACAAAGTGCCATGTTAAATACAAATCATTCTAGGGTTAATTATCTTCTGAGTATTGTTCTACTGTTGCATTCTCCATTAAATTGGACCTGGGGTTGACTAACGATGGTCTGTGGATGAATGTGGCCCACAGTCTACTTTTATACTACCTGCCAGCCAAGAAAGTGTTACATTTTTAAAAAAATTTGTGACAGAAAATGTATGTGGGCTGTAAAGTATAAAATATATACTATATGGCTTTTTATAGAGAAAGTTGCCATTGCCAACCCATATATTAGACAACTCATTAAGTCATTTGAGCAGTAGCTAATACATATTGAGGGCTATCAAAAGCACCTGGACATGTACTGAAGCTGGTGATATATCAGTGAGAAAAATGACCCAAATATCTACTTTCATAATCTCATATCTAGTTAGAGGACTCAAAAATAAGATAACTGAATAAATGGTATAGTATATTAGAAAGTAATGAATTCTGCAGGGTAAAATAGAGCAGGGTATGGAAATTTGGGAGTGAGGAGGGGCAGGTAGTCCATGTTCTTGGATAGGGTGGTTAAAGTTGACTTTACTGAGAAGATGCTACTAGTGCAGACTGGAGAAAGATAAGATAACAAGACCTATGGCTCTTTGCAGCAAGTGTGTAGCAGGCAGATAATCAGTGCAAAGGCCCTGAGGTGAGACCTCGTTTTCAAGGAAGATTGAGAAGACAAAATAAGAATTAATTTTGTATGTTCATAAATTATGTCAACACTCTCTGGCATAATTTATTTAAACCATGTTTATTTTACATTTTGGCACATATATACATCTATCTTTCTGCTATTAAAATCTCCCCAAGCTTAATAAGGCATCTGAATTTCTGATCTAAAATGTTATCCACAAGTGTGTGACCTGCTAATTATGCGAAGCTGCTTAATTCCCAAGAGTGCATCACTATGATAAAGCATAGATGAGATTTTAAACTGTCATTAATTCTTTTTTTGCCCTGTACCCACTGATGGCAGATGTCATTAATTTTTTAATTTAAGATAGTACACTATAAAACAGAGAAATAAATAGAAATGCTGCTGGATATCTACTTGCATATATGTGAAGAAAAACATAATCATTAAGCATAAAATACTAATTAATTTTCTTAAAGAATGAAGCCTGAATGAGTTGTCAAGGACTTGGGTGGTAGTCTGTTAACTCTGCATTGTCCAGTCGAGTAGCCATTAATAATATGTGACCATTTAAACTTAAAATTATTTAAAATTAAACAAAACTAACTTTTCAGCTCCTCAGTTACACTAGTCACATTTCAAATGCTCAACAGCCACATGTAAACCACTAGCCACATGTGGCTGTTGAGGACTCGAAATGTGACTATCACTGTGGAAAGTTCTACTGGACAGGGCTCTTACAGAAATACTGAACACGATTGTACTTAAAACTTTGCTGAAGATTTGGAATGTGAATTTATAAGAATAAAATGTCTTCAAAGATGTGTGTGTGTATATATATATATATTATATATATATATATATGAATGAAATAGATGGGGAATATATGGGGAAAATTGGTCAACCATTTAGTACTAGGTATTTTACAGATTGTAAACCCTCTTTAAATTAATAAATGATATCTAAATGAGGAAGAATTTTGCAGTATCACCAAATTAATCTAGTGACTTTCTTGAATGCACATCTAGGGTGCATTTCCTTTTTCCAGAAAAACAGGAAATTCAACTCAATAATTTTAAGTTTTGCTATTAAAATCAGTTTGTTGTTAGATGGCCGAATAGGAGCAGCTCTGGTCTACAGCTCCCAGCGTGAGTGACGCAGAAGAAGGGTGATTTCTGCATTTCCATCTGAGGTACCGGGTTCATCTCACTAGGGAGTGCCAGACAGTGGGCGCAGGACAGTGGGTGTGCACACCGTGCATGAGCCGAAGCAGGGCGACGCATTGCCTCAAAAGGGAAGTGCAAGGGGTCAGGGAGGTCCCTTTCCTAGTCAAAGAAAGGGGTGACAGACGGCACCTGGAAAATCGGGTCACTCCCACCTAATACTGCGCTTTTCCGACGGGCTTAAAAAACGGCGCACCACGAGATTATATCCCGCACCTGGTTCGGAGGGTCCTAGGTCCACAGAGTCTCGCTGATTGCTAGCACAGCAGTCTGAGATCAAACTGCAAGGCGACAGCGAGGCTGGGGGAGGGGCGCCCGCCATTGCCCAGGCTTGATTAGGTAAACAAAGCAGCCGGGAAGCTCGAACTGGGTGGAGCTCACCACAGCTCAAGGAGGCCTGCCTGCCTCTGTAGGCTCCACCTCTGGGGGCAGGGCACAGACAAACAAAAAGACAGCAGTAACCTCTGCAGACTTAAATGTCCCTGTCTGACAGCTTTGAAGAGAGCAGTGGTTCTCCCAGCACGCAGCTGGAGATCTGAGAACCGGCAGACTGCCTCCTCAAGTGGGTCCCTGACCCCTGACCCCCGGAGCAGCCTAACTGGGAGGCACCCCCCAGCAGGGGCACACTGACACCTCACAGGGCCGGGTACTCCAAAAGACCTGCAGCTGTGGGTCCTGTCTGTTAGAAGGAAAACTAACAAACAGAAAGGACATCAACACCAAAAACCCATCTGTACATCACCATCATCAAAGACCAAAAGTAGATAAAACCACAAAGATGGGGAAAAAACAGAGCACAAAAACTGGAAACTCTAAAAAGCAGAGCACCACTCCTCCTCCAAAGGAACGCAGTTCCTCACCAGCAACGGAACAAAGCTGGACGGAGAATGATTTTGACGAGCTGAGAGAAGAAGGCCTCAGACGATCAAATTACTCCGAGCTACGGGAGGACATTCAAACCAAAGGCAAAGAAGTTGAAAACTTTGAAAAAAATTTAGAAGAATGTATAACTAGAATAACCAATACAGAGAAGTGCTTAAAGGAGTTGATGGAGCTGAAAACCAAGGCTAGAGAACTACCTAAAGAATGCAGAAGCCTCAGGAGCTGATGCGATCAACTGGAAGAAAGGGTATCAGTGATGGAAGATGAAATGAATGAAAAGCGAGAAGGGAAGTATAGAGAAAAAAGAATAAAAAGAAATGAGCAAAGCCTCCAAGAAATATGGGACTGTGAAAAGACCAAATCTACTTCTGATTGGTGTACCTGAAAGTGACGGAGAGAATGGAACCAAGTTGGAAAACACTCTGCAGGATATTATCCAGGAGAACTTTGCCAAACTAGCAAGGCAGGCCAACATTCAGATTCAGGAAATACAGAGAACGCCACAAAGATACTCCTCGAGGAGAGCAACTCCAAGACACATAATTGTCAGATTCACCAAAGTTGAAATGAAGGAAAAAATGTTAAGGGCAGCCAGATAGAAAGGTCGGGTTACCCTCAAAGGGAAGCCCATCAGACTAACAGAGGATCTCTTGGCAGAAACTCTACAAGCCAGAAGAGAGTGGGGGACAATATTCAACATTGTTAAAGAAAAGAATTTTCAACCCAGAATTTCATATCCAGCCAAACTAAGCTTCATAAGTGAAGGAGAAATAAAATACTTTACAGACAAGCAAATGCTGAGAGATTTTGTCACCACCAGGCGTGCACTAAAAGAGCTCCTGAAGGAAGTGCTAAACATGGAAAGGAACAACTGGTACCAGGCACTGCAAAATCATGCCAAAATGTAAAGACCATCGAGACTACGAAGAAACTGCATCAACTAACGAGCAAAATAACCAGCTAACATTATAATGACAGGATCAAATTCACACATAACAATATTAACTTTAAATGTAAATGAACTAAATGCTCCAATTAAAAGACACAGACTGGCAAATTGGATAAAGAGTCAAGACCCATCAGTGTGTTGTATTCAGGAAACCCATCTCACGTGCAGAGACACACATAGGCTCAAAATAAAAGGATGGAGGAAGATCTACCAAGCCAATGGAAAACAAAAAAAGGCAGGGGTTGCAATCCTAGTCTCTGATAAAACAGACTTTAAACCAACAAAGATCAAAAGAGACAAAGAAGGCCATTACATAATGGTAAAGGGATCAATTCAACAAGAAGAGCTAACTATCCTAAATATATATGCACCCAATACAGGAGCACCCAGATTCATAAAGCAAGTCCTGAGTGACCTACAAAGAGACTTAGACTCCCACACATTAATAATGAGAGACTTTAACACCCCACTGTCAACATTAGACAGATCAACGAGACAGAAAGTCAACAAGGATACCCAGGAATTGAACTCAGCTCTGCACCAAGCAGACCTAATAGACATCTACAGAACTCTCCACCCCAATTCAACAGAATATACATTTTTTTCAGCACCACACCACACTTATTCCAAAATTGACCACATAGTTGGAAGTGAAGCTCTCCTCAGCAAATGTAAAAGAACAGAAATTATAACTAACTCTCTCTCAGACCACAGTGCAATCAAACTAGAACTCAGGATTAAGAATCTCACTCAAAACCACTCAACTACATCCACTGAACAACCTGCTCCTGAATGACTACTGGGTACATAACGAAATGAAGGCAGAAATAAAGATGTTCTTTGAAACCAACGAGAACAAAGACACAACATACCAGGATCTCTGGGACACATTCAAAGCAGTGTGTAGAGGGAAACTTATAGCACTAAATGCCCACAAGAGAAAGCAGGAAAGATCCAAAATTGACACCCTCACTTCACAATTAAAACAACTAGAAAGGCAAGAGCAAACACATCCAAAAGCTAGCAGAAGGCAAGAAATAACTAAAATCAGAGCAGAACTGAAGGAAATAGAGACACAAAAAATCCTTCAAAAAATTAATGAATCCAGGAGCTGGTTTTTTGAAAGGATCAACAAAATTGTTAAACCACTAGCAAGACTAATAAAGAAAAAAAGAGAGAAGAATCAAATAGACGCAATAAAAAATGATAAAGGGGATATCACCACCGATCCCACAGAAATACAAACTACCATCAGAGAATACTATAAACACCTCTACACAAATAAACTAGAAAATCTAGAAGAAATGGATAAATTCCTCGACACATACACTCTCCCAAGACTAAACCAGGAAGAAGTTGAATCTCTGAATAGACCAATAACAGGAGCTGAAATTGTGGCAATAATCAATAGCTTACCAACGAAAAAGAGTCCAGGACCAGATGGATTCACAGCCGAATTCTACCAGAGGTACAAGGAGGAACTGGTACCATTCCTTCTGAAACTATTCCAATCAATAGAAAAAGAGGGAATCCTCCCTAACTCATTTTATGAGGCCAGCATCATCCTGATACCAAAGCCGGGCAGAGACACAACCAAAAAAGAGAATTTTAGACCAATATCCTTGATGAACATTGATGCAAAAATCCTCAATAAAATACTGGCAAACTGAATCCAGCAGCACATCAAAAAGCTTATCCACCATGATCAAGTGGGCTTCATCCCTGGGATGCAAGGCTAGTTCAATATACGCAAATCAAGCAATGTAATCCAGCATGTAAACAGAAGCGAAGACAAAAACCACATGATTATCTCAATAGATGAGAAAAGGCCTTTGACAAAATTCAACAACCCTTCATGCTAAAAACTCTCAATAAATTAGGTATTGATGGGACGTATTTCAAAATAATAAGAGCTATCTATGACAAACCCACAGCCAATATCATATTGAATGGGCAAAAACTGGAAGCATTCCCTTTGAAAACTGGCACAAGACAGGGATGCCCTCTCTCACCACACCTATTCAACATAGTGTTGGAAGTTCTGGCCAGGGTAATTAGGCAGGAGAAGGAAATAAAGGGTATTCAATTAGGAAAAAAGGAAGTCAAATTGTCCCTGTTTGCAGACGACATGATTGTATATCTAGAAAACCCAATCATCTCAGCACAAAATCTCCTTAAGCTGATAAGCAACCTCAGCAAAGTCTCAGGATACAAAATCAATGTACAAAAATCACAAGCATTCTTATACACCAACAACAGACAAACAGAGAGCCAAATCATGAGTGAACTCCCATTCACAATTGGTTCAAAGAATATAAAATACCTAGGAATCCAGCTTACAAGGGACGTGAAGGCCCTCTTCAAGGAGAACTACAAACCACTGCTCAAGGAAATAAAAGAGGATACAAACAAATGGAAGAACATTCCATGCTCATGGGTAGGAAGAATCAATATCATGAAAATGGCCATACTGCCCAAGGTAATTTACAGATTCAGTGCCATCCCCATCAAGCTACCAATGCCTTTCTTCACAGAATTGGAAAAAACTACTTTAAAGTTCATATGGAACCAAAAAAGAGCCTGCATCGCCAAGTCAATCCTAAGCCAAAAGAACAAAGCTGGAGGCATCACACTACCTGACTTCAAACTATACTACAAGGCTACAGTAACCAAAACAGCATGGTACTGGTACCAAAACAGAGATATAGATCAATGGAACAGAACAGAGCCCGCAGAAATAACGCCGCATATCTACAACTATCTGATCTTTGACAAACCTGAGTAAAACAAGCAATGGGGAAAGGAATCCCTATTTAATAAATGGTGCTGGGAAAACTGGCTAGCCATATGTAGAAAGCTGAAACTGGATCCCTTCCTTACACCTTATACAAAAATTAATTCAAGATGGATTAAAGACTTAAACGTTAGACCTAAAACCATAAAAACCCTAGGAGAAAACCTAGGCTTTACCATTCAGGACATAGGCATGGGCAAGGACTTCATGTCTAAAACACCAAAAGCAATGGCAACAAAAGACAAAATTGACAAATGGGATCTAATTAAACTCAAGAGCTTCTGCACAGCAAAAGAAACTGCCATCAGAGTGAACAGGCAACCTACAAAATGGGAGAAAATTTTCGCAACCTACTCATCTGACAAAGGGCTAATATCCAGAATCTACAATGAACTCCAACAAATTTACAAGAAAAAAACAAACAACCCCATCAAAAAGTGGGCAAAGGACATGAACAGACACTTCTTAAAAGAAGACATTTATGCAGCCAAAAAACACATGAAAAAATGCTCACCATCAATGGCCATCAGAGAAATGCAAATCAAAACCACAATGAGATACCATCTCACACCAGTTAGAATGGCAATCATTAAAAAAGTCAGGAAACAACAGGTGCTGGAGAGGATGTGGAGAAATAGGAACACTTTTACACTGTTAGTGGGACTGTAAACTAGTTCAACCAATGTGGAAGTCAGTGTGGCGATTCCTCAGGGATCTAGAACTAGAAATACCATTTGACCCAGCCATCCCATTACTGGGTATATGCCCAAAGGACTATAAATCATGCTGCTATAAAGACACATGCACACGTATGTTTATTGCGGCATTATTCACAATAGCAAAGACTTGGAACCAACCCAAATGCCCAACAATGGTAGACTGGATTAAGAAAATGTGGCACATATACACCATGGAATACTATGCAGCCATAAAAAATGATGAGTTCACATCCTTTGTAGGAACATGGATGAAATTGGAAATCATCATTCTCAGTAAACTATCGCAATAACAAAAAACCAAACACTGCATATTCTCACTGATAGGTGGGAATTGAACAATGAGAACACATGGACACAGGAAGGGGAACATCACACTCTGGGACCTGTTGTTGGGTGGGGGGAGGGGGGAGGGATAGCATTGGGAGATATACCTAATGCTAGATGACGAGTTAGTGGGCTCAGCGCACCAGCATGGCACATGTATACATATGTAACTAACCTGCACATTGTGCACATGTACCCTAAAACTTAAAGCATAATAATAAAAAAAAGAAAAAAATAAATAAATAAAATCAGTTTTTGACTATCCTCTTTTGACTCTCTAGCCTGTCTTTATGATTAGACCTTTTAAATATATTTACATACATTATTTATATGTTAAGCACATAAAAATGATCTTTGTTCAAAAAAATCTGGCCAGAACAAATATTAAAACAAAATATGTTATATTTAACTTAAGATGGTCGCTTCTATCCTTGAAGTTTAATGTTTGGCACTCCAATGTAGTAGTTTGATTCCCTTAATTAAGAGAAGATAAATTTCTAGTACCATAAATGAGGGCAGCAACAGTGCAGGAAGTCATTTTGGCTCTAGATTAAAGAAATATAGACTTAAATGCCTGCCACCTGGAGATTCCAAAGACAGGTAAGAAAAAAGATAAACTTCAAAGCACCAGCTCCATAGATTGTGATGGTCTTTGAAGAAGCCTCACATAGAGTAATGACTTCACCCCAGACATTCTGAAGTTCTCTAGCTATTGCAAAATGTAAGAAAAAGAGAGTGAGATAAGTTTTTACATATATGGGGCAATGAAATACCAAGGCCTTGATATTTGTAGATTAGATTGACCATGACTGGAGGCAAATTGTTACAGTTTATCGACACAAGCTGGAGAGAATATTATTTTTAGGAAGCTAACAAAGATGTACTGAAGAGCTCACAGTAACCATTTCCTAATTTTCTTTTCTAGTTTCATGAGAAAATATCAACACAAATGACAACTTTAAGTATTAAAGGATAGGGAATAAAATAATGCCCATGGAAGGACTTGAATGCATGCATACAGTAGCATTTATACACTGGGGCTGCCACACTGTAGTTCACATTCAGACTTGATGACCTGAGAAACATATCCACTGGCAAATGTTCAGAGCCCTGATGACTGGACATGAGAACAATATTTGTATATTTAAGTGTACGTTTCATAAATTAAAATGTCAACAATAGGATTATGGGTAGCCTGTCTTATATGTGTCTTCCAAATGTCATACAATGAGCACTTACTTATTTTACAAACAGAGAAGATTACAGAACTGGAAATATTACAGTGAAAATCCTTATCCATTTTCTGCTGAATTTGTTTTCTCTGTTTAGCTCAATAGAAATTTCTGGAAAAAATAACAAAGGGCACAGATATTGAGCATTTCTGTGAAGTTCTACCATGATACAGAAACAGATGCCACTTTACCTTTGGACATACATTTCAAGGTGTATCTGAAATGTTTACATTATTAATATATCTGAAGATTACCCGATAATTAGTCTTTGAAACATACACTACCAAATTTCCAGAAAAAGCTTAAAATAAAAAAGCGGAACAAAGAGACCAAACAAAATTTTATAGCTAATGGATATTTTCTCCTCGAACCTCACATCTCACCTTTTCCTTGGTCAGTAAAATGCTGCTAGAGTATAAGAAACTCCTGACACTTTCAATGAAATGTGTTATTTTTATGATTGATCTAAAATAGTGAAGGAGGAGGACAAATAGACAGTCAGAAACAAGTGTGGAAAGAAAGGAAAGAAAGAAAAAACAACCCTAATGCCTAGGCAGCCTGACACCCTATGGATTTAAGACGAAATTGTTACAAAGTGCTTTTGTTGCACTACAGAAGATGGTGGGAGAAAATACAGTCTTAATTCAGGCTGCATAATCACTTTCCGTTAAATGTTTAGAAGTCCTGTTTTCTTCCACAGCACAACAATTACACAGCAGAGCATAATTATTTTACAGTCAATTGAGTACACCAAATGGGCATATTTATGAAACCTGATTTATACTTCATACTTGCAACACTACATGGAGCATGGCTTTACCTCCCACCAAACCTGCAGCCAGTAAAGCTGTCAGAAGGACTCTGCTTCAGCTCCAAAGTAAAATAATTTAAGTTTGAGCAATCCTTTTGAATATTGGTCCTGCACTTAGCTTTTTTCCTATCAAGTGTGCTGCGAAAAGTAAAGGCAAAGAAAGCAATGTGGTATCTGTGGAGAAGCACCATAAAAGTTTTATGGCTTTAGTTCATGCCCTGATTCTTGCTGTGGTGAGCAAGTACATTTTTCATTAGCCTATCCCACAAAGCAATGAGACCATCTACATTTAAGTAATGACCTTCTCCAAATAAACGAAAACTTGTTTTCCTTGTACTTCAATAACCAATAATTATTTATGAAGGTTTGCATAATGACCCAAAGTAGTGCAGAAGTTTGGTCACCTTACAAACTTCACAAGAACTTCTCTGAACATGTAATTCTAAGTTTTTGAAGATATTACACCTCTCCCCTAATTTTGAGACGTCTTTTTCTCACACATTTGTACAATTTTTAGGGTTTTATCTATTGCAGAGATGGCTATTTTGTACCATCAGTAAATTTAACCTAGTCTCTGTAAATCATGTAAACTGAGTATCTCTTTTAGATGCAAAAAATAAAAATAAAAATAAACTCCAGGCTGTTGTTCTGAGGCTGTTTCAGAAGTGACGGAATTAAATAATGGTGGATTTTCTTGAATTTGCTGATTAACCACATACAGTGTATACAGTTTTCTTATTAATTGCTTCATTTCAGCCAATTTCATTAGAAATACAAAATCTGATGTCACTCAAATTTGAAGAAAGAGAAATAATGATTCATAAATAATAAGAACACTGTGTGGTCTCTGGGCTGTCTGTAATTGTTTATCATCAAGGTCTGAGGACACCCTAACATGGGGATGATGAGACTAGATGCTTCTATCTACTTTTGACTTCCAAAGGAAAAAAAGAGTTTTCACTCCTTTTATAATACCTGTGCACAGCGGCTCATGTTGATGGCCTCCAAGCTCAGTAAACTAACACATTAGGGTAAACAGATGTTTTCTCTATTAACAGTATCAACCATCTGGCTGCAGGCCAAATCAAATCTGAGGAGTAATTTCAACTGGCCTGCCTGTTAATGTGAAAACTGACTAAACAGTCTCTCCTGCTAATCTTCTCATCCTGAAGATGATGTTTCTTCCAGTGTATGATTCATGCACTAACAGGAAGGAGAGAGATCATTTCAGAGATGTAATTAATTCTTAGTTGAAATTTTATTCAATTACCTGTTTAAAATATAAAACATACAGCATTTGAGATGCTAACATCTAAACTGAATATGATGTGGAGAATTAGGGAAAATATAGAAATAAATGTTCTTAAACACTGGATTCAACTGTGGTATCTAATTTAATCTTTATTTAAAGAGTCGAAGTCCCTGGGAGACCATGAAACTAGGTTGCAAACTGCCTACTAAAAAGTAAAGGATTGAAGTAACTTTTGCTAACAACACATAGAATCATGATTATATCACATATTACTTAGTTTTATTCATTTAATATTATTTTTCTCCCATAGAATTGCCTTAATTCATTTTATTCTGTCCTTTAGCAATGACTCTTGAATTACATGAATTTCATATTTATGTGGACTTTCTGCCCTTAACCCAGATCAAATAAATTTGAATAAAACAAAGACAAGTTACAATACATGGCACTTGTTTTTACAGATGACAAATTCTCAAGAAATACATATTTTTTAATTCTATCTCTTTAGTTTATTCATGGGCACTTGTGATGAAGACCAACTTGTGCACAATTTCTTTTTTTCTTAGTCAATTATTTGCCTCAAAATCATTTTGTTTTTGTTACCGGATTAGCTATACATAGTAGGGAATTGAAACCCAAGAACCATCTTTATGAATTGATGACCAATATTCCTGGTTTAGAAATTATTTAACTGATACTGACCTATAAAAACGGCATCTTCATGTGAGCAAACCTAATGCAAGTATTTTTTATCCTGTGCAGGAGAAAATGCAACCTCTAAGAATGATTAGAAATTCTGTTTGAAGACATCTAGTTTCAAGTTCATTTTAAATAAATTTGGTTTATTTAAAAATATGTGATTTATCTAATGATTACATAGGCTTTCTTAAGCAGATCATCTGACATGCAGGTTGCAGTGTAATGAGTGCACCAACAAAGCATTTTGCCTAATACGGGTAGATCCCAAATTAGGCACTTGTTAGTTGTCCATTCCTTGAATAAATGCATAACAAGCACCTTTAAAAAATGAGCTAAAGTGCACATTATTAAAGTGCTTATTATGTGCCAGATACTCCATAACAAAAAACACTGATATGTGTCTTGACTTCCCCAAATATGGGGCCTTGTGGAGAAAACAGAAATAAGCTGCAACCAACCAAGCAAATATAATCAAACATGGAGGCACATGCTTTGAAGAAGAATAATATGACAGAAAGTAACAAGAGTTGGGTTTTGTAACACATTTTGTACTGGTGGATTAGACAGTGCTTTTCTGAAGAGGAGGCATTTAAATTGGGGCCTGAAAGGTAATGGGGGCAGCCATTTGGAAAGTGGTAGGAAGAGTGACTGACTGAGGCAATGAGAGTGGAATCTGTAGGACCCATGATAAGAAAGAGGTAAGCATGTTCAAAAATTGAAAGAAATAAAATATGTCACCTTTTAGGCAAAATGTTTAAAGTTCCCCGAAGCTTCAAATGAGGATCTATAAAATAGAGCTAATATGAAGTGCCTCATATACTTGTTTTGTGAATAATGATACCTAATGTTTATTGATCAATTACTATTTACCAGGTACAATTTGAAGCACTTGTTCTGAATTTACTCATTTAGATCTTAAAAGTTAATCTTACAACCATCTCCTTTTTCTTTAGATGAGGAAACAGATTTTTGGCAACTTACATAGTTAATAAGTAAATGGCAGAGTAAAGTTTGAATCCAGAAATCTGACACTAGGTATCATCCTCTTGGCAATGACTCTGCCCTCTTGGAATGACATGATGTAGAAGTATTTAGGTACATAGTAGTTGCTCTTTTAAGTGTAGAAATTATTATCATTATCAGTATTTTACATGACATATAAATATGTTAACCTGTCCCAATATTGATCTCTCCTGCAAGCACAGAGTTTTTATTTTTATTTTTTTACAATTTATTTTCCAAACCAGAATAATTTTGAGAGTGGAAGTGGTTAATTACATGAAGACAACAAGTGTAAACCAAGACTAGTCAAACTGGGACATATGTTTGTCTTTCATAAAATGTTATAAATTTGTCATTATCCACCTGAGATACCTCATTTACTGGACAGCAGAAGTACTATGGCTTCATGAATTTCTTAAGCTGAAAAGGGAATTTAAAGGCCATCAATTTTAGGTTCTCATTTTATAAATATTTAATTTTTATGATCCAGAGAGATGAAGTTACTTGCCTAAGGTAAGCACTGATTAGTACCAGAGCTGGACTAGAAACTCAGGGTCTTAGTCAGCTTGGGCTGCTTTAACAAAGTACCACAGATTGGGTGGCTTATGTACAATATAAACTTATTTCCTTGGGGTCTGGAGGCTAGAAGTCTGAGATCACGGTGCCAGCGCGGTTGGATTCTGGTGATGACCCCACTTGGGGTTGCAGACTGCTGACTTATTGAATCCTTACATGGTGGAAATAGCTTGAGTAACTCTCTGGGGTCAGTTTTATAAAGGCACAAATCCCATTCATGAGGGATCCATTTTTATGACCTAATTGCCTTTCAAAGACCCACTTCCTAATACCATAACACTGGGGGTTAGTATTTCAACATGTGAATTTTTGGGGGACACAAACATTCAGTTCATTGCATCCAGTGAGTTTTTAATACTAAAGGCTGCTTTAAAGCAAAGGTGAATTTCTTTAGCTGAAACCAAATGGAATGCATAGAACCTTATTCTCCTGTCACACACAGGCAAGGATTTCTTTTTTTTCCCGCATCTGAGACAAGATTCCATGCCCATCAACCAGCCTGGAGTGCAGTGGCCCAATCTCTGCTCACTGCAACCTTTGCTTCTGTACTCAAGCGATCCTCCCACCTCAGCCTCCCCAGCAGCTGGGACCACAGGTGCACACCACTGCACCTGGCTAATTTTTTTTTTTGTATTTTTTTTGTAGAGATGGGTTTTCACCATGTTGCCCCGACAGGTCTTGAACTCCTGAGCTCAAGTGATCCAGCCACCTCGGCCTCCCAAAGTGCTAGGATATAGGTGTAAGCCTTTGGGCCTGGCCTGCTTTGGAAACGTTTTAGAGAAAAACCATGGTCAGTTTTTTGTAATGTGGAAAATCAGCATACCCAGGACAGGCTGTTAGATTTGACCTTATCATTAATTGGTTAATTTAATGGCCTTAGGTCAAATAAGATTAAATAAATAACTTATCATTTATGAATCTCAATTTTCCCATACTGAGTGAGGGGAAGTGAACACATTGCTTTTATAAGTCCTTCTTGCTTGAAATTGTGTGAGAACAATGGTCTAAGTTTGGGAAGAATAGTTGATAAGGAGAGAAGCAGATACCAAACACAGAATTCAGTGTCGCCAAGGGCTAGTCCTAAGTCTATTGCATGTTAAATCACATAGCTCTTCAACTGGATTAGTGAGTAGGTAGATAGAGTTATTGATTAGGACACTAGTGATTATCCAGTAAATTATGCATGACTGCGTGTAAGTAGACCAACAGGATACTTTTGGACGGTTTCCCACAAGACAAACTAACATTGACAGCTCATTTTCTGGAATCATGTGGGACTACTTAGGGATTTACAAATGGGCAATAATGGGTATTTTAAAATTTTAATCCTAAAATAAAGGATAACTAAGAGGTTGGGAAAAGAGCTCTAACGTAAGGGAATTTTTAAAAGATATTATGGTCCTCAGACTTCCCTTTGTCTCTATAATTTCTTTTTAGTTCCATAATATGGAAGTGATTGCTAAATATTTGTGGTAATAATAGTAAAAGAATACAGGTTAATTTTTAGGCATTCAGTTCTGGAGTCAAATAGACTGGTTTAAATTCGAAGGCTGAGACAGAATAGTTTTGTGGTATTTGGCAAGACTTCCACATTTGCAAAGTACGGTTATTATTATTGCCTGATTTAGAGGACTGTGGTGAGATTCAATTGCGATGATGCCTCTGGAGCAGCAGTCCCCAAACTTTTTGGCACCAGGAACAGGTTTTATGGGAGACAGTTTTTCCACATACTCAGTGGGGAGGGGTGTGGAGGGGATGGTTTTGGGATGATTCAAGCACATTACACTTATTGTGCACTTTATTTCTATTACTATTACATTGTAATATGTAATGAAGTAATTATACAACTCACCATAATGTAGAATCAGTGGAAGCCCTGAGCTTGTTTTCCTGCAACTTGATCTGGAGGTGATGGGAGACAGTGACAGATCATCAGGCATTAGATTCTCATAAGGAGTGCACAACTTAGATCCCTTACACACGCAGCAAAAATGGTTTATTTCTGATAGCTGAGTACCTACCTAATTATTGTTGCCAAATACTATAAAAAGCCATTTTTCTTCTTAAAGCTGACAGTTATCATCTCTCAGCCTACTAACTTCTCTAGAAACACATTACTTGAGTCAATGCCATACTTTTATTGGAAATTGTGTGACATATCTTTGTTGGTGGAATTCCTATGATTACATATGCTAGAAATATAAGGTGAGGAACTACTACAGTTACAAATAGCAAAATGAGAAAGAATATAGAATGTCCAAGTGTTTGAATGCTATGATTTAGCCCGTCAAGAAGACTGATTATTTTCTGTTCTCTGTTATTCTTCTTTGACACCGTAATTAATATCAAAGATTAATTTTGTCTTTACTATTATTTATTTACTTTCTATAAGGGCTTACTGCCCTAAAAGTCTATAGTGATGTTCTGAAGAGTTAACAGTTTGTTCCTGTTAGTTTTAGTGAAACAGACCTATAACTAACTCAATGGGATACAACCTGGATCTACAAGCTTCTTGAAGGCCATTGCTTATTCTGATTAAATGGTGTAAAGTGTTTTCAGTGTTCACAGTTCAGATGTGTCTTCAAGGATGAAGTCATATTTTTTTTTACCTTAGTATATTCATTTTCATGTGAAACAAACCCCCTTTCTAATCCCTTTTTGACTGGTACCTTTGTCCAGCTAAACCTGGCAGAGTATTTTCTCAATGGGCACATTGCCATCATGGCAGATGGACCAGGGGCAAGCTAGTTCAAGAGCCAGAATGTATGTCGTTTTTGACTAAGAAGGGCACATTGACTCCAGTGTGTGTGGAAACAGCACTTGGTGTACAATCTCTCTCCCTATGGCTGAGGGGACATGACCTCCCACTCTTGCTGAGCAATGAATTAACTTTGTAGTCTAAAACATTTAAGCTCAATCACGGCAGATCTATTACCTAGGAAATTAAGGCTATAATTCAAAGCTAGTTTGGAGATAGGAAAATGTAAATCTTTGTTCCCAAAATGTTTCTTGAAGAAAATATTTGATATAGCTATTTCTTCCAAAAAACATATCATCATCATCATCATCCACAAATACTATATTGATCACTGACTCTATTCATGCTGCTCATATGGTAGTACATCTTATAAACAATCTTTCAGAGAAAAGATTTATTGTTTTCCTCTTCACATAAGCACAAGTACATTATCTGAGCAATAGCGATTTAATATTTTATATCTTTCATCTTTATATAACCTAGTAATATATCTTGAGTTCTCCTCTTCTATTTCTTCAATGCCACCTTTTCTCTGCAACTGCCCTACAGTAATTTATATTCAACTTCATGAATTAATATTTTGAGAAACATTTTAAATATCATTATCCACTCTACCTCCATTGTCTTAATTCTGCAGCTCTTATGATCTCTCCCAGTAATGTTATACATACTTGGTTAAAAACATTAAGGTCATCTTTAACATTAACTTACCTTTTACTTCCATGTCTAATCATTCTTCCAATTTTACCATTTATATTACTAATTTACATTTTTAATTCACCCTCTCTTTCCCACACACATTTTTGTTACCTTGTCTCAGGTGGAATAAGAAAATACTCTCTTAAGTACTTACATAATGGCTTTGAAGTCAGGCAGGCCAGGTCATAAATCTGGCAGAGCCATTTAATGTCTGTTTCATCCTGAACAATTTACTAAGCAATGCTTTTCTCTAAGGAATGTGGGAAGGAACAAAATGACATTATACATATGCATATAAAGATAGGTAGATAGATATACCTATAATAAATGTTTAATACATTTATTTAATAATTATTAATGCTTTTTTGGCTTTCTCTCACTCTGCGCTATAATTTGTTATTCAGATACCTCATCTAGATATATAATGAATAAAGACTACTCCCACCCTTCACTTCAAATTTATCTAAGACAACCTTGTCCCATGTTTAATGATTGAGACATAAGTATCTTAGCATGTACTGCAAGATATAGTGGACTTTTTTTGTCTAGAAGATTGGATTTTGATCTCAGCATGGCCATTCATTAAAAAAAAAGTTTATTGGTATATTAGGGTTCTCTAGAGGGACAGGACTAATAGGATAGATGAATATAAGAAAGGGAGTTTATGAAGAGTATTGACTCACATGATTACAAGATGAAGTCCTACAACATGCCATCTGCAAGCCGAGGAGCAAGGAAGCCAGTCTGAGTCCCCAGACTCAAAAGTTGGGAAGCTAACAGTGCAGCCTTCTGTCTGTGGCCAAAGCCCCGAGAGTCCCTGGCAAACCACTATGTGAGTCCAGGAGTCCAAAGCTGAAGAACTTGGAGTCTGATGTTTGAGGGCAGGAAGCACCCAGCATGGTAGAAAGATGAAGGCTAGAAGACAGCCAGTCTAGTCCTTCCACATTCCTCTGCCTGCATTATTCTAGCCACACTGGCAGCTGATTAGATGGTACCCAACCAGATTGAGGGTGGGTCTGCCTCTCGCAGTCCACTGACTCAAAATGTTAATCTCTTTTGGCAACATCCTCACAGACACACGCAGGTATAATATTTTGCATCCTTCAATCCAATCAAGTTGACACTCAATATTAAGCAACACAACTGGTGACCTATTGCATACCTGGAAATTTGCTAAAGGTTGAAGATAGGTAACCAAGCAGACACTGTCATTTCCTATTATGGCTACTCTGTATTTATTTAACCACTCTGAGATCTAGTTTCTTCATTTATAAAATAATGATAATAAGTAGATTTTGCGCTTGTCTGAAAAACTTAATGTGATAATAGCAGATGTAGTTATTACTATTATTTAAAGGTATTTCCAGTGATAATTAAGAGTAATCAGATTGAAGATGGAAGCAGAAATTAAGATTAATAATGTTGAGAGAGTGTTCCACATGGAAGAAAAGACACAAGGCCTGAACGTTGTCTTTTTATGCCTATAGGTATAAAAATAGTCTTCTTTTTCTCTGGACACACATATAACTCTCAGTTTTTGTTTGTTGGTTGCTTCCTTTTTAAAGGCAAGCACTGCTAATATATGTGTATTTATTTTCTACTTATACTTACTGTATTCATTCGATATTATAAACTGACATATTGTTCTTTTTATATGAGAATAAACTATAACTGTCATTATAATGTCTTCTTTATGTAAACCAATGGATCATTATTTCCCAACTTTTTTCTACAAAAAGTTGGGAAATAACTAGCCTAAGCATACTGCCCTTTGACAGTGGGAAGGGATTGATTCCAGGAGACATTTGAATTACATGGAGCCATGAGGATTAAAAAAAAGAGGAGAGGCTAGGCACGGTGACTCACTCCTGTAATCTCAGCACTTTGGGAGGCCAAAGCAGGAGGATGGCTTGAGTTCAGCAGATTGAGCCCAGCCTGTGCAACAAAGCAAGATCTCTTCTCTACAGAAAACAGATATAAAAGCAAGGTGTGGTGGTGCACACCTGTGGTCCCAGCTAGTCGTGAGGCTGGGAGGTCGAGGCTGCAGTGCCATGCTTGTGCCATTGCACTCCAGCCTGGGCAACAGTGCGAAACCTTGTCTCAAAATAAAAAATAAGGGCAGGCGCGGTGGCTAAGGCCTGTAATCCCAGCACTTTGGGAGGCTGAGGCGGGCGGATCATGAGGTCAGGAGACCGAGACCATCCTGGCCAACATGATGAAACCCCGTCTCTACTGGAAATACAAAAATTAGCCGGGCATGGTGGTGGGTGCCTGTAGTCCCAGCTACTTGGGAGGCTGAGGCAGGGGAATTGCTTGAACCCGGGAGGCGGAGGTTGCAGTGAGCCGAGACTGCGCCACTGCACTCCAGCCTGGTGAGAGAGCAAGACTCCGTCTCAAAAAAAATAAAATTAAAAAAATTAAAAACTTAAAAGTGAAAAAAATAAAAAAACAGGGAGAGGAGGAATGGCGTCATCAGGAGAGGGAGAGTGGAAGGAAACTGGAGTTTAAATAGGTAAAAAATAAGCAAAATTATTTTTTCACTTACATGGCACAGGACGAAAATAGCCCCTGTTGTACTGGTTTTATGTTAAATTACTAGATATAACTTAAATGATTGATTTTACATTCTCACAGTGTGAAAATATTGTTCTGAAATGTTTAGACAGAGACAGGAACATCAAGAAGTTAATCAATTCTTTCAATGTCAAGAAATCAGTTAATTAGAAGACCTAGAATAGAATTTTACATCTCTACCACTTCTGAACAACCCTTTTGGTGGTGGTAGTCATCATAGAAAATGGGGTATATGTTGATGATAACACAGTTGCAATTTACATTTATTCTACTGATTTGGCTCATTAATATGTGTTTCTATCATTAGACTGTCGAAAGGGTAGTAACTGGAAATTTTTGGTCATTATTGTATTCCTATCTTTTACCACAGCTCCTGAAACTTAGTTGTCAAATCTACTTTAGAACTAAAATCTGAATTTCTTATCATGGCCTATAATGCTAATATAATTTTACTCTGGCTAAAGCTATAATCTTATCTCTTAATACTTCCTTTTTGTCTCTGAAACTATAATCATGCTTACCTGCTTGCTATTCCTAGAAAACACACCCCTGTCTCATTGCTGTTGCATTTCTGTTTCCTTTTGCTGGAAGTCTCATCCCCTAGATAGCTGCATGGCTTACTTCATCACTCGATTCAAGTCTCTGCTGATCTATCACCTATTTAAAGAGGACTTCCCTAGCATCCAATCTGAAATAGCCCTACCTGTCAGTGTCTCTGTTTACCCGCTTTGTATTTCTTTATAAAATTTTTAATTGCATTCAATATATGTGTTTTGAGTTCATACTATGTACCAAATACTTATCTAGGCACTGGGATACAGCATACAAAAACATGCAAAAATCTCTGTTCTCATGGAGATTAAATTCTAGCATGGAGATACATAATACCAGAGGAAAAAAATAAAATATATAATATTTATGTTAGTGAGCATGGAAAAATAAATGAGGAAGGGGAACAGGAAATGCTGGATGTCCAGGGAAGCCTCAGATGAAAAAAAAATGATGCTTAGTTAAGTCATGTAGAACATAAAGGAGCACACTATGCAGTGATGTGACAGAAGAGCTCTCCAACAGGAGGAAACAACAAATGAAAAAGCTCTGAGTTGAGATTCCAACATGCTTCATTCAGAATCATAGAAGAGTCCACTATAGCTAAATTAATGATTGAGGGGAAGCATATTAATAGATAAAGTAAGGGAGAAAAAGGTTTAGATGGTATAATAATTTGGAGATGATAGTAAAAATGAATTGTGTTGACCACAGAGGAGGTCTAAAGGAAACAAAGTCCAAAAACCTAAAAATATAAATTATATTATTCTGAGATGGTAAGGTTTTGAACAGAGAGGGAATATGGTTGAACTGAAGTTTGAATTGGATCTCTTAAGTTACTTTGTTAAGAACAGAATGAAGAGGGGCATGGCAATAGCATAAATACCTGTTTGTTAGGGGGATCTTGTAGTAATTCAGGAGGCAGTGATGGTGTTAACAGTGAAAATGGTAAGAAGTAATGATATTCTGGATATATTGTGAAGGTAGACCTAAGAGATATGCTGATGGATAAGTAACAGGGCTTGAGAAAAATATGAGAAATAGACGATGAGTCCAAGTACCCAAAAGAAAGGAACTTCCTTTTATGGGGATGGATTGGACTGTGATAAAAACAGATTATGCAGATTGGGGTGGTTGGATAACATTTGAGGTATTCTCAAATATTTCAAATCTCCTCCTTCTGGGAGAATAAAAGGATTGCACTTACAAATTTGGAACTTAGACATGTATATGTGATTTGTTTTAGCTAATAAAATATGAGCAGAAGTGATGGAGGTCATTTTCCATTTGAAGTTTTTAAGGGCCTGTGCATGGTGCTATACACATGTACAGTTTTTTTCAGAAGTGATCATGGAAGTATACAGTAAGATAGAGCCTCTGAGTACATGAGTTGCAATAGAGCTTCATCTGTGTACATAAATAACTATGATTATTCTACTTCCCTGCTAATCTATGTTGGAGATATAGCTAAAGCCAGAAATAACCTTTTGTTACACAAAACCACTAAGATTTTGGGGCTACTTACTATTGCATCATCATCTAGTTTATCTTGATTGATACTGGGAGAGCACAGCAGAAGCTAAATTTTGGAACTGTTCTTTCTGATGCTATTAGATATATAAGTGAAGATGTCAAGATGGATGCGTCTGAATTTTGAGAGAAAGACTAGAGATATAGATTTTGGAGTCATCAGGAAATACATCATTTTTATGGCATGACTGGATGAGCTCACTAAGGGAATAATATATATATAGAAAAAAAAAGTCTAAAGCCCGAGTTCTGAGCAATACTCTGCTAAGGGGTCAAAAAGGAAAGAAGGAACCAGCTAAAGAAACTTGGAGCAAGCAGTAAGGTAGCAGATTTTGGTGTCATGGAAGCCAAATAAAGAGTGTTCCAAAGAGAAGGGACTAATAAACTGTATCAAATGCCGCTCATGGTTCAGGTAAGATGAAGACTGAGAAATTTCCACTGAATTTAACAAAAGGAAAGTTGTTTGTGGGCTTGAGAGGATAAATTTCTGTAGCATGGTAGGAACAAAACCTAGAGTCCTTACTTATGTTACATCCTGCTATTATTTTATATCACTACTTGATATTAATTCATTTATTCATTAAATCATCTAAATAGTCTGTTTATTCCACTATACTAACCCCAGGGTCTTTATATTTTTGTTTATCTCTGCATTTTGCTTAACTCTGTATTTTGTTTGCCACTCTATCTTCCATGACTAGAATTTTTCATCAATAATTATTTGGTGAAAGAATGAATACAAAATAAAAGGCCAAAGAAGGTTGAATAAATTAATGAGTAAGGCTTCTACAGAACCAGTAGCAAGAATAGCTACTCTGTTACATTATTTTTTTAAACTCTAGGTCTGTGAATACCTTTGAATTAGTACTATTTCTAGAACTGGGGCATTAATTATTTAGCCAGAAGGCCACCACACACAGCTCTCTTATCAAATCCATGATAGTAATTATTAATCCACCATAGAACTTTTAATATTAGTCCAGATACACTGTCATAATCCTTCTCAAACTATTGCTCCAGGTAGTCACATTCAATTGGTTAAAGTCAGCATGTTATTTAAAGCGTATTTATTGAGATTCTACTGCCTAGAAGTAGGTGTTCCAAGTAATCATGATACATGAGGAACAAAAGCAATATAAGTCTCTAACATCATTCAATTTGTGATCTTCTGGGGAAAATAGACAACAAACAAATAAATGCGTGGCATATTAGCTTGATATCAGGGGATTTCTATTGTATATAGGATGGTGTATCATTTAAAGCATACAATAGCCCTTGTAACAGATAAAACTTGAAATCTCAATGGCTTATCCAAATATAAATTTGTTATTCATATGCAAATGAATATGTTGGTGACAGTTGGGTGCTCAGCTCTTTGAAGTCATTCAGAGACCTAGATTAATGGAGACTCTACCATCTTCAATGTGTGGCTTCCAGTGTTCCCTTGGACGTCAATATCTAGATGGCAAATAAGGGAAGAGAGTGTAGAGTTCTGATAGGAGATTTTATGGGGTAGGCATAGAGTGGTGGATCTTACTTTCCTCTTCCTCCATTCCATTGCATTTTATACAGCTAAGTGGTCCAGCTATATGCAAGGGGAGTTAGGAAATGTAGTCCATGTCTGGGCAGCCACTTACCAGGGACATCATGGAAGAGGAAAACCATCTGTGGTGGAGAGCTCACTTTCTTTGCTTCATCCTATGAGGAAATTTTTGGCTGAGGGGTTAACATTTGAGCTGAGACTTGAAGGAAATGATGGAGTAAACTATGTGGCTCTCTCACTGAACAAATATTAGCAAGCAGTGGGAGTGTTCTTTTGGAACAATAGGAAGAAAGTCAGGGTGGCAGATGTGTAGTGGCAAAAAGGAGTCAGAGGAGAGATCAGAGGTGATTTGGACAGATCCAAGAGCCTAATTAGCCATGGTCAGAAATTTGGCTTTTACTCTGAGTAAGCTAAAAAGCCATAGGAATATTTTACGGCATATATTACACCATTTTAAGTGTGGTATATTGTAATTTTAAAGAAGATTAATCTGCTAGGGAGAATAGATTATAGAGGTATATGGGCAGAAGCAGGGAGAAGAGTTCTGAGGCTGCTTCAGTAGCCTGGCAAGAGAAGAGTGGCTAAGAACAAGAAGGTAGGGTTGGTTGGGGATGGTAAGAAGTGGTTAGATTCTGGAAAAATTCTGCATATGTTTTAGAATCAACATTTTGCCCAAACTTTATATTCTAACATTTTTAACCTACAGAAAATGGAAATAACCATAAAATAAGCAACCATATATATTTCACTTAGATTAACCAATTATTATTTCACTGTCCTTTCTTTATCTTCCTCTGAGTATTTGTGTATGCATGTAAGTATGTAGGTTTACATACAAATTTAAGGTGGCCCAACTTATTTAGTAGTTTACAGAAAAACTACTTAAAGTAGTTTATAGAAAAATCATGATGTCATTCCTAAATGCTTTATCATGCAGCCTCTAAGGATAAGAAATTTGTCCACTTAACAATAACAAAAATATTTTGAAGGCAGAACTGACAGTATTTTCCGATGAATGTTAGAAAAAGACAGGGTCAAATATGATTCCAAAATTTTGATAAGAGCAACAGTAAGTATGCAGATTCCATTTACATAGAGTAGGAAATGTGTAAGAGATGCTAGTTTTGGGTCAAAGAGTAAACTTCTTGCTATTCTTGTCTAGACTTAGTTGGGGCAGGTCATAATCTAGAAGTTTGAGATATGTAAAGTTCCTTGAACTCAAGAAAATCTTGTATGGTGCAATACAAAACTGCAAGACCCAAGTGTCATATTATTTTTAGTGAAATAATTTTATAGGAGTCCCAAAATCAAGAAGGTTCACTCTGTAAAGAAAAGAAGTAATTAAACTTGAAATGCATTTTCATGGTAGTTGTGCAACCTGTGAGGGATGTGGATTATATGTGACTTGACTACATTTTATAAAAGAGGAAAAAAAAATCTAACAGGTTGACTCCTAACTGGAAAGCACCACAGAGCAAACGGCCCATGGTGCCTGCAGGCTGCGTGGGAGCCCTGCTGCTGACCTGTGCTCAGCACCTGTCACCCACAGGTAAGTTACAAATGCTGCTGGCACCTGTTTGCAGGGGAATGTGGAAACATGCATCCGGGTTCATCCAGACAGCTTGGGTGAGCAGGAGAGCCACAAAGAACTGACTTCATTAGTTTGATTTCCAGATGCAAGTCTGGTTCAGTTCTTGATACCCGAGTTTCCAAGTCTCCTACCTGACCGAGTGTCCTCGGTCTATTTGTACTAGTCTTTTTGGGGGAGGACAGATGGGAAAGACATTGGTGGTGAAGACCTCCTGCATCACCATAAGGCTGTGGGAGGTCTCTTGGGAGGCAGCTGTGGGATGGCAGAGGAAGAGGGGTGCCACAGTCTCGAGGGGTTCATGCTTCTCGTGGTACTGATAGTTCTCTTAACTTGCCCAACACAGCCTACCCTGGAGAAAACCACTTTTCTATTTTTTCCACTATATAGTATGTTTGCTTGATCAAGAATATCATATAAATTAAACCATATTGTATAAACTCATTTTGGTATGGCTTCTTTGGTTCTGCAAAATATCTGTGGGATTTATTTATATTGTATTCTTTATGTTGAGTGTATATATACACCCACACAAGATACTTATACATGTATGTGTATATCTATCCATCCATTATCTATCTATCTATCATCTATCTATCTTCTTCATCATCATCTAATCTCCTTTTTTGCTAAGTAGTATGCCACTGTTCAAATATTCCAGATGCACATTGGGTCATTTATAGTTTTTGGTAACTGTGAATAAGGCTACTAAGAACATCTTTAGTAAGTTTTTGAGGGACTGCACATATTTTCATTTCCCTTGGGTAAATAGGAGTGAAATTGCTGTGTCATAGGGTAGGTGTATGTTTAACTTTATTTTTTGTTTTATTGTCTTTGAGACAGCGTCTTTCTCAATTGCCCAGGCTGGAGTGCAGTGGCGTGATCTCAGCTCACTGGAAACTCCACCTCCTGGGTTCAAGTGATTCTTGTGCTTCAGCCATCTGAGTGCCTGGGATTACAGGTGTGCACCATCATGCCCAGCTAATTTTTGTATTTTCAGTAGAGATGGGGTTTTGATGTGTTGACCAAGCTGGTCTCAAACTCCTGGCCTCATGTGATCCGCCCACCTCAGCTTCCCAAAGTGCTAGGATTACAACCGTGAGCCACCACCCCTGGTAATATATTTAACTTTACAGGAAAGTGTCAAAGCTGTCACTTCTTTAAAGTGGTTGTATATAACCAGTCTTGAAAATAACAGAGGCAAAAACAAGATATTCATCATTAGCATTTGTGGTTGTGGATTTTTAATATAAAACAAATTATCATGAACTATTAATTCTTCATTTCCAAATTACTGTGTGTAGAGAGAGGGGAAAGACATAGGACTTATATACTGAAAGAGTACCCTACTTTCTTCCAGGGTTGATGAATGCAAAACTGTTGGCATATCATGTTTGAAGCCCAGAAGAGAAAGTGTAGATGGGTCTTCCTGATGAAATGACTACTCACCCTTGTAGAAGCTCGGAAATGGAGTCTTCAATAACAGTAACTAAAGCAAAGGAAGGGCCAAGTATACAGGAAAGGAGACAACTTTTTATTTTTTAGAAACAAGAAACTCCAACAATAGTTATATCCACTAAATGACATGTGCTTTCACTGAGTTAGGAAACATCTGTTTCTGGTTTGGGTTTTGTTTTAATTATAGACAATAATCAGTTTCTATTTCTATGCCATGAGCGGTGGTGCTGTCCCTAGAAACTCAGCCATTGACCTACCTGCACTTTGCTTCAGCAGATTCTATTTATTTTATGTCTATTTATGTAGTACCATCCATCTACAGTAAGGGTGAAATCAAAGATATGTACTTCTAATACAAATATAGAATTTAGGAAAGTCTATTTTTTATGTCTTGATAGTTCCATTTATTGTCTTAGCCTGCCATTTACTTCCTTATGAGTCCTGAAAAGCGGACATTTGTAGATAATAAGTTTTTCCTTTTTCATTTACTTTCCTTCCCTTCTTTCTCTTTTTCTTCGTTTTTCACTAATAAATATTTAAAGCTAAAATAACTCTAACCCCTAGTTTTCATGATGTGCAAATAAAACATTGTGTACTTCTCTCTTTTGCTCTTATCTACCAGATGAAAACTGTTCGTTCTGTATGATTTTATTCTTTCTAATATACCTAAACAGTCCCACAATTAGCTCACAAATATATTCTCTTGCTTTTGATTGAGTATTTTCCCCAAAGTTCATGTGTTGGAAACTTGATCCTCAATGCACAATGTTGAGAAGTCAGACCTTCATGAGATGATTAGATCATGAGGACTCTGCCCTCATGGGTAGATAAATGCTGTTATCTCTGGGGTGGTTTAATGATCGGAGTAGGTTTGTTGTAGAAGTGAGTTCAGCCCTTTTGTTCTTTTTTGCTCTTCTGCCTTTTGCCACAAGATGACACAATAAGAAGTCCCTCTCAAGATGGGCTCCTTGATCTTGGACCTTCCAGCCTCCAGAAAAGTAAGAAATAAATATCTGTTCTTTATAAATTACCTAGTCACAAGTATTCTGTTACAGCAGCAGAAAATGGACTAAGATATCTCATTACTCAATTTATGCATGTAGTCATGGACATCCTGGCTACAAAATAAAAGCCAATACACAGCCAGACTTTAAAAGTAACAAATCTATTTAAAATTGGTTCCTTTTCCTTCTTCTACATAATAACAATTTATTATTGGCATAAAAATATAAATAATTACAGGCCAAATGAAATAATTTTTAATTTTATTTTGAATAAAACCACTGGATTGAGGTCATTGTTTTATTAGAGAAAAGGTAATAATGTGATTATTATATTTCTAGTTTGGAATCTTGGTCTCTGTCTTGATGCAGTGACTACTGTGGAAATTGTCTGCTGTGTTAGTTCCATGTGTTAATTTGATCTCTTTCCGTAGTAATTGTGGAAGTGAGAGTGGGGTAGTGGGGGTGGGCAGGGTGGGCATCTTTCTCTGTAGGCCCTTTGTGAAAATAATTAAAATTCCTTAAGGAAAATAAACTCTCTTCCTCCCTTTCTGTCTGTCTGCATTGTCTCAATAGATAGATGATAGATAGATAGATAGACAGATAGAGAGAGAGAGAGAGAGAGATCAGCTGGTCTAACTTTCTGGGGTCATCTCTATATTGCCATCAATATTAGAGGTCTTGAAATCCTCCTCAAGGAAGGTGCTACATTTGACTTCATCATTTTAAGCTCATTCTCATCATCACCCTAAGCTCCTGCAACTGCTGTCATGCCAAACCCAAATGGCTTGATCCTTCCCTTCATTTTTGTAAATCATTGCTTACATAGGCTATTGTATATTACGGACACTTACCAAAGGTGTAGTAAAGGATAATTAGAGCCCACAGAAAAAAAATTTAAGTAGAAACCACTGTCTTAAATATTTATTATGTCTTCCATACCAAGGGAAATTTCTTGCTGACTATCGTGCTTCATTAGACCTCAGCTTGTCACCATCTCTTTGAGCCTCCTAGTCTGATATCTTTTACTACTTCCACCAGGCTACCAAATGGGAAATCTCCACATTGCTATTACTTTCTCAAGCAGAGAAATTTCATCTCCTTGTCTTATTCTTACTCATACTCAGATATCCTCCAAAACCTGCAACATGTTTTAATACACTAAAAGCAATGAAAACCATTTTTTTCTTTCTTAAAGCAATATTTGATTTATCTCTTGCTATATACATACCTCTTTTCTCATATGCTACCTTGAGATTCCTTATCCATTTTCTCACTCCAGTTATAATTTGAATCAGGGTTCTGAACTGAATGATTTAAATAATTTTTGAATAATCCCAGTATAAAAAGCAGTGAACATAAACCACATTGCGTTTAGGTTAAATTTTCCTACAGATGGCTTAAGCTGTTTCTTTATGTAATATTTAACTATTAAACTGAGCATATAAAAAGGGATTGCCAAATGGGATAAAATAATTATTAACAAAGTAATAAATCATAGTAAATTGAAATGCCATTCTTGTCCCATTTTTGTCAGTTTTGTAAAGGGAATGGTTAACTGAAAATATTTGTTGTGTGAACCAAAGACACCCATTTCAAACAGCTACATTATATTTCTGCCTCTTCATTCCTATAGTCCACCATGAAAATATGAACTGAAGACTATACCTCCAGGTACTACCACTTTAACATCAATTGAATACACAGTCCATTTGGGCTGCTGTAACAAAATACATAAACTGGTACTTTATAAACAGCAGAAATGTATTTCTCACAGTTCTGGAGGTGGAGAAATATGAGATCAAGGTGCTGGCAGATTCAGAGTCTGATGAGGGCCTGCATTTTCATAGATGGCACCTTCTGGCTGTTGCCTTACATGGTGGAAGAGGAATGGAAACTTGCTTGAGCCTCTTCTTTTATAAGGGCACTAATTCCTTTCATGAGGGCTCATCTCTCGTGACCTAATTATGTCCCCAAAGCCTCACCTGTTAATACCATTTTGGGGGTTAGATTCAACATATTAATTTTGAGGCAGGGGACAGCAACATTCAAATCACGGTACCCAGGAAGGTAAGGTTATTTCACAGTCTGAAGAGCACTTTATAAAGAGTGACCCCACTTTTGCTAAGAACTTAGGAAAGACCTAGAGTGTGCATAAATAATGTTAGCTATGACTGTTAATGAGAGGTAGCAGCATATTGTAGTTAAAAGACTGGACTCTGGAAAAAAGACGGCCTGGATTTGAATCTTGGCACAACTACTTACTTCCTGTCATTTTGGACAGTTAATTTAAGTTTTCTGGGACTCGATTTCCTCATCTGTGGCAAAAAAAAGTCAATAATAATGACAACTGTATCATGGAGTTGTCCAGAGAATTAAATGACCTAATACATATAAAATGCTTAGGACTATGCTGAGGCAATGTAAGTGTTTAATAAAAAATGTTTTCTCAATTTGCTGTTGCTTTTGTCAGAGGTAGCCTAAAATCATGTCCAATGACCTGGAATCCCTTTGTCTGTATTTCATGGCTTTGATTTTTCAGAGGTTGGCAAGAAATATTGAACTGTGGTGAGTACTCCATCTGAATAACAGTAGTGAAAAAGAGCTGGTGTTAAAAGCATTGCTGCTACTACAGATCAAATATGGCTCTGTAACAAAACTTAGAAGAGGCGTCCTATTGGGGAATCTGCAGTATGTGTGTGATGATACTAGTGAAGGCTTGGCAGTGTATATGCAAAGTCCAAATTGAAGAAATGAAATCTTGAATAAAATAAAATGCCTTTCCTCTGGGGATCTAAGGATACTCACAACTTTAAACAACTCATTATAGAAAGAAATAAATGGAAATTTTGCCATGCAAACCATTTCTGCTATTTTTCCTTTAGTGCTCACACTTGGAAATTTTGCTAGTCTAAATGTGTATAATGTATCACATTCATTCATCATGCTCCCATTTTGGCAAATGAAAGCCATGAGGATTTAATTAAGGTTTTCTGAATATGTTGTGGGAGGCCTTTTTCCACTTCTGCCAGTGTTTCCTCCAGCTCCTGGCAATTCTTAGTGATATTTGTGCCTGGAACAGGGCAGATGAACCTTGGTAAGAATTAGAGCATCTCACTGGGAATCTTACTTTGGTGTTACTCAATTCCACGGGTGCTCTTATTCTTTAGTTTCAAGAATTTGGTCTGGGAATTGCTGGTTCTCTTTGGCAGTTCACAGGTTATGATTTGTAATGCAGGTCTGGGAAAATAGTCATGCATCTGCTGAAAGGTAGGAATTGAGCCAGGGTAACTGCTTGAAAGCAGTTGACTTTTTGACAATAGAGGCTGGTTGTCTTTGCTTCCACATATGCAACTCTGTGAACAAAGACAGAGAGGGGACTGATGAATAGTGTATGGCTTTTTATTTACCATAAAGAGACTGTGTATTTTACTGGCATCTCCAAAAATCTAGCTGTTTTACCCTGTGGATGTATGCATGGAAGTGGGGATAAAGCTGAGCAAATGAACAGCAATGAGGAAAAAAAAATTCCAGCATCTTTCAGAGTTGGCTAAAGTAAATGATCTGTCCTCTGTATGACACAGAACAAAAAGAAAATGGATTCAGATGAGGAAGAAAGCCAATGTCATATAAATCTACAAGACCAAAACTGAAGGTATGATCTTTTATCATGTTGCTGTAATATTTAAAAAGCCGTATACATCAGAGAAGTGCAATTGGCAGGATTTTACCTGGAGCAAAGTTTTTACATTATGTTGCAATCAAATTGCATGTTTTAATTGAATTCAGACTTTAATACTTAATGTATACAGATTTATGCTCCTAAATGAAAATTCCAGGATCATTTTTTGATTGTTTTACTATGTGAATTACTGTTAGTTTAGTTAGCTAATGATAAGGAATAGATTTGCTTCAGCCTAAAAACATAATTTAAATATTAAATCTTTAAAATTTTGATGTTGGGAATAGACATGGATTTTCCGGGCCAAGTGTGGTGGCTCATGCATGTAATTTTAGCACTTTGGGAGGCCAAGGGGGGAGGATCACTTGAGGCTGGGAGATCAAGACCAGCCTGGGCAACATAGTAAGACCTCATCTCTATAAAAAATGTAAAAATTAGCTACTCTGTAGTCCCAGTTACTTGGAGGCTGAGGCAGGAGGATTGCTTGAGCCCAGGAGCTCAAGGTTGCAGTGAGCTATGATTGTGCCACTGTAATCAATGTCAATGATCATCATAGAAATGCAAATGAAAATTACAATGAGTTATTGTCTTTCTCAGTTAGAATGGCTATTATAAAAAGTCAAAAAATAACAGGCATTAGTGAGGGTGTGGGAAAACGGGGAATGCTTATACACTGTTGGTTGAAATGTAGATTGGTACAACCCTTATAGAAAACAATATGTAGATGTCTCAAATAACTAAAAATAGAACGACCATTTGATCCAGCAATCCTACCATTGGGTCTCTACCTGATAGTTTATCACAACATTGTTCACAGCAGAAAGATATGGAATCAACCTAAGTGTCCATCAGTGGGTGACTGGATAAAGAAAATGTGGTATACATACACAATGGAATATTATTTAGCCATAACAAAGAATGAAATCATGTCTTTTGCAGCAACATTAATAGAACTGGAGGTCATTATCTTAATAAGTCATACACAGAAAGACAAATGTCACATGTTCTCAAAAGTGAGTTAAAAAATGTACATACGACTGGGCGCAGTGGCTCATGCCTGTAATCCCACCGCTTTGGGAGGTCAAGGCAGGCAGATCACTTGAGTCCAGGAGTTTGAGACCAGCCTAGCCAACATGTTGAGACAAGTCTCTACTAAAAATACAAAAATTAGCTGGGTGTGGAGGTGCGTGCCTATAATCCTAGCTAGTTAAGAGGCTGAGGCAGGAGAATTGCTTGAACCTAGGAGGCTGAGGTTGCAATGAGCCAGGATCGTACCACTGCACTCCAGCCTGGATGACAGAGGGAGAACTTGTCTCACACACACACATGCACAAAAATGCATACATAAGGACATAGAGTGTGTAATGATAGAGAGTGGAGACTTAGAAGGATGAGGAGTTGGGAGAAGAGGGAATGATGAAAAATTACTTAATGAGTACAGTGTATTTTATTCAGGTGATGGATGCCCTAAACCCACTGACTTGACCATTATGCAATCTATGCATGTAACAAAATTGCACTTGCACCCCATAAATTTGTATGAATTTGAAAAAACTCAAAATAAAAATATTTATTCAGATCCTAAGTATCAGGCACTTCACTGGCTCTAGAATTTCTGCTGATAAGGTTTGATTCCTGGCCTGGAGAATATCTCAAAGTTATGAAAAACCAATACTAAACAAGTAATCATGATGAAACAGAATTATGCAGTCTCTGATGAGAGGCACCAGACAGGGATGTACAAGCTGTCAGATGATTGGGGTTCAACTTCAACTTTCAATGCTTACAGATACATTGATCTTTGGTTAGTTATTCACCTTTCTGAGCCTCAATTTCCCATCTCTCAAATGGAGACAGAATTAGAATCTACCTCATGATGGTGTTGAGAATTTGAACTACATCAATCCCTGTGAGATGTGTAACAGTACCCGGCACATATTATGATTGGCTTTGATACCAATCACAGAAATTGTAAACATATTACATTTAGCTTTCCTGTAGTAGCCTGTGTTAGTCTCTTTTTCATAGTGCTATAAAGAACTACCTGAGACTGGGTAATTTATGAAGGAAAGAGTTTTAACTGACTCACAGTTCTGCAGGCTTAACAAAAAGCATAACTGAGAGGCCTCAGGAAACTTACAATCATGGTGGAAGGCAAAGGAGAAGCAAGCATCTTATTTACATGGTGGCAGGAGAGAGAGGACAAAGGGGCAAGCTACAAAATAATCTCCTTTGACTCCGTATCTCACATCCAGGGCATAATGATGCAAGGGTATGCCTCTTGTGGGGCATACAATCTTAAGCAACTCTACCCTTGCCCACTATCTGCTAAAGCACCTGTCATTGTCTGCATCCCAGCAATCAGGAAAAGGAACAATAAAAAAGAAGGGTCTAAGGCACTCTCTAGATATCTGGAAACCTGCCTCAAAACAATTCTTACTTTTTTTTTTTGCTGATAACTGAGGCACAAGGCTGCAATGAGCTCGGAGAGCAGTTGGGGAGTATGGTTTTTGAAGCATCCACATGTCTAGCTAAGAGTGGGAGTCTAATATTAAGAAGGCAGAAGAAAAGGAATATTGGAAAGTACACATTCACAATCGGGCAGTTTGAATAGAGCTAAAGCAGAGAGTCCATGGACGTCAAAGTTGACTGCCACCTACTGGTTAGATGACTTTGGGCAAAATGCTTCATTTCTCTATGCCTTAATTTACTGATCAGGATCAGAGACATGTCTCAGGAACAAGTGAGTGCAATCAGCACTAAAAATAGTGTTGTGCATGTGGAAAGTGCTCATTTCAATAAATGGAATGCCACTGAAGAAAACTGAGTGGGAAAAGGCTGTCACGTGACTAAAGTGTTAAAATGATGACTGTAGCTAATATCGAGCAAAGATAAGAAGGAAGAGAAGCTTCAATGTAGAGAAAGAGTTAGAAGACTTTCATAGTGGTGCCAGTGGAATTGGGAGAAGGAGTTGTCTTTAGGGTATATTTTGACAGTGAACAAATAAAATTTATGGATATAGGCTGGGGAAAAAAGAGTAAAGACAACTTAAAAAAGTTTGGCCTATGGTTGTCTTATACACATTTTTTTTTTTCACTATGCTGTGATTTTTTTCACAAAAATCATCACCTTATCTCACTGGCACTATCCACCACAGTGTCTGGCACATGATAAGTGCTATGCAAATGGTCTAGTCGATTCAGTAAGAGAATTAGCTACCCTTAACTATTTTTGGGTTCTTGGTTTTCTCATTCGTTCTTAGACACATATCTATTGATAAAATAATTATAAAGTTATAATAATATAAATATAGTGGAAGTGTCCTAATTTATGTGTAAAATAAATTTTGTCATTTAAGTGAGATGAATTCTGTAACTCCTTTTAAAAGTTTAAAACCACTGCTATAGTTTCTGCTTCTCTACCATGCTTTACCTACAAAGACATTAAAGATATATAATATTGCGGTTAATTTTAGAGACAGCATGGTGGAATAGAAAGAATAGAACTTTATAAGCAGTCTGAGTTAAATTCAGTACCAGCGCAAATATTTAGGTTCTCTGAGTTTTTTTATTATTTGAGTCCTTCTAAAAAGATTTCCAATTCAGATCCCTGCATAGCGTATTTTCTGAGGTCTTGTTTGTCTGGAATTGTTGTTATTATTATTATGCCATCTATTTAAGTTATAATTAAGCTGGCTATCAAATTATTGGCTCAATATTATTTTCCTTTAATATTTTGGAAATAGTATACTGTCTTTGTGTAACCAGTGACATCTGACATTATTTGATTCTTATACTTTTACAGGTGATCTGCTCTGTCTGCAGGCTATATATTTTCTTCTACTTTTGTTTTTTCACATTTCACCATATTTGTTCTCTTTGTCAATGTATGGATTGCTTATATTTGGGATATTTTATCTTTCATCTGTGTGTTTTTATGTTTTTATCTTCTGGCACCCCTATTATCTGAGTGGCTTATCCATCTATCTCCGTAGATCCTCTAGCCCTTCCTGCCTCCTTCATACATCTGATTACTTGTTCTTCAGCGGATTCCATCTTACTATTTATAGAATAGATTGTTTTGTTTGTTTCATGTCATTTTTGTTCTTTTCTGTTTCATTACTGTAATTTTCTGATTTGATTATTCTCATATCTTCTCTTATCCCCTAAGTATAAATGATACATTATAATTTTAAATAATAATGATATATTATTATTATTTTGAATTATATGTGAATTTGTTTCAGTAACTCTGCATTGAATGACGGTTTTTCCAGGAATATATTTTATATTTAAGGTATGTAACTCCTGTGTCCAGTGACTTTTACCAGTGACTTCATATTCCCCTAGGAAGAAGTTTTAGCTATACTCTTGATCGTGTATTGGGAAGGGCTCAAGCTGAGCATTACTCTATGTTGGTCTGATGAGGATTAGGGAAAAGTGAACACTGAATGCCAGCGTAGAGGACCCTATGACCACAACATGCCAAAGAACATCTTAGGTAGACTTGTCCTTATAAACCCTTAGAAAGATGCAGCTTTCGGGGAGCCAGGGTCTCCATTCTGTAATCCAACCTTCCTGGTTATTTGTAGGAGGAGCAGTGGAGGAAGGAATTCTCATGGTTTTCTGGTCCATCCCATTCTGCTTCCCTTGTGAACTTCAGTTCCTAGGTCTGTATGCCCACTGCTGCTGTTTGCTCTGGTGAAGGAACCCAGTATGATTTTCTGAGGCTCTGCTGGAGAGAGGCAAGAAGAGATTGTAAACTATGTTTGCAGTCTCTTCCTGCCACCCATGACTGTCCTCACACCTGGGTTGGAGGGGTACACTGGCCCTCATTCTTTCTGCATCCAGACACCACTTCAAGAAAATGCTCTGTTTCTCCAAAGGGCTTGTAATTTCTATTGTTGCTGCTTTTGTTGACATTAACTTTTGTTAATTATTGGAATCCAAGTTCCTTTCTGGTTTCTATAACTTCTCTAGGTTAATTTCATAAGAGAAAGCAAGGTGTTCATCTCAGTTTATTGTCTTGTATGCTCTGCCACTCTTTAGTATATAACAATATGAAGACCTTAAACATCTTCAGGAAATACATTCTAAATTGAACATGTCTAACAATATAATCTTTCCTTTTTACATATTTAAGCTCTGGTATTATTTTTAAATTGTAAAGTTTTATATTTCTTTTAAGTTTTGTTTAATCACTCACCACTTAATGAAACTTGACATTCCTCTCATTCTTTTTCTAATCGGCGGACAAGAGAAGTATGTAATATTTGCTTGTAAAATCATTTGTCCTTATGCACCTTAGAAATTGACTAACTTTTCTAAGATATGAGTTCAATTTCCATTTTCATACTTATGAGATAATAAAACTGTAAGCCTGAAGTGTGATGCCCTATAGTTAGATATTATTTGTCTTTATTGCCATGGCCTTGTGAAAACAAATACTTCACCACAAATAAAGTAAATAAAATAGGTTTGGCTTTTGAAATACTGCAAATAAAGTTAGAGAAACTGACAGCTCTCTTCTCTTCTAAATATTATGAAAACAATTGCTGTGAAAATAAATTGTTATTTTTTCCATTTACCCATTTTTTCATTCGTATGTTTGTTGAAATGGGTTTTTGTTTGACTATGAAATGGTATGTATATTTCAGTGACCCAAAACACAATATAGGACACCAGGTATTTAAGGAATCATTGAACAGGTTTTTTATTTTTGGGGACTTCAGAAGTTCAAAGCCAATGATAATCACAATATACTTATTAATATGCTTCTTAGATTAAGCTAATGGACATGATTCATTGGAATTTAAAGATGCAAATTAATTAATAATGGGAATTTCTTAATGATTAAGACACATCATGGACTCTATTAGAAAGACAGGTTGAGGGAGGGAAAACAACTATATGTCAGCATTCTAGGCTAGCTCCTCTCTCTACTGTATAATTTGGAAGTTAACCTGGTGTATTCTGCACTTGTTTAAAACACATTTATTGAATGTTTTACAATTATGTGTTTTCCCTGTTTGCTTGGGTAGGTGACCTTTGGTTCAGCTTCTGTGTATGTACACAATTTAATTGAAGCCTTTAAAGAGTTTAAGGAAATGGAATTAGTTTTCAAGATGTTGTCTCTCAGAGAAATCTAGCCAGGAGAAATGAAGGTTCTGGGGTTAAATAGCTGCCTGTGTAATGGTAGGACTATATCATTTATTTTTCTCTACTTCATTTTCTCTCCCTTTCTTTTCTCTTTTGCCATATATTGTATTTTCTCTCTTCGGTAAGTATGTATTGTGATTCAACTAGGAACTAGGACTAACAGAATCAATTAGACAGGATGTTTATGACCTTAAACAAGTTAGTTTCAAATGATATGTGTGCTAAAGCAAATAGATTAATTTCATATATTGTGAATAATGCCACCACAAAATATGGTATAGTCAAATAAGGCTGATTTTAAAAAGTCACATAACAAAATATATACTCAGCAATTATTTCCCAAGCAAAAAATAAAATCCTTTTTAGTGGAAAAATATTTTTGTTGCATGGATTGGATTTTTAACTGAAAAAAATTATTCAAAACCAAATCTAATAAATAATATAATCAAGTTTTATTATTATTAGTAATATCTTTACATCCTTAGTATAATAAAATGTAATTTAGAAAAAAATGTATTTGTAGGCTCTAAACTGATTAAGAAGCAATTATTGGAAGAGAAGTTCCAGATGTGATCAAACACCAATATCATCATTAAAGTAATGCATAGATTTCAAAAGAGATGGTTGTTAGTGTACTTATTTGCGTATTTATGTACCGGTATATTTGTAAATATATCAGTCTTACCCTTGTGGAGTCACATTTTGTGCTCTTGTGCTATTATTGTAAGATACTACCTATCTCATGTATTGGGAGAGGAGATGAAAAAAGAGAATGAACAAAGAGAGAGGTGTTAAGTCCTGCTTATGTGCAATAAAATTCAACTAGGCTACAAACTTTGAGGTAAAGAAACAATCTTCTAGGCAAGAATAATATGTTACTCAATGATTATACCTGATTCACTGAGTTTACTGGTTAGCATATTACAAAAAGTTCTCTATTTTGACTCACTATGTCTATCAGCTTTTTTTAAAAAAAAAAAAATAGCCCAGAAACATGGGAAAGGAGTAGAATTAGACAAAAAGAGACAACAAAGACGAAAAATACAGTCTAATCTGTTCAGAGTTTGTAGACATGTAAAATAATAGAACCTGCATATGAATTCTAAAGAAATTTTTAACTATGGACTGCTACTAAATTTATATTGTTCGATAATGAAAGGAGATGAGTAAAGTATTATTCCCATCTCCAATATGTGTATTGTTATGTAATAATGATGGATTACTTTTCTTTTTATCCTCAGATTAAAAAACCCAGCCTTTCATATTAAGTAGCTTTAGAGAACATTTGTCTATTTCTTTTTCTCTTCCTTTTTTTTCCTGACTAGCATATGAAGCCATTTCTTATGTTTGAGTAATTATCTACTCTGTGGACCTTGGTTAGCTAGAATCTACCTACAATTATAGAACCTAAGCAAGACCTTTGGACATTTATAGCAGTTGAAGCATGAATATATGCCTTGTTATCAGCAATTAGGACTTGGTAATGTAGGCAGAGACAGTGGGCATTCATCATGGTGATGGAGGGAAAGTCACATGTCGTTTCCAGTTTCATACAGAGCTGTGCGGTAGCAGCATCCAATGTCTGGTGGTGAAAAGTGTAGAAACTAGTTCAGAGTCTGTTTGTTGTCCCCAGAATGGTAAGATTTTTCATTTATTCATTTAATATTTATTGAGATCTCTCTGTAGCCCCAGTATTGTTCTAAAACACTGTGCATTGATTAATCTTATGTATTCTTTATAAAAATTATCTGAGGTAAGCACTATTTTTATCCCCATCGCACACATGAAGTAATAAGGAATAGAAAAGAGAAGCAAATTGTTCCAAACAAGGCAGTAATTAAGTGGCAGAGTTGGGATACAAACCCAGATAGTATGGCTTTGGTATGTAAGTGTTTATCCAATTTTCTGTCCAGCTTCCCTTTGCCACTGCTTATCTTCCAAGCCTGGTACCAGAGTTTTACAATAATTCTATGAGTTACCCAATATTATTTTAATAACTATTTTATGCTTAGAATACTCAAATTCATTTCAGCTAAAGATATTCCTGATATCTTAGTTATTCCATAAGTAAATTAGCTGTATGATTACAAACAGATCAATTAATCTCAAGTCCTCTACATATATATTTGCATATTCAAACATATTTTTATGTTCTTACATTTTAATCACTGTAAAAATCAAATAAAACAATGTTTGGAGAATTACTTTGTCAACTAACAAGATTAAATTAATTTAATTTAATTTCAACAAACATTATTCCTCACTTCTTAGATGTAATCTGAATGGTAGATACAGACCAAGTCATGGCAAATATCACCTATTGTTTACTAAAATATATTTGCCCTCATCCAGGCAAGAAACAGAAACTACAGTAGATATTCAAACAGATAATATATTACAAGGAGTTAGTTATAAAAATGTTGGAGGAGTTTGAGAAACGAAAGGGAGAAAGTGGCTTTAATTAGACTTCAAATTACAGGAAGCCTCTGCTGTATCTATTGCTGGAAGAATAAAAGTGAGAAGGAGGTATAATCCAGAGATCAGTAATTAGAAAGCCCATTCTCTCCGTGGAGCTGGAGACCTAGTGTGGGTTTGAGAACTAAAAGCTAATTTCTAATTACATTAAATTCTAGAACCATTTTAATGTATAGCCATTCAGATATTATTTTGCTTAGCAAGTTATTTTTAATTAAAATTTTATTAAATTTTTGTTGGTTACAAGCAAATTTTAGGTGGAATTCTACTAAGAATGACTGCTATACTCTGCCTCATTTCAATGAGAGAGCTGATAAGATTATCGAAAACAGTCATTAACATTTCATCAGTTCCATACATGGGGAATATCTTTTGGTTAAGCTCTACCATCTTGCTAACGCTGTATTATTTTTCAAATGCAGTACCCAAATAGTATCAAGTTTCAGAGTGGAAAAAATGTCTTTGAGACTTTCGGTTTTAATTTAGCAAGGTATATAACTGGGTAATTCCTTATGCTCTCTTTTTGCTTACCTATGCAAGTTCTGATAAACTTTGGTACCAAAGGAACCAAAATGATTTATCTATATCATTGTACGTAGAAAGGTATGAATCCCACTGTACAGTAGTGACATGCTTTATTATTAAGAACTGAATTTGGCTTAAAATGTGGCTGTAGCTGTCATCCAATTAGTATCAGAAAGAACATTTTTGTAACTACTCTACTAAAGAAAGTTTTTTGAACAGTTATTCTTCAACAACTAAATAAATATTACTGATAATCTACCTAGAACATCAATTTAAAATGCCATTTGAGAATGTATTTATGATTAATTGAACTTGATGAGCATCTTAGGATAGAGTGTCATTGAAAATCAATAGACAATAGGTTATTTTATGAATAAGATAATAAATTAATGAAACCTCTCCACCTTTCTTTATTAAAATATGTTAATAATCTCTCATGCATATTTATTTACTCTCAATTTAAGGGAACAAAATGTTATTAACATTTGTTGAGTGGATACCTTTGGGTGAGTGCATCCCTAAGCACATTACATATGCCATCTGATTTTACTTACTAACAACCCTGTGGGGAGTATTAATAACCATTTTTACATTTAAGAAAATTGAGAATCAGGGTACTTAAAGCTGGAAGTGGAGGAGCTGAGCTAAGAACCCATGTTTCTTTGATTCTAAAGCAAATACAAATTTCATCACAACCACTGCAAGAGAAATTCCTTGGAGAAAAAAATTGAAGCTGTTACTACCTACAGATAATAGGCCCATATAATTTGGTTCTTATGTTTCCAAAACATAAATGGAATTTTACAGTATCTAAGGCATATGTATTTTTTTAATAAATGAAAAATGGTGTAGTTGGGAGAAAAATATTTACCACATATTATAGTCTCATGGCAGCACTAGTGTGGTCCCTGTTAGCTGTAGAGGAGCAGGGCCAACTATTTGGGTATGTGAATTCAAATTCGTATACAGAGGATGGAGAAGAGGCCATAGAAACAGTATCAGGTGTAAGGAATGTGTATGAGGTAGTAGGAAGAGAGTTCTAAGGAGTACAGAATAGACTGAAGTCTAGATCTGTTTTAAGCATTGGATGTTGTCAAGAGCTGGGCTCAGCTGGAGAGAGCCGATAAAGGCAACCAGCTAAAATGAAAGCAGCAGTCACACCTTTAAGCACTGTGATAGTCTAAGCAAGATATAAAATGGGAACAAGTGCCAGCTCTCCATCGTTTCATTCCCGCCCCACCCCGCACCCTCCCGCCATGTAATGGCTCCAGGCCAGTGGATCAGCACCCATGTGGGAATTGTCTCACTCCCAAAGAAGCCTTGAACCAAAGGCTCTGCCATTTCATGGACCAGTGGGTTGACAAAAAGGAGGAAAGGAAGAGCTCATGGTGGAAAAGTGCTGAGTACTGAGAATGGGGAAAGTGACCTCAAGATTCACCCCAATCCCCAAAAGTAGGTCTTAGCAGCAGAGGCAACTGGGGGAGGCCTCAGCTCCTATAAAGAGGCCTATAAAGAGGCCTCTGGGCTGTGCACGATGGCTCATGCCTGTAATCTCAGCACTTTGGGAGGCCAAGGTGGGTGGATCACTTGAGGTCAGGAGTTCGAGACTGCCCTGGCCAACATGGGGAAACCCCATCTCTACTAAAAATACAAAATTAGCCAGGTGCGGTGGCAGGCGCCTATAATCCCAGCTACTTGGGAGGCTGAGGCAGGAGAATTGTTTGAACCTGGGAGGTGGAGATTGCAGTGAACCAAGATTGCCATTGCACTCAAGCCTGGGTGACAATAAATAAATAAATAAATAAATAAATAAATAAATAAATAAAAGAGGCCTCTAAATGGAGGCACCTGAGATAGGGAAGCAGTTGGGTGTTAACAGCTTGGCCAGCCAGGAGGGCCTGTGTCCTTGACTGCAACTCCTTTCAGAGACTGCAGTTTACTCTCTGTGCTCCAAGTCTGCTGTGGGGAGGACAGTGTTCCTCTGTGAGGCCTGCAGGAGAAAGTCTTTGTAATTGTTTATGGTTAAGTCTCAAAAATCATACATAAGATTTTGGCTGGAGCCAGACATTTCAGAGATGAGAGGAATGGAATGTTCCTGTAAGGCAGGCAGAGGGACATGGCAGATGGTTGGGAATCAATGTTACTTCTACACTGAGGTGAAGCATGCAGAGGCACCAAGGAAACCTACCCACAGATGGCGGTACTCTCAGACACAAGGTCCCAGAATTGAAGAACCAGAATTTTGAGTGGAAATAGTATTTGGGGCCATTAGATAATATCTTTCCCTCTTTCATTTATTTGGAAGATGGCTCAGGGAAGAGAAACATATAACATATTTTGTGGATCTTTTTCTTCTAAAAAATTAAACACTAAAGTGGGAAGATGATTTAAAACTAATGTGATGAGAGATGCTTTGTTTTCAGTGTCTGTCCCCTCTAAAACTCAAGTTGAAATTTAATCCCTAATGTGGCAGTAGTGAGAGATGATTGGGTCATGAGGGCTCTCCCCTTATGAATGGATTAATTTATTGATTAATGCATTAATGGATTAATAGGTTATCTTGAGAGTGTGGCTAGTGGCTTTGTAAAAAGAGTAAGAAAGACTTGAGTGTGTTAGCATGTAAGCACACTCAACCCTCTCACCATGTGATACCCTGTAGCACTTGGGACGCTGCATGGTCCCCACTAGCAAGAAGGCCCTTGCTAGATGCAGCTCTTCAACTTTGAAATTTTCAGGCTCCCCATAATAAAGTAATTCTTTTTCTTTATAAATTACCCAGTTGCAGGTGTTCTTTTATAAGCAACAGAAAACAGACCAAAACAAGGGATAAAGAATATTTTTCTTTTCTTGAAAGAGACTACTTTGAACAGTAAAAAAATGGAAGACAAAGTGCATAAAAATATATGGGTCCTAGAATAGAGATGTAGCAAGGCCCAAGAAAGCGATGGTGACAGAAAACATCTCAGCAGAGAGAATTCGAGGCGGCATGGCCAGTTTCCCTGCCATAGGGTAGCGCGAAAAATAATAGCGGTTAACAGAGCTGGCCAATGACAAAGGATCTTATGTCCCCAACCTCCTGTCTTATCAAGAGCTTGCCACCATAGGTGGTTTCAGGCCTCTAGCATAACTGTGATGTAAAGGTGATAACTTAGGTTATGTGTTTATCAATCTAAGCAGAATGGATTTGGAGTAGGCAATTAAGCTAAGTTAGAGAATACTAACTTATAATGTGAGCTGAGATTCACATGTGCCGCTGTAATACTGAGAGGCACTTATTAATAAGTATTTAGTTTTAGTGAGCATTTATTGTATGTCAGGTGTTTTAAGTGTTTGAAAATAACATGATGCTCACAAAAATCCATTAGATAGAAATTACTAATATATACTTTTTACAGTTGAGAACATTTGAGTCTTGGGTATATAAAATAATATATCCATACTTTGCAAACTTGGCAAGTGGCTGACCGCAGACTTGAATATTACTCTACCTCTAGAAATTTTGCTGTACACATTCACACTTATGTGAGGAAATAAAGTGAAAAACAGGATTGTTCCTTACCAATAGAAAAGATTGACATTTTCCTGATCTTGAATAAAAAATATAGACAAACTTTCAGTAAATGTTACTTGATATTGTATCTGAGATATCTCTGTAGAAGTTTGGGCTTGCCTGACAGATGATGGTTGTGCTGGGCCTTGCAGATAGAAGTAAGATAACCTGGTTGAAGAAAGAGAGATTTTATGGAGAGTCTAGAGACCTCATCTGGCTTTGCATCACTTATCAACATATTCCCCCTGCAAGCGCAGTGCCTGGAATGAAAACAAAAGAAGGCATTAAATACATATTTAATGTCAATTGAATAAATAAACTGATCTCAAGCAATTCACTTTTCTCTAAAGCCCTCAGTTTTCTTATCTGTAAAATGGAAAAAAAATATGTCTGTAACCCAGGGTTTTGTTGGGATAAGATGAGAAGATATTTTTTTAAAAAAGTTGGAAAACTTAAACAGCTATAAAAATATAAGGTGTATTTCTTTTAACCATTTCACAGGATTGATTTTATAAAAACAGAAAATTGAAACTTGAATTATATGGAATCCAGCCCTTGCCAACAATCTCTGTGCAAACATCTGGTAACTAAAACATACAGTCTAAGGAACAGGCTAACTATGTTGTTCTCTTTAGAGAGTAGTTTTCCCAAACATATCAACCGTATTATGTTAGAGCAAGATAAAAGGAAATACCTATGTATAAATCTGCTCCGGTTGCCATAACAAAATACCATAGACTGGGTGGCTTAAACAACAGAAATTTATTTCTCACAATTCTGGAAGCTGGAAGTCCAAGGTCAAGGTGCTGTCAAGGTAAATGTAATTCTGAGGTTTTCTTGGCTTATAGGTGGCCATCACCTCACTGTGTGCTCACATGATCTCTTCATGCACACGCAGAAAGCGAGAGCTCCCTTGCTCTCTACCTTTATTTATAAAGGCTCTCCTATCGTGAGAGCGCCACCCTTATAAATTAATCTAAGCTTAATTATCTTCCAAAGGCCCTATCTCCAAATATCACATTGGGGGATAAGGCTTTAATTCAGCAGTCCCCAACGTTTGAACCGTAATAATTTGGGATGAAACTGATCCGCCTGAGATCATCAGGCATTAGTTAAACTCTCACAAGGAGCGGGCAACCTAGACGCCTCTCATGTGCAATTTACAATAAGGTTCGCCCTCCTACCAGAATCTAATGCCGCAGCTGCTCTGACAAGAGGCAGAGTTTGGGCAGTAATGCTCGCTTGCCTGCCGCTCACTTCCTGCTGTGTGGTCCAGTTTCTAGCAGGCCATGGACGGGTACCAGTTCGCGGTCCTAGGGCTGGGGACTCCTGCAGTTTAATACGTGTATTTTTCCGGGGAGTCGGGGGGAGGTGGGGGTAGGGTGATAGTAAACAGTTCAGTCCATGGCGACCTGGATAATATTATGGATGCTATTATTTTAGTTGCTTATAGGAAGGCTCTCATGTGTTGTCATTTAGTTTCGCTTCCCAGGCTTTATCTACCAAGGCTTATGATTTTTATAAGACATGGTCTTTTGAAGAATGATTGTATAACTTTACAAAGATATATCTGAAAACACTGTGCCCTACTAGAATAACCTTATATTGGGGAGTACCAGGTAGGTACTTCCCAGACTTTAGTGCAAATAATGTTTTTGCTCTCAAAATACACTTCTGTGTTTTCATTTTTCTAATAATAAAATCGGTATTTCCCTGGCTGCCAGGAGAAACAAAAGCTAAATCTAGAGCTTATTTTCAACAAGTAGTTTATCATACGTCCTTGATTTAGTTTTGCGCTGTCTTGCTCATGTACAAAGTTTCCAGTATATCTTGAGCACTTGCTGTGTTTTTTTTTTAAGTCACTGTCATTAATTATTGTTCTTACATGTGCTTATTTTCCATGTAAATTTCACAGCCTTTAAGCTGCTCATACAAAACCAATATTCAACTCAAGGCCTGGTAGACTGCAAACTTTAGAGTACAAGACTTGTACATTCCCCTCCCAGTATTGTTCTCATAAGTCTCAGGTCTTCTTACTGTCTTGTTTCATTTTTCACATTAATAAATTTAGGAGGATTGTGGTGACCTATTTGTCACAGGATATTGGGAGAAGATAATTTTATAAATTGCAATACTCTGAAGGACCAAAGGGCTTAAATTCTAGGAGCAATGTAAATAATACATTATACTTCAGCCCCAATTAATTTTCATAGACACAGAAAATAGAGAGTATGCATTAAGGGTTTTAAATTATTATTATTTCGAAAAGGGAGGAGCAGAAAATGCTCTGATGCTGCAATGCTGTATTGGAGTGCATTTCTGAGGCAGATAATGCTATTAATATGCTTGCTTTGGTTATAGTCATGTCATGGAAGCATACTAGGAAGCACAAAGCCCAGCTGATTGAAGAAGTTGCAAAGTAGCTTTAAAGTAGCACGTGATGACCCATTTTGCTAGGTGAAGGTGATTTTGTCCAGGTTATAAGACCCTTTAGGATGACAATGCATGCTTGGTTGAAGTTCTTGCATTTAGATTTACTACTAAACAAGTAAAAAAACAGTAAGAGAGGTCAACATTCACCTGCAGGAACAGCTTCACTGCCTGTCTTATTTCTCCTGAAGGCACATTCCAAGTCTGGTGGTCAAAGAAGCCCTTACAGAATAATAAATACATTATGTTAGAGACTACAAAAACAGGATTTTTTTATTAGCCTAAGGATGGGACTAAATTATAGTCAAAGGTCTCCCCTATTACCAGTAAAATCATTGTCATTCTTGCCTTGACAATGTTACTTAGTTCTATATTCTATTTCTTAATACTATGATCTGGCCTAAGGCAGTCTGGCTCATAGAATACTACAAGCATATGTATGATAAAACAAACAGAAAATAAAGCAAACCCTTCTGAATAGAGGTGTAAAAACGCTATTATCTAGATATTTATTTTCTGGGGTTTTTCCATTTGAAACTAAAACAATGCTTTTATAGGCAATGAATTCCTATGGTACAGGTGAATAATTTTCTCCAGGGAAAAAGACACTAGATAAAGATATTTCTTGAAACAAAAGACTATTATAGTTTGCTTAATGTCTAAAATACTTAGAATTGGATACTCTGAGTTGCTCTATAAAGAAGAGATTTTGATTGTTTTCTCTGAGAGAGTCACTGTAGGACCTTGGAGAACTTCTTGAAATTTTTTGAGACCCCCCCTTGGTACTTGTGACTATGAGCCATTATAATAATATAAAATTACCATTATGTATTATGTGTATAGCTCACATCATGGTTTATAGTAACTGAGCAACATCTTTCCATGATGAATGTGCTGCGGCGTTTTTAAAAATTTATAAAAACTTGAGCTACAATGGGACTTGAATGTGGTACTGTAGCTATTTTTTTCTGGATTTTATCAAATTTTCTTACATTTATTTCCTACAAACATACTAAACAATAAATCGCAGCAAAAGTAGGAAAATCCATAAGGTTCCTTTAATAAATTTATGCTCTCAATAATTCTCTATAGAACTGATTGAATGAATAGGAACAGAGAAAGCTTTTAGAATACAGAGAGCCATAGAGATTATTTTGAAAGCTTTACTTAAAAAGTAGCAAAAAGAACATCAACATAACTCAGATAATATTTTGAACTATATCATTCTTTTCTTCAATGATGTCTAAATACAACTCCCACATACTTCTTACATAATTTACTGGAGTTTCCCCTAATGACTTTGCTTGTGAGAATAAAGAAAAGTATTTTCCTTATTATTTTAAGTATAGCTAAGGAACTTGACTATTGTATACAAAACAAAAATAAGAAAACTATAGAAGATGGAGGAAAGAAAGCAGAGGAGACCTTGAGTCCTGAAACATTGAGGAATCCCTGGGTTTTCTTTTTGTCTCATATATTACAGATTTTGTACAGGAGACATTAGGAACACAGAAATGTAACAACCTTCACAACTTCTTGTGAATCTGTAATTATTTCAAAATAAAGAGCTTAATAAAAAAAGCTACTAACAACAAAAAAACCCACAACAATCCAGCCCATTAGTATATAACATAGATATAGTTTACAGCATGGTTTATAATAATTGATAAATATCCTTCCATGTGTAACATGGTATAATAATTTATAAAATCCATAAAACTTTCAGCTATAGTGGATTTTGATTGCCAAACTATAGTTCTTATATCTGGCTATCTCTTATTAAATTTTCTTAAATTTATTCTTTGTAAACACACTGACTAGTGGGAAAAAACAGGAGAATCTGTAAGGCCTCTTGAATAAAGTTGTGTTCAACATAATTATCTAAATATATAACTGACAATATGTATAAATAAATATATACTCTATCATTCATTCATGACAGAGTAGATAGATTACAAAAAACACACTGTTTTTCTACACGTTCACACAACACTTCTGACACAAGATGTGTGGGTATTTTCCACACCAAGCAATTCTCCAACTCTATGGACACCAGCTGGGTGCCCTAGAGTTTAATCCAATTTTGATACTATCTGTCTACCTACATTTAGCATCAGATTTCACAGGGTAAGGGCTCAGTCTCATAAGACTGGCCCCACTTCAGATGCCAAGTGCCAGGTCCAGTCCCCTATTACTTATGACTGACCACCTATAAGTCAGAAGTTTCAACTACTCCCTTCTTAGATTCAGTAATTTGCTAGAATGGTTTGCAGAACTCAGGGAAACACTTAACTTAAATGTGTTGGTTTATTATAAAGCATACAACTCAGGAAGAGCCAGATGGAAGAGAAGCATAGGGCAAGATATGGGGGAGGGCTGGGCGGTGGTGTTGCAGAGCTTGTAGGCCTGCTCTGGGTATACCATCCTCCCAGTAAACCCCCTGTTCAGCAACAACAAAGCTCATCAAATATCCTTGTTCAAGAGTTTTTATAGAGCATATTCTCTAGTCTCCCTCTGCTCCTCAGATGTCAGAAGGTGGGGCTGAAAGTGTTAACCCTCTAATCAATAGGCCTTTCTGTTGACAAGCACAATCCTGAGGCTATCTAGGGGCTCCAACCTAAGTCACTGCATTAGCATGAACACAGGTGTGATCAAAAGTGACTGATTATGAATAACAACAGATGCTCCTCTCAATCAGTAAATTCCAATGGTTTTAGGAGCTCTGCAACAGGAATCAAAAACAAAGACTAAATATGTATTTTATCACAGAGGAGAATTTAGAGACATCATTTTTCAATATTTATCTGACTAACAAAAGCTAAAACGATTTTAAATGATAAGGTTATCTAAATGTAATTTTTTATGTTGTTAAATTCTAACAAACCTTATGAGATAGCCAGTTCCTTTTTTAAATCATGAATATTGTTTAAAATTAGTATGATTCTATAAGCCACCTTTGCTTTCTGAGGCTTCAGTAATAAATGCAGGTATTATGATCAGATTTATAGTGGAACAAGGAAAATTGCAGCTGTTAAAATGTATAAATAAACTCTTTTCTAGGTTTTTAACTGTCCCTTTGAGTCACTGTGTTTTCTTGGGTGGCTTGGGATTTTGGATAACATTTTTTTGATGATTGAGATTAGAAAAAAAAAAACCCTAAGGAGTAAAGGAAATTAAAGGATAATTACTTCTTGGTGGCAGGAAACAAGACAGAACCAGCTAAGTTGCAGCTTCCCATTGTACCTTTGTCATTTTTATCTGGCTGTGATACAGAGAGCAAACCCTTACCTATTTTATCCATTGTTGCATAACAAACTAAGCCAAAACTTATAATAGCCACCATTTTATTAGTTTGCCAGTCTTGGGTCAGCTGCTGGGTTATTCCTCTGGTTCGGGTTAGCATGTTGGATTTCTACCATCAGCTGGTGATGTGACTGGGGCTGGTGATTTGCTTGGGGCTGAAGAGTTTAGGATGGTTGCAACTTTCTTGTTTGGCATTAGGGCTCCTCCGTTGGGATGGCTTGTTTCTGCTGCAGGTGGTTCCTACATTAGGCTAGCCAGGGCTTCTTTACATGAAGATAAAAAGATCCCCAACTGTAAAAGGGAAGAGATTAAGATTGTAAAAGTTGTTTTCAAGCCTCTGCTTACTCCTGCTTGTTAATATCCAATTAGTTATGGAATCTAATACAGAAGCAATAAGCAGAGAGATAGATCTCACCTCCTAATAGCAAAGTCATATTGCAAGGGTACATGCATTGAGGAAGAGAGGAATTTGTGGCCATTTTTTTTTGGTAATTGATTAATACATTATTAGGCACGATAGAAAGCTCTCTTTTCATAAAATTACTGATAAAATTATTTGTAAATATCAACAATGTTTTGTTTCTACAGTAATCAGCTGAAATCCAAATGTAGCTTTATTATACTGGGCATTTGTTTGTAGTTGTGGGTGTTAACAAAAAGGAGTCCCAATCCAGACCCCAAAAGAGGGTTCTTGGATTTCTCACAATAAAACATTTGAGGTGAGTCCACAGGGTAAATTGAAAGGAAGTTGATTAAGAAAGTAAAGGAATAAGAGAATGGCTAGTCCTGAGGGCTGCTGGTTGCCTATTTTTATGGTTATTTCTTTATTAAAGAAGGAGTGGATGCTAAACAAGGGGTGGATTTTTCACGCTTCCCCTTTTTACAACATGTAGGGTACCTTCCTGACGTTGACATGGCATTCATAAACTGTCATGGCACTGGTGGGAGTGTAGCAGTGAGGATGACCAGATGTTACTCATGTCGCCATCTTGATTTTGGTGGGTTTTGTCTAGCTTCTTTACTGCAGCCTCTTTTATCTGCATCCTTATGACCTGTACTTTGTGCCAATCTCCTGTCTCATTCTGTAACTGAGGATGTCTAACCTCCTGGGAATGCAGCCCAGAAAATCTTAGCCTTATTTTACCAAGCCCCTAGTCAAGATGGAGTTGCTCTGGTTCAAACACCTCTGACATAGGCATTCAAATGAAAGTTTCTCTGTGTTTTAGTCTATAGTGTGCAAGAGATAGCATAAGAAAACATAATGATATTTTAAAAAGAAAAATTTAGTCTTTGGGTCAATTGAAAATGAGTGCTTGATTGTTTATTTTGATTACATTTAAAAAGAAACACCAGTAATATGGCATCTATAGGAGGAACAGGTAAAAAAGTTAAATGAAGTTAACTGCTTTTCTGTTCAAATTGAAGCTTCACTACATAAAATCAATAATGTGAACTGATAAAAACAAATCAAAGGTTATTGGCAGAAAATACACAGGAAGCAATAAAATACCCACACAAACTGTGAATTAGCAAAGTAGAAGAAAATATTTTAGTATGCAGAAGAAAAAACAGTCTATATAGCATAGTGCAGAGATACCAGTTCAATAAAGGTGCTATTTTAGATGAGGAGGGGAAGACAATTGGACATTCTACCATTGTGATGCAAGTGCAAAGATCCAAGATGATTGTGACATTCTGAATCATGATTTGCTTTGTTTCTGTATTCTTGCTGTTCTTTTATGTTACAGGTACCAGCTGGTTCTTCTTATTTACTGTTTAAGACAGGAAATATACATGGTGAACCAATCCTAGACAAATAGTTTGCTGTCGCAGAAAGCTTGCAGTTAAGAGACATGAGCAAGTATAACAAATAACAAAACAAGGCATGAATATTGACTCCCCTGTGGCTTAAATACTTAAAGAGGCAGGGAAACTTCTTGGAAAATAGGGAGAGAAAAGTGATAAAATAATTAGTAAAATGTACGAAGGATTATTATTAATCCTTCCTTGTATCTCTGAATTATTTTATTGCACAAAATGCTGAGGGGTCATGTCACCTTGGCTAAAAATCTGTGTGTCTCTGAGTGTCAAAATCAAGCATAGGAAAATTAAAGAAGGGTGAGCAATAAACCTGTGAAAAATGTGTGGGTTGTTTGTAAAATTATAATAGGCAGTGATCTGATTAGATTAAAATCATGAAAAAGTATCTTATATTTCATTTTTAGTAAATAACTCATGACATTTACATTTTATAGATAGTGGATACCTTATATTTTATAGAAACATTTTGATACAATTTATAAATTCTTTTGGGACCTCTAAATTCTTTGTAGAGCTAGGTAGTCTTAATCTCAAAGATTATTAGAAAGACTAACTTAAAGAAGTGTATAAAATTTATCCTGAATGGTATCCCAATGATATTAAAGGATTTTTAAAGGGTAAAAATTAATCAAATTTGCATTTTAGAAAGATCATTGTGATAACACTAAGGTAGAAGTCAGTAGAATTAGGAGGATATGACTATAATCCAGTTAATAAGGGATGAGAGCTTGGAGAATGGCAGGAGACATAGCAAAAGTGAAAGGATTTCAAAAGATTTAGAAAGAGAATGGATAGGTCTTAGTAATTGATGAAGTCAGTCAGTAATTGAGAAAAAAGTTAATAGTTAACAATATCATATGTAGTTGTGCCATTTACTAGCATAAGGAATACAGAAAAAGGCACATATTTTGAAATTTTGTGTTGAGTTGCTTATGAGACATCCAAGTGAAATGTCCAAGAGGTATTGAATATGAAGATCAATAGAGAATTCCAAACTAAGTCCACAAGGGTTGGAAACAGCATATTCACATTCAGTCCGGAGTTATTAAATATGTGCAGTGTGACGTATGTACTGAGCTAGTTGCTGATGAGACAACAGTGAACAAGACATCTTTGCTCAAAGAATATAATTGGAAATTGATGCACTTGACACATTTGATTGAATCCACTAGTTGGGTGTAAATGCAACCTCAGTCACCTGTTTTGCAAATACTTAATTTGGAGCATCATGGAATTTGTTAAAAAAGTACTATTATAATCTCCTTTTTTGATAAATGTGTGTGTGTTTTTCTTCAGTGCAAAAGGAATATATACTCATTATAGAAGTTACAGATAAGCAAGATAAAATAACTTATTCACAGATATTTACAGTGTGCTTAATACATATCAGATATTGTGCTATGTGCTGACAATAAATTTCTTGTTTCTCTGTTCCAGCCAAAGAGAAATGTGCTTGCTTCCTATCATGCCGGAGTTTTCCATGTGTAGTAGACTCTTTCTTTTGTTCTTCTTCTCTACTTTAACCTTGTTTAATACTGTTTGCCCTTCCAGGTTCCACCTATGGGTTCCTTACTCTGGGATGCCTCCTTTGACTCATACCTTGCAGGCAGATGGAGTTATGTGCTTCCACGGTGTCTTACACTTATCCAGCTCTCGGCATATTTCCCAACATGTTGTAATTGCCCATTTGTTAACGCTAGGTGATTTGGCTAAAAATAATTTGGCCAAAAGCATATTGGTCAGCTTCAGAGTATATATAAAATGACACTTTGATTGAAAAATCAATATTTCATCACAGGATTTGGTTTTTCTCATTGATGATTTTGGCATATGTAAAGGTCATTTGCAACTCTTCATGATTCATACATTTTGCTCATTCTTTCACTAATTATTTCTGATTTTTTCATCTTTTAAATAATATTTCCTCATTTCTGGCCAACTTCCTACCTTGTAAACTTTGTGCAATTTAAAAATGTTGACATAACTTTTCAGATTAGTTCAAACAAAATTAATGATTAATTATAGTGACTGAGATGAAAAGCTGGAAAACTCTGCAGGTCTTAAAAGCCTCTGGAGACATACATTTCAGCAGATGACCTGAAGATCACCTTCTAGTACTTGACCTTCACTGTTAGAAGCTGTATTTCAGTGACAACTGTTCTCTGATTTGAACTTACTGTTGTCACTTACCTGGAGACATCAAAAAATAGAATTGCATGCTCAATAATTGATATTTATTAGTCTTTATTGTAAACACAATATTATAGAACATTTAACGTGTGATTTATTCATGCTAGAGCTATAAGATTATGTTTCATCTTTTAAATTTAGCTGAAAGATATAAGATCCCTTGGACAGAGAATCAAAAGAGCGTAAGAGCCAGTATTCCAAAGCCTCATGATCCCCAATCTATGTCTACAGTTCCAGGTTCAAAAGATGGGTCATCACTAGGAAAACTGGTTTGGCATTTTTGCTTGATTATAGAGTGGCCCTTTCTATAGGCTACATGATGACCTGGTTAGGTTTTATCCAATTATGTTGATCTCCACATTGCTCATTGTTTTTGATCCTTTACATCCACTCTGTGGGAAAAATTGTAAGAGGTAACATGGCTTTTTAAATGTCTAGAGTTCTTCAATTATGTCTATGTTGGCAACAAGCCTGTTGGAATCAAGGCATCATGGATTAAGCCAGAGTGATGTCACTTTCTGCCTTCCTGCAATGCCCTCCACTCTGAGCTTTATCACCGGCTACAGAGCTCTCGTCTGTGGCCGATCAACACACAGAGACCTGGTGACTGGCCAGTAGCCACAATGCATTTATTGTAGTTATGTGTATATTCCAGAACATCTGTAAAATCACTTCACATTTTATACAAACTACTTTGGGAACAATAGCGTCTTTGGGTTCTGAGTGTCTTTGCTTTTTAAAATTAAAACATTGATTGGAAACATAGACACTTGAGTTCTACATTGCACATTCAGAAGAAGACAAAACTAAGTACTTATTCAGTGTTTCAGGGTCTTCTTCAGACAGATAGTACCTGGAAGGCAGGACTGCTGTTTTATTCTATATCATGGGGAATAGACTAGTGCCTGGAGCTTCTGAAATGGAATTATTAACTTCTTCTTCTGTGCTCCTTTCTTTTAATAACACATTCATATCACCATATATTCATTAAACCAATAAATATTTTTTAAAACCTTAGAAAATGCCAAGCAGCATCCTAGATGGTAAAGGTGAGTAGTGAGCAAAACAGAGAAAGTTTTTTTCCTCATGGAGTTTATAGATTTTTTTAAATTCAGAAATAAACATTTATAGATGATGTTTTAATGCTTTATTATGGCATATGACTTTCACTCAAGTGTGGTTACTTAAAAGACAGGGACATTGTAAACTGTCATATTTCTCTTTATGGCCTGGATATCAAATATGCAATGATAACTCATCTGACCTCAGAGTATCCATTCTTTCAGTGTTTTACCTTAGGTGTGCAAAGAAGGTAGCTGGGAAGCCTTAGACTATACCTGTCATTCTCTTTGTTGATGTCACCAAGTATGTGACAACAAGTGGTTAGAATTAGGTAGCAATTGTTACTAAAGTAAAGCTTCTAATACTGAAGGTCAAGTGCTAGAAGATGACACTAAGGTCTCTTAGTGAGATGCATGTCTCACAATCACTGATAACAGAATGATGGAGACTTTGGCAAAGACTCTTACTTCTATAATCAGATCTCTATTTAGCACAGTGACTACTAGTAATGTTACTGTGGAAAGGTCTTAAGTTTCTTTTCTTCATCTTTTAGGTTATATTGGTTGGGACTGTTTAAATTCCCTTCAGTAATCCTCAATACTTTGATAATTTTTCTTGTTTGCTTATGATGGTGAGGATGAGAAAATTAGCCATATTCTGCTGAAGGAGCTATTTAATCTTTTGATTTTTTTCCCTGCATATACAAACTCTCCAGGTAGTAAAACTCTAGCTCATGACTCTGTAAAAAGTACAGTAAAAACCTACATTTGTCAGACTTTGCATTTTTATTCCCTGGTTCCTAATGAAAGGTGATGACCCAGTGCCTCCCTCGTCCCCAGTGTTTGAACGAAACTAGAGAAATAATGTCAGCTTTTTGAACTTACCCTATCCATGGTAGAAGGAAAAGAATGTATGGGAGGGGAAGATGGTCCTGATTATAAGGGATGTCTGGGACCAGATCCATGTAGCAACATTTCTCAATATACAGGACAAAAAGCCACTAAAAGACAAAATAATAGGAAGATGCAGACGACAAGTCATTCTACAGTTTTTGAGGTTCGTGATTATTTTGAGCTGAGACAGGCACAAGGGCAATATATCTGCTGGCAAGAACAGTAGGCTTTACCAAGTAGAAAAACGGCAGAAGTGTGGAGGTTGAGAAGTTCTGTTGTTCCACTCTAACCACCATGGTTGAGCAGGAAGAAGATGAGACCACTAACCAATTTTAAACATGAAAATGAAATCATAAAAATTATTCTTGAAGAAATCATAAAAATTATTCTTGAAATGAAATCATAAAAATTAGTCTTGCTTTAGAGTGGAGACCTGTCATGTGCTGGTAAATCTGTTGAAGTGTTTGCTGCTTTTTGTAGTATAGATATTTTCCCCGTGAGTGATTTTAAGTTACCTGTAGTTTGAAAATCCACTCAAAAAATCACTAAGCATTTAACGATTGGTTCTCATGAACCAGCAGGAACTGGCTTCAATATACCACTGGTTAGTAGATTTCTTTTGGTGTTACCCTTTGCTTTTTCATACGTCAAGTCCAGGGGCAGGTCATCCTGGTAGAAGGCTGTTGCCATAATTCAAACATTAGAATATGGATGAAGATGAACAAACTGATGGAATTCTAATGAGGATGGGGAAAGAAGTTTTTTGTCTAAAGGAAAAAGAGATTTACACTGAATGTGGTGAATTAGGGAGTGGAAAGATGCGAAGTGACTATAACCTTGGATATCAGGCTGGGGAGTGGTCCCATTCACCAAGATAGGGAAGACAGGAAGAATATTAGTTTATAAAGAGTGAGCTGGGTAATCAAATTCAATTTTGGATATGCTGAATTTGAGGTACATATAGAATCCCGAAGAGAGTTGTTCTAATATAGAATTGATGATTGTTAGCACAAAGTCCTTGATAACGGGAATAAGGATAGAATAAAGGACACACCTGGTGAACATTCTCTCATTGTAGGAGGAGGAAAGAAAGAAAGGGAAAAATGTGAGCCCTAATAGCTTTGTTATTGCCCTGAAAGGAAGTGGAAAGGGTTCTTTGCTGATGTTCCTAATTTACTCAGAAAAGTGGGAAGCACAGCCGTGTGTTGAGGCCGAAGCATAAGTAATATAGGAGCTGTGAGAAGACATTTGAAAATTTAGGGATATCTATTAAGGGAAATCATTAGAAGAAACAGCTGAAGGAAAGTTTCCTAGGGAGTATTAATGACCCAAATGAAATTAAGTTTGTAGTGGTTTTGATTCAATGTTTTAAACAGCTACATGCTTTTGTGGTAATCACATAATATTGTTAAAAATTCTCTTACTCAGGCTTTCCATTCATTTCAAATAGTCTAAGAACCAAATCATTGTATATTTCTAAAGCAAACATTTTATGGTGCTTCACTTCTAAAAGTTTTGTATATTATTCATTCATTTAATCCTAACAGTGATCCTGGGGGGCAGGCTTTATTATTTTTCCCATTTTAAAGATGAGGAAATGTAGTCTTGGAGCATTTGTGACTTTCCCAAGGTCACATGGTACAGCTGAGATTGCAACCACTTTCACTGGCTCCAGAGCTGGTGCTTTTACTTATTTCACACATTTCTTATAGATTTATATAGTATTTATAGGATTTTGTCATAAATATTATTTATTTTATTTTATTTTATTGCATTTTATCATTATGCAAACCAAATTAACAGAGTATAAAACAAAAAATGTAAAATCAAAGCAACAAATAATGAGTAATTTTATACAGTTTTACTTATCGATACTTGGGGAAATAAAGATTCAACACAGAAAACAAAATTATAGATAGCAAAGCCCTTAAAGAATGGAAGAAACATCTTGTATGACACTCTATGTGGAAGTTGTTTTACTCTTATCAGAAGTCGAGAAAAACTGTACATTTTCTTTGATACCAGCATAGAAGTCATTCCCTGGCAGTCATATACAACCATAGTATTTAAAAGATCTCTGCAGAATAATAATAACATGAATAAAATATCAGAATTATAGGAGAACACATAATAAAGACTATATATTAAGGACTGGACTTTCTGTAGCTTGAGATGTCTCTGAAATTGCTATGTCGGTTGTGTTACAAGGATGCGTTCAATCTAAGTTAAGCTAAGTGGCAAGAGAAAAGATGGGCAGTTCCCTAATGGCTCATGGCTGTAAGTTTTACTAATATCTAAGAACAAAGCATTTTATATCATGCATATTGTGGTCTCTTTATATAACCATATACTAACATTAAGATTTGTTACTTAGAAAATTGAGTTACAATGATTTTATTAATTCCAACTTATGAACTAAGAAAACATAACTCCAATATTTTTTTAACAAGACAAGAAGACAAACCTGACATTTACAGTTAAGGTTCTAGTGGACGGGGATAGCTGGTCAAGTAAATTGAATCCCTCACAGAATTTCTTCTTATCAAATCTGGTTCATGCATCTCCAAAAACATTACAATATCACCGCACCTTACATCATTTTGTAAGTTTTATTAATAATATATTTTAAATTATATCATCTTGGACTTAGTGAATGATTACCTACAAAACAGAGCTGTTGGTATCTCCAGCTATTTTGCTGTGATACCACTAAGTTTGCTGAGAGTCCATCAGCTTTAGTCTCACCACGATTTAAAAGCATTAATCCAAAGAGCATCATGCTTTTACAAAAGCCCTGTGGCATCCCAAACTCATTTATATTGTATTAGTGACTAATTCAGTAATATATAGCATTTTTGTTAATCTAATAACCTGAATAGTGAGTTTGAAATAACTATACGGTGCTTCTTTAAGGATGAAAATTTGGTACATTTCTGAAGAGTTTCTCTACTTCTATTTTCTCATCACGCTAACCCATAACACATGTCAATTTACTTTGATAACATCATTACTGTGTGTGTGACAAGGTGATGATTCAAAGCTGGGTGACACATAACAAATGTATTCAGTGAGTTCACTGTGTTGTAGTAAAGATATAGTTCATGAGGCAATCTAGAGTAGAAGTATATTAATTAAATACATATTTATCAGATATCTGCTAAGTGCCAGACTCGTATACACAGTGCAGTCATAGAGTAATGAAATAGTTAACCTTCAGAAAGTTAGCAAGTTAAAAAAAAAGATGACATCTGGACCAGGTGGTGCTACAATTAAGGAAGCAATACATACAAAGGTATAGAGATGTAAAATAGTGGAAGTTCAGCATATACAAGGGGTGTAGTATTGCTGAATTATGGAGTATGAAAAGCAGAAAATTCAGCAAGGAAAATATGAATTGTTATAAAATCTTCCTTAATTATGACTGTAATCACAAGCTACTGTTCTCATAACTTTAGGTGTTTCTCATTTCGTATCATCAATCCTGAATATTTCTACATGAAAGTAATGATTTTCTTAAAAAAAAATACTAGCCCACCTGTTCATCCTTACTTGTTTTTTTCACTTTATGCACTATTTTTTTTAATTTATTTTATTTTTTTGAGACCGAGTCTCCCTCTGTCGCCCAGGCTGTATTGAGAATGACATCATCAACATATTATACGGAAATATTAGGCAATGGGCAATTTTCTTCATATTTCATTATTTAGTATAATTCTTAATCAATAGATGAAAGTCTACAATAAACATGAAGGCAGTTTACCTACTCTTCATTTAAAACACTGCCTGGAGGTGACTGGTGTGCCAGACAGCCTGGAGACGCTGTATTGATAGCTGAGTCTCTAAGTAAATCAATGGATTCGTGCCTTGAAACCCATTCAAAAAGCATTTTTACCAATCCATTGAAGAATACTGAAGATAAAATTGTAATGGAAAAGCCTTCCGTGAGTGGGGTCATCCATTCTTGTGCTTTGTTTTTGCTTTCTAATACAAAAGGTAACTAATTCGTCTTAACAGGTCATCACTTTTTTAGTCTTCTTTCAGACTTATGCTCTCTTCTATGTGATCCTCTCTAAGAAGAAAGGCATTTGTTGATTTCACCTTACACAGCCAACTGCAAACTTGGAGTATCTTGGCTCAATCAACAAAACCTGCATTTTGCAAAACATTATCCCTGAATGATTTTATACAACGTTTCTTAAATTTTACCTTTCTTAATAGAGGAAAGTCTATTCATTGCTCCATAGGCATAACTTATATATTAGGATTATGCATGGCTATTTTTTTACTAACATAGATACACAATAATGACTCTTTGCCATCTTTTGAGTTCCTATAAATTATAGCATATTCTTTTGGTATTTTCATCTGTGTAACTACCCATTTCTCCTCCATCTTGATTGAGATGGGACAGTTATCTTTTGGGATTGGCCTCTGTCCAAATCTGGATAAAGACCCATTGTTTGGTTCAAAGACGAACTAAAGAGACTCACGGAGATTTAGACCAGGGCTGCTCATATACGTGAAAAACTTTTTTCTACTGAAGCTAGAAGGATGGCAAGCTGGAATTACTATAGCCATCTTGCTTTCATCTTTTGTTTATTTATTTACTCAACAAATATCTCTGCTACATCTACCATGTGCCAAGCATAGGCACTCAGAATACAGAAATGAACAAAATAGACAAAAGTTCTGGAAAATTACATGTATGGATCATCCTGAAAATGATTAACATGGTTAACCCACATAAATTAGAAGTGAGAAACTAGAGGATCTGGGTTTTGTCAACACTGTTTAGGTCCCAGAATCAAGCCTGGATGAAAAACTTCATACTGGCATAAAAAATTCTATTTCTCAAGCCAGTGTATTTTTTTCTTAAGCTGGTATGGGTTAAATATTCTGTCACTTGTGTTCAATGGTATCCCAATGAATACTCAAGCTTAACCTCATTTATACTATAAAAATTGTTATTTAATATTACTTGCATATTCTGTCCTGTTGTAAATTCTTATGTCCTCAGTTTTCTTCTTGCTATCACCGCCTTATATTTTCAGTTCATTTTGATGATCCTAAGAGCCCTATTGAAAAAATATAGGCATGGCATCATAATTTCCATTTATGGCTGAGAAAATTCAGAATAAAGTCCAGAAAATATAAATGTCATTTCTGTTCCTTATGCTAGGGACTTGTGATATAAATCAGGAAAGAGAACAGGCATGTATAGATGTAGTCACTTCTGATTATATAAACACATATATTCTACATTGATCAAAGGTATAATTTATAATTTACCATCAATCTGATATTTTTCTCTAAATTATTACTTGCAATGTGGACTCTTTAAGATTTACATGTTGTTTTAATGCTGTTTTTGGCACACTAATCATATTATTTAAGCAAAAGTAACATGTCATAATGAAGTAGTTTTAAACAGAAAATACAATTGTATAATGACGTTTTATGATTTCTACTTATAATATTCCCTTCATTTTTCATTAAAGCTATCTGGTTTTTGGTATGATATCATATTTTCATTCAATGTGGGAAACAAAAATATCCAAACTATAGATTAAAATATTTCTTATTTTGCTGGGTTATGCAATTAATGTACCGTGTTAAAAATACTTTTTTGCTTATTACAGACAATGAAAAAATATAGAAAAATATAAAGTAAATAAAAATCACCCCTAATTCTGCAATTAACTGATATTTTTATACATTTCTTTCCAGGATGTATTTAAATAAATAGATTAATTTATAGACATTTTTAAATGACTAATTTCTTACCTAAGGTATTAGATGCTGATTTTCATCACTTGCTCCTATGTTTTGAGCATCTTTTTATTCAATATTAAAAGAAAGATTTTAATAACTCATCATCATCCAACTTACAGCATAATTAATTCAAATGCTGCTTTATGGTGCAAATTTATATTGTTTCTAATTTTCATCATTTTAAACAACATTATAATCTGTTCTTTTATTTCATATTGTTTATCTGCACCTCTAATTATTCAATAAGAAAAAATTCTTGAAGTTTATTTTTAAAATGTGAAACAGAATCATTTATTTTAAATTTTTTTTGTTTATTAATCAGTATAACTCAGTTTCTTTCTCCACTTTTCCAGTGACATAGTTTCTTTATTGTTTTTTTGTAATCTCTGTATTATAGTTAAATTAAAAATTAACTCTTTGTCTCCCATAATCATTGCCAGTATTTCTCTAGATCTTTTGTTTTCAATCTCATTTAAGAGATTGTTGGCATAAAAATATTTGCTTTACATGCTGAAATCATTTTTATTATTTATTTTTCTTTGTGATTTTTTGCAATGTATTTTTGTTCAAAAAAGTATATGTCCATTCTTATATCATTTACATAATATTTAAATAAACTTGTAAATATCCTTTTAGAATATATGATAACAATTTGTAACTTAAGTTTCTTAATTAATGGGGAACTAGGTTTGAATTATTGTACAAGGCAATACTTGTGTTTTTCTTTGTTTTAATTTAAATACCTATTTTATCCAAATCATTTGTTGCTTAATTTGTATTTTCCTCACTGACTTTAATGATTTATTTATTGTATAATTATTTATATATAAGAACATGTATTTCTGCTATTTGTATTTTTGGGATCTATTTACAGATTTTTTTCTAGCACTATAGTGAATTAATTTTTATAGCTACATCTTAGCTAATATCTAATATATCTATATCACTTTTATTTTTATAATATTTTATATCTTTATATTTACAGATAAAATCATGTTTCATAAGCTCCATAATAATTCATTTATTATATTCATTTGACTTATTTTAATCTTATATGTCAGTGAAATTAGATTATTAAAAAAATTATACTTTTCCTGAAACATGAAGTGTATCTCTGTTCATTTGAATCTTCTGTAATATCTTTTATATATATAAATATATTCATACATGTATGTATTTACATTTCTTTTTTAAATTTCCCACATATTTTTCTTTCATATCAGTCAGCATGGAGTACAGCAAAAGTATTGCTCGTTAGATATTTCAAATATTAGGGAATTTTAAACATGATATTTGTTGCTTAGAGCATGATTAGAAGGGCTACATTAAACCTAAAACCATAAAAAACCCTAGAAGAAAACCTAGGCATTACCATTCAGGACATAGGCATGGGCAAGGACTTCATGTCTAAAACACCAAAAGCAATGGCAACAAAAGACAAAATTGACAAATGCGATCTAATTAAACTAAAGAGCTTCTGCACAGCAAAAGAAACTACCATCAGAGTGAACAGGCAACCCACAAAATGGGAGAAAATATTCACAACCTACTCATCTGACAAAGGGCTAATATCCAGAATCTACAATGAACTCAAAGAAATTTACAAGAAAAAAACAAACAACCCCATCAAAAAGTGGGCAAAGGATATGAACAGACACTTCTCAAAAGAAGACATTTATGCAGCCAAAAAACACATGAAAAAATGCTCACCATCACTGGCCATCAGAGAAATGCAAATCAAAACCACAATGAGATATCATCTCACACCAGTTAGAATGGCAATCATTAAAAAGTCAGGAAACAACAGGTGCTGGAGAGGATGTGGAGAAATAGGAACACTTTTACACTGTTGGTGGGACCGTAAACTAGTTCAACCATTGTGGAAGTCAGTGTGGCGATTCCTCAGGGACCTAGAACTAGAAATACCATTTGACCCAGGAATCTCATTACTGGGTATATACCCAAAGGACTATAAATCATGCTGCTATAAAGACACATGCACACATATGTTTATTGCGGCACTATTCACAATAGCAAAGACTTGGAACCAACCCAAATGCCCAACAATGATAGACTGGATTAAGAAAATGTGGCACATATACACCATGGAATACTATGCAGCCATAAAAAAGGATGAGTTCATGTCCTTTGTAGGGACATGGATGAAATTGGAAATCATCATTCTCAGTAAACTATCGCAAGAACAAAAAACCAAACACCACATATTCTCACTCATAGGTGGGAATTGAACAATGAGAACACATGGACACAGGAAGGGGAACATCACACTCTGGGGACTGTTGTGGGGTGAGTGGAGGAGGGAGGGATAGCATTGGGAGATATACCTAATGCTAGATGATGAGTTAGTGGGTGCAGCGCACCAGCATGTCACATGTATACATATGTAACTAACCTGCATATTGTGCACATGTACCCTAAAACTTCAAGTATAATAATAAAAAAAAAGGAGGGAGAATCAGGGGACACCTGTACCTCACTGATTTTGAGAACACTCCTATGTTTGTAACCCAGAGATCAGAAAACTACCATTGCTTTCTCTGCAACTATTCATGAATTTTTGGCTGGCTACTAGATGTGAAGCATGGCCACTGCAACTGTCTCTCAGTATTGGTGTGGTTATGACATTGCTTGCTGTCAGAAGGGCACCTGGAAGAGAGCTTCTGCTTAATTTCTGTCTTTCAAATTTGGGCAGCAATACCGTTCGTTACTAAAATCTATTTTGCATCCGAAAGTTTAGCTTCAATGTAGTCAAGTAAATGTCGATTTTAGGTTAGGAATATCTGCAAAATTGAAAGTGAGTGTCAAATCCATAAGGGCAATCTTAATGAGTGTTTTTTATTCCATCTTCTCACAAGTTACTGCTGATGTGTAGTAATTCCATTGTGTTTGAATGTTTCTTACAGTGTCTTTATTTCTAATTCAAATTTGTTTCATGCAACACTAGCCATAAAAACAAACATAATTTCCAGTTATAAAAATGATTATTTGTACAAAATATCTGAAAAAATTAGATTAATTTAGATAATTAAATTAATATTTCATTAATAAACATAATTTAGATTAATAATGCATGGGAAATTATACTATCAATAATGTCAGAAAAAAGTCAAAATGTAATTCTTGGTAAGTACTTATTTAATAATATTATTCTTTACTTCTTGACCTAAAAACTAGTAACTCATACTGTTGAATGTATAGTATATAACTGGATTTTTTGGTTCATTGTTTTCATATGCTGTGTTTTAATCTGGTTTATTTTACTATGAGTTTTGAAAGATATTAATAATGAATTTGAAAAAAAATTTCCCTACACATTTATTTCATAACTCAGAAACCAAATTATTTTTTAATTTTCAATGCAATAGATGCTGTCCATGTGACCAGGTTACATAAATTCTGCATCTGACAGTGATGTGACAAGAGAGGTAGAGAAAGATGGCCAAAATAGAAGGCTCCCTCTGTCATCCCCTCTACAAGAACACCAAATTTAACAACAATCTACACACAAAAAAGTACATTCATAAGAACTAAAAATCAGGTAAGCACTCACAGTATCTGGTTTTAACTTTATATCACTGAAGGAAGCACTGAAGAAGTTAGGAAAGACAGTTTTGATTTGCTGATGCCACCCCTCCTCCAACCCATCACAGTAGCTGTGGCATAGAGAGAAAATCTGTATGCTTGGAAGAGGGAGAGTGCATCAATTGTGAGACTTTGCTTAAACTCACTGCTGCCCTGTCATACCAGAAAGCAAAACTGTGCTGAACTCAGCTGATACTTGCCCACTGAGAGAGCATTTAAACTAGCTCTAACCAGAGGGGAATTGTCCATACTAATGGTCAGAACCTGAGTTCTGGCAAGCCTTACTTCCGTGGGCTAAAGGGCTCTTGGGCTCCAAATAAACTAGAGAGGCAGACTAGGCCATAATGACTGCGACTCCTAGGTAACTCCTAGTGCTAAAGCTGGCTCAAAGCCAGTGGACTAGGGGGGCATGCAACTTACTGAGGCAGCAGCTGGGGTGGCTAAGACAGTGCTTGTGCCACCCCTCACCCAACCCCAGGTGGCATAGCTCATGGCTTCAAAAGAGACACCCTCTTTCTGCTTTAGGAAAGGAGAGGGAAGAGCACAGAGGACTTTGTCTTGCTTATTGGATACCAGCTCAGCCACAGTAGGATAGAGCACCAGGTAGAGTCATGAGGCTCCCCTTTCTAGGCCCTGTCTCCCAGACAACATTTCCAGAAAGACACATCCTCTGCCAGAAGGGAATCTGCTGCCTTGAAGAGAAGGACTCAGTCCTGGAAGAACTCATCACCTGATGAATACAGAGTCCTTGGGCCCGGAATAACCGCAGTGATACTCAGGTAATATGTCATCAGCCTTTGGTGAGACTCTGAGACATGCTGACTTGAGATGAGACTCAGCATATTCCCAGAAGTGGTGCCTATGAAGAGACTCTGATTGAGAAAAGCAGAGGGAAAAGTAAAGAGAACTCTGAACATGGCCTTGCATCTTAGGTACCAGCTTGGCCACTGCGGGATAGAGAATCAAACGGGCTCTTCCAGTCTCTGATTCTAGGCCTAAGTTCTTGGATGGCATTTCTGGACCAGCCCTGGGACAGAGGCAGTCCAGTGCTCTGCTTTGAAGGGTTAGTGCCAGGCCAGTCAGCATTCAACATAAGCTGACTGAAGAGACCTTGGGCCTTAAGTGTACATTGTTGGCAGCCTGGCTGCACTCCCTATGGGCCTGTCATGATGGTAGCCATGGGATGAAGCTTTTCTGCCTGTGGAAAGGGGAGAGAAAAGTGGGAAGGAATGTATCTTGTGGTTTGACTGCCAATTCATCCACTGTATGATAAAACACCAGTTTGAGTTCTAAGGCTTTTGACTCCAGTCCTTGAGTCCCAGAAATTACCTTTAGACTTGCCTAGCATCTTGGGAGAACTCGCTGCCCTGAAGGGTAAAACACAAGCCTAGCTGGCTATGAAACCTGCTGATTGTAGAGCCCCAGGTGCTGACTGTAGTGCCCCAGGGCCTTGGAGAAACATACGCAGTAGGCACGCAGTTGTTACAGTAAGCCTTGGATAAAACCCAGTGCTGTACTGGCTTTAGGTCTGACCCAGAGCAGTCCCAGTGGTGATGGCCACAGTGGTGCTTGTGTCACTCTACTCCCAGCTTCAAGTATCTCAGAACAGAGAAAGAGGCTCTGTTTGGTAGAAAGTAATTGAAGAGAACAAGAGTTTCTGCCTGGCAATCCTGAGAATTCTTCTGGATCTTATCCAAGATCGGCAAGGCAGTACCTCTACAAGTCAACAAGAGTTTCGGCCTGGCAATCCAGAGAACTCTTCTGGATCTTATCCAAGATCGGCAAGGCAGTACCTCTACAAGTCTGCAAGAACCAAAGTGTTACTGACCTTGGGGTGCCCCTGATGCAGATATGGCTTAGATCACAACACCTAACTCCTTTTGAACATCTGAAAAGCCTTCCTGATATGGTTTGGCTATGTCCCCAACCCAAATCTCATCTTCAAATGTAACTCCCACAATTCCCATCTGTCATGGGAGGAACCTGGTGGGAGGTGATTTAATTATGGGAGTGGTTCTTTCCTGCACTGTTCTCGTGATAGTGAATGAGTCTCATGAGATCAAACGTTTTTTAAAACAAGAATTTCCCTGCACAAGCTCTCGGTTTTTGCCTGCTGCCATTCATGTAAGATGTGACTTGCCCCTCCTTGCCTTCTGCCATGAGTGTGAGGCTTCCCAAGCCATGTGGAACTGTAAGTCCATTAAACCTCTTTCTTTTGTAAATTGCCCAGTCTTGGGTATGTCTTGTTTTTTTTTTTTTTTTGTTTTTTTCTGAGATGGAGTCTTGCTATGTTGCCCAGACTGGAGTGCAATAGTATGGTCTTGGCTCACTGCAACCTCCGCCTCCTGGATTCAAGTGATTCTCCTGCCTCAGCCTCTCAAGTAGCTGGGACAACAGGTGTGTGCCACCACACCCAGCTAATTTTTGTATGTTTAGTAGTGACGTGGTTTCACTATGTTGACCAGGCTGGTCTGGAACTCCCGATCTCATGATCTGCCTGCCTCTGCCTCCCAAAGTGCTGGGATTACAGTCATGAGCCACCACACTGGCCTGGGTATGTCTTTGTCAGCAGCATGAAAATGGACTAATATACTTCCTGAGAAAACGGGTACAAACAAGCCCCGGCTACAAAGACTACCTTAAATCCCTAACTCTTCAATGCCTAGACACAGACAAACATCTACAAGTATCAAGGCAACCCAGGAAGACAGGACTTCACCAAATGAGCTAAATTAGGCACCAAGGAACAATCCTAGAGAAGCAGAGATATGTCACCTTTCAGGCAGAGAATTCAAACTAGCTGTTTTGAGGAAACTTAAAGAAATGAAAGATCACACAAAGAAGGAATTCCAAATTCTATCAGGTAAATTTAAGAAAGAGATTAAAATAATTAAAAAGTATCAAGCAGAAATCCTGGAGTTAAAAATGCACTTGACATACTGAAGAACGTATCATAGTCTTTTAATAGCAGAATTAATCAAGCAGAAGAAAGAATTAGTAAGCCTGCATACAAGCTATTTGAAAATACATAGAGAAGAAAGAAGAAAAAAGAATAAAAAAAGGAAGCATGCCTACAGGATCAAGAAAATAGCTTCAAAAGGGCAAATCTAATAGTTACTGATATTAAAGAAGAGGTAGAGAAGGAGTTGGGGTAGAAAGTTTATGCAAAGGGGTAACAATGAAGAACTTATCAAAACTAGAGAAAGATATCAATATATAAGTACAAGAAGTTTATAACACCAAGCAGATTTAACCCAAAGACAACTACCTTAAGACATTTAATAATTGAACTCCCAAATGACAATGATAAAGAAAGGATCCCAAAAGCAGCAAGAAGAAACAAACAAATAACATATAATGGAGCTCTAATTTGTCTGGCAGCGGACTTTTCAGTGGACACCTTACAGGCCAGCAGAGAGAGAGGCATAACATATTTAAATTGCTTAAGGTAAAAAAAAAGAAAAATCCCAAAAGACAAAAAGCATCTTTTATTCTAGAAGAGTTATCTGGCAAAAATATACTTTACTTTAAGCATGAAAGAGAAATAAAGACTTTCCCAGACAAACAGAAGCTGAGAGATTTCATCAACACCAGACTTGTCCTATAAGAAATGCTAAAAGGAGTTATTTAACCTGAAAGAAAAGGACATTAGTGAGCACTAAGAAATCATTTAAAGGTACAAAACTCACAGGTAATTGTAATCACAGAGAAAAACACAGAATATTATAACACTGTAATTATGGTGTGTAAACTACTCTTCTCTTAAGTAGAAAGACTAAACAATGAACCAATCAAAAATAATAACTACAGCAACTTTTTATGACATAAACAGTACAGTAAGACATAAAGAAAAATAACACAAACTTAAAAAGTGGGGCACAGGCCAGGCACGGTGGCTCGTGCCTGTAATCCCAGCACTTTGGGAGGCCGAGGTGGGCGGATCATGAGGTCAGGAGAACGAGACCATCCTGGCTAACATGGTGAAAACCTGTCTCTACTAAAAATACAAAGAAATTAGTTGGGCGTGGTGGCAGGCCCCTGTAGTCCCAGCTACTCGGGAGGCTGAGGCAGGAGAATGGCGTGAACTCAGGAGGCGGAGCTTGCAGTGAGCCGAGATCGCACCACTGCACTCCAGCTTGGGTGACAGAGCGAGACTCCATCTCAAAAATCAACTGGGCCACACAGTTAAAGCGTAGAATTTTCATTACCTTTTTTTTGCTTATTTGTTTATGCAATCAGTGTTATCATCAGTTTAAAATAATGAGTTACAAGATAATATTTGCAAGCCTCATCATAACCTCAAAAAATACAACACATACACAAAAACAGCATGAAATTAGATTAAACCACCAGAAAAAAATTACCTTCACTATAAGAAAACACAAAGAAAGGAAAGAAGGTAGAAAAGACCACAGAGCAATCAGAAAACAAATAAAAAAATAGCAGGATTAAGGCCTTACTTATCAATAATAACGTTGAATGTAAATAGACTAAATTCTAATCAAAAGACATAAAACAGCTGAATAGATAAAAAAAAAAAAAAACAGGACCAAATGATCTGTTGCCTACAAGAAACACACTTTACCTATAAGGATACATTTAGTCTGAAAATAAGGGATTGGAAAAAATATTCCATGCCAATGGTAACAAGAAAAGAACAGGAGTAGCTATATTTACATCAGACAAAATAGATTTCAAGACAAAGACTGTAAGAAGAGATAAAGAAGATCACTATATAATTCTAAAGGGGATAATTCAGCAAGAGAACACAGCAATTGTTAATAAATATGCACCTAACACTGGAACTCCCAGATATATAATGCAAATATTAGAAATAAAGAGAGAAATAGACCTCAACACAATAATACCTGAAGACATCAACACCCTACTTTCAGCATTGGGCAGATTTTTCAAACAGAAAATCAACAAAGAAACATTGGGCTTAATTTGCATTATAGACCAAAAGGACCAAATAGATATGTACAGAACATTTCATCTTACAGCTGCAGAATACACATTCTTCTCCTCAGCATATGGATCATACTGAAGGATAAACCACATGTTAGGTCACAAAATGCCTTAAAATATTCAAAAAATTGAAATAATGTCAAGCTTCTTCTGTGACAGCAATAAAAAAGCCTAGAAATCAATAATAACAGGAATTTTTGAAATTATACAAATGCAAGGAAACTAAACATAATGCTTCTGAGTAACCAGTGAGTCAGTGACAAAATTAAGAAGGAAGTTAAAATTTCTTGAAACAAAGGATAATGGAAACACTGCATACCAACACCTATGGCAATACAGCAAAAGCAATACTAAGAGGAAAACTTATAGCTATAAGTGTCTACATCAAAAATGAAGAACAATCACAAATTAATAAACTAATAATGAATGTTAAAGAATTAGAAAAGCAAGAGCAAACTAAACCCAATATTAGTAGAAGAAATAATAAAGATCAGAGCAGGAATAAAAGAAATTGAAACAAAGTAAACAATACAAAAGATCAGTGAAATGAAAAGCCAGTTTTTTGAAAAGATAAACAAAATTAACAAAGCTATAGCCAGGCTAATAAAAGAGAGAGAGAGAAGACCCAAATAAAATCAGAGATAAAAAAGAAGACATCACAAGTCATACCACAGAAATTTAAAGGATCATTACTTGCTACTATGAGCAACAATATAACAATAAATTGGAAATTCTAGAAGAAATGGAAAATTCCTACACATACAACCTATGAAGGTTGAACCATAAAGACATCCAAAACTTGAACAGACCAATAACAAGTAACAAAATCAAAGCCATAGTAAAAGTCTCCTAGTAATGTAAAGCCTGGGACCCATTGTCTCCACTACTGAATTCTACCAAACATTTAAAGAAGAGCTAATAGCAATCTTACTCAAACTATTACGAAAAAATAGCAGAGGAGGTATGCATCCAAACTCATTCTGTGAGGCCAGTAATACCCTGTTACCAAAAACGGACAAAGACATGTCAGAAAAACCAAATTACAGGCCAATATCTCTGATGAACATTGATGCAAAAATGCTCAGTAAGATAAAAGCAAACCAAATTCAACAATACATTAAAAAGATAATAAATCATGATGAAGTGCGTTTTATCCCAGGGATGCAAGGATGGTTCAACATACACAAATCCATCAGTGTGATACGTCATATCAACAGACATGAAAAAAGACATGAAGTCATCAGACATGAAAAAAGGAGTAAACAGCATCAAATTGTAAAGGAATAAATCAAATATCCTCATTTGTAGATGATATGATCTTATATTTTGCAAAACCTAAAGACTCTACCAAAAAACTATTAGAACTGAGAAATTTTGCAAAGTTGAAGGACACAAAATACAAAAATTTGTAGCATTTCTATATGTCAACACTGATCAATCTGGAAAAGAAACTATACAATAGCCACGAATAAAATTAAATACCAAGGAATTAACTTATCAAAGAAGTGAAATACTTCGATAATGAAAACTATAAAACACTGATGAAAGAAATTAAAGAGGACACAAGAAAATGGAAAGCTATTCCATGTTCATATGTTGAAAAAAATTAATATTGTTATACTGTCTATACTACCCAAAGCAATCTACAGATTCAATGCAACCCCTATCAAAATAACAATGACATTTTTCACAGAAATAAAAAGACAATTCTAAAATTTATAAGGAACCATGAAAGATCCAGAATATCCAAAGCTATTCTGAGCAAAAAGAACAAAACTGGAGGGATCATATTACCTGACTTCAAACTATACTACATAGCCATAGTAATCAGAACAGCATGGTACTGGCATAAAAATGGATACATACACCAATGGAACAGAATGGAGAACCCTGAAACAAATCTGTACATCTACAGTGAACTCATTTTTGACAAAGCTGCCAAGAACATGTATTGAAAGAAGACTGTCCCTTCAATAAATGGTACTGGAAAAACTGGATATCTACATACAGAAGAATGAATCCAGATCACTATCTCTTGCCATATACAAAAATCAAATCAAAGTGGCTTAAAGACTTAAATCTAAGACCTCAAACCGAAACTACTACAAGAAAACATTCAGGAAACTATCCAGAACATTGGCCTGGGCAAAGATTTCTTGAGTAACATTCCACAAGGACAGGCAATCAAAGCAAAAGTGGGCAAATGGGATCACATCAAGTTAAAAAGCTTTCTGCACAACAAAGTAAACAATTGACAAAGTAAAGAGACAACCCACAGAATGGGAGAAAATATTAGCAAACCACCCAGCTGACAAGGGATTAGTAACCAGAATACATAAAGAGTTCAAACTGATAGGAAAAAAACTGATAATCTGCTTTAAAGTTGGGCAAAATATCTGAATAGACATTTCTCAAAATAAGACATATGAATAGCAAACAGGCATTTGAAAACATGCTCAACCTTGTTGCTTATCAGAGAAATGCAAATCAAAACTACAGTGAGATATCATCTCACCCCAGTTAGAAGTCTTTTATCCAATACAGTCAATAACAAATGCTGGTGAGGATGTGGAGAGAAGGTAACCCTCATAAACTGCTGGTGGGAGATATCTGCACTCCCATGTTTATTGCAGCACTATTCTTAATAGCCATGATTTGGAAACAACTTAAGTGTCCATCAACATATTAACGGATAAAGAAAATGTAGTACCTGTACACAATGGGGTACTATTTAGCCATAAAAAAATAAGATCTTGTCATTTGCAACAGCATGATGTCATTATGTTAAATAAACAGCTGGGCATAGAAAGACAAACTTCTCATGTTCTCACTTATTTGTGGGAACTAAAAAATTAAAACAATTGTACTCATGGAGATAGAGAGTATAAAAATGGATGGTTAGCAGAGGCTGGGAAGGGTAGTGGGAGGTTGGGAGAAAGTGGGGATGGGTAGAAAAAATTGTTAGAAAGAATGAATAAAACCCAATATTTTCTAGCACAACAGGGTGACTATAGTAAAAAAAAATGTAATTGGATTGTTTGTAACATAAATGATAGTGCTTGAGGGGGTATATACCCCATTTAACTTGATGTGATTACTGTGCATTGTATGTCTGTATCAAAATATCTTATGTAACCTATAAATATATAGAACCCCTATGTACCCACAAAAATTAAAAATAAAAAAAACTTAAAAATTTTTAAAAAGGAAATTTTATGATTTGGCCTGTAGACTACTTACTTAGGTAAATGTTAAAATGTTTTGGAATTAATGTTTTGTTAATTTTAAAATAGGAAACTCAGTTTTAATACATTTTATTTATTAGAATGCTTTCATTTTCCAAGCTACCATAAAACAGTTAGAAAAAGACATTACAAAAGAGCACTGATGCTATCACTTTCATAGGTCTATATTAAAAAAATACATTGAGTGTTAAAAAAATGCATTCCATCTTGATTTTTATTATTGACCATTCTTGTACTGTGGTTGATGTGATGGGAGAGGGAATTTAGAACCTGTTGTTACTGGTAATTTCACTTGTTCTCTGTTACAACCCTGCTTTAGTTTGCACTATAGTCAACAAAAAATACAATGATGGCATGAACTATCAACTGAAGATAAATTCATTCCTTTTATGGAAATGTCTTTCTTTGTTTTTAGGGTGTCATTTTATTTTGTAATGTTTGTGTGAGTAATGCTGGCAATATTTAGGTACTGTTCAGCATTCTCCACAATTTCAGTATAATTCAGTACAACATCCTTATACACAGGAATATTTGATGAGGTTTGATGATTTAGTATTTTTAATTTTACTATCAGATAGAAAAGTTTGCTAGTGTAAGATTTCTAATTTATTAAGGATGTGCTTCAAAACATATTATCTTTATTATATATTATGTCTAGATATTTTTATATATGTAGTTGGTGTATGAATCCATAATGATAATCCTTTATCACAGGCATTGCCTTTATTTATGATCAGGCCTATTCTCTTCTTCTTAACCAGCAATCCTCTTTTCTGTTTATTTTGGTCTTCTCTGGGTCAAATGCTCTGGTAGCTTCAAGTAACAATACCACAAAAAAACAGGATGTGCGGAGTTCAAAAGTAAATTAAAGTTAAAGTTTATAAATCAAATCCCTACCCAAATACCTTCCTCATAACTGTTTTGTTTTTCCCTTTTTCCCTTTTGTGTGCACCCTCTGAATTTGAAGAAAACTGTATACATGTCGATTTGTGACTCCAAATGTTAGAACTTTCTGTAGATATAGTAGCTAAAGTTCACTCAGTGGTATTATGTTTGTAATAGAGAGAAAACTGAGCTGGGAACCAGGAAATTGGATTTCTAGCCTCCTCTGATGTGTTGAACTGAAAGGAGCTGTGTTTTCTTTTCTACTTCTTGCACTGAAAAGACAGTTAGAGCTGGAGGGAGAATACAGTTGAGATTAATACTATGATTGAATATGACAATTATATACAAGTTGAAGACAAAGAGATTTCCTAAAGTGGAAGAAAACTGTAGCATCGGGCATCATGATGGGAAGTATAAATGGCACCCTAGAGGTTTCCTATGTGTATAGAAAACAACTAAATAATACACTTACTATAAACCTGTTCCAACTTCTGGAAAACCAACTGATTTTGGCAAAAGCCAACTATTTAAAAGACTAAAGCTTTAAGGTAGATCTCTATGTTAAAATCATAGCTTGATATATACCTATGCTGTCATATATATATTAATATGATGAAAAGATTTATATTAATCATTTTGGTATTTACTGAAAATCCAATAACTGAAGCATTAGTCTAGGAGCCAGAAATACAGTACTGAAGAAAACAGGAAAAAAATCGAATATTGCTTATCTCATAGAATTTAAAATTTAATGGATTTCAAGTACCAAATATTAAGGTTGCCAGGGTCAAAATTCCTGGGTCTCTGCACATTAAACATTCAATAGAATAATGGGCAAATGACTGGAATATTCACATCACAATAGATATACAAATGGCCAATCAACACATGAAAACAAGCTCATCTTTATTACACATCATAGATATAAATATTAAATAGTAATACAACTCCCCAATCCCCGGACTTCCTAAGATGAAAAAGATGGAAGGGGAAAAAACCCACAGTGTTTGAAAGGGATTAGAGAGACCAACATTGCTAGTGAGAGTGGAAATGGCTACAACTACATTGGAAAACTGTTTGGCAGTACTTATCAAAGGTGAATGTACACACACTCTAAGAACCAGGAATTCTGCTATGAGGCATTTACATGACATAAATGCATACAGATGTTCAGCAGAAAGCATGAATCTCATGTTCATATGAGCAATATTAGTAACTGACAGAAACTGGAAAATAGCAAAATATGTATAAGGAATAGATGGAAAAAGATAAATTGTGGCATTACACAATGGAATACATCTTACAAACATAAAAGAGAGCAAAAGCAGCCAGGCACAAAAAAGACAGGACTGCCTGAGGCCAGAAGTTTGAGACCAGCTTTGGAAATATAGTGAGATCCATCTCTACAAAAACAAAATACAAATATTAGCCAGGCATGGTGGTATACATCTGTAGTCTTATCTCCTTGGGAGGCTGAGGTGGGGGATCGTTGACCCCAGGAGTTCGAGGCTGCAGTGAGCTCACTGCATTCCACCATGGGTAACAGAGTGAGACCTGGTCCTGGTCTCAAAAAAAAAAAAAAAAAAAAAAGAAGAAGAAGAAGAAGAAAAGAGAGAACTCCCTATATTATATTAATCGTATCAAGATAAATAATCAAATGTACATAAATATCTAGATTCTTTGGATGAAAGACCTTACCTATAGGGTCTTGATATACACAGACCTGGTTCCAATCTAGTTGTGCCACAGATAGTGGTGTAGTCCTTGGCAAGTTATTACATAATCTGAAGCATTGTTTCATTCAACTGTAAATTAGAATGACTAGATCATGAGAAAAACATCTGTTGGATCTATGAGGGATGTTTTGTACTTGTTTGCTTTTGCATCTTTGAGACTAGCTTATTGCCTGGTAAACAGTAGCCCTAATAAGTTAAAGGAAAAGTAAGTGAAAGATATTGGTATATAGGTGCTCAATAAATGATTTATTATATATAGATATACTTAATGTATATAATATTTTAGAATGCATATTATGTTATATTTAGTCCTTACTGATGACTCTCTGAAGAATGTTTTTGTCAATTCCAAAAGACTAACAGAGACTATCCAATTTCCCAAAAATAGTCTGCACAGTCAGTACTTGAACTAAAGACATATAAACCAAGTTTAGTGCTTTTGTGACTATACAGTAGTAAAATAGATAGTTGTAAATATATGAAAATAAACATAGTCTTGTGGACTTTCAAAGCTACAAATAGCCTTAATTAATATATATTCAAGTCTCTGATTGTGTCAAGAATCTTTGTCAAACATATCTTGAATATATTCAAGTAATAGGGAACCCCCATTACCAGAGTATTCACTTCAAAAATCAACAGCTATAATGGTTACATATTCCTTATACTGACTTCAAAACTTCCTTCAAAATAAATTATACCTTCTGGAGCAAAAAAACAGTTATATTTACTTCTATTAATAATCCTTCAAAACTTTACAGCTAAATTGTAATGTGGTAGAATTTCTGGATTCTTCACTGTATTCTTTAACTTTGGTTTTGCATTTCTTAGAAAGGTGGTACTTTGTGATTACCAAAGAAAATAATAAGACTACTAAAATATTATGATCTGAACATAATCTTGTTTTTGTTTCAGCTTAAAATTTTTAGTAGCCAGGTAGCACAGATAGCAATGCAGATCAATGTATTCTGCGTTATAGAATTTGTCTTCTTCAAACTTTGTCAAGAGCCACTTCACATAGGATCTGCAAGGGTTATAGGTTCTACAGTATTATTTAGGGAAAAAGAAGCAATTCTTGAGTTCATGCTTTCTGTGAAAGTCGTAATGGGTTCAATAAATATTTATAGACTACCTATTATATTTCAGTGCTTTTCCAATGCTGGGGATAGAGAAGAGAATGAAACAAATGTTGCCACCCTCAAAGAACTTATATTCTACTTCTGGAGAGCATTACACAAGGAAGAATTGTGAATGATTAGTCATTACCTACTTTTTTTTTTTTTTTTTGAGATGAAATCTTGTTTTGTTGCCCAGGCTAGAGTGCAGTGGTGCAGTCTGGGCTCACTGCAACCTCTGCCTCCCAGGTTCAAGCGATTCTCCTGCCTCAGTCTCCCGAGTAGCTAGGATTACAGGCGCCTGCCACCATGCCTGGCTGATTTTTGTATTTTTAGTGGAGACAGGGTTTCACCATGTTGGCCAGGCTCGTCTTGAACTCCTGACCTCGTGATCCGCCTGCCTCAGTCACCCAAAGTGCTGGGATTATAGGTGTGACCCACCACACCTGGCCAGTCATCAACTACTTTTTCAGACATTTTTGTGTAAAATTTTATGAATAAGTTTAGTACTCCAAACTCCAATTACTGGCTATTACAGTTAATAAGAGAATGCTCTGATATTTAACTAAGTTTATTAAAAATCATGCCTTCAGTGAGCAGAGTCCAATGGGTTAATAGGTTTCTATTGTTCCTAGTCAAATAAACTTTTCATGTAATTACAGTATTCTTTGAGAAGAGCTTTAATTAAAACTCTGATTTGCAAACTCTCCATGTAATGTTGATTCTGAAGTGGGTGGAAATGCTTTCTAAAATCCATTCGTTAAAGTAAAATGGAAAATCACTTCAATGATTTTGTTGAATTAAGTCAAAAAAAGAGAGCAGATATTTAATGTTTTTAATGTTCTCATTAAATTAGGACGGGCACTATACGTCTAAGCATCATTATTTGAATTTGCAACCAGCAAAGCTATTATATGTTAATTTTGCATAAATTTACTATTCTGGCTATTGCTCTAGTTAGGGTGTAACTTCTCATAAGTGAGAAATGTGAATAAAGCACATAATGGTGGTGTTGGTGAGGATGTCATATTTCAAGACTGTATTAGTCTAGACCAAAACATCAGAACAAAGGGAGGCTTATACAAAGAAATAGGCATATGCAAATGTTTCTTACTTTGAAGAAATAGTTAAATCACAAGTGAGGTAATTATTTGGTCTCATATATCGAACTTGACCTTCTAACTGTATGAAATGGTAAAAACACACAAGTATTAGACTGTCAGTGTGTAGCAGTTCCATTTGCTGCCTAAGCACAAATCTTTTTTCTCTGACTGCTAAGCTTGTTCATCCTTCAAACATGATTATCTGACAATACAAACATGCATAGTATTTTTATTTCAACTGTAAATCAAATAGCATATTCATTAATATCTTTAGAGTATATTCACATTAGATGAATATTTTTCAAGTTGCCTGGAATTTTCTTGGGCATCTCTTTCAAACCACAGTGTATTCAAGTTGATAACACTGCTAATGAATGTTTATTAGTCTTTTAGCTGCCGTAACAAAATATTGAAACAACAGAAATGCATTGGCTTGCAGTTTTGGAGGCTAGAAGTCTCAGATCAAGGTGCTGGCAGGTTTCCTTTTTGGTGAGGCCTCTATTATTGGTTTGTAGATGTCCACATTTCACTGTATCCTCATATGGCTTTTCCTCTGTGCAGGTGTGGAGAGAGTTTTCTGGTGTTTTTTCTCATGAAGATACCAGTCCTGGTGGATTAGGACCCACCCTTATGAACTGAAGATACCAGTCCTGGTGGATTAGGACCCACCCTTATGAACTCTTTTAACCTTAATTACTTCATTTAAGGCCATATTTCCAAATATAATCACACTAGGGGTTAGAGGTTAAATATATGAACTGTGCAGGGACAAAATTCGCCCATATCAGACAGTTCAAATAATATTTTCCCTTTAAAAATAAACTCTTACTTTGAAAGAGTTTAGGTTTACAGAAAAATTGTAAAGCTAGTATTAAGTGTTCCCTATGCCCTAAACTATGCCCTAAACTATATTTAGTTTAGTCTAGTGTTAACATCTCACATTAGTATAGCACATTTGTTATAATTAATGAATCAGTTTTCATACTTTTTTTTGTTTAGTTTTTACCTCGTATTATCTTTCCATCTTTCTTCTTTTTCTTCTCTCTGTTTTTTCTTGGGGGGGGGCTCTAGTGTCATATTCAGAATATCATGTTACACTTACCAGTCATATACCATTAGGCTCCTCTTGGCTGTGACAACTTCAGAGGCTTCCTTCATTTTTGTTGATGTTTAGAGTTTTGAGGAGTTTTGATTAGATATTTTACATAATCGGTTGGAATTTTTCTCATGTTTATCTCATGAATGGAATGGAGTTGTGCATTTTTTGGGAGAGTGACCAAAGAGATTAATTACTATTTTTATCATATCTTCTCAAGGTTACAGGCTATCAACATGACTTATTGCCGTTGGTGTTAATTTTGATCACCTAGCTGAGGTAATGCTTGTCAGGTTTCTCTACTGTGAAGTTACTCTTTGTCCCCGCTTTCCATATTGCATTCTCTGAAATGATGTAACGCTCTGCTCATACTTAGGAAGTGGGGAGTTGCACTTCACCTTCTTGAGGGCAAAGTATCTAAATAAATTACTTGGAATTCTTCTGCACTGGTCATTTGTCTTTTCTATACTTTTATGTAACTATTTATATCAGTATGTACTCATGGACAATCATTTCATACTTTGGGTTATAGTCTAATAGTACTTTATTTTGTTGCACAAATTGTTATAGTTTTGGCCACTAGGGGCTCTTTCATTTGGGTTCCTCTGTCTCTTTGGTGGGTGTTTTTATTTTTTTTTAAATTTTTAAGTTTTGAGCAATTTATTACTCTCTGCCACTACAAAATGTTCTGGGTTCATATTGTATGTTTCCTATGTCAGCCTTATAATCAGCTATTTTATTGGTTCTTTTTATTGGAGAATAGTATTAGAAACCAAGATCTGAGAGTTAAGTGTGCTAATTGCTACCAGGATGTTGTTGCTTCTAGGCCCTTTCAGCTGACAGAGCAAAGACATGTGCGTGTATAAGTATAAGAATTAAAGAAAGAGGAAAGAAACACGAAAGATGGCTTGACAGTCAAGACAGGTTTATTGTAGAGAAAACAAACCTGAGAGGGGCGTTTGGCTGCATTAGGTTAGAAGCACGCTTTTTTACAGACTAAGAGTTTTTAAGGGTTTAAAGTGGGAGAGTTTATTAGAGGCTTTGACTGCTTCTGTGTTTTTTTGTTGTGCTTATCTGGGAGGGAGAGTTGTGTGTCTTTTTTTATACATTTTTTTGCAGCTGCAGGCATACCCCCGAGTCTGCTTTTAGCTTTCCTGTTTTAGTGCACTTGAAGGGAAAGAAATGTGCTTATTAAGGCCCACTGTTTTATTGGGGTTCATTGTATGAGGGTGAAGATTGGCAATTACCCAAGAGACTTTTCCCCCACCTCCCCTGTGCCCAAGCTGTCTTATCTGTGTTTCACTCTCTGCTTTCTCTGGCTGCTTATAGTTAGAAGAGAAGTGATTTGCTTGAAATGCATGAAGCTAGAAAGGGAGCCGAAACTTAAAGTGGCAGTGTTTGTCTAAGATGATGGTGCTCCTGCCCTGTCAGTGAGATACTACACAGATGTCTAGAAATGTCTATATATGTATATTAATTTACACTAATTAAACTTTGTACTTATGTTTACAACTCTAATAAATTTCCATATGGATCTCTTTAGCCTCCTCTCTTTGATTATCTGTAATCTTGCACTTCAACAGTGAGAAATCCCACTCCCATCTTCATTTACTTAATTGTTAAATACCAGCATACACATATAGAGCTATCAGAATTGTTATGCCACACCTCTGTGGGAAGCTACTTTATCAACTAAAGTACAATGCGATGTACAGTTCTTTTTGCATTTATTTTATAGATTGTATTGATTTTGAAAGTTATTCAATTTAGCAGTTTTTCCCCTTATTCCTGGCTGTAAAGTTGTCCCATACATTTTTAATGCAGTTACATTGTTTTGTCACATTCTGAATTCTGTATTAAGATTCTTCAACCTCCTAAATGACCTGTTGAAAATTTTGTATACATTCAGGTTCACTTTTTATTCTGTAAGGGTCTATAGATTTTGATACAGGCATAGTGTCATACAACTGTCATTACAGTACCACACAGAATAGTTTCTTCCTTCTAAAAATAAAATCACCTTGTGCTTTACATATTCAAACACTGGTAACCATTAATCTGTCTTCTATCTCTATAGCTTTGCATTTTCTGGAACTTATCCAATCTGTGTTGTTGGTGTTGCTGTTGTTGTTTTTCCCCACACAGGCTTCTTCCCCTTTGCAGGGTAGATTAATGATTCATCCATGTCTTTTAGTGGCCTGATAGTTCATTTCTTCTTATTGCTAAAAATATGTTTTATTGCATAAATGTATGAGCTTCATTTCTGATACTGGTAGTTTGTATTCTCTCTCTGTCTCTTAAATAGCCTGGAGATAAGTTTATCAATTTTTAAATACTTTCAAAGAATTACAATTCAGTTTTACTGAATTGTGCTTTCATTTTCATTTTTTCAGCTTGCTTTAGGCTAAATTGCCCTGCATTCTCTGAATTCCTAAGATAAATCTTAGGTTACTCATTTTAGACCTTTCTTATTTTTAGTACATACATTTCATGCGTAAATTTTCTTCTAATCACTGATTTCACTGCATTACACAAGTTTTGACAGGTTGTATTTTTATTAAGTCCAAAATAATTCTTATATTTCCTTTGAGACTGCTTCTTGGTTCCATATTTTATTTAGATGTGTTTTGTTTGATCTTCACATAGTTGGGCATTTTCCAGGTGAATTTTTTATTCTTATTTATAATTTTTTAAATTAATTTACTTTTAATTTTTGTAAGAATGCTTAACATGAGATATACCCTCTCATTTTTTAACTGTTTACAGCACAGTATTTTTAACTGTAGGCACAGCAGTTCTGTAGAACTTTTGTTTCTGCATAAATAAAACTTCATGTCATTGAACATCAACTTTTTGCTTTCCTCTCTCCCTAGTTTCAGGAAACCACTGTCCTACTCTCTATGAAACTGACTATTTTAGATACCTCATTTAAGTGGAATCATGAAGCATTCATTCTTCTGTAACTGGTTTATTTCATTTGGTATAACGTCCTTTAAGTTCATCTTTGTTGTTCAAAATGGCATAATTTCCTTTGTTTTTAAGGCTAAAAATCAAATGCATTATATCACATGTTCTTTATTAGGTAATTCATTGATGGAATTTAGGTTGTTTCTGCCTTTTGACTATTATAAATAATGCTGTAATGAATATGGAAGTGCTAAGCCTCTTGAGATTATGATTTCAATGCTTTTGGATATATACTCTGAAGTGGATTGCTGGATCATATAATATTTCTAAGTTTTTGAGATATCTCCATACAATTTTCTTTAGTTATTGCACCATTTTACCTTTCTACCAACAGTGTACAAAGGTTCCGATTTCCCCACGTCATTGCCAATACTTGTTACTTGTGTGTGTGTATGTGTGTGCATGTATGTTTTAGTAACCTTGAAAGGTTGTAAGTGCCATCTCATTGAGGTTTTGATTTGTACTCTCTGATGATTGATGTTGAGCATTTTATCATATGTCTTCTTTGGAAAAATATCTATTCAAGACCTTTACCCATTTTTAAATCGTGTTATTTGTTTTTTTGATGTTGAGTTGTTGGAGTTTTTTATACATTTTGGATTTCCATAGCTTATCAGATATATGGCTTGCAAGTATTTTCTCCCATTCTGTAGGTTGTCTTTTCATCTTGTGGATTGCCTCATTTGCTGTGCAGAAGCTTTTTAGTTTGATGTAGTCCCACTGGCCTAACTTTGCTTTTGTTACTTTTGCTTTTGGTGTCACATCAAATAAATCATTGTGAGGTTCAATGTCATGAAGATTTTCTGCTATGTTTTCTTCTAGGAGTTTTACAGTTACAGGTCTTATATTTAGATATTTCATCCATTGTGAGATAATTTTTGTGTATTGCTTAAGATAAATGTCTAATTTCATTCTTTTGCATGTTTATATCCAGTATATGTGTGGTTTTTTCTCAACTGATGCCACAAAAATAACAAAGGATCACAAGAGACTATTACGAACAATAAACTAGCAAACTAGGATAACTTAGAAAAAATGAATAAATTTCTAAAATCTTACAATTTACTAGGACTGACTCATGAAGAACTAGAAAGCCTGAAAAAAACAGTAATGAATAAGGAGATGTAATCATTTACCAATAACCTCCCACCAAAGGAAAGCCCAGGACCAGATGGCATTACTGGTGAATACTACCAAATGATTAAAAAAGAATTAACATGAATCTTTCTTAAACTTTGCCCCAAAAAACTGAAGAAGAACCACTTCCAAATCTGTTTTATGAGGTCAGCATTGCCTCAGGTGATTTCTTTCCTTTAAACAAATTTAGTTTTTGTTTATTTTTCCCCACAGTCCGAGTATGTTCTATCTTACTGAATATAATTTTCTGTTGAAAGCTGGATATGTTGTATCAGGTAATTGAAACTAAGGTAAATAGACCTATAGTATGTGGTTTTATGCTAATCTGGTTAGGAGCTGGGCTGTGTTTATTGTTTCCTGTAGGTGTAGGTGTCATAAGTGTCAGAGGCTTTGTAATTCCTTTTTTTTTTTTTACTTCACTCTTCAGTTTGGGCTTCCCTAAATCTTCCTCTTCAGAGAGAGTCTATGTCTTGCAGCTCAGTCAACTGTAATCTTCTATTATAATATAATCCTGTGAATGTAGTGCTATGGTATTGAGGAAAAGAAGTGTTATAAAATTTTCTGATTAAATCTCAGTCTTATTGTGGGCCTGTGTCTCTAGGCTGTGGCCCTTACAATTGTTTCTCCACTTGCTAGCAATTCCACTTCCCACCTCCTTCCTCCCCCACTGCTTATGTGATAGGAAGGCTAATAGGGGCTGTAGCGGGAAAAGTCTCCTTTCTAAAACTAGGATAAAACTGGGTAAAATCTTTCCCCAGGAGAGCAAGACTTTGTACTGGTGAGGGTCTGTGCGTATTTCCTAATTACTCTTTTCTTCCTCTTGCCAAAGCCACAAGATCTTTCTTGGATCTGCACTGAGATCCTTTTATAGAACCTAGAGGTAAAACCAGTGAAAGTGTGAGGAGCTCCCTAAGACTGAAGATGCCAGAGTTTCCACTCTTATGCTAGTCTACACTCGGCAGCCAGCAGTTGAGCAAATTACCACTTAAGTGTTTCTACAAGTCTGTGGTTCCAGCAACTTCTGTTCTAGTTAAGCAGATCTCAGCTGTATTTTTCTGTCTCTCCAGCTTTTAAGGTGACAATTTGCCTTGAGACCTCAGTTCTCTGATGGGTCAAAAGAAAAAGTAATTGATTTTCAGTTTGTTTAGTCTTTTTTGTTGTAAGAATGAAAGCGTTGACTTCCAATCTCTTGCATGTCAGAGCTGAAACAGGCAGTCTCATATTTTTCATTTAAAGATTTATGTGGCTAGGTGTTTACCCAGACTCTCAGTATAAACACTGTAGCTATTAAGACAGTTCTATAAGATGCTAATAATTGTTTCTATGTAATCAGAGCAAATAACCATATTTGATTCCTGAGGTCGATTAAATTACGTGTGGTCATGATGTGTGGCAACTTCTGAGCTGATGTAGAAGCTAAATTTTTGTTCTAAAAAATCTGGTGCTTTATGTGGTTTAAAAGCTCTCATAAACATCCAAGTTAAAATTTAAAAATATCCAGATTGTAGTTGTGGTAGTCAGAATCCTGAATTAGCCCCCAGGATTCTCACCATGCTGTTGTACATACCCTGTATAACATACCTCACTTTGAAAGAGGCTTAGAATACAGTGAGATGCCCCCCGATGATGATGTTATATTATATGGCAAAAGGGATTCTGAGTATGTAATTAAGGTTCCCAGTCAGTAACTGAGTTAATCAAAAGAGAATTATCCTGATTCGGCCTAATTCAGTCATGTAAGCCACTAAAAGAGGTCAGACCCATTCGAAGCAAGAGGGATTTCTCCTGCTGACTTAGAAGAAGTAAAATTGCTCTTTTGAATTGCCTGTTGAGGGGGCTACATGGCAAGAAATTGAGGGTGGCCTTTAAGACTGAGAGCAGTTTCTGGCCAATAAATGGAAGGAAAAGGGGAATTTCAGTCCTATAATCACTTAAACTGAAATTTTTCAACAACCAGTAAGATTGAAAGAGAGCCTCAAGCTTCAAATGAAAACACATCTGTGAGGTAATAAATACATGTAATTCATACTTCTATGTTTATGGTAATTTGTTACACAACAGTAAAAAAAATTATGAAAGCTGGAGAAAATGCCCAATGAAAAAGTATTTTGATATTTTGTTAATATTAGCCCTAGTGGAAATGCACTCAGAATTTAATAGAATTAAGTTCTATTTTTATTTCTATAACTTATTTAAAAAGAAAAGTGGTCCAGGCGCAGTGGCTCACGCCTGTAATCCCAGCACTTTTGGATGCCAAAGCAGGCAGATCACCTGAGGTCAGGAGTTCAAGACTGGCCTGGCCAACATGAAGGAACCTGTCTCTACTAAAAATACAAAAATTATCAGGGGTGCTGGCGCATGCCTGTAATCCCAGCTACTCGAGAGGCTGAGACAGGAGAATCGCTTGAACTCGGGAGGCGGAAGTTGCAGTGAGCCAAGATCGTGCCACTGCACTCCAGCCTGGGCGACAGAGCAAGACTCTGTCTGAAACCAAAAAAAAAAAAAAAATGTGTATTCACTCGATGTACGTACAGAAAACATGTGTCGGTGTGTGTGGTTCACACCTTCAGCTGAGTGTGGTTTTCCTGCGGTTACTCCAGGTACATAACATGCAGGCATACAATAGCACCACAAAACCCAGGCAGAGTAAATGATCAGTTTTTACACCAGCTGGTAGCAGGTAGGGAGTGACTGCTCGTAAGACCTCTATGTATTTCCGAGTCTTTATTTGCCTAATTCTGATTTTAGGAAGAGGAAATATGACTGATCTGTGTGTACTTACCATACAAAAATGCAAGTTAATATATGAAGGGCAGGTAAAATAGATAATGAATAGAAATTCTAAAGTGGTAAGTAAAATGGCAAAGAACACCACAGAAAAAAATAGAATAAAATCTAAGCACTGTAGGATTAATCAAGTTGAAAACTATATGTGAAAAATTAATAGTTTAAAGTGCAAAGAATTTCAGAGGAAGTATGTGTTGGACTGTGAGTTCTGTTTCTTGGCTGTTTTGCTTCCCTCTTCCTGTCCCTTTGTCTATTTGGTCTGCCCTCCAGTGATTTTCACCTGGAAGAACTTGAGTTTTAGCTTTCATGTTCAAGAGAAGCCATGATCTAATGTGTTTAGCTTTCAAAAACTAGGCAGAATTTGTTCTTATCTTCAAAAATCTAATTTAAAATTTTCAAAATTTGAGTCTTCACCTTATGTGGTGTCACTGAGAATGAGATTAATTATATTTACAATGAAGAAAATAAAATGTTCCTGTTTTACGACTAATCAAAATAATCTGTTAGAATGTCATACTACACTCTGCCATAGAAAACATCCATATATTGTGGGTTCCTGGTTAACCAATAACTTGATATTGTTATTCCTATTACATTAGAAGAAACTTCTTAATTGGTCAGAATTACTAAAAATTTTGAGTTATATTTTACTTCTCATTTATATCTTATGTAACGCTTACTTATATCTTACGTAACACTACTTTAATATGAATATTAACTTATGGAAAAACTTTTGATTACCATACATTCAATTTTATTTTATGTTCTTAATATTTGAAGAGAAGAAACCAGAACCAGAAACAGGAACAGATGTCTATCTTACCATGTAAATTGCTGTAATATTTTGACTACAGTAAATAAAAATGTTAAGTATATTCCCACTCAAAAAATACACATTTAGCACAATGTACTTGTATAACTTTAAATATTTTTATTTTTATTTCTGTTTTTCTAAAGGTATTCCCCAAGTTATCATTTTTCTTTCTGATTCTTTTCTCTAATTCTAAATGTAGATTCAAAAATGTAGAATAGACTCATTTGGCTTTCCCTTCCTACACCTTCAAGGACTCCTTTTCTGCCTCTTGTTAATGCCCGATTTCTGGGAATTAACCATGTTTACAATGTATGGCCTCTAGATTTGGGGTGAATTCTTTGGGTTTCACTTGCTTTAGCCTCCCTTTTTCATCTATTTATCTCTTCTTACATGATTATCCTGTGGATAGCTAAGGATTCAGGATATCTGGTATGAAATAAAAATGTTCTTGCTTATGTTTTTGTATTTTACTGTTTCATCCATTTTCTTTGACCTCATTCCCTTGTCTAGTGGCTGCAGTTTAAGATTGGCAGATATGGTATTTTCTATAATAATAAGTTGAGTTTTCAGTGATATGTCTATTGCTAACACAGCAGCTATATTCTTATCAAGCTCTGTCATAAATAACATTTCCTGAACATCTGAAAAGCCATGAACTTAATAGAAATGAGAAAAAAAAGTCCTTATGCATTTAACAAACAAAAAAAGAAATTCTGACTCTTCCCCTCATCTGAAATAATTCAGTTCAGTTAAAAATTTTCCTCCCATTGTTTTTAAGTAGAGAAAAGCCAATGAACAAAAATGCTGATGTCTCTTAGACATCAGCTTTTTAAGGGATATTTTGTTATGTCTGTAAATAATCATTTATGTGTACTAAGTATACTTTTTTCCCTCTCAAAATCTGTATTGATAAGTTTCTATCTAAATTTATATGTCAAATAATCAAAGATTGTTTTACCTACATGTTGTAAATAATATTAAAAATTGCCTAGATGATCAATTTGAAATATTTGTATATTCATGTTAGCTTATATGTGGCAAAAATAAGAGAACTAGTAGAGTTTTTTATAGACTACATAGTCCAAAGAAAAGTAATGCAATAAAACAGTAGTAACAGTACAATTGTACTATGATGTTACAAAAATTGTAAAAATAATGACAGCTCTTTACTTCTTGAGCACTTATGATATATATTATTGAGAACTTGTTTGGTAGTGTTCTGATCACTTTCTAAGCATCAGTTCATTTATTTCTCACAAGACTATGCTGTAGTTATTGTTATTTTCCCACGTTTTGTAGATCAAGAAACGAAAGCAGAGAGAAATCAAGAAACATAAGAAATAAAGTGCTTGATACTATGCTTCATACTATGAGGCCTCAGATGACTAAGATTGGCCTCTCCTTTCTCCCACGCATTAGAGAGACTAACTAGTAGGGCCAGACCTTGGAGTTCTTTGTTTTGTGCAGGGGTTTCTATCATGTGTGAAGCTTGCTGAAGATGTCCAACAAAGGTCTGTGTGAACAACATAAGGGGTTCATTGAACAAGGTATAACAAATTCTGGTTACATGTCCATTCTAAACCCTTTGCCTTGGCCTAGGGACCAGGTCCACATAGGTCTCGCCAACGAACAAGATAATCTGTATAACTATTGAGAACTTGGTTAATAGGGCAGTAAATAACATTATTCAAACAATACACATGATAACTAGCATTATGATAACTAAAAATAATAATACGTAAGATGTTACGTAATAACTGACATGTACAGTAGCTTATCAAATATTTTTCACATTTATTATTTACTTTATTAAAGCAATTTTAAGTACATTTTATTATTGTCCTAACTTTAAGGAGGAAGAGCTAAGGTTTTCAGATGCTGAGTCACACAGCCAAAACTTCATAGAATCAGGTTTTTTAATTCCAAATTCTTAGTAACAAGTCTCCCCAGATTTACCAGCTTAAAACAACATGGTTGATGGCTCAGGTCAGCAGGTTGAGCTGGATTCAGCTGAATGGATAGTTTGCTGATTATGACCAGACTTACTCAAGCAGATGCAGTCAAGTAGGTGTCACAGCTCCGAGGGCTGGCTGGCTGTCAGCTGAGGTGAAGGGGTAAACTGGGCCAGTCTTTGTTATCCAGCAGGTTTCCAAAATCAGCAAAAGAAGAAAAGTTCCAATGGTCCATCACGTTTCAATTCTTTGCTTGTCTCACTGATCAAAGAAAGTGACATGGTCAAGTCTATTGTCAGTGGACAAGAGGACTACCCAAAGGCAATGGTACAGAGAAGTGTGAACAAACTTGATGTCATTAGTGTGAGAACTAAAACTAAAATTCTAAGCCCCACAACCAACTGAATAGACCGTCTCTTGGCCAAGGGGTTTCCAGAGAAACCTTATAAACAGAATTCCCAGTGATGATGGGAAGGGAGATCAGACACACTTCATCATAAGCCCTTCCACTTGCAATTTAGACATAACAACTGACCAGCATTAATGTAAAAACAGAGGTCATGAGACTGATAGAACAGACTCTTTGTGGCAGTAAGCAATAAAATTATAAACAGGACCTAAGACCATGGCAGGCAAGGGTTAAGTCAGGCACCCCTACACTTAAAGTAAAAACTATGTTCTGACTGCCACAAGGTTTGTCTATTCTCTAGCAGCGAAATAAGCACTGGTCTCAAGATAAACACTATAAAAACAATTGCAGCTCATCTGTCCCCAGACACTGACTATCTGACCCCTTTTCCATAAGCCACAACTGCAGGTTTGTTGGACAAGAGAGTGATCTGAGCAACTTTACCTGAGAAGAGATCACCAACAACGGACTCATTCTGGCAGGTTGACAGAGGCTGGGCACTGAGTGCCTCCGTGTATCTGCTTTACTTTTTGACTTATAAAAGTCTGATTGTAATGCATTTACATGTTAAGCCTCCACCCCAAAGTGAACAGGTAAAGCATGTAACATGCATGTTTGTTCAGTACACATGCATCAGGATCTCCTTAATGAATATGCATAGCTCCTATAACCTGTTGAATATGTATATTCAGCCAACTCTTTTAGCATAAATCCCCTGAGCCAACTCCTCTTCCTTCAAAGTACCTGCTAATGGTCTCTGCTAGAGGCTATGCTTCCCAGCCTGTCAGGATAAACAGTGTAGAGGCTAAAATTCTTTATAAGAAATAAAGTTTCCTTTCTAAATTTATACATCATGTGATTTTTCAGTTGAGAATTGGAACAATATACCGTAGTTACTTAAAGACAAATTCCCTCCGTTCTGATGGGTTCTATTAGAGTTATTCCTTTCTGAGGGCACATTGATTCAAAATGAAATGGAAGAGTAAAAACTTTCAAAGGTTATGGAGAGAGTGTGAGGTAATGTAATAGTTTCTAAAGTCTTAAGTGATAAATCTCAAAGCTGTTCTATAGAGCATTGATCTTGAGAATTGTTCTTCAAAAAGATAGATTTTGCCATCAAATGTATTTGGAAAATACCCATCTTCCTGTCTCACCTTAGCCCTAAGGTTTACATATACGCATGTATACCGGTTAGTTTTTTGTATCAATTTGACTGGCTCATAGGGTACCCAGACATTTGGTCAAACATTATTTGGTTGTGTCTGTGAGGCTGTTTCTGGATGAAATAAATACTTGAATCAGTAGACTGAGTAAAGCAGATACCCTCCCTAATGTAGATGGGCATCATTCAATCAAATGAAGAAATGAATATAACAAAAAGAGGTAATTCTTGCTGCTTTTCTGAAGAGCTGGGACGTTGGTCTTTTTCCTGCCTTCAAATTTGAACTGAAAAGTCATTCTTCTTGGGTCTTGAGCCTGCATAACTTTCAGACTGAAACTTACATATTGGCCCTCCTGGTTCTCAAGCCTTTGTATTCAGACTGCATCTACACCATCTGCTCTTTTGGGTCTCCAGCTTGTGATTACAAATCTTGAGACTTCTCAGCCTTTGTAATCGTATGAGCCAATTCCCTATAATCTCTCTCTTACTCTGTCTCTATCTTCATATATATATATCTCCCACTGGTTCTGTTTTTATGAAGAATCCTAACTAATATAGCATGTAACGCATTAACATATTAGCAGCTCTAAAATAGTCTGGAGTAAAAAATAAAACATCCTTACCTTTTAATGTAAAGGAAATTTCAAACTGAGTAGAAAAGCCTTGATTTAGATCTTGGTTCTGCTACAAACTGTGTGACTTTCTGCAGTTTACTTAATGGCTCTAAATAAATTTCTGATACCTCACCTACAAAATGGCATAATTAGCGAGATTCTTGTCAAGATTGAGATAATACTTCTAAAGTTAATTTTTTTCTAAATACTAAATTTTTTAGGAATTACATATCTTAGAAACTATTCAAAAGATTATAGTCATCAAAATTATTATCACTATACTTATATTACTACATGAACCTAACACATTTTTAGCCACAAAACCTTATTTTTTATAATATCTATTAACATCCAAAAAACAATATTCTAGGAACATATTTTATAAAATATATTTAGAAAAAATTGAGAGACCTGAAGAATAATTTAATATTTTTGTTAGCATTGTGAAATTTTGACCAGCCAGTTTTGTTTTTTCCAGCCAAACTTTTCACATATAATGTGGCCTTTTTTTGTGTGTGACACATTTGAGGGCAAAATGAAATGGCAGGATGTACTTATTCTAGACAGAAATTTCTAAGCAAACAGAGCTTTTAGTGAGAGAATTCTCCTGAGCAATTTTTATTTTTTTGAGAAAGGATCATTACTGGATATCTTGAGGAAGTTTTGTATGTACAATAAGAAGATAATATAATAAATAATAGTAATGACAATACCATTTCATTTTCAATCACCATTCTGTTTCAAAGTATTTCTATATCTGTCACCTCATTTAAAAAATATTTCCCACAGAAGCAGTACATTTGATATGGTCATATGGTGACAGACTACTAAAAAGTTATACTGATAACAGATAAACTGAAAAGGAAGCAGAAAGCGTTGCTCACTTTGCTGAAAGGTTATGGACATGTTGCCCTTGCAAAGTAAGAACACAGGGCTAGTAAACAGCAATTAACACTGACCAAATAGATTATACAAGAATATAAAAAGTATATCTGTAACTTTTGCCTGAATACTTTTTGTGTCACCTCTACTAGCTGGAAAGTACGTTGAACATCTCTTACTCCAACAAATCTCAAAAAGTAGAACCTTGTATATTGTGATGTCTGAGTGAAAGTATTTTTTTAGGAGAAAATATCTGTTCCCTTAAGGCTTCCTACTTCCCATAAAGCATATTTTATTAGCAACAAACTATTTCACATATATCTCAAAACATGATGACTCTCAAACTCATTCTTATACTACTTCTGCAGTTAGTTTATAATTAATACGGGCTTTCATATTGCTCATTCTTTTGTCTCTGTGACCTATTAGCACAAGGTTGAGGCAGCTAGAAAACTTCGCTGGCCACTATATTAAGGATCACAAAAAATTACTATTGCTTTCTTAATTTCAAATATACAATTCTATTACTTCTTAAACTATGTAATTGTAAGGTAAAAAGATGCACAGATATGTGCACAACATTTTCTTATACAATTTACCAGTAAGTGGTTGAAGTCAGCCTGGTACAAATGATGTTTATTTTTGGTCTCTAGAGTTACATTGCTCTGTCCCTTATCACAGACTAGATCTAATCCAGAATCATTATTTTCTACATTATTTTTGTATCTGTAAAAGGCTCCAGGCAAAATGTTAGTTAACAGATGAATCCCTTTGAACTCAAATCTGTACTGGGACAGTAAATTAATTTGAATGCCATATTGAGAGAAAATAAATGAGAGCTTTATTTATGAGAAATCAAAGAAAGAAAGATTGTCTTTAGAATTACCCAGTATGAAGCTTTATATCTAATATGGTTTGGCTGTGTGTCCACACCCAAATTTCATGTTGAATTGTCATTCTCAAAGTTGAAGGTGGGGCCTGGTAAGAGGTGACTGAATCATGTGGATGGTTTCTAATGATGTAGCACTATCCCCCAGTGCTGTCTCCTGACAGAGTTCTCATGAGATTTGGTTGTTTGAAAGTGTGTAGGACTTCCTCCTTCACTCTCTGTCTCTCTCTCTCCTGCTGACCATATGAAGACATGCTTGCTTCTCTTTTCCTTCCTCCATGATTGTAAGTTTCCTGAGGCCTCCCCAGAAGCAGAAGCCTGTATAGCCCAAACAACTGTGAGCCAATTAAACCTCTTTTCAGTATAAATTTCCCAGTTTCAGGTATTTCTTTATAAAAGTGTGAGAAAGAACTAATAGAATATCTAATCACCTCTTTCCCAGATGTATTTTATAATTCACCCTGCCAGTCCTTTCCTCTTCATATATTACAAGAACCAACTCACATCTTACTTCCTTTGTGAAACTTTTTCTGAATAGTCCACTTGAAGGTAATCTGTTCCTCTTCATCTTGCATATCAGCATTTTCTACATTGCCTGCATTGCCTTTCTCACATGTAGATGCATAATGTCATGGTTAAGCACATGAGTCATTGAACTGAAGAGTCAATGTTCACGTGCTAATTCTACATTTACTCATTCTATATACCTGGGCAGGTTGTTGATATTCCCAAACCTCCTTTAATTCATCATCCATGAGGTATGAGAAGTATATATGCAGTTTCAGGTCATTATAAAATAATTAATATAATACCTAGTATTGTAGTCTACTTTTTAAAACATGACACTTTTCTTTAAAAGATCATTATTTGCAACATTATCAACATTAGTTCTTTACGTTTTGGGCTCAAGAGGATGAGAACACACTCTCGTGGTATTTATTTTTAACTTTTTAACAAGACATTGCCAGCACCATGTCTTGTTTATAGTGAGTCACAGAAAATACTCTCAGATTAAAAGCTAACACTGGTTTAAAATAAAAGGAGGAGAAAATAAGATAAAGGGGTAAAGTAACATTATGTGGACAGTGGTAATGCTGAAAGTAATATCATGCAGTCCAAATTTAGCTTTTATATTAAATAAAGTAAATGTTAAAATTTTAGACAAAGATGCTTTCAGTATGAGCTCAAGTTAGCTGTGATTCTGCTACTATGAATAAAGCATTCTTCAAGGAACTAGAGGGCCAATAAAGAAATCATCTATAATGTTAGGGATGTGTAACATAGTGGGAATAAATAAAGTCATACTTAGATAATCATCAACAATTTTCTAGGCACTGTGGTCAATTCTTGGAATAGAATGATGATAGGTTATTATCCTAAAGCAGCTCAAGATCAAGAGGGCTGATAAGTAATCAATAAATTATGAGACGGTGATGTGTTCTGCATCCATGTTTATTCAGACCTGAAGAGGCACAGAGTAAGGGAGGGCAAGAAGTTCAGGGGAAGGAGACTGAGAAGCATTTAGGAAAAGATAACATATTTTAGCTGAATCTTGAAGACTCGGAGAAACAGACTGAAGGTTGCAGTGATTATCTAGTAGAAGGTTCTTGTAAAGGAAGCTAAAAGTTAAAATTGGAAAAGACATGAGCCAGAAAAATAGTACAGCAAATCCCTGCAATAATCTACGCAGGGTTAATCCAAGTTTTGAAATAATGTAATTAGTGATTAACTCTCAGCCTGTGACCAACCTGTGTTCTCAAATGGAAGTAGTGTTTCTCTTTTGGAGCGAAGACAAGTCCAAGTAGGAAAATAGCAGACAATCGCATCTTGAGAATGTGGGTCTTCATATCTTCATTATTCTCCTAGGCTGATGAATCCAGATTGGTCCAATAAAATGGGTCCATTTCTAGGTACATTCCTGAAATCACTGCTTCTGTCCCAGAAGTTCCAGCCTCCCACAGGACCCAGAAACATCCCCATTTATTATTTAAGCTGGAGGGAACAACTGCCATCAGGTGGCACCAGATTGCAGGCAGGCCTTGGATGGAGTTGGGGCTCACAGGCTCAGATTCCCTGATCAAGGAGCTGCACAGGCTTACTCAAGACGTGTCATTAACCTCAAAACAACGTGACCCAGCATTTAAAATGATTAAATTTTTAGATCTTACATATCACATTATCATAGGACTTTTACTGCATTTTCAAATGAGAGAAGAAAACTAAAGCCTGGTGAAGGACAACAAATTGAAGATAATTTGAATTTGCTGGCTCACCAAAGGATGAAATGGTTCAGTTACTGTGGAGGGGAGATTAGGTTCATAGGAATCAGAAGGATGGAATCCTGACTTTCAGCAGTTTAAATTTCTGGAGCAGGTATAAGCAAAGGTGTTAGAGACAGAAAAGAGATAACTTATCTAAGTGAAAAGAAAGCCAGCCTACTGGTTTATTTCTTCAATGCATAAAAATTAGAGAAGCAGTTGCATCATAAACAGGGAAAATTGGAACTTTGATGTTACTGTTTTTGTTTTGTTTTGATTGTTCCCATTTTCGGGAATAGAGTAGTTGGTTTTGTGATGTATAAAATAATTTCTACCTAATTCTTTCTTAGAGAGTGACATTTGAATCATTCCTGTCTTCTGAAATTGGCTAGAAATGTACAATGTTGGCAGCCTCAACCCAAAATCTAAATCCAGAATGGTTTAAGATGCCTAATTTTCATTTCCCCCTGAATCCCTATGTCTCTGTCTTGCTAGTGCAGCATTCAGTGTGAACTCTGCCTGGTGACATAGCTTTTCTATTGTCTCATGATCAAGCATTTTCTGTCCTCTGCCTATTGGCTGCTGTTATTACCTCTTGCTGTTGCTTATGCCTGTGAAACTTGCCTCCTAGGGAAACTTTGTCCTCAGTCCCTGTAATTGTTTCTGCTGTAGAATTACCTCCAAAAGATTCCTAAATTGAAGGAACTCTTAATCTGCCCAAAGTTTTTCCACTAGGGCCCTAGCAGTGTACAATACTTTTACCATGCTTGTTTCAAGAGATTCTGTTAACCTAGCTCTGAATGACTTGGATCTGGTGCAGCAGCATTCCAATCCATATCATTATATAGTAGTAGAATCTGCCTCTAATGTGATGCCTCTGAACTCCGACAGCACACAGGAATTAGGAAGGAAGTTCTTTAAAAATAATCTCACCCCCCATGGTTTTAAAGTCAAGAGCTATGAGCTAGGACAGGAGCCTTAATTATTTTTTAAAATGTCCTAGGGGTATGAGTATGTGCTGAGAAGCACTTTTCTGCTCTTTTAAAAATGACTGAATTATTCTTCTTTATGTTTTAACCTCCCTCTTTGATTTTTTTTTCAACATATGCTTATTGTTTGCTGGAATTGAGTGCCTAGTTTGTTGCGCTATTTCTGCACATTCTGCACTGTAATTGTTCTTTTTTGTTTGTTTTTAACTTTTTTTAATAGATTTTTTTCTTGGGAGTTTCCCTTAGTGAGAACCATAGATCTGCCAAATATATCCACTGTTTAAAAAATTTTATTCTTCCTTCTTACCTTGAGTTTGATAATCCCACCCAGGAGCCATATTTGCTTTATAGGTGGTAAATTGCAAAAAAAAAAAAAAAACAACAAAAAAACGATATCCGACCCGTATCTCTGTTGTGGAGCTGTGTGCCCTTACATGGTGTGTGTCTACCCAAAGCACAGAGCAACTTGTTTTCAGTTGGCAAAATTTTGCCTATCAGATAGCCATGGGCCCTACTTAAAGTTTTCTCTAACTTTGATTCTTTATTAAATCCTAATTTAATATACTTTTCAGCCTGGTGGCCCAGGGCACACGTAATACCTGTATCCCACCTATTTTGAAGAAGTCCCCTTAGAACTAACCCAGTAGTTCTTACAGTGTCTTACAATTGTCTCTCTGGTCTTCTCTAAGATCTCTACCAGTTTTATATAATTATCTGAGATACCTGTATCAATTCTTAGGTGCTTGTTTTTTATTGTATAACTTCTTAGTATTTCCCTGGACCCTAAATCTCCCCTGGGAAGTTATTCCAGTCTTTGATCTTGACATTTGAGGCTTTAGTTGTACTAGCTGGTCTGTTAACAACTAAAACAACATTCTATTTTCAGATACCCTTTCTACTTCATTTCCCTTTGTCTATCTCTCTGTCCTGCCCTTCCAAAATTTATTTTGTAAGTTATAACTTCTTTAATTTCTTCCTAAGATTTAACATTCCTTTTGAGGAACTATCTCTTTCCCTAAAATAGTCAGCTTTTCTTTTGTTTTGATTCTTTGCTGCTCCTTACCTAATGGGAAAATTGAAGCAGTTTTTCTAGTCATTTCAATTTGTCTTTGATTCTCTGAGCAAGTATTATTCTCAGAGCCTGAAGTTCCAAGCACAGGTCTTTGTAAGAACCTCGTCAGCCTTTGGGTTTCTAATCATTTCATTGTTTATCTCCTTAAATAAAAGTAGATAGGATAGTCTTATAAGTTTCCTTCTTATTAAGAAAAATCTGACACTGATGAGTAAATGAAGCTACATTTTACTACTGAAAAACTAAAGCCATAGTCAGAGCTTTTATATTTAATCAAATTTAGTAATGAACTTGAGACCAAGGACAGAGAGCAGAACTTTGGCTGCCAGGCAGATTTCAGATAAAGAGAAGCCTGATCGTACATCTAGCTCATTCTTCTAAACTTGATAATCAGATAGGTCAATTCTTTGCTGAAGAAAAATGAGCAAATAGGTGGCGAGACGCTAGGAGAGTTTTTCTAATGGAAGATTCTTTTACAAGGAAAAAAAACTTTAGAAGAACAACAGATGTTTTCTTCCCTAATGCTTAGTATTAGTTCCAATGCAGTTCCCTGAGTGAATGGGATGTGGAATGCCGGGCAGGGGAAGTGTACTATAATATTAAAGGCCTCAAAGCTATTCTGAAAACAAACTGGAATAACTACTCCACCAGAGATTAAAGACAGTGTGGATTGCAGTATATGACTCTTAGTTAACTGGGATTTTCTTTAGTTCTGCAGTTGATAGTTCTCTTACTTATTTTAATAAAAAACAATGATAGCAGAATTCAAATGTATGTAAAATATGATAATGTTTACATTAGAACACATGTTCTTTTATATTTTATTTTATTTCCAACAATAAAGTAGTAAATTTACTACAGAAAATGTTTAGAAGTATTGAAAAGTAGAAAAATGTTTAGTCCTATCAAATGGAAATGATGCAGTTCAATGTTGTCATATGTAAGACCACTTACAAAATTTTATTTTCCTACTGTAGCAATAACTGACAAGAAATTATCATAAATAATAAGATACTAATGCAAATATTCATAAAAATAATATTGATCTCAACAAAAAATGTCTTTTATGAAAAAAATCTTAAAAATAGAGCAAAAGAAAAATTTAAATCAATGAGGAGAAAAATATAAACTAATTAAAATTATAAAAATTAACTTGTAGCTATCTAATTCTACAATTCTATAATTTAAAATTTGAGAAATTTGAAAAAAATGTAAATTAGTATGAAAAATAAAGGTCTTAGTGAAGGTAAGCTAATGCTGAGAAAGGGAGTGTACGGTAAGACACATTACAAAGCCACATTAATGAAACCAGCACGGGATCAATGAAAGAACAAATAGATAGACTGACGCAACAGAGAAAAAAAATAGATTGCAGACTCCTTCCTTAAATGTTTGGTAAAAATCAATAGTGAAACCGTGTGTGTGTTTCTGTGCATGCGTGGTGTGTGTTAAGGGACGGTTTTAACTACAAGATAATTTCTTTAATAGACAAGGTCTATTTAGGTTTTCTATTTCCTCTTAAGTGAACCCTGGTCATTTTAGACTTTCAAGGAATTTTTTCTATTCAGCTAAGCTGCCAAATGTAATGTCATGACACTTTTAAAAATATTTCCTTATTATTCTTTCAGTAGCTTCCAGATCTTTAATGGTGTCCCCCTTTTATCCTCACCTTGGCAATTTATGTTTATTCTCTTTTCATCAGTCTGCTAAAGGGTTATCCATCTATTATCCATTTTATTTATTTATCTCCTCAAAAAAACAGCTTTTGCTCTTGTTAATTTTGTCTACTATTTTTGCCTTTCATTTATTTTATTTCTACTCTTAAATTTTCTTTGTCCAGCTTTCATTGGGTTGAATTTGCTCTTCTTTTTCTCTCCTCTTCAGATGGAAGCCTAGATTGTTGTAATGAAAACTTCTTTTTCAGTCTAGGTGTTTAGTGCTGTCAATTGCTTGATATTTAATGCTTTAGCTACATCACACAAAAATAATTTTTATGTTCTATTTCTATTGTCATTCAATTCAAAGTAATTTCCATTTTTTAATATTTTTTTCTTTGAACATTGAGTTAAATATGTATTGTTTACTTTCCAAATATTTTGGAAATTATATATTTCTTTTATTTATAATTTAATTTTACTGTGGTTAGAACACAAACTTTTTATCATTTTTCCTTTAAGTCTTTGTGGGATCTATATTGTTAAGGCATATTCATTATATAATACTGTTTAACCTCGTATACTCTTAGTTATACAGAAGAATATATATTTAATGTTCTCTGCCAGTACTTTGTCAATGTGGCTCGTTATTTTTATTGTGTAGAACTTGTTCCCTGGAAGATTCCTTAGGCAGAACTTATAGCTTAATTTAACCTGAGTTCTTGCCTGTTGTCAACTGTTTGCAAGTTGTATAATCTGAGTGTAAAATCCTCACCTTTCAATCTCTTTCCTTGAATATACTAAAATGTTTATGTCATCTTCTTCTGGAACAACTCATTAATATCAAAAGTATAAAATGAATCATTTGACCTGTTCCTTTAGGTAGATTTATTTTTTCCTGAAGTCAAGTAATTGTTCATTTAGAGTCAGCTTATGTAGTGTGTTTTCTCAAGATGTAATTCTGAATCTTTGTATTAGCTTCAGGACATTTTTTCTTGGATTAAACTACTTTTCTTTCTCAAAGTCCCTCTTATATCTCTGTTAAATAAACGTCATTTATTTGATAAATGTTTCCTCTTTTTTTGAATTGAGTTAATGTCTTTTATTCATTTTTAAAATTACTCTTTTTTTCTAGTTTTAGGGCGCTAATCGCTGTTTATTTACCTTTGCAATCTTTTTAACATTCTCTTCATCTGTGGGCATTTTTTCTAGTTTTCTCTTTGAATAATATCACTTCTTTATTAATTTTTTAATTTAAATTTATGTAATTTTTCCATAATCCTGTACTTTTATGGATACTTTTTATTTTGAAATAATAAGCTATTATTTTAATTTAACTATAGGCATGATTTCCTAGCATGCATTTGTTATCTATAGATATGTTATTTTGCTTCTTATTCTCTTTTATTATAACTTTTTGCGGGCTTGACCCTTTTCTTTTTCTATTAGTTTTTACATTAATTTGGTTTTACTCAGCGTTCAGAAGATTAAAGTTCAAGGTAGCTTTTCTGGCTTAACCTGGCTGTCTCTTTCGTTATTTTCATGTACTTAAATAAATATGGCAGCTTACTTTTTAAAATCTTCTGGATCTGATCTCCTCTCTCAATTTTATGGGGAACTCATCTTTCATTTTTTTCTATTGTTCTTGTGATGCTCACTTTTTGTTCTTTTCTCTGCAGCTTTTTTAGTTTTGAGAATTCCGAGACTCAGAAAGCTCCAGCATCCTACAGATATTACTGCTTTAGTTTTAGACTCATCTACTGTTGCAGGGTATAAAATTCTCTCCAGTTCCAACTATTAATTTTAAACTGTCCCTCTGAGATTTACAATGAGTAACTTGTTAACTTTCTGTGTCAACCTGACTGGGTTAACGGATATTGAAATAATCGGTAAGGCATTATTTCTTTGTATGTTCATGAGGGTATTTCAGAAAAAGATTCACATTTAAATTAGGACACAGAGCTCACCAGTGTGGACAGGCATCATCCAATCCTTTAACTGTCTGGATAGAACTAAAAAGCAAGTGAAGGACGAATTTGCTTTCTCTGGCTCTTGCCTTGACACATTGTCGCTCTTTGTTCTCAGGCCTTTGGACTCATACTAAATTATACTACCAGCGTCTCTGGTTCTCCTGCATGCAGAAGGCAGATGGTGGTATTTCTCAATTTCCTCAATCGTGTGAACCAATTTCCATAATAAATCAATCTTTCTCTCTCTCTCTCTCTCTCACACACACACACACAAATACACACACACACATTAATGAGGATTCTTCAGAGAAACAGAACCAACAGTACACAACACATACCCTATTGGTTTCTCTGTTTCTCTGCAGAACATTGACTAATACATACCTAACGACAATTTTGTAATTTCTACATCTTTCACAAGAGCTATTTTTTCTCATTTGTTTCTCCTACATATTTACCATGTAAGTATTATAGTGATTAGTGGTTTGTCCCCCTTCACACATACTTCTGAGTTCATGGTAATATATTGTCATCGACATCTCTGTACATATTATATGTTCATTTTAGTATTCTAGTTACTGTCCCTAGTTTCAGAAAAATTAAAAGAAAGATATCTATATCATTGTTTCAGTCATCTTAAAAGTTCCCCAAAACACTCCTTTACACACTTTCAACTAGTAAACATTTGAAAAAATGATTTTCAGAAAGTGCTGGTAGAATTTAGGGGTATGGAAAATCGTCATGTATAGCTGATGAGAAAATAGCCTTTTTCAGCTTTTCAGGAACAAAATCTCTCTATCTATCTATCTATTTATCTATTTACCTATTAATCCATCCATCCATATGTATCCATGAATTCTGCTTCTATATAGATTTTCTAGTAAAATTCTCACTGAAATGAGAATCTTCGTTTCAGTTTTGTTTGTGCTGTTGGGGATTTGAAGGCAGCCTAGGAATCTATTATTGACAGAAGTGAAATAATAAAGGTATTACACCATCAAATATTATGCAACAGTTTGAATGAGTAATAAGATGTAACCAAAACAACACGGCTAGATGTTGAAAGCATACTGATGAATTAAACATGAAAATTAACCTTTTTCTAAACAAAATATTTTACATATAAGTTAATACAAACACAGGCAAACACAAACACATACATAGTATGAACATATTTTATGTATGGTAACATATAAAGTATGATTATATACTTGTATATACATGTAGCCATACTTTATATGTATGCTTTTAATGGAAAATGAATAAAAAGATTGAGGGTCAAAGAACAAAAGTGTAACCAACTCACTTCCTTTTACTTCGTTGCAAAGGAAAACACTATTATTGAAATTTTTATATATTTTTATTTAAGCTTTCTTTTAGATGTTATTCTTTGTTTTCCTCATAATAATATTGCTTAAGTATTCTCCAACATTTAAAAATATTCCCTAGAAACATATATTCTAATGGTTGTATAATATTACATTCTCTGTGATGAGGTTCAGTTCAATGCCTAGATAAAGGAACTACATGTAAAATAAGAGAATATGCTTCAGAATGTTGCCTAAGGCGTGTGAGATGAATGAGAAATAGGAGCCAGAATAAAATGATATAAGTACATAAATAAATCAAGAGACAGCTCTTGAATGGGCACGGTGGCTCACTCCTGTAATCCCAGCACTTTAGGAGGCCAAGGCGGGTGGATCACTTGAGGTCAGGAGTTCCAGACCAGCCTGACCAACATGGTGAAACCTCTTGTCTACTAAAACATACAAAATTAGCTGGGCATGGTGGCACACACCTGTAATTCCAGGTACTTGGGGGCTGAGGCAGAAGAATCGCTTGAACCCGGGAGGCGGAGGTTGCAGTGAGCTAAGATCACACCATTGCACTCCAACCTGAGCAACAAGAGCAAAACTCCATCTAAAAGAAAAAAAAAAGAGACAGCTCTTAAACTCACAGTAGAGGTTAAAGTTCAAAGCTGTACGCTTAATGCAATTTCCTTTACAAAGTTACAAACAAATAAATAAAATATATTTAATCATCTAATTTTAGTTTTTATCCTTATTATAATTGCTTTTAGTGGAAAATGAATACAAGGATTAAGAATCAAAGAACAAAACTATAACCAACTCACTTCCCTTTATGTCCTTGCAAAGGAAAACACTATTACTAAAAGTTTGGTATATTTTTATTTGGGCTTTCTTATAGATACTATTCTTTGTTTTCCCTGTAATGATATTGCTAAAGTATTCTCCAACATTAAAAAATATTCCCCAGAGGCAGACTTAAATTTCCGTGTCTGACAGCTTTGAAAAGAGTAGTGGTTCTCCCAGCACGGAGTTTGAGATCTGAGAACAAACAGACTGCCTCCTCAAGTGGATCCCTGATCCTCGAGTAGCCTAACTGAGAGGCATCCCCCAGTAGTGGCAGACTGACACCTCACATGGCCAAGTACCCCTCTTGAGACGAACCTTGCAGTGGAACGATCAGGTAGCAACATTTGCTGTTCAGCAATATTCGCTGTTCTGCAGCCTCTGCTGCTGATATCCAGGCAAACAGGGTCTGGAGTGGACCTCCAGCAAACTCCAACAGACCTGCAGCTGAGGGTCCCGGCTGTTAGAAGGAAAACTAACAAACAGAAAGGACATGTGAAAAGACCAAATCTGTGTCTGACTGGTGAACCTGAAAGTGATGGGGAGAATGGAACCAAGTTGGAAAACACTCTACAGGATATTATCCAGAATTTCCCAACCTAGCAAGGTAGGCAAACATTCAAATTCAGGAAACACAGACCACGCCAAAAGATACTCCTTGAGAAGAGCAACTCCAAGACACAAAATTGTCAGATTCACCAAAGTTGAAATGAAGGAAAAAATGTTAATGGCAGCCAGAAAGAAAGGTAGGGTCACTCACGAAGGGAAGCCCATCAGACTAACAGTGGATCTCTCGGCAGAAACTCTATAAGCCAGAAGAGAGTGGGGGCCAATATTCAACATTCTTAAAGAAAAGAACTTTCAACCCAGAATTTCATATCCAGCCAAACTAAGCTTCATAAGTGAAGGAGAAATAAAGTACTTTACAGACAAGCAAATGCTGAGAGATATTGTCACCACCAGGCCTGCCCTAAAAGATCTCCTGAAGGAAGCGCAAAACATGGAAAGGAACAACCGGTACCAGGCACTGCAAAATCATACCAAAATGTAAAGACCATCGAGACTAGGAAGAAACTGCATCAACTAACGAGCAAAATAACCAGCTAACATCATAATGACAGCATCAAATTCACATATAACAAAATTAACCTTAAATGTAAATGGGCTAAATGCTCTGATTAAAAGACACAGACTGACAAATTGGATAGAGTCAAGATCCATCAGTGTGCTGTATTCAGGAGACCCATCTCACTTGCAGAGGCACACATAGGCTCAAAATAAAGGTATGGAGGAAGACCTACCAAGAAAATGGAAAACAAAAAAAAGCAGGGGTTGCAATCCTAGTTTCTGATAAAACAGACTTTAACAAAGACAAAAAGAGACAAAGAAGGCCATTACATAATGGTAAAGGGATCAATTCAACAAGAAGAGCTAACTATCCTAAATATATATGCACACAATATAGTAGCACTCACAGTCTTAAAGCAAGTCCTTAGAGATCTACAGAGAGACTTAGACTCCCATACAAAAATAATGGGAGATTTTAACACCCCACTGTCAACATTAGACAGATCAACGAGACAGAAAGTTAACAAGGATATCCAGGAATTGAACTCAGCTCTGCACCAAGCGGACCTAATAGACATCTACAGAACTCTCCACCCCAAATCGAGAGAATATACATTCTTCTTAGCACCACATCACATGTATTCCAAAACTGACCACACAGTTGGAAGTAAAGCACTCCTCAGCAAATGTAAAAGAACAGAAATTATAGCAAACCGTCTCTCAGACCACATTGCAATCAAACTAGAACTCAGGATTAAGAAACTCACTCAAAACCGCTCAACTGCATGGAAACTGAACAACCTGCTCCTGAATGACTACTGGGTACGTAACGAAATAAAGGCAGAAATAAAGATGTTCTCTGAAACCAATGAGAACAAAGATACAACATACCAGAATCTCTGGGACACATTTAAAGCAGTGTGTAGAGGGAAACTTATAGCACTACATGCCCACAAGAGAAAGCAGGAAAGATCTAAAATTGACACTGTAACATCACAATTAAAAGAACTAGAGAAGCAATAGCAAACACATCCAAAAGCTAGCAGAAGGCAAGAAATAACTAAGATCAGAGCAGAACTGAGGGAGATAGAGACACAAAAAGCCCTTCAAAAAATCAATGAATCCAGGAGCTAGCTTTTTGAAAAGATCAACAAAATTGATAGAACGCTAGCAAGACTAACAAAGAAGAAAAGAGAGAAGAATCAAATAGACACAATAAAAAATGATAAAAGGGATATCACTGCCGATCCCACAGATATACAAACTACCATCAGAGAATACTATAAACACCTCTATGCAAATAAACTAGAAAATCTAGAAGAAATGGGTAAATTCCTGGATACATACACCCTCCCAAGACTAAACCAGGAAGAAGTTGAATCCCTGAATAGACCAATACTAGGCTCTGAAATTGAGGCAATAATTAATAGCCTACCAACCAAAAAGAGTCCAGGATCAGATGGATTCACAGCTGAATTCTAGCAGAAGTACAAGGAGGATCTGGTACCATTCCATCTGAAACTATTCCGGTCAATAGAAAAAGAGGGAATCCTCCCTATCTCATTTTATGAGGCCAGCATCATCCTGATTCCAAAGCCTGGCAGAGACACAAGAAAAATAGGAGGGTTTTAGACCAATGTCCCTGATGAACATCGATGCAAAAATCCTCAATAAAATACTGGCAAACCGAATCCAGCAGCACATCAAAAAGCTTATCCACCATGATCAAGTGGGCTTCATACCTGGGATGCAAGGCTGGTTCAACATATGCATATCAATAAACATAATCCATCATATAAACAGAACCAAAGACAAAAACCACATGATTATCTCAATAGATGCAGAAAAGGCCTTTGACAAAATTCAACAGCCTTTCATGCTGAAAACTCAATAAATTAGGTACTGATAAGACATATCTCAAAATAATAATGATTTATCACAAACCCACAGCCAATATCATACTGAATGGGCAAGAACTGGAAGGATTCTCTTTAAAAACTGACACAAGACAAGGATGCCCTCTCTCACCACTCGTATTCAACATAGTGTTGGACGTTCAGGCCAGGACAATCAGGTAAGAGAAAGAAATAAAGGGTATTCAATTAGGAAAAGAGGAAGTCAAATTGTCCCTGTTTGCAGATGGCATGTTATGTATTTAGAAAACCCCATCATCTCAGCCCAAAATCTCCTTAAGCTGATAAGCAACTTCAGCAAAGTCTCAGGATATAAAATCAATGTGCAAAAATCACAAGCATTCTTATACACCAATAACAGACAAACAGAGAGCCAAATCATGAGTGAAGTGCCATTCACAATTGCTTCAAAGAGAATAAACTACCTAGGAATCCAACTTACAAGGGATGTGAAGGACCTCTTCAAGGAGAACTACAAACCACTGCTCAACAAAATAAAAGAGGATACAAACAAATGGAAGAACATTCCATGCTCATCAATAGGAAGAATCAATATCATGAAAATAGCCATACGGCCCAAGGTAATTTATAGATTCAATGCCATCTCCATCAAGCTACCAACGACTTTCTGCATAGAATTGGAAAAAAATACTTTAAAGTTCATATGGAACCAAAAAAGAGCCCACATTGCCTAGACAATCCTAAACCAAAAGAACAAGGCTGGAGGCATCACGCTACCTGACTTCAAACTATACTACAATGCTACTGTAACCAAACAGCATTGTACTGGTACCAAAACAGAGATATAGACCAATGGAACAGAACAGAGCCCTCAGAAATAATACCACACCCTACAACCATCTGATCTTTGACAAACCTGAGAAAAACAAGCAATGGGGAAAGGATTCCCTATTTAATAAATGGTGCTGGGAAAACTGGCTAGCCATATGTAGAAAGCTGAAACTGGATCCCTTCCTTACACCTTATACAAAAATTAATTCAAGATGGATTAAAGACTTAAATGTTAGACCTAAAACCATAAAAACCCTAGAAAAAAACCTAGGCATTACCATTCAGGACATAGGCATGGGCAAGGACTTCATGTCTAAAACACCAAAAGCAATGGCACCAAAAGCCAAAATTGACAAATGGGAACTAATTAAACTAAAGAGCTTCTGCACAGCAAAAGAAACTACCATCAGAGTGAACAGGCAACCTACAGAAGGGGAGAAAATTTTTGCAATCATCTACTCATCTGACAAAGGGCTAATATCCAGAATCTACAAAGAACTCCAACAAAGTTACAAGAAAAAAACAAACAACCCCATCAAAAAGTGGGCAAAGGATATGAACAGACACTTCTCAAAAGAAGACATTTATACAGCCAACAGACACATGAAAAAATGCTCATCATCACTGGTCATCAGAAAAATGCAAATCAAAACCACAATGAGATACCATCTCACACCAGTTAGAATGGCGATCATTAAAAAAGTCAGGAAACAACAGGTGCTGGAGAGGATGTGGAGAAATAGGAACACTTTTACACTGTTGATGGGACTGTAAACTAGTTCAACCCTTGTGGAAGACAGTGTGGCAATTCCTCAAGGATCTAGAACTAGAGATAGCATTTGGCCCAGCCATCCCATTACTGGGTATATACCCAAAGGATTATAAATCATGCTGCTATAAAGACACATGCACACGTATGTTTATTGTGGCACTATTCACAATAGCAAAGACTTGGAACCAACCCAAATGTCCATCAATAATAGACTGGATTAAGAAAATATGGCACATATAAACTATGGAATACTATGCAGCCATAAAAAGGATAAGTTCATGTCCTTTCTAGGGACATGGATGAAGCTGGAAACCATCATTCTCATCAAACTATCACAAGGCCAAAAAACCAAACATCGCATGTTCTCACTCATAGGTGGGAATTGAACAATGAGAACATTTGGACACAGGAAGGGGAACATCACACACTGGGGCCTTTCGTGGGGTGTGGGGAGAGGGGAGGGAAAGGATTAGGAGATATACCTAATGTAAATGACGAGTTAATAGGTGCAGCACACCAACATGGCACATATATATACATATGTAACAAACCTGCAAGTTGTGCACATGTACCCTAGAAGTTAAAGTATAATAAAAAAAAAATCAAAGAGAATAAAATACCTAGGAATCCACCTTACAAGGAATGTGAAGGACCTCTTCAAGGAGAACTACAAACCACTGCTCAATGAAATAAAAGAGGATACAAACAAATGGAAGAACATTCCATGCTCATGGGTAGGAAGAATCAATATCGTGAAAATGGCCATACTGCCCAAGGTAATTTATAGATTCAATGCCATCCCCATCAAGCTAACAATGACTTTCTTCACAGAATTGGAAAAAACTACTTTAAAGTTCATATGGAACCAAAAAAGAGCCCACATCACCAAGTCAATCCTAAGCCAAAAGAACAAAGCTGGAGGCATCACACTACCTGACTTCAAACTATACTACAAGGCTACAGTAACCAAAACAGCATGGTACTGGTACCAAAACAGAGATACAGACCTATGGAACAGAACAGAGCCCTCAGAAATAATGCCACATATCTACAACTATCTGATCTTTGACAAACCTGACAAAAACAAGCAATGGGGTAAGGATTCCCTATTTAATAAATGGTACTGGGAAAACTGGCTAGCCATATGTAGAAAGCTGAAACTGGATCCCTTCCTTACACCTTATACAAAAACTAATTCAAGATGGATTAAAGACTTAAATGTTAGACCTAAAACCATAAAAACCCTAGAAAAAAACCTAGGCAATGCCATTCAGGACATAGGCATGGGCAAGGACTTCATGTCTAAAACACCAAAAGCAATGGCAACAAAAGCCAAAATTGACAAATGGGATCTAATTAAACTAAAGAGCTTCTGCACAGCAAAAGAAACTACCATCAGAGTGAACAGGCAACCTACAGAAGGGGAGAAAATTTTTGCAACCTACTCCTCTGACAAAGGGCTAGAATCTACAATGAACTCCAACAAATTTACAAGAAAAAAACAAACAACCCCATCAAAAAGTGGGCAAAGGATATGAACAGACACTTCTCAAAAGAAGACATTTATGCAGCCAACAGACACATGAAAAAATGCTCATCATCACTGGTCATCAGAGAAATGCAAATCAAAACCACAATGAGATACCATCTCATACCAGTTAGAATGGCGATCATTAAAAAGTCAGGAAACAACTGGTGCTGGAGAGAATGTGGAGAAATATGGACACTTTTACACTGTTGATGGTTCTGTAAGCTAGTTCAACAATTGTGGAAGTCAGTGTGACGATTCCTCAGGGATCTAGAAGTAGAAATACCATTTTACCCAGCCATCCCATTACTGGGTATATACCCAAAAGATTATAAATCATGCTGCTATAAAGACACATGCACACGTATGTTTACTGTGGCACTATTCACAATAGCAAAGACTTGGAACCAACCTAAATGTCCAACAACGATAGACTGGATTAAGAAAATGTGGCACATATACACCATGGAATACTATGCAGCCATAAAAAATGATGAGTTCATATTCTTTGTTAGGACATGAATGAAACTTGAAACCATCACTCTCAGCAAACTATAGCAAGGAGAAAAAACCAACACCCCATGTTCTCACTTATAGGTGGGAATTGAACAATGAGAACAAATGGACACAGGAAGGGGAACATCACACACCGGGGCCTGTTGTGGGGTGGGGAGAGGGGGCAGGGAAAGCATTAGGAGATATACCTAATGCTAAATGACGAGTTAATGGGTGCAGCACACCAACATGGCACACGTATACATATGTAACAAACCTGCACATTGTGCACATGTACCCTAAAACTTAAAGTGTAATAATAATAAAATTAAAAAAAATAAATAAAAAATAAAATAAAATAAAATAAATGAAAAAAATATATATATATTCCCTAGAAATGTATATTTTATAGGCTATGTAATATCACAGCCTCTGTTTTGAGGTTCAGTCCAACGTATACAAAGCCCAACATAGAAGTTACCTGTTAATTCTTTCTAACAAGCCAATGATTCTCAACTTGAAGTCCTGGCCTCCCTATGATCACAGAGCTATGGTAAAGGAGAATGGAATTTTATAATCTGTAATGTATATTTCCATACAGAGAAGACTTAGATATACTTGCAGTAGAAAAAGCAGTAGAAATTGAATATTCTTGTTCTTTTCATGTAAGCATGTGAGTATCACTGAAGACACAGTTGTATGTCTCACCTTCTCTCCACCAGAAATTTCCAGGTCTTTGGAGTTTGATGAAAAAAATTATAGGAACTCAATTTATTTGTTGAGATATTAATTTTAATACTGAATGCCCTGTCAAGGTATTGGTTGGGATACACCTAATACTTAAAATAGTGGGCAAATTACTCTGCTACTGACAGGAATGTGATTACATGAAAAGTAATTCAGTGTGGGTGGTAAATGACAGGAGGAAGTTGAAAGAAGTTTTTTAAAAGATTATTTGTGAATCATCTCCTTAGAGGTAACTAATAAGAAGATGGAATCATGACTCACAGAGTCCTGAGGAAAAAAAAATATATTAAAAAGTGGATAACAGCTTTGGTAAGCAGTAGGGGCTCTTCTAGTTAAATTACAGAATGAAGAAAAGGAAATGAGGCATTAATTAGACAATAATTTCAAATTGGAAAATACAAAGTTAAATTGTCCCTGTTTGTAGATGACACAATTCTATACATAGAAAACCGAAGACTTCGCCACAAATTGAAAATAAACTTATTTAGCAAAGTTGCAGGATGTTAAATCAATATATAAAATCAGTAACTTTTCTATACACTAACAGTGAAATATTCAAAAATGGAAACAACAAAAACAGTCTCATTTACAATAGCTAACAAAAAATGAAATACTTAAGAATAAAGTAATTTTTCCAAAGATGAAAGATCTGCACACTAAAACTAAAAAACATTGATGAAAGAAATTGAAGAAAACACAAATATATGGAAAGATATCCTCTGTTCCTGAGTTGGAAGAACTAAAATTATTTAAATGTCCATATTATCCAAAGCTATCTACAGGTTTAATGCAATCTCTAGCAAAACCACAATGACAGTTTTCATGGAAAGGAAAAACAATCCTAAAATTTGTATAGAGCTACTAAAGGCTTTAAATAGCCAAAGCAACCTTGAGGAAAAAAGAACAAACCTGGAGGCATCATACCACCTGACTTCAAAATATACTGCAAAGTTATTATAGTAAAAACAGTATGGTAGTGACATATAAATAGAAAGACAGGCCAATATAACAGAAAAGAGAGTCCAGAAATTCATATATTTCTGGTCAATTGATTTTTGACAAAGGTGCCAATATCACAAAATGGGGAAGGGACAATCTCTTTATAAGTTGTTTGGGGGCAACTGGATATCCATATGCAGAAGACCAAAATTAACCCTTATGTCAGATCATGTATAAAAATCAATTCATAATGGATAAAGACTTAAAGGCAGGACCTGAAAATGTAAAACTACTAGAAGAAAATATAGGTGAAAATCTTGATGGCATTGGTTTGGGCAATGATTTTTGGATATGAACTCAAAACCACACACAAAAGAAGCACAGATATAAATGTGATTACATCAAACTAAAAAGCTTCTGCACAGCCTAGGAAACAATCAACAGAGTGAAGAGACAACCTGTGAAATGAGAGTAAATATTTGCAAACCATATATCATATAACTAGGTAATATCCAAAGTATGTAAGGAACTTAACCATGTAGTAAGAAAAATAACCTGATTTTAAAATAATCAAGGGATCTGTACAGAAAATTTTCAAAAGATAACCAGCAGGTATATAACAAAATGCTCAAAATCCTTAATCACAAAAGAAATGCACATTGAAATGACAATGACATATTGCCTCACGTCTGTTAGAAAAGCTATTACCAAAAGAAAGAAAAAAAAGGTAATAAATGTTGGAAAGGATGTGGAGAAAAGGGAACCATGGTACACTGTTGCTAAGAACATCAGGTAGTACAGCTATTACAGAAAACAATATGGAAGTTCCTTAAAAAAAAAAATAAAACTACTCTATGACCCAACAATACCACGACAGAGTATATATCCAAAGGAAATAAAATAAATATGTTGAAGAGATGTCTATACTCCCATGTTTACTGCAACATTGTTTACAATAACAAAGGTGTGGAATAAGCCATCAATAAATGAATGTATGAAAGAAAGTGTTCTCTCTCTCTCTCTCTGCATCAGTCTATATATGCACGTGCGCGCGCGCGCACACACACACACACACACACACACACACACACACACACAGAGTAGATAGAGGAAAATACATTATATTGGTAATTAGGACCTAGATTCCACATTTGAAACTCCCAGATTTCTGACACTTAAAAAAAATTCTTATATCCTGTTGTATGTCATAGCTTTTTCATTTGTAAAATGGAAAGTTTAATTTATTGATTTCCAAGACTATAATTATAAAATATTAGAATTCTGAGTGTGACAAAAATGTGAAAGAAAAAATTATATGTAGTAATATAAATGAAACAATTTTGATTTTTCATGCACATTATATTAAGAAATATACAGTATATGATTTCAATAATATTGTTAATTACCTATTTTCACATATAAATATTGAGCTATGCACATTCTCTAAAAATGTCTTTTTATACTTTTTATATCTTCTACCTGCAATAAAAAAATCTTAGAACATAGGCCAAATGAAAATGTACAGAAAAATAAGACTTTGAGTGATATCAATCATATACTTTGCTCATCTGGATGCAGCAGAAGCATGGATTAGTGGCATAGCCTGGGTTGAAGCCAAAGGACATCACAATAAAGGGCCTTGAGCCTTTCCTCTGGCCAGATGTGTACATGAGGCACATGCTTTCTTTCCTAGATATGTATCTCACTCTGGGAAAGAGCCAGACAAACAGGCCTATGCCTGAGATATTTGAGTGACTGAGAAATTTTTCCTGGTAAGACTGATCATTGTCTAAATGGAATCTTAAATCACAAAACTGGATTTACATTATTCAAATTATTAATATAATTTAAATTTGTCAAATTTGAAAGGCTCTTTAAATTTGTTAAAAGACAAAAATTCAACAAATTTTGTTTAAATATCTAATTGGCCTTCATTAGCAATTTGTGAATCAGAGAGCTTCTCATCTAAAGATTTACAAAAGGCACTCAGATGAGCTGAGCAGAGGAGACTGGCTTTATAGGCAGAAAGGGCTGAAGAGATTAGAAAAATGGAACACAAAGCAGATTGGCTAGCATTTGTTAGATTACTCCAGGTTTCTTTCCTTTTTAGGGTTAAAGCAGAGGAGACGTTTTGTTTTTTATCATGTCTGATAAAACAGGAATGTTTGGGGATTTGGCTATTATCTTTCTCTGTTCTGATTTCTTGGTAAGTCAGATAAACAACTTAGTGTCAGTTTGTTAAATAAAGAAGTTTAGCACGAGTGACTCCATTTTGGTTTTGTCTGTTGAAGCCTAGTGCAGGAACTCAATCCAAACCAATGACTTCCTATAAATTTATTTAACAAATTATTGAATTGGATTAAGTTTTAAACATAAAATATCCAAAGTAGAAATTTTTCCTTTAACCCATAGTGAAACGTGGGGAGTAACAGACATTGGTTACAGGCAAACTAAATTAGGCATATTTCTCTCTGTATATCTGAGGTATTGTGAGTTTGATTTGGACTCCCATATATGCCACTTTATAAATCAGAGATCTTGGGCTGTATTCTCTTCCTGTTATGTTTAGATATATTGATGACTTCTAGAGTAGAGTATACCCTATATAAAAAGAAACAGCTTTTCATATGTGCCCAAGCTACAAAGTTCAAGGCAAGGGACCTTAGCGAGATCAGTCAAGGATTCATTGAGATTTCCAAACAAGAAGTTTAAACAACATGGCAGTGCACTCTAATAACTTATATAGCTGCATCACTATATGATAAGGAAGTTCCTTCTTAAATGTCTTCTTATTTTATTCTTGATGAGGTGTTCTTAATTTCCTAGTAGCAACCCTATCAATAGGAGTTAGGAATCCAAGGAGGTGAGGGTGGAGTAGGCATAAAATGTAAGTAGGTCATGTATGGCCCTTTATTTGCTTATTAAATAAATAACTGTTGATCACCTATGTTGTATCAGGCACTGCTCTGTGTGGTGGAGTTGAAAGGGTAAACAAGACAGACATGAAGTTTATGTTGCAATGAGGTGAGTTAGAGACAATAAAGCAACAAGATCATTTCAAATGGCATTAACTGCTATAAAGAAAATAAAACAAATTCATTTAATCAAGAGTTTGGGAAGTATGGAAGTTTGAAGCAGATGATGAGGGACAGACTCTGTGAAAAGCAATCATTTTTAACTAAATCAGAAGCATACGATAGGGTCAATCATATAACAATGGAGTTCAAGTGAGAATTTGGGCAAAGGAAATAGGCCACAGGGATCAACCTTGGTTACAGCAAGACAACAGAGATTAGTTTGGTTAGTGTGAGGGGCTGGGTGGGAGACAGGCGTTTGTAGAATTTGTCAGGGCTTAATTAAACAAAACCATGCTAAGTAGTTTGGATTTCTAAGTAGAATTATGTAATAGATAATATTGGTCCCCCAATTCCTTAGGATCTATATGACTATTTTTGTGCATATTTCAGTTTCTGTGCACTTTTCTTCTATGAATCTTGTTTGGAGGAATGTCCTCAAGATACTGGAGCCTGCCTGGTCCACACTTCAGAGAAATATCTGAAAATGTATGCCCACGATCTTCCACCCAATAATTAGATAATTAATAGGTGCAGCTTGTAGTTGGGAAAACACAGAGGCTGAATTTTCTCTTCAGAGTTCCTCTGTGGGATTAGGCTGAAGCTGCGCTTTACGGGATTTTGCCTGTGATGACACCCTCACTTGGATTTTGTCCTTTCTTGTCCTGCTTTCTCAGCTCTTCCCTGGGGACAGCTCCTTACCAGTTTCCCTGGGAACAATTTCTTATCAAATCACTTGCATACCAAAGCTCAGCTTACATTCCATCTGGGACACTCACCCTCTGACCAGTTGGAAGACTTTGGAGAAATCTAAAGAGAAAAACAAAAACTGACTAATGTTAAAAATATCACTGCGGCAGTTGTGTGAAGAATGGATAATGGGGGCTGGGGGAAAGCAGGGAATAAGGAACAAAGGTAGGCAGGTTGTATTAGGCTGTTTTTGCACTGTTATAAAACAATACCTGAGACTGACTATAAGAAAAGAAGTTTAATTGGTTCATGGTTCTGCAGGCTGTACAGGAAGCATAGCACTGGTATCTGCTTTTGGGGAGGCCTCAGGAAGCTCACACTCATGGTGGAAGGTGTACGGGGATCCTGGACATCACATGGCGAAAGCAGTGGGGAGAGAGAGTGGATGGAGAGGTGCCACACACTTTTAAATGACCAGATCTTTAAGAACTCATTCGCCATGGTGAAGCTACCAAGCCATGAGGGATCCACCCCCATGACCAAAATGCTCACAACCAGGCCCCATCTCCAGCATTGGGGATTACAATTCAACATGAGATTTGAGTAAAGACAGATGTCCAAAGTGTATCACAGATGAATGAAACCAAAATATTTCTCCTTGAAATATTGAGAATTGTTAAGTTAATGTCACTAAAAACATAGGAGAATGCTCTGCCTCAGCCTCTATTTGCCTGGTGGCAGGACATCGTTCCCTCCTTACTGGAGACGACACTTGCTTATGGGCCCAGGGAAGGCACTAGCAAGCACCAGAAGAATCTGGGAACAGATTTTACAATCTTTTCACATGTTCCTGCCTTTTAAAAGACTGGAACTGCTCTCTCCTCTGTCTTATCACTAGATAGGATTTATGGCTCTTTGTTAAAGTACTATTTAAGCAAGGCCCATAAACCACTACCTTGAGAGAGAAATACTTTTAAACTGAGGCCTCTCCTGCGTGATGGGTACAGCATGTTTTAATAAACTTCTGGTTGTTTTTACTTTTCTGTTAATTTGACTTTTTGTTTTTAGGAGATGTCTCAACTAAGAATTTTAAAAGAAACTATGATTTCTCCCCTACAATTTTTCAATGCAGCCTGGAAAAGCAGAGATAATTCACTTGTTCTGGGACCTATAGAGGGAATCCTGAAAGAGAACTGGCAAAAGTCCACAGAAAAAGGTAAGGTTTCTTACTCAAGCCAGCTTCTCCCTCTGTGGTACCTGGTGGAGAGAGGAAAGTAAATTCTTTTCCTTGTCCCTGCCTTTCCAGGTTCATATTAACAGGAAAAAAAATCTGTAAAAAATGGTTATTTGAATTTGTGACTCTTGTAGATTTGTTGTACATACTTATTTGGTTATTGATTTGTCATTTTCCTAGGATGGTCTTTGTTTTCCTTGTTTCTGTATCTTCGTATGGTTTGTCATGAGAAGAAAAAGCCTCATAAGGTTCTCCTTTTGTCTTGTTTTATTTCTTAAGAAGTTTGGCTTTCTAACGAGCAAGTTTATTTTCTCATCTCTAACACCTTGAAGGGCACAGATTTTGTTAATCGTGTAAGGCAGCCATGTGGGAGTTCAGTTGGGGGTCCCAAATGTCTGTTTGTCCAAATGTGCCAGCTTTTGGGAATTGTTCTTAATTATCTCAACTTTCATTGCCTTGCTAATAAGGAGGGATATTACTTTCTTAGAGCCTCTTTTTGGTTTATTTTATCTTATTTTTTTCTAGAAACAGCGTATCGCTCTCTCACCCAGACTACAGTGCAGTAGCATGATTATGGCTTACTACAGACTCAATCCCCTGGGCTCAAGTGATCCTCCTGCCTCCGCCCCCTGGAGTGGCTAGGACTACAAGCATGCACCAGCACACCTGGCTAATTTTTAAATTTTTTGTAGAGATGGGGGTCTCACTATATTGCCCAGGATGAGCTCAAACTCCTGGCCTTTAGCAATCCTCCTGCCTTGGTCTCCCAAAGCACTGGGTTATAGCCTTGAGCCACTGCACCCATACTCTTTGGAAGAAACTTTAGATCTTGAGGGGTCACTACGTTTTTATACTCTCTTTAGGGATGCTATTCTTGCATCGGATTGTAAGCCATAAAAAGGCTTACTGGCCCAGCGTGGTGGCTCACGCCTGTAATCCCAGCTTTTTGGGAGGCCAAGGCAGGCAGATCACGAGGTCAGGAGTTCAAGACCAGCCTGACCAACATGGTGAAACCCCGTCTCTACTAACAAAATACAAAAATTAGCTGGGTGTGGTGGCGTGCACCTGTAATCCCAGCTACTCGGGAGGCTGAGGCAGGAGAATCATTTGAACCCAGGAGGCGGAGGTTGCAGTGAGCAGAGATTGTGCCATTGCTCTCCAGCCTGGGTGACAGAGCAAGACTTTGTCTCAAAAAAAAAGGCTTACTGGTGCTAAGTTACAATTAAAAGTGGATATACCTTTGAAAATTTGGACTTTTGTATCTAAAAGTATTTTTTTAAAGAGAGCCTTCTCAGTCCCTTGGAGTTGTAAATTCTACCACGGCTTTAAAACGTTAACATAGAGGAGATCAGTTAAGTAGTATTCTAGCAGAGATCAGATTTGAAAGAGAGTTACATTTCAGAAAGAAAAAGCCAAGGAAACAAGGCACAAGAATATTTGCCATTTGCCCAGCTAATATCTGCTAATTTTTTAAAGACTTACATATTTAAAATTTTACCTATAGTATACATATATTTAGGTTATATATATATATGTGTGTGTGTGTGTGTGTGTGTGTTTGTGTGTGTGTATTCTTAAGACTTCTGTTCTCTCTCTACAGAGGCTTCTCAGTTGACTAAATTCCTCTCTTTGTAAATCCCTGCTAACTATTAATCTATAAACTCCCTCTGCCTGTTTATCCTCTTGGTGACATAATTTTTGCCACAAGGACTTGCTCTTTCATTTACTTTTCTCTGTCCCTGCTTCCAGTTGCTATCCCTGAGGTCACATGAGGAAACCTAAGGAAGATTTCTAACGACACTAGGACCTCTTGAGAAAAACAGAAAAGATGCCAAAGAAAAACAGAGAGGTTTCCTTTTTTTGGGAAGGAAACTTCATTATTTTCTCATGGAACAGCAATATTTCTAAGTGGACAGATTCCTTGCAACTCCAAGAGTTGAAAGTAGACAAATCTAAAGCTCTCTGCTCTTTTGTATTAAACTCCTTGATCTCTTTGGCTTTTAGATGCATATATATGTGCATATGTATTTTATATGTTGTATTTACATGTATGTATATGTCTATACACATATTTGTATATTGTCTACATGGTACCAAATTAACTCAAAGGCAGATAAGTACCCATAAAGAAAATAAATAGCCCAAATATTTTTCAAGCTCATGTGATGTGAATACATTTTTTTTGATGAATAAGACTAGTTTAAAATTCTTGGTTTAATAAAAAGAACTATGTCTTGAGCTATTAGCAAAACATACATGTGTTTAATTTTTTTTGTTGTTGTTTTTTGAGACGGAGTCTTGCTCTGTTGCCCAGGCTGGGGTGCAGTGGCGCAATCTCGGCTCACTGCAAGCTCTGCCTCCCAGGTTCACGCCATTTTCCTGCCCCAGCCTCCCAAGTAGCTGGGACTACAGGCGCCTGCCACCACGCCCGGCTAATTTTTTTTTTCTTTTTTTTTTTTGTATTTTTAGTAGAGATGGGGTTTCATCGTGTTAGCCAGGATGGTCTCGATCGCCTAACCTCGTGATTCTCCCACCTCGGCCTCCCAAAGTGCTGGGATTACAGGCGTGAGCCACTGCATCCAGCCACATGTGTTTAATTTTAAGGTTCTTTATTTTATGGTACTTGCCTAACATATGGTAATATAAAAATGGTGAATAGAAAATTTAACTTGAGATGATGGCTAGATTTATCTAATGTCTCATAAAATTTTCCAACCATAATTGTTAAGATTAAATAAATAAAATAGATGAAAGTGAGATAAAGCTTATAAATGAAGTTTTAATCATTGCTTTTATGTTTAATGAAAAATATTTCTCAATTCTTTATGGTAACAATAACCTAAACATTTTGCTCAGCTAAGTTAAATGATAGATAGTCATTAAATATATACATCATTTTCAAAAAAGATGAAATGCTAAGACACTGATTACTAAATCTAGGCTTCTTATTTCAGAAAGACAAAAGATCTTTAGATATATTAGTAAATATATTCTGTTCCACGTTGAAAAATAATTCCATTAAAAAGCTGTATTTCTAAAAATCATAAAATGTGTATTAATAAATTGCTAGTACATGACTGACAATTAAAAATTATCCACTTCTTAGGTATTCACTATAAAGATTCCTAAAAATTAAAATTCTGGCTAATATGTGGTCACTAAAAGTTGCAATAAAAAGGGAAACAATTCTGTATACAGAATATATAATAAATGTAAGACTTTTTCATAAAGGAGATTATGACATTTGAAACTATGTTTTTGTTAAAAAAGTGATTTTTTTCTAGTTTATATGTCACTTTAGAATAAATGAAGAAAGGAAGCAATTAAATAAACTAAGTGGATATAGAAGTTGGAGAAAAAGGAAAATTGAAAAACATTATAAGACATAGTAAAAGGTTTAGAGAAATCTTGTGTGGTCAAAACTAATTAAGATTGGATGGATTTATTTATAAGGTTTTATTGAAATTATATTTAGTATGAATAATACAACTGATACAAAGATAGAATTTGATTTTCTCTTTTGAATACGATTTTTTTGTATATTATTAATAAGAGATAATAGAAGACTTTGGTTTTCCTTTTGAGAAAACTACAAAAAAAAATAAAAACAGAGAGAAATGTTTGTTTCACCCTATCTTTATTAGGTCTTTTTTTCAAAAAACTCTGTCTCCTACCAATCAGAGAGTAAAGGTTTTTACTTTTTGGAATCTGTTAATTATCACTTTGACTAAATAAATGATGATTATTTCACAGTGACCTGTGATCCTATTGTGATAAAGTGTTTTGTACCTTTGACACATTTGACAAGCTTCTCAAAATCAGATTTCAAATTCTAAATTAAGTCTTTTTGACCTCAAACTAACTTTTAGACATTCAAAAAAAGAGACAGAAGTCCAAAAGAGACATATTAGGCTTATTTGATATCTTAAATTATAGGGGAAGCATTGTCAAATAAAAAATAATGTTTAACCTTATTTGTGTTATATTTATATAAATGTGTTATTAATATGTGCTCCAAAATTGTATGAGATTTTTAAAAATTATGATACGTCTTGGTATATGTTACCAGTCAAAATTCTGATTATTATATTAAATTGTTGTATGCCTTAGAAATTACCAAATTTCCTTGTCAATTGCATCCTTAGCCATAGCTATTCTAAGGGTTTTGTCATCCACAGGCATTTATTGTTTTACTTTTATTCTTCTCAAAAGACTGTTTACAATTGGCTATAGTATAAAATTTGCTTCTTATTCAAGAAAATTAATGGAAAAGGATCATGACAAATACTTTTAAATATAGATTTCTGATAACTTTGTAGATCATACCATTGGACTGTGTAAAAATTTTAAGAACTCAAATGAAAACATTGATGGGTTCATAAAGATTACTAGCCCAACTTTTAGAAGAACATGACTTAATCACATAGGACTAAACTTGATACAGGAATAAAATGATTTTTTCAGGACTTCCTTTTGCTTAAATTATTATTGATTATTTTTATGTATTTCTTTCTGGAGTCAAGGAAACTATTTTCTTCTAATAAGCTACATATAGCATGCAGCAATTGGGTAAAATATGCTTTTGTCAGCAAAATTTAAACATTTGCCTTTGTCTCTACTTGATTCCTTGAGAATTTAAAACTATTTGTGGGTATTCATATTTTAAAACAATATAGTTATTTCATAAGTTCAGTAAAATTTTTCTTTCTTTAGTGGAACAATTTAAAACACAGGTTATGTTACTGGGGCCTTGACTGGGATGTCACATTTTCTGAAACGACTAGACTACTTCAAGAAACTAAAATTAATGCTAAGGAACCATTAACATTCTTGAAAGAACTGGCCTGGTACCTTGTCTATGCATTTCCCCTGCAAGGCTTCAGCATTATGGTAAGTAAAAAATGTCACTTTCTGACAGGCCCAGGAACCTCAAAATAATATGGGACCTCAAGAAAAGAATAATTTACCCAGTTACCACAGATAAAATCTGATGAGAAGTCCATGGCTTGGCTTCCTAGCCTAAAGAAGTTTTAAAGGTTTACTCTGAGATGTCTTATGATAATTTCCAACAAAGTAGATTAAAGAAAAATGAGCCTATGTGGCCAATCACTATGCTTGCTTCACTTTATGCAAATAATTAGGCCAAGTATATTAAAGCTAAAACTTATTTTACAATTAAATTAGTCTTACTATAAATATCTTTAGTGGCTGGGTGCAGTGGCTCACGCCTGTAATCCCAGCACTTTGGGAGACCGAGGCAGGTGGATCACCTGAGGTCAGGAGTTCGAGACCAGCCTGGCCAACATGGTAAAACCCCATCTCTACTAAAAATACAAAAATTAGCTGGACGTGCTGACAGGCGCCTGTAATCCCAGCTACTCGGGAGGTTGAGGCAGGAGAATCACTTGAACCCGGGAGGCGGAGGTTTCAGTGAGCTGAGATAACGCCATTGCACTCCAGCCTGAGGGACAAGAGTGAGACTTCATCTTAAAAAACAAAACAAAACAAAACAAAACAAAAAAAAACCTTAGTAAAAATTGGCTTAATTTTGAGTGTACACACACACACACACACATATATATGATTTTTGTAACACATTGTATATATAATAACATCATATATGTTTTTAAAAAAACATCTTCTATGTGGGCCAGGTGCGGTGATTCATGCCTGTAATCCCAGCAATTTGGGAGGCTGACGCTGGCGGATTACCTGAGGTCAGGAGTTCAAGACCAGCCTGTCCAACATGGTGAAACCCCATCTCTGCTAAAAATACAAAAATTAGCCAGGTGTGGTGGCACACGCCTTTAATCCCAGCTACTCAGGAGGTGGAGGCAGGAGAATTGCTTGAGCCTGGGAGGCGGAGGTTGCAGTGAGCCGAGATCGTGCCACTGCACTCCAACCTGGCTGATAGAGCGAGACTCTGTTTCAAAAAAAAAAAAAAAGCCATCATATGTATGTGTGTGTGTGTGTGTATGTGTATATATATACACATATATATACACACATATATATGTGTATATATATGTGTATATATATATGTGTGTGTATACATATATATATATATACACACACACACATATATATACATAAATGTTTTTTAAAAATCCTCTACAGCATACCTGTTATTAGATTCTAGCCCTCTCCATTGTTAGGTTTTATTAAAAACATTTTCTGAACTAAATTTCAAGTTGTAGTTTCTTCTATTATCTGGCCTCAACTTTCTAGACTAATGCTTTTAATTTATCTCCCAGTTTCCTGACTTAAAATCACTAAAATTTAAACCATGCTTTTCTGAAGCCCTACAAGCTAAAGTTAGACAACTTGATATTAACTTCAGAGAAAACACACATAAATGTATTTATGGACAAAAAGTTCACAGAAACATCTGGTACAAACTATTATCTAGGAAAATTTGTCAGATTGTCACTGTTTACTTCCATCGCAATTGTAGATATTTCAAACACAAATCTGAAATTTTCTCAGCTAACTGCCCTCCAAAACTCAAGCCTAGTTTGTAGGTTGCTCCAGATATTAATCTCTGTTTTTCTTTTGCTCCCATAGCAATGTTTCTTACTAAATACCTGTTTGCCTATACCATATAGAGAATTAACTCTAACAACAACCCACTTACACTACCACCTCCTGAAATAAAACACAACTGCTCAACTGAACTTACTATTCTCAAGACTAAAAAACTGTTTCATTAGGATATATGACATTTGTTCTTTCTTCTGCTTCCATGGTTTCTCTTTTTGCCAATCTCTTATCTCAAAACCTCTAAACCAAATCCCTCCAAAGCTACCATCTTGCCTTTTCATATGTAAAGCCTTCTAAAAGTAAAGTTTCAAAAGGGCAACTGAAAAAAAAAAACAAAAACAAAATATTTCTACCCCAAGTACTGAGAATTATTAAATTAAAGACATTAGAAACACAGGGGAACACTCTGCCTCAGCCTCTATTGCCTGGTGGCAGGACATCAATCCTTCCTTACTGGAGCACTTATTATGGGCCCAGAGAAGGCATCTTTCTTCTCTCTAGAAAGGATTTATGATTCTTGTTAAAATGCTATTTAAGTGAGGCCCCTAAACCATTGCCTTGACAAAGAGATACTTTTGGACAGAGGCATCTACTGTGTGACGGGTATAGAAAATGTTAATAAACTTCTGCTTCTTTTGTTAATTTGACTTTTGTTTTCAGGATAGTGTCACAACTAACAACCTGAAAAAAATGTTTTCTCCCCTGTACAGGGTATTTCAGTAATCTGGACTAGATTGCAAGCTATAGATTTCCTAACGTTTTCTAAAAGGAGGCTTGTTCACCGGAGGGATTGTCATAAATGAAGCAACGAAGTGTAGAAAGAACATAATATATTCTATTTCTCTGTGTCAATCTAGAAATTAGAAAATAAATTATGCTTCACTACTATTTAATTGGTAGATTGACAGAGCACACATACTTATGCTTCAGAAATAAGTTAATATATTGGAGAATGCGTCAAGATTTTGTATTGAGGAGATAGGTCACCAAAAATCTTTGGAGAACACTGATTTTGACACCAACCAGCTTTATATTCCCTATTAACATGCACTCTATTCTTGGCAATTTTATGGAATGCTTTTCTTGTGTATGTGTCCCTAGTTAAATGTCTTTGTGCCTTTATCCTTCATTCTGATGGAGAAGATTAAATTATTTGGGTGCTCCTATAGGTTGGCTATTTTGAAGAATGAGGCTATTCAATTTCTTCTAAAAATGAATAACAATTTGTAGGGGTAAGTCAGATAATTCTCTATTATTTTCTGAGGATAAGAAAATTAAAAGTGTTCCAGATGCTTTAAGTGTAATTTTCCATCTACCATAAATTTACTTCGGAAGGCTTTTATCAAACAAGGTCAGGGCATTAGTGCTCATTAAGGACTATATACATGCACGGCTTGAGAATTCATCAGAACACCAATCAGTTGTTTGAACTCAAAGAAAGTCTATAAAAAATTGTTGTGCTGACTTTTTTCCTCTCACTCAACAATCCACTGCCCTCCTTTCCATCAGATATCCCTGTTTCAAAATGTACATTTTATTATTATTTAGGGATGGTCAGGGCAACAGATCAAGAGACAATGACTATTAAAAAGATTGTAATTTAGTGTTTTTAAGAGGAGGGAGGGGCACACCATATCATGGAAGGCCATGCAGGGAAGCACAAAGGACTGGCAGGAGTTAGCAGGAGCTGGAGGAAAATGAGGCAAGAGCCTTTAATGTGGTTTTCACGAGAAAGTCAAAGTAAGACGGGTTTAAAATTGGCTAGTTTAAATAACTTCAGTGGATTCTGGGCATAGGGGCTGATATGGTTTGAATGTTTTTTCCCTCTCCAAATCTCATATTGAAATGTGACATCCAATGTTGGAGATGGGCCTTGTGGGGGGTCTTTTATTCACGGAATGGTTCTCTCATGAATGGAAAGGTGCTGTTCTCGAGGTAATAAGTGAGTTCTCTTTGTGTGAGTTCATGTGAAATATGGTTGCTTAAAAGAACCTTGCCCTTCCTCCCTCTCTCTCATGCTGCCTCTCACCATGTAATGTGCTGGCTTCCTCTTTTCCTTCTACAATGATTTCAACCTTCCTGAGGCCCTCACCAGGAGAAGATGCCAGCAATACACTTTCCGTGCAGCCTGCAGAACTGTGAGCCAAAATAAACCTCTATTCTTTATAAATTACCCAGTGTCAGGTATTTCTTTATTTCAAAACAAATGGGCTAACACAGGGGCTCTTTCTTGTTGTCTGATATCTGGACCCAGGAAAATTAGAATAGGGAAATAGGGATCTGGAGTGTAAGAACCTTGTGAGAGCCCAGTGAAGGAGGTGATTGGGGCATATGGACTTTAGATTGGTTGGTTTGCACTTGAAAGGCATGAAACCCACACTTGCAAGTGAGTCCATAACTATCTCTAGAAATTGTTTGCCTTGGGAGGGGCAGTCTTTACCAGGCCAGAAAGGCCAAGATGTCAAAGCATCAAAAAACATAGAAAGAAAAAAACATAATTAATGCAATCACAAAGGATAAAATAAAATGTTTTTATGATAGAATAAAAGAAGGAAAGAAAGACGTAAGGGGGAGAGGGAAACTGAAGAGGGATAATGAAAATGAGGCAGGAAAAGAGGTAAATGAAGAGAAAGTAAGAGAAAATAAAGGACAGAGGAAGAATGGAGGAAACAAGGAAAAATTGTTTCCCTTGGACTAATTCTTAAGTTGGAATGATTTTACTATAATATTCTAATGATAATTTTATGGTTTTAAAAAGACTGCTTTTAGTCTTATATGGTATGACTTCTCTAACAGTGAAGAAAAAAGCAGCTAGGTAGATATGAGATAACTAAATGACTACATATTTCATCAGAATAACTATATTGAAAACACTGAATGTATTACAACTTATGCTTTTTCATAATTTCCTTTTGTAAATTGTGTATGCCTGAAAGATTTCTTCCTTAAATGAATAAAGGAGATTTCTAGTTGTTAGAAACTGAGAACTTGACAGGTGTTTAGGAGATACTCTAGAATTCATTTTTGGTTAATATATTGAGAAATTAGAAAAAAAAAAACATACTTTGTTGCTGATTTATTTTTATTTTTTCTTTCTTCTTGGGCTAAGACTGTATACATTGGCTTAAAGTATCATTTAATTATTTAAAATGTTCAATATTTTTCAGGTATTATACTTTGCTTTTTAGGTTACCTTGGACTTTGACTCTTATCGAAGCTTTTGCCGCCACACAGAGAACTTTTTACATATTTTCCCTCATTTATTTCTAATCTGAAATCTCTGAATCTTTCCCATGTGCTTGAGACAATGCATGTACAATGGATCATATATGAAAATAGAAATCATACATATAATCTCTATAGCAACCAGCCCAAGAAGTCAAACCACAGTCTGCAGCTTCAGCACAGAACAGGCAGGACTTCGTCAATGACCATCAGCTGCCATAATTTTTGTTACTCAGGACCAGAGAAAGTCTTGTATGTTCCACAAACCAATCACATGTCCTGCTTCTAGGTAGCCTGGATCCCACTCTGACAACAACTTCCAGAGCACAGCTTAAGTCTTTTCCTTCTGTTCACAATAAAGCTTTCCTACTCCTTTCCCTGACTTTGAGTCTCTGCCAGAGGTAAGTGATGGTGTCTGACTTCCTTGGACAGCAAGCTCTGAATAAATTGCATCTGCTAGTTCTCATTTAGATGGTCTTCATTTGGCCCCACACGATTTTTTTTTCTTCTTTCCCTGAGACTGGTTTCTTTTCCTGAGCCTGTTTCCTTTTCCTTTCACTGGTTTTCCTAATACTTGTGATACTTGTGATAAGGTGAGTGATGTCTTTTCATTCTATACTAGTATTTTTTCCCCCACAAATGGGATGATATTATACAGGGCAGAGAGGAGCACAGTTGAAAATATAATCTGAGGTAGTTGAATTTGACTGCAAGGCTCCCAGAGTTTTAAAATATTATTTGTTCTTGTCTGACTTCTGACATACTCTTTCTAACTTTTTATTCAATGATAAAACCAGAGACCCCAACTTTCTCTCAATATCAAACATGTTTTCAGAACCTTTTGGGGGCAGTAGAGACAATATGGGATTATGTGTCAAAAGTCATGAATTAAATTACTTTCTCCACTTACAGATCTATTTAATGTCAAACAATTTATTTAACTGCTCTGAGTTCCAGTATTTTAAATTATTAATGAGACTCATACTGCTCATTTGATATAGATCAAATTGTTAAAATGCATATTAAGTGTTTTGTAAACATTTGAATGATTCACAAATATCTCTACACTTTTGTAATTTTTGAAAATTTTTATTTGTGGTGGAATATACATGACATAAAACTTACCATCTTAATCATTTTTAAAGTGTAGAATTCATAATGTATAACACATTCATATTGTTGTGCAACCAATCCTCAGAACTCTTCTTATTTTGCCGAACTATAACCATATACCCACTAAACTACAACTCACATCCTCTCTAAGAATATTTGTAAATTAACATATGATGAAAGATTTAAGTTCAAAGGGTGCTCTTTTGACTGAGTTTCACGTTTCATTCTGTAGGAAGAGGAAGATTTTGATCGGTATGGAACAACTTTAGAATGGTCCCTGTGGTGACCCAATTCTGGCTTCATGTTACCATTTATTCGTTTTGACTCTGTGTACATATTCTTGTCTTATTCCTTTTCAGCCAAAATGATATTTCCAAAACCAAAATAAGACCATGCGTCTTCCAGTTAAAATCCTTTTGTGGCTTCCTGGTATTGTGTAAATAAGAACAGAATCTTAAACATGCTTGATTAGATCTTGCAAGCTCTGGTTCCAGCTTATTTCTTTAGTGTCATGTTATAATGTTCTCTCTCATAGGCTTATTCAGCCTCATTGATCATCTGATTTCTGGAGAGGGGTCATGCTATCTTCACGGGTCTGCTAGTTCCTTCACTTAAACTCATTTCCAGAATGCCTGAGAGAAGGGTTAGAGTATTCCATGCAGTCAATTCAAGATCATCTTGTAACAGTAAAACTCTACTATTTCATATTACATTACCAGCTGTGTCCAGAAAAGCTAATAAAACTTTCGTGAAGTAAGGTGTTAATGGAGGAAGGAGAGACAATACAACTTGTTGCAATGTTTATTACCACCAAATGACGACAAGAATGAGATCAACACCTATAATATGAAATGACTTTTTACTTGAACCAAGACCAAAACTCAAACTCTGTTAGAATTGGAGAGGGCTGCAAATAGTAGTACTATTCTAAAATTATAGTGATACAGGTGGTCGACTGGGGGAACCCTTGCTGTTTACAACAGAACAATGAGCCATTGTTCTAACTCTCTATCTCAGAGATTTCCCTCTTTCATGTTATGAAGTATCCCTGAAGCCAAGCTTTTTAAATGGTGGTTAATGTCATTTACTTTAAAATTTCTGTTTCCTAAGTATAGATGATAGTGCATCAAACCAAACCAAACCAAACTCCCAAATACTAAAGTATTTCAGAAAATTTAACACCCATCGGCCCACTTTGAGGTTTACTATTAACGCAACCCATGACACGTAAGACCTTAAGTTCCTTTGAACAGTAAAAGAGAGAGTGGGAGGAGGTATTAGAACCATGCAAATGGAAAATCATTTCTTTATACTCTAGAAAACCAGCTGAAGCTCAGCAACAATCTGAAAATAGACTGGAATGTGTGAAAATCTGGTCATTGTTGTCAACTATTTTCATGTTCTTTACTGTGATTTTCTTATTGAAAAGGTATCTACCATCAAGATATTATGTGCTACTTGTCAGAATAATTTGAAGTCATGGAGATACAGAGGCAGACAGAGAGAAGACAGTCAAAAATATTTTCTTCAGGCAACTAGCTGTAATTCTCTGATTTATATTAGCAGACTTGGTTGCCAGTTACCATGGTGGTTAAACCACATCCAAAAAAGTGACAGATTCCTAGAAATTAAAATAAAATTATTTCTAATTAAACATAAAAAATATAAAACTGCTAGACTTTTAAGGTCTTTAAAGCTCTAATTTATGTATTAATTCATAGTAATTAATTATTGGCTTTTTAAATACTTAAGAAAATAACTAGAGGTAATTTTTATTTGGTAAGTTACAATTCCAATCCAATAATTTAAAAAATAAAGACTAAATTGGGCAGGGGATGACAATGTTGCAATAGTTATGATTTATTTTTATTTTATTTCAACTTTTTTTAGCTATATTCGAAGCTACCAGAGGAATTTATTTTAATCAATTTGTTTTAAAGTAATTATTTTGTGTAAAGTGTATACTCACTTCTAAAGAATTAGTTCATTGTAGTGTGATTTTCTGTAGTTTGTTGAAAGGTTAGTAATTTTAAGGCCTTTGACTTAAAACTTTGCCATTAAAGACTATGGTTTGGAGAGAATTTCTGGTTGAAGGTAAAGTCCATGCTACTCAATATGGTAGGTGAATTGCTCCAAGAAGCTTCTGCTCATCTATCCACCTTTTATCATGCTTTTACTACCTCCTTTCTCGCATTGTAACCCAGAAATAAGAAACTGTTCATCATTTTCTGCTCATAACTTATGCTTTCTAAGTGCAAATTTCTTTCTCTACTCCCACCTCTGTTTGGATTTCTCCACTCTTACTGCTATCTCATCACATGCCGAAATAAATTTGGATTTTAATTGTATCAGAAAGTAAGTGAAAAAACTTGTAAAATACAAGAACATTTCATAACTTCTCACAATAACAAAAATGTGGAGTAAAATAAAAAATAAAACAATTTATGCTTTGTATGTTGTACAAAAAACAAAATTCTCTGTAATCTCTTTTCTAAGTAAAATGGGCAGTGTAGTGGGGAAAAGACTTCTCTTCTACCCTTTCAGCTTATGTGGCTGAACCTGAGGCTTAAATTGATGAGAGATTAACAGAATAAATGTGTACAAATGTTGATATTAATAGGTTTACCTGTACCTGAAGGCCTTCATATATAAGAGATAAAGACCCAAGTGAAGTGATAGACCTGAGAGCTTATATACTATTGTAACAAAGAACATACATTGTGGATATGTGTCAAGGCAAAGGAAAAGGTGCTTTGGGCTAGGGTAGCAACTTGTGGGAAAGTGACTAGGAAATATATGAGAGATGGAAGATAAAGGTTATTTAGTAGATTTGTTTGTACTGATTTATCTCAGCATTGACTTCTCACCTCTGGGAATAAGAATATGCTCTGCTTCCTGGTACAGAGAGGGCTTGTTTCTCATGGGAAATTTTATGCCCACATTTAGGTAGCAAGGGAAGATCAGAGAGTCTTCCTGTACCTACATTTTCCTCAATAGCCTTGAGCTCAAAATAAACAATATGCCATAATAGTAGCATATTTTGAGGTGGCATGTTTTGATCCTCTTCAGCATAATGCCACTGAGCCTGAGGGCCTTTTAAAAGATTAAATAATATGAGATAATATATATTAATGAAGTTCATATAATATATGAGATAATATATATGAATGAAGTTCATTGTTCAGTATATAATAAAACTTGGAGTTATTTTGGATTTATCATACTATTTTTAACTCTACATCTTAGCCATCAGCAAATCAAACTGATTTGACTTTCAAAGTATATATATATAGATATATATAATATTCATTTCTCAGCACCTTCACCAATATAGCTCTAGTGGAATTAACAACAAATGCAAGTGCCTTATAACTACATACTTCCCCTTCGCTCTTGCCTTCTACACCACTCCCTGGTGATCTTTTAAAAAAGTGCCAGGTATGGCTCATGCTTGTAATGCCAGCACTTTGGGAGGCCAAGATGAGAAGGTTGCCTGAGGCCAGGAGTTTGAGGCTGCAGTGAGTTACTAAGTTGATGAAAAAGTAATTGCTTTTGGGAGGCCAAGATGAGAAGATTGCCTGAGGACAGGAGTTTGAGGCTGCAGTGAGTTACTAAGTTGATGAAAAAGTAATTGCCGTGTTTGCTATTACTTTCAATGGCAAAAGCTGCAATTATTTCTGCACCAACCTAATATGATTGCACCACTAAACTCCAGCCTGGGTGACAGATATGAAAAAAAGTTGGTTTACATCATTACCTTTTTTAAAGAAGTAAAAGTATTTATTTTCACTGTTGGAATAAAATGGAAAATTTATATTATAAGACACTACATTATTTGGTCCCTGGTTTACTAGCTAATCTCAATAAACAAACAGTGTTTTAAAAAAGCCCCCAAAACCCGGAGCTTGCAGTGAGCCAGATCGCGCCACTGCACTCCAGCCTGGGTGACAGAGCAAGACTCCGTCTAAAATAACCCCCCCCGAAACCCCAAAACAACAACAACAACAACAACAGCACAATATCCACCTTAGGACTTTTTAATTGTAAACTCGAAATGGAATATTCTATGCAGATAACCCAGTGGCTTATTCCTTATTTCCTTCAGGCTTGTACACAAATATTTCACCCTCAGAGTTATTTGATTAGCTACATCAAAATTACATGCCCTCTTACTTCTTAATTTTATTTCTATGATTTATTTTCTACATGACACTTAATGCTATTTACTATTATATTACCTATCTATCTAGCTATCAGTCTATTTACTTATTTATAGTTTTTTGTTCTCCCTCTAAAATCTAGGCTCTAGGAACGAATTTAAGTTTATTTTTGTTTTCTAATTTATTAGCAGCATCTGGCTTATAGTAAATGCTCAGTGAATACTTATTGAGTTAATGTAAAAACACATTAATTGATTAAAATATAACCAAAAGGTAGCTATTATTATAATGAAAAAATCATATATCTTATTATATATACTTATTCAAATATTGCTACATTACTGTGAGGTGAGCATTTATTAAGTTTCTGATTCTATACATAAAAACTGAGAAAAGACTTAAATTATTTACTTAATATCCTATATTAAGGCCCTCTTTCAATTCCAGATTTTTTGCCTCTAGAAGATTCTATTTTCTTATCAGGGATACCACATTTATTGAGAGAAATGAACATAGAATATAAACTAGTCAATGGTTTTTAGGTCAAACGTCACATTAGAATTATCTGGGGAGCTTAAAAAACATTACTGAACCTCAGACACAATTTCAGGATAATTGAGCCAATATATATGAGTATGGACTGGGCATTTGTATGGTTCTGATTTTGATACCATATGTTTGATAAATCTGTTTCTATTTATACTGCAAATTCTGGAGTCTATCCTTATCTTTCTCCTTGATCTTTATATCCCTGAAAAATTTGGAGCAAATATTAAGTAAATTAATATTAGTTAAAAGTAAATTTTGATACTCCCAAAAATGTGGTTCACATAATACAGTAACAAAGGTAGAAAGAACAGAGATTTCCAGAATTGGCAAAAATATGGTGAGAAAATCGCATGTTCCTGCACTGCCTGAGAAGCCAACCTGAAAACATGAATCAAAAGCCTTAAAATGTGCACACATTTTAACCTACCATTAAATCCCTAGAAGTTAGTCCTATTGTAATTCTCACACAAATGTGCAAAGTATGCATATAAAGATGTTTATGCTGATATTTTTATAATAGGAATAAACAAACTTGGTAATGAATAGGATATTGGGATAGATAAAAAAATAGGTTGAAAAACTTTCACCATTTTTGATCTCTGACCCCCCACACACACACACACACACTCACACACCACTCTTAGACACATAAAAGAGTATTTCAGAAGGTATTTCAAACATTGCAATTATGATTTGCCATCCTAACTGGACAAGCGACATCATAGTAGAGTTGTTCTGGGCTAAGGCGCCATATTTAACTGTTTCAGTTTGGTTATGTTGGCATCACAACCCTGGCCTATGAATAGCTCTGATGAAGAAAACTGAAAGCAGTATTATGAACATTTCTGAATCCCAAGCCAGAGCGTTAGTTTAGTTCCAATTGCCTACCTTGTATAGCTGGCATAAAAAAAGAGAATTCCATGTACAAAGCCAAAAATGTATTTAAAAATTTTTAAAATGAGACAGATATTGTGATCTCTATTTAGGGTATGAAGTTATAGCCTAGAGATCTTTCTGAGATGTAGCTGCAGAGCAATGTTTTGTTTGGTTATGTGGTTATAGGTAGGCTAATAAATGGAGCTTTACATTCACAATTAGTGTTGAAATTAAAGGTAAAGAAGTTGAAGGGAAATGTTATCCAGGTTGTACTAAAGATACACTGATAGGCTGCATATGAGAGGCAAGTTTTAAAAAAGATACACAGAAAGTTGAAAGGGATAAAGTTGATTAGAAGGCAAGCACATTTATGTCCAAAGCAACAGGGTTGAGATTAATATCTGATAAATAAAGCATTTGAGAAGAAATACACTATGCAAAGAATGTTATTTTATAGTAATAAATGGAACTGTCTATATTAAAATATTACAGTGTTCATTGTAATAAATGACATATGAGAACATGACATGTTTTATCTTATCATGTTACATTAAGTAAAAAATACTTAAAAACACATAAATGACAGATATACAGCAGCAGCAGCAGCAGCAGGAGTTTTTGACTACCACCATCTCTGCAACAGCAAACAAGTAGACAAAAAGAGGTCATAGGTAAAACAAAGAAACAAAGTATACACTGGACTTAATTGTGACATGGCTTTCTCAAATGGGATATATTCTACTACCGCAACTTTCAATTACTCCGTGCTTTTTGTCAATATTTGTCATTATCTATCTTGAATTTTAGAATTTTAGGCACTGGGAGTGTGTGTAGGTGTATCACTTTGCAGTTTTATTTTGCATTTCTCTGATGATTGATGACACTGAACACATTGTTATATGCTTATTAGGTATTCGGGCATACTCTTTTCTGAAGTTTTTGTTGAAGTATTTCACCCACTATTAATTTGGAATTTCTCTTTTCTTACTGACTTGTAAAAGTTCTTGTGTATTCTGGATATGAATGTTTGATAGTAAAAAACATACCTTTATTTAAACATTCTTTTATTTAAAGGAACCAAAAGGAAAACAAGACAATAGAGAGAACAGAAGAGAACTTCACTATTACAGGAACATAATCTTCACGAAGAGATGGAAAATGAGGCATCTTACCTATAAATAATAGCAGGCTATTAAAATAGGAAGAAAGAGAATGAGAAAAAGCAATTTGAAAAAAAATTAGTCTTGAAAATTATGCATTTAGTAGTCCCTTTGAATTAAAATTGAAGAAATTTTGAGAAAATAAAAACAAAAAATGCGACAGAGAAGAACAGAAGTAAATGCAAGAAACATAAAAATGAAACGAATTCAGGATGTGAAACATTCAAATTTTAGGAGTTATAGAATGTGAAATTTTGAAAATGTGTGATGACATTACAAATTGAAGAAGGCAGGTCATAAAGAGAACACTAAATGTCTCCAGGAAAATAAAAAAGAATAGATTCGTACAAATAATCATAAACTAGATATTGGAAATTCTTAACTGCTATTATTGGAAATGAGAAGTGCATCAAACTACACTTTTATAATTCTGCAAAAATATTACCTCATCAAAATATCAACAAATAATGTCCATTTTAGAAATGTGTAATTTAAATTTTTTTCTTGGCTGGGAGTGGTGGCTCACACCTGTAATCCCAGCACTTTGGGAGGCCCAGGCGGGTGAATCGCCTGAGGTCGGGAGTTCAAGACCAGCCTGGCCAACATGGTGAAACCTCATCTCTGCTAAAAATAAAAACTTAGCCAGGCTTGGTGGCATACACCCATAATCCCAGCTATTCGGGAGGCTGAGGCATGAGAATTTCTTGAACCTGGGAGTCGGAGGTTGCAGTGAGCCAAGATCACACCACTGTGCCCGAGCGTGGGCAACAGAGTGAGACTGTCTCAAAAAAAAGAAAATGTGTGTGTGTGTGTGTGTGTGTGTGTGTGTGTGTGTGCATATATATATATATATATATATATATATATATATATATATATATATATATATATATTCTGCAACAGGACAAGGAAGCCAGACAGGAGCAGAAGGATGAGATATGATGAAAGAGGGATACCCAGAGCAAGAAAAGAGACACTAATAAGTTGTTATTTTGAATATAACATATACATTTAATAGAGTTGGGGAAAACATTGCTAATATATGCAGAGCAAATAAAAACAAAATATGAAGAAGTGCACAAGAAAGGCAATATTTCCATAAAGAATGTAAATATTAACTAATAATGTAAAACAATTTTCACATAGTTATATGGACATTTATATGTATATATGTGTGTATATCTATATATCTATATCTACATCTATGCGTGTGTGTGTGTGTGTGTATATATATATATATATATATAAATGTGTAGACAGAGTGCTGAGGATAAAGTGTTTGCAAGAGAACTAAATGACCATCCCTCATAAAGGAAGTGAATGAAGTTCTAACACTGAGCAATCCCTACATCGCTATATTGTTTAGATCAGTGGTCTGCAACCTTTTTGGCACCAGTGAATGGTTTCATGGAAGACAATTATTCCATGCCAGGGTTGTTGGGGGTGGTGGTGGGGGTAGATGGCTTCAGGATGAAACTGTTCTACCTCAGATCATCAGGCATTAGTTAGATTCTCATAAGGATTGCACAACCTAGATCCCTTACATGCACAGTTCCCAATAGGGTTTGAGCTCCTATGAGAATCTTATGCTGCCATTGATCTGACAGGAGGTGAAAATTCTCACTGGCCACTCACCTCCGCCATGTGGCCTGGTTCCTAACAGGCCACAGAGTGGTACTGGTCCATGGTCTAGGGGTTGTGGACCCCTGGTTTAGATTATGTAGTTACATATCAGGCAATAGAAACAGCTAAAAGAATTGGAAATGGGTGTTGAATTGAGTTGGGCTAGGGTACTATGGGATTTAGAAATATTGTTTTTCACTATAAGATCTTTAGGTTAAACTGTTTTTTGTTTGTTTGTTTGTTTGTTTTTTGAAATGGAGTCTCACTCTGTCAACCAGGCTGGAGTGCCGTGTTGCTATCTCAGCTCACTGCAAACTCCCCATCCTGGGTTCAAGTGATTCTCCTGCCTCAGCCTCCCGAGTAACTGGGATTACAGGAGCCTGCCACCACGTCTGGCTAATTTTTGTATTTTTAGTAGAGATGGGGTTTCACCATGTTGGCCAGGCTGGTCTTGAACTCCTGACCTCAGGTGATCCACCTCCCTCTGCCTCCCAAAGTGCTGGGATTGCAGGCGTGAGCCACCGCTCCCAATCTAGGTCAAACTGATTTTTTAAAAATGTGTGCTGTAGGCCGGGCGCGGTGGCTCACGCCTGTAATCCCAGCACTTTGGGAGGCCGAGGCGGGCGGATCACGAGGTCAGGAGATCGAGACCATCCCGGCTAAAAAACGGTGAAACCCCGTCTCTACTAAAAATACAAAAAATTAGCCGGGCGTAGTGGCGGGCGCCTGTAGTCCCAGCTACTTGGGAGGCTGAGGCAGGAGAATGGCGTGAACCCGGGAGGCGGAGCTTGCAGTGAGCCGAGATCCCGCCACTGCACTCCAGCCTGGGCGACAGAGCGAAACTCCGTCTCAAAAAAAAAAAAAAAAAAAAAAAAAAAAAAAAAAAATGTGTGCTGTATTACTTTAATGAAAAGTAAAACTTTATTTTAAGTGATCAATATTTTTAATGAATTCCTAAATATTATAATCTCATAATTTCACTAAAAAATTACTTGGAAGCATATACGTTTGGTGGAAAAAATCAGTGACCAAAATATCAATAGAGAAAATATTGAATACTAGAGAAAAACTAGAGACTGGGTATAATAGACTTTCATTAATTCGAAAGAATTTGCACATTGTAGTGCCTGAATGTAATTCGTTATTTATACAAAGAGTGATTAGTACCAGTGATCAAGACTGAGAAAACTGAAATGACTGATGGAAATATTAATATTTGGAACATCATTCTGCTTAATATACTTTTGCAATACTTAAAGGAATTGGAAAGGGTGAAGAATGTGAGTAATTGAGGTCATTTCTCATATAAATCTGAAAGTCTGCAGAGCTAACATAAGTGTAGAGATTCCTTTGAGTTTGCTGCTGCAAGCCAAGAAATAGTCCCACTAATTACTAGAAATAAGGGAGACTGTGAGGACATAACATAATGATTTATGGGCTTTACTTATAATTTGGTAGAAACATGATCCATATGCAGAAACGCTCATTCATAGACAAATGAGATCTAATACTAAAAATGAAATTTTGATGCTGAAATGAAATTTTGATACTGAGGAGTTAAATGAATATACTTTAAGATTAAGAAAATATCTTATGTTTCAAATCTATCCTTGAACCATCCACTGACAAAAAAAAGTTTGTAATTTTAATGGTAGAATGCTATTTTTTCAGCTCAATAAATTCAGTTTAGCAAATTAGATCTTTAAAGTCTATTTATGTATTGAACAGAAAAATAGTTATTTAATCAATGCAAACATTAATGTACTTTTTAACTTTTTTCCTTCCTCCCTATTAGTCTACATATGGAGGACCTACTGGATAATAGGTATTATGCTGGGATTTAAAATACACCCATAAGTATCATAAAAAGGGAGTTTAAGGAGTATTCTGTGAATAAGGAAATTTAAGTTCAAAGATGTTTATTAAATTGTCCAATATTACAATGCTATCATATATGAAAATATATCTTTCTGAACACAAATGTAATACTTTTAAATTACTTTTAAAATGAGGTAACATGCTGCCTCATTTTGAATATATATTCTTTCAGTTAATAAGTGTTCATCAAGTGCCAGGTATCTGTCATGCCCTATTTTTGACACTGAGATGGAGAGATAAATAAAATGCATGTTTTCAATGATTCCCATAGCCTAATGGAGAGAATATTCACATAAACACATATTTTGAGAAGCATGAAAATTTGGCTTTGGCCTTAGTATTCCTTTTTTGGGAATTTTTGTACAAGTTGGGAAAATGAATTAAGACCAGAATGCCACTACAAAATTTCATGAGATTCCAAGACTCCAAAATAGCACCAATAAATCATAATCAACTATGATATAAAAATAAGCAGTAAAAAGAAAATTTTTAAAAGGTAGGGAAAAATGTATAAAATTCAACTTTGTTTTCATTTATCAAACTACAATACAGAGTTTTCACAAAAGATTTAGCAACAGATTTTTTTTTATTATACTTTAAGTTCCAGGGTATATGTGCACAACGTGCAGGTTTGTTACATATGTATATATGTGCCATGTTGGTGTGCTGCACCCATTAACTCATCATTTACATTAGGTATATCTCCTAATGCTATCCCTCCCCCCTCCCCACACCCCATGAAAGGCCACAGTGTGTGATGTTCCCCTTCCTGTGTCCAAGTTTCTCATTGTTAAATTCCTGCCTATGAGTGAGAACATGCAGTGTTTGGTTATTTGTCTTTGCAATAGTTTTCTGAGAATGATGGTTTCCAGCTTCATCCATGTCCCTACAAAGGACATGAACTCATCCTTTTTTACAGCTGCATAGTATTCCCTGATGTATATTTGCCACATTTTCTTAATCTGGTCTATCACTGATGGACATTTGGGTTGGTTCCAAGCCTTTGCTATTGTGAATAGTGCCACAATAAACATACATGTGCCTGTGTCTTTATAGCAGCACGATTTATAATCCTTTGGGTATATACCCAGTAATGGGATTGCTGGGTCAAATGGTATTTCTAGTTCTAGATCCCTAAGGAATCACCACACTGACTTCCACAATGGTTGAACTAGTTTACAGTCCCACCAACAATGTAAAAGTGTTCCTATTTCTCCACATCCTCTCCAGCACCTGTTGTTTCCTGACTTTTTAATGATTGACATTCTAACTGGTGTGAGATGGTATCTCATTGTGGTTTTGATTTGCATTTCTCTGATGGCCAGTGATGATGAGCATTTTTTCATGTGTCTGTTGGCTACATAAATGTCTTCTTTTGAGAAGTGCCTGTTCATATGCTTTGCCCAATTTTTGATGGGGTTATTTGTTTTTTTCTTCTAAGTTTGTTGGAGTTCATTGTAGATTCTGGATATTAGCCTTTTGTCAGATTAGTAGATTGCAAAAATTTTCTCCCCTTCTGTAGGTTGCCTGCTCACTCTGATGGTAGTTTCTTTTGCTGTGCAGAAGCTCTTTAGTTTAATTAGATCCCATTTGTCAATTTTGGCTTTTGTTGCCATTGCTTTTGGTGTTTTAGACATGAAGTCCTTGCCCATGCCTATGTCCTGAATGGTATGGCCTAGGTTTTCTTCTAGGTTTTTCATGGTTTTAGATCTAATATGTAAGTCTTTAATCCATCTTGAATTAATTTTTGTGTAAGGTGTAAGGAAGGGATCCAGTTTCAGCTTACTACATATGGCTAGCCAGTTTTCCCCGTCCCATTTATTAAATAGGGAATCATTTCCCCATTTCTTGTTTTTGTCAGGTTTGTCAAAGATCAGATGGTTGTAGATGTGTGGTATTATTTCTGAGGGCTCTGTTCTGTTCCATTGGTCTATATCTCTGTTTTGGTACATTACCATACTGTTTTGGTTACTGTAGTCTAGTAGTATAGTTTGAAGTCAGGTAGCATGATGCCTCCAGCTTTGTTCTTTTGGCTTAGGATTGTCTTGGCAATGCAGACTCTTTTTTGGTTCCATATGAACTTTAAAGTAGTTTTTTCCAATTCTGTGAAGAAAGTCATTGGTAGCTTGATGGGGATGGCATTGCATCTATAAATTACCTTGGGCAGTATGGCCATTTTCACAATATTGATTCTTCCATTTGTTTGTGTCCTCTTTTATTTCGTTGAGCAGTGTTTTGAAGTTCTCCTTGAAGAGGTCCTTCACATTCCTTGTAAGTTAGATTCCTAGGTATTTTATTCTCTTTGAAGCAATTGTGAATGGGAGTTCACTCATGATTTGGCTCTCTGTTTGTCTGTTATTGGTGTATTAGAATGCTTGCGATTTTTGCACGTTGATTTTATATCCTGAGACTTTGCTGAAGTTGCTTATCAGCTTAAGGAGATTTTGGGCTGAGATGATGGGGTTTTCTAAATATGTAATCATGTCATCTGCAAACAGAGACAATTTGACTTCCTCTGTTCCTAATTGAATACCCTTTATTTCTTTCTCCAGCCTGATTGCCCTGGCCAGAACTTCCAAAACTATGTTGAATAGGAGTGGTGAGAGAGGGCATCCCTGTCCTGTGCCAGTTTTCAAAGGGAATACTTCCAGTTTTTGCCCATTCAGTATGATATTGGCTGTGGGTTTGTCATAAACAGCTCTTATTATTTTGAGATACGTCCCATCAATACCTAATTTATTGAGAGTTTTTTGCATGAAGGGCCGTTGAATTTTGTCAAAAGCTTTTTCTGCATCTATTGAGATAATCGTGTGGTTTTTGTCTTTGGTTCTGTTTATATGATGGATTATGTTTATTGATTTGCGTATGTTGAACTAGCCTTGCATCCCAGGGATGAAGCCCACTTGATCATGGTGAAGAAGCTTTTTGATGTGCTGCTGGATTCAGTTTGCCAGTATTTTATTGAGGATATTTCCTTCAATGTTCATCAGGGATATTGGTCTAAAATTCTCTTTTTTTGTTGTGTCTCTGCCCGGCTTTGGTATTAGGATGACGCTGGCCTCATAAAATGAGTTAGGGAGGATTCTCTCTTTTTCTACTGATTGGAATAGTTTCAGAAAGAATGGTACCAGATCCTCCTTGTACCTCTGGTAGAATTGAGCTGTGAACCAGTCTGGTCCTGGACTTTTTTTGGGTTGTAGGCTATTAATTATTGCCTCAATTTCAGAGCCTAGTATTGGTCTATTCAGGGATTCAACTTCTTCCTGGTTTAGTCTTGGGAGGGTGTATGTGTCCAGGAATTTATCCATTTCTTCTAGATTTTCTAGTTTATTTGCATAGAGGTGTTTATTCTCTGATGGTAGTTTGTATTTCTGTGGGATCAGTGGTGATATCCCCTTTATTATTCTTTATCGCATCTATTTGATTCTTCTCTCTTTTCTTCTTTATTAGTCTTGCTAGTGGTCTATCAATTTTGTTGATCTTTTCAAAAAATCAGCTCCTGGATTCATTGAGTTTTTGAAGGGTTTTTTGTGTCTCTCTCTCCTTCAGTTCTGCTCTAATCTTAGTTATTTCTTGCCTTCTGCTAGCTTTTGAATGTGTTTGCTCTTGCTTCTCTACTTCTTTTAATTATGATGTTAGGGTGTCAGTTTTAGAACTTTCCTGGTTTCTCTTGTGGGCATTTAGTGCTATAAATTTCCCACTACACACTGCTTTAAATGTGTCCCAGATAATTCTGGTATGTTGTGTCTTTGTTCTCATTGGTTTCAAAGAACATCTTTATTTCTGCCTTCATTTCGTTATGTACCCAGTAGTCATTCAGGAGCAGGTTGTTCAGTTTCCATGTAGTTGAGTGGTTTTGAGTGAGATTCTTAATCCTGAGTTCTAGTTGTATTGCACTGTGATCTGAGAGACAGTTTGTTTTAATTTCTGTTCTTTCACATTTTCTGAGGAGTGCTTTACTTCCAACTATGTGGTCAATTTTGGAATAAGTGTGATGTGGTGCTGAGAAGAATGTATATTCTTTTGAGTTGGGGTGGAGAGTTCTGTAGATGTCTATTAGGTCCTCTTGGTGCAGAGCTGAGTTCAGTTCCTGGATATCCTTGTTAACTTTCTGTCTCATTGATCTGTCTAATGTTGACAGTGGGGTGTTAAACTGTCCCATTATTATTGTGTGGGAGTCTAAGTCTCTTTGTATGTCTCTAAGGACTTGCTTTATGTATCTGGGTGCTCCTGTATTGGGTGCATAAATATTTAGGATAGTTAGCTCTTCTTGTTGAATTGATCCCTTTACCATTATGTAATGGGCTTCTTTGTCTCTTTTGATCTTTGTTGGGTTAAAGTCTGTTTTATCAGAGACTAGGATTGCAACCCCTGAATTTTTTTGTTTTCCATTTGCTTGGTGGCTCTTCCTCCATCCTTTTATTTTGAGCCTATGTGTGTCTCTGCACATAAGATGGGTCTCCTGAATACAGCACACTGATGGATCTTGACTCTTTATCCACTTTGCCAGTCTGTGTCTTTTAATTGGAGCATTTAGCCCACTTACATTTAAGGTTAATATTGTTATGTGTGAATCTGATCCTGTCATTCTGATGTTAGCTGGTAATTTTGCTTGTTAGTTGATGTAGTTTCTTCCTAGCCTCGATGGTCTTTATGATATGGACTTTTTTGCAGTGGCTGGTACTGGTTGTTCCTTTCCATGTTTAGGGCTTCCTTCAGGAGCTCTTGTAGGACAGGCCTGGTGGTGACAAAATCTCTCAGCATTTGCTTGTCTGTAATGGATTTTATTTCTCCTTCACTTATGAAGCTTAGTTTGGCTGGATATGAAATTCTGGGTTGAAAGTACTTTTCTTTAAGAATGTTGAATATTGGCCCCCACTCTCTTCTGGTTTGTAGAGTTTCTGCCGAGAGATCAGCTGTTAGTCTGATGGGCTTCCCTTTGAGGGTAACCCGACCTTTCTCTCTGGCTGCCCTTAACATTTTTTCCTTCATTTCAACTTTGGTGAATCTGACAATTATGTGTCTTGGAGTTGCTCTTCTCGAGGAGTATCTTTGTGGCATTCTCTGTATTTCCTGAATTTGAATGTTGGCCTGCTTTGCTAGGTTGGGGAAGTTCTCTTGGATAATACCCTGTAGAGTGTTTTCCAACTTGGTTGCATTCTCCCCGTCACTTTCAGGTACACCAATCAGACATAAATTTGGTCTTTTTACATAGTCCCATATTTCTTGGAGGCTTTGTTTGTTTCTTTTTATTCTTTTTTCTCTAAACTTCTCTTCTTGCTTTATTTCTTTCATTTGATCTTCCATCACTGATACCCTTTCTTCTGGTTGATTGAATCAGCTACTGAAGCTTATGCATGTGTCACATAGTTCTTGTGCCATGGTTTTCAGCTCCAACAGGTCATTTACGGTCTTCTCTACACTGGTTATTCTAGTTAGCAATTTGTCTAATCTTTTTTCAAGGTTTTTAGCTTCTTTGTCATGGTTTCGAACTTCCTCCTTTAGCTCGGAGAAGTTTGATAGTCTGAAGCGTTTTTCTCTCAACTTGTCAAAGTCATTCTCTGTCCAGCTTTGTTCCGCTGCTGGCGAGGAGTTGTATTCCTTTGGCAGGGGAGAGGTGCTCTGATTTTTAGAATTTTCAGCTTTTCTGCTCCGTTTTTCCCCATCTTTGTGGTTGTATCTACCTTTGGTCTTTGATGATGATGATGTACAGATGGGGTTTTGGTGTGAATGTCCTTTCTGTTTGTTAGTTTTCCTTCTAACAGTCAGGACCATCAGCTTCAGGTCAGTTGGAGTTTGCTGGAGGTCCACTCCAGACCCTGTTTGCCTGGGCATCAGCAGCGGAGGCTGCAGAACAGTGAATATTGCTGAACAGCAAATGTTGCTGCCTGCTTGTTCCTCTGGAAGCTTCATCTCAGAGGGGTACCTGGCCATGTGAGGTGTCAGTCTGCCCCTACTGGAGGGTACTTCCCAGTTAGGCTACTCAGGGGTCACTGACCCACTTGAGGAGGCAGTCTGTCCATTCTCAGATCTCAAACTCTGGCTGGGAGAACCACTACTCACTTCAAAGCTGTCAGACAAGAACATTTAAGTCTGCAGAGGTTTCTGCTGCCTTTTGTTTGGCTATGCCCTGCCCCCAGAGGTGGAGCCTACAGACGCAGGCAGGCCTCCTTGAGTTGTGGTGGGCTCCACCCAATTTGAGCTTCCCAGCTGCTTTGTTTACCTACTTAAGCTCAGCAATGGAGGGCGCCCCTCCCCCAGCCTCGCTGCAGCCTTGCAGTTTGATCTCAAGCTGCTGTGCTAGCAATGAGTGAGGCTCTGTGGGTGTGGGACCCTCCAAGCCAGGCACGGGATACAATCTCCTGGTGTGCCTTTTGCTAAGACCATTGGAAAAGCACAGTATTAGGGTGGGAGTGACCCAATTTTCCAGGTGCAGGCTGTCACCGCTTCCCTTGGCTAGGAAAGGGAATTCCCTGACCCCTTGCACTTCCTGGGTGAGCAGATGCCTCACCCTGCTTTGGCTCATGCTCAGTGGGCTGCACCCACTGTCCTGTCCCCACTGTCTGACAAGCCCCAGTGAGAAGAACCCAGTACTTCGGTTGGAAATGCAGAAATCACCAGTCTTTTGTGTCGCTCACACTGGGAGCTGTAGACTCCAAATTTTTTTAAATTATTATTTTAAGCCTATAGAGGCAAAAATTTGGAGGAAATTCTAATTAAAATGAATGCAATAGAATGCAAGCAGTTTCTGTGAAAGAATATCAAGGAGTTTTTATTTTTATTCAAGCTGTAAATTCTAAGCAACAGAATTCTGCCTAGAAGACATGTTGCCAAAAAGCTTGTTCTTGATTTATTTCTGTTGTATACACCAACAAAAGTTTGTGATATTATTGAATAAGTACTTTTCTCATTTTTATAATTACATATTTAGATATAAAGATATAACCATAAATCTTTAAGTTTGAGATATGCTGAACCAATGAAGATTTTAATTATTCTTCTGCTTGAGAATTTTCTGGGTCTCACAAAGCTAACAACTGAGTGAATCTGGTGACCTATTTATGGAATGGGAAATCAGTAACCAAAATGTCATATAGTTGTGACTGACAATGAAACAAATGTGGTGAAGACTGTGAGTGACATGGGAATAAGCAGATGATGGATATTTAGTTCACATCCTTTAGTATGTGTTGGAAAACTAATTGTAGCACAAAAAACATAACAGAAATACTGCCCTTAAGCAGAAAAATAGTGATTTCATGTTATCACTGTACCTTATCCAAAAATAATCTACATGACATAAGAAAGATAACGGAACTGCTTTGCCAGATATCAGATGTTCAAACAAGATGGAATTGAAGATATAACACTTTTAAAAAAGATTAATGTAAGAAAGCTTTAACACTGTATTACATCAATGACAGTACTAACATACAAGACAGCTTTCTTGTAAAGAACAGTTTATTAGAATCTGCTAAAGAAATAACCAAACTGGTATGACTTGAGGACAGAAGTATTTCTTATATTATGCTTGCTATAAAAACAAAAAATCTTCCAACGTATTGCTTCACAGAGCATGCTGAAATGAGTGTGCATGGAATGAAACCTGAGGTACAGGTGGGAATTTAGAGATTTGTTATACAGAAACCAATTAAATATCTCCATTGCTAGACTGCTAAATCCAAGAGTGAAAAAAAAATTACCTTAAGTAAGTGTAAGGCAACAACTAAATAAAAATATTCCCGATAAAATAATATGTGAAGACAGTTTTGAAAATATGCAGAATCTTCTTCAATCAGTAAGAAAAACTTCCATTTGAGAAATTGATGTTATGACCTCACAGGAATTGAAATATTTACCTAAATAACTGAAAACTTTCAAATTTAGTGGCAATGTCACTATCCACAGAGTAGCCTATATTGGCACAGTTACTCCAAAACTTTTGCATACCCAATATCCACAGTTAAAAGTGAGTGGAGAAATTTTTTTCTGACTTAATATTAAAACTCTTAGAATTGACTTTTAACATTTTTAGTAGTAAAATTGTAATCGTAATTACATTTTCGGGAACATTTTCAGATTTTTCTGGAAGTCCAATAAGTTCAATGTAGAATGGTGTTAGTTGTCCTATTCTAAATATTGATTTTGACATTTAACTATTTGGCATTCAACTAAAAACTGTATGGAGAGCACATCTACAATTATAGTGTAATGTGATAATTTTAGTAATAGAAATATTAAGTCAAGGTTATCAGATCATAGATACAGGGGGTGGTGGATTCTACAGTAGGGTGTCAAGGAAGACGCTACAAAAGTATTTTGAGTAACGGTATGCAAATGAGAGAGTCTCTTCTGTGGTAGTTAATATTCAGAAATGAACAAGCAAGAAATAATGATAATCTTTTTTTTTCTATTTCTTCTACGAAAAAAAAAGTGGGGTACACATGCAGAACGTGCAGGTTTCTTACATAGGTTTACATGTGCCATGGTGGTTTGTTGCAACTATTGACCCATCCTCTAAGTTCCCAACCTCACCCCCCACCCTCCAACAGGCTCTGGTGTTTGTGTTTCCCCTCTTTGTGTCCATGTATTCTCATTGTACAACTCCTACTTATGACTGAGAACATGTGATGTTTGGTTTTCTGTTCCTGTGTTAGTTTGCTGAGAATGATAGTTTCCAGCTTAATCCATGTCACTGCAAAGGACATAATCTCATTCCTTTTTATGGCTTAATAGAATTCCACAGTATATATGTACCATATTTTCTTTATCCAGTCTATCAGTGATGGGCATTTGGGTTGGTTCCATGTCTTTGCTATTGTAAACAGTGCTGCAATAAACATATGTGTGCATGTGTCTTTATTGTAGAATGATTTGTATTCCTTTGGGTATATACACAGTAATGGGATTGCTGGGTCAAATGGTATTTCTCGTTCTAATTCCTTGAAAAATTGTCCTACTGTCTTCCACAATTGTTGAACTAATTTACATCCCCACCAACAGTGTAAAAGCTTTCTTTTTTCTCCACAGCCTCGTTAGCATCTATTGTTTCCTGACTTTAATAATCACCATTCTGACTGGCATGAGATAGTATCTCTTTGTGGTTTTGATTTGCATTTCTCTGATAGTCAGTGATGTTGAGCTCTTTTTCATATGTTTTTTGGCCACATAGATGTCTTTTTTTTGTTTTCTTTTTCATTTTTTTGAGATGGACTCCCACTCTGTTGCCCAGGCTGGAGTGCAGTGGTGCAGTCTCGGCTCACTGCAACCTTCGTCTCCCAGGTTCAAGCCATTCTCCTGCCTCAGACTCCTGAGTAGCTGGGATAACAGGCATGTGCCACCACGCCTGGCTAATTTTTGTATTTTTAGTCGAGTTAGGGTTTCACCATGTTTGTCAGGCTGTTCTCGAACTCCTGACCTCATGATCTGCCCACCTCTGCCTCCCAAAGTGCTGTGATTACAGGCGGGAGCCACCGCGCATGGCCAAATATCATCTTTTGAGAAGTATCTGTTCATATCCTTTGCCTACTTTTTGATGGGGCTGTTTGTTTTTTTCTTGTAAATTTGTTTAAGGTCCTTATAAATTCTGGATATTAGACCTTTGTCAAATGGGTAGACTGCAAAAATTTTCTCCCGTTCTCTAGATTGCCTGTTCATTCTGATGATAGTTTCTTTTGCTGTGCAAAAGCTCTTCAGTTTAATTAGATCCCATTTGTCAATTTTGTCCCTTGTTACAATTGCTTTTGGCATTTTTGTCATGAAGTCTTTGCCCATGCCTCTGTCCTGAATGGTATTGCCTAGGTTTTCTTCTAGGATTTTTATGGTTTGGGGTTTTACATTTAAGTTGTTAATCCATCTGGAGTTAATTTTTGTATAAGGTGTAAGGAAAGGTCCAGTTTCAGTTTTCTGCACATGGCTAACCAGTTTTCCCAGCAGCATTAAATGAATAGGATATCCTTTCCTCATTGCCTGTTTTTGTCAGGTTTGTTGAAGATCAGATGGCTGTAGATGTGTGGTGTTATTTCTGAGGTCTCTGTTCTGCTCCATTGGACTACATGTCTGTTTTGGTAGAGTACCATGCTGTTTTGGTAACTGTAGACTTATAGTATAATTTGAAGTCAGGTTGCCTGATGCCTCCAGTTTTGTTCTTTTTGCTTTGGATTGTCTGGGCTATACGGGTCTTCTTTGATTCCATATGAAATTTAAAATAGTTTTTTCTAATTCTGTGAAGAATGTTAGTGGTAGTTTGATGTGAATAGCACTGAATCTATAAATTACTTTGGGCAGTATGGCCATTTTCATGATATTGACCCTTCCTATCCATGAGGATGGAATGCTTTTCCATTTGTTTGTGTCCTCTCTTATTTCCTTGAGCAGTGGTTTGTAGTTCTCTTTGAAGAGGTCTTTCACATCCCTTATTAGCTGTATTCCTAGGTACTTTATTATATTTGTATCAATTGCAAAAGGGAGTTCATTCATGATTTGGCTCTCTGGTTGTCTATTGTTGGTGTATAGGAATGCTTTTGATTTTTGCACATTAATTTTGTATCCTGAAACTTTGCTGAAGCTGCTTATCATTTTAAGGAGTTTGGGGGCAGAGATGATGGGGTTTTCTAAATATAAAATCATGTCATCTACAAACAGAGACAATTTGACTTCCTCTGTTGCTATTCATATACCTTTATTTTTTTCCTCTTGCCTGATTGCCATGGCCAGAACTTCCAATACTATGTTGAATAGGAGTGGTGAGAGAGGACATCTTTGTCTTGTACCAGTTTTCAGAGGGAATGTTCCAGCTTTTTGCCCATTCAGTATAATATTGGCTGTGGGTTTGTCATAAATAGCTCTTATAATTTTGAGATATGCTCCATCAATACCTAGTTTATTGAGAGTTTTTAACATGAAGGGATATTGGATTTTATCAAAGGCCTTTTCTGCATCTGTTGAGATAATCTGTGGTTTTGTCATTGGTTCTGTTTATGTGATGGATTATGTTTATTGATTTTCATAAGTTGAACCAGCCTTGCATCCCAGGGATGAAACCAACTTGATTGTGGTGGATAAGTTTTTTGATGTGCTGCTGGATTAGGTTTGCTGGTATTTTGTTGAAGATTTTTGTATAAATGTTCACCAAAGATATTGGCCTGAGGTTTTTTTTTTTTTTTTTTTTTTGTTGTTGTTGTTGTTGTTTCTGTGTCTCTTCCTGGTTTTGGTATCAGGATGATACCTCATAAAATGAGTTAAGGAGGAGTCCCTCCTTTTCAATTGCTTGGAATATTTTTAGAAGGAATGGTACCACCTCCTCTTTGTATTTCCGGTAGAATTCAGCTGTGAATCCATCTGGTCCTGGGCTCTTATTTATGATACCCAATTTGATAAGAAGTACAAAAAATTTCATACAACTATAAAAACGAATTTAATACAATGACTTTTTTTTCTGGACAAGTATTGTTATGTCTTCTATCTGAGCAATTTTTTCAAATGAGATAGCCATGCAGTTTGCCACATTGATTGACCCCCTCCTTTCAAGAACAATTTATCTGTAGCATGTGACGCTGTTTGATATCATTTTACCCACAGTAGAACTTCTTTCAAAATTGAAGTAAATCCTCTTAAAATCTGCCACTACATTATCAACTAGGTTTATATAATGTTCTAAATTCCTTGTCGTCATTAGAACGATGTTCACATCATCTTCACCAGGAATAGATTCCTTCCTAACAAACCACTTTCTTTACACATCCATAAGAAGCAACTACTTATTCATTAAAATTGTGTCATAAAATTGAAGCAGTTCTGTCACATCTTCAGGCTCCACTTCTAATTCTGATTCTCTTGCTATTTCCACCACATCTGCAGTTACTTCCTCCACCAAAGTCTAGAACCCCTGAAAGTCATCTGTGAGCATCGAAATCAACTTCTTTCAAAGTCTTATTAATGTTGATATTTTCACCTCCTCCCATGGAAAACAAATGTCCTTAATGACATTTAGAATTGGGAATTCTTTCCATAAGGTTTTCAATTTATTTTGCTCAGATTCATTGGAATAATTTACCTATGAAAGCTACAGCCTTACAAAATAAAATTCTTAAATGATAAGACTTGAAAGTCCAAATTACTTTTTGATCCCTGGGCTGCCTAATGAATGTTGTTAGCAGGCATAAAACATTAATGTTCTTGTACATCTCCATCAGAGCTCCTGGGTAATTAGGCGCATTGTCAATAAGCAGTAATATTTTGAAAGGAATCTTCCTTTCTGAGCACTATGTCTCAACATTGGGCTTAAAATTCTCAGTAAACCATGCAGTAAACAGATGTGTTATCATCCAGGGTTTATTATTCCATTTATAGAGGACAGGCAGAGTAGGTTTAACACAATTCTTAAGGGCCATAGGATTTTCTGGATGGTAAATGAACATTGGCTTCGATTTAATGTCACCAGCTTTATTAGCCCCTAGCAAGAGAATCAGCCTGTCCTTGGAAGCTTGGAAGTCAGACATTGACTTCTCTCTAGTTATGAAAGTTCTAAATGGTATCTTCTTTCAGTGTAAGACTATTTTGCCTTCATTGGTAACCTGTTGTGTAGTGTAGCCACTTTCATCAATGTTCCTGACTAGATCTTCTGGATAACTTGCTGTAGCTTCTATAGCAGCTCTTGCTGCTTCACCTTGCACTGTTATGTTTTGAAGACAGGTTATTTTCTTAAACTTTGTGAACCAAATTCTGCTAGATTTAAACCTTTATTATATTTTGCAGTTTCCTTATCTTTCTCAGCCTTCATAGAATTTAAGATATATAGAGTGCTCTGGATTAGTCTTTGGTGTAAGGGAAGGTTGTGGCTGGTCTGATCTTCTATCAGACCAATAAAACTTTCTCCGTATCAGTCCTAAGGTTATTTCACCTCCTTAGTGTTCATGTGTTCACTGAAGTAGCTGTTTTAATTTCCTTCAAGAACTTTTCCTTGGCATTCATAACTTGGCTAACTGACACAGGAGGCCTAATTTCTGGCCTATCTCAGCTCTTGACATGCTTTCCTCACTAAGATTAATCATTTCTATTTTTTGATTTAAAGTGAGAGATGTACAACTCTTCCTTTCACTTGAACATTAATAGGCCATTGTAGGGTTATTAATTGGCCTAATGTCAATATTGCTGAGTCTCAGGGAATAGGGAGGCCCAAGGAGAGAGAGAGAGAGATGGGGGAGTGGCCAGTTAGTGGAGCAGTCGACACACAAACATTTATCAAGTAAGTTTCCCCTCTTATACGGGTGTGCATTGTGGCATTCTAAAACAATTACAATAATAACATTAAAGTTCACTAATCACAGATGATGATAACAGATTAAGAATCATAAAAATTGTGTAATATTGTGAGAATTACCACAATGTGACACACAGACATAAGGTGAGCACATGCTGTTGGAAAAATGGAACCGATAGACTTGATTAATGTAGGGTTGCCACAAATCTTCAATTTGTAAAAAAATGCAATACCTGCCAAGCACCATAAAGTGAAGCACAATAAAATGAGATATGTCTGGACAATATAATTCTCTTCCAAACCCTTCTAGACCTTACCCAAAGTGGAACCAATTGGATCACTGAAGTTCCATCTCTAGCTCCTCTTTACTAATTTTCATATGATTATTCCCTAACCACAAGAGCACTTCATAATTAGGGCTTCTGGGAGTGGATATTATATTGCCTGCTTGGTCAAACTTCCACTGTGTTTTTGATTAGCTTTACTTTTGTGGTCATAAGTGTATAATCATTTTACAGATTCACCTTTTTATTTTAGTTATGTTTCTCTAAGGTCTTGTGACCTCTACAGTTTTCCAGAATGCACCAAATTCACATATGCATAAGTCCTCACAATGTTGTCAGTAGATTCTTGGAAACTATGACTTTAAGTAAAACAACATATAAAAGAAACAATTTTTTTTTCTCATCAACGTCTTAATGAAATGATTTTGAGTGCCTGCTATATATTGCTTAACGTTGCAGTTTCCAAGAACCTATCAACCACATTAAGTGATGACCTCCTGTGCTCTAAGACTTCTTAATAGGTTATCATATTATTTTCTCTCTTCATTTCTAAAGCACTCCCATATAATCTTCTGTATTGTGCAAGTCTCTTTTCAAGTATGCTACAATCACTTAAGATGAAGTAAACTAATGTTATTAATATTTAGTATACAAAGGTCTTCATTGTTTAGCACTGACTTTTTAATTCAAAGAAATGATGGTGCATTAGCTCAAATGCAAAAGTTTGATTTTCAAAAAGGTGTCATATTTAACTTTAAAAAAATACGCTATTCCAGAAGACCTCTAAAGAATGAATCCTTTCCTCTAAATCATCATGTCATTATTTTCCAGACAGCCTGGCCTGAGGTAATTAGTTTTGCTTCTCTTTGTGAAATCCATTGAGAACAGGTCAGTGGATAATAAATACAAATCAGAAAATCTTCAGCACATTCATTTTTAAACAATACTCCACAATGACTTGTTGTTTCTGATTTGGTCTCCACTGGACAAAAGCAGCACAGGGATTCAGGCTGCCTGATACCAGCTTCCCAGCGCTGGATGATGTGACTCAGGTTTTGACATGTTCTTTTAATATTTTGGCTTTTATTCTACTTAGGCACACAGAGACACTTCCTCTTCATTAATTTAATTTAAATCTTATAAAAGCAGACCAGATTGAAATCAAGTAATTTAAGAAATTTATTACAAACATAACTCTCTGCAATTATTCAGGAGACTTTACTGCTACATATGGAAATTGAAAAGTATGGAAAATGATCTTAATAAGCAAATGAGAGGTTGAAGTATTAGGTGGCCAATTTGTGCCTTAAAATAATACTAATTTTATTTTTTCAGCTCCTGTGAAAGAAAAGTGTAGTAAAGACTATTTTTAAAAGACTTAATAGTGATCTGGTTATTTTCTCAAAATTGTTTTCAGGATTTCATAAGAATCCTTCATGCAAAGCTAATGTGACAAATTTTATCTTAACAAATTCTGATGAGTGGATTCAGCAATTGTGATATAGTTGATCAGTCAGTACAACTAGATAACTGGAAGTAACATTTGTATTTTGAGGTTATTTAAAGTAAAAGTTATTTAAAAATAAATAAGTAGTATATAAATATATTTAAATAGTATAAATATTAAATAATAGAATTCTGAGTCTAGAAAGCCGGAAGAAACATATTAAACACTCTCATTGACTGCACCTCTGTGCTTATTTTTTAGAATTTTGTTTTGGTGATGCATTTTTTGCTTTCCAAAACAGTGTTCATCATTCTCTTTCTTGCTTCCATTCTAACTCAGGAACATGTCAGTGGGAGGAGACATCTGATGATCTAAGAAAAGGGAGTTAGCAAGGGAGGGAGGACTACTCCAGGACTTCAAGTTGAACCTGATGAAGGGAGTTTGGTGTTTATGCCAAATTACTTAATCCAGGAGGTCTACTTGATATGTTGACCTGCCTACAAGTACTTCCAGGCTAATTTCTATGCTTAGAAAGTTATTACCCTCAGTAGACACAGGACAAGAACATGAATGGTAGACTGGGTGATAATAATAGCATCTTGGGTTCCAGTTTCTCCTTGAAGGTGGATTTGTCGGCCAATTGGACAATACTGAAGAGAGTACAGAGGGCGTAAGCCTGTTCCTGGTCAGTACAGAAACTCTGGTGTACATAAGAATCAGTTAAGGTGTTTATTAAAGTAAGCTCCCCATCATGTCACTTTTAGGAATTGTAATTTAGCAGATATATTATAGAACCCAGGGGGCTGCATTTAAAAAATAATTTTAGAACCGTTTTAGATTAATGGAAATTTTAGAACAGTTTTAAAATAATGGAAAACTTATAAAGTTAGTACAGTGAGTTTCCACATATCTCGGAGCCAGGGAACTATGTTCGCATGAAATAAACATGATTGTGATGCATACCTTTTGAAACTCTCACAATAAGAATATTGTGAGAAATAGGTTCCCCTATTGAGGAAGCAGAGTTTGAGAATGTCTGGATTTCAAGAACATATTAGTTTTTCTGTATAAACCATAACCTGGGCTCTCGGGACAAAAGTTAATGGGGGTAGCAGGCGATAGTGGTAGGAGTTATAAAGAAACTGACAGTCATTGCCCATGAAATGCCAGAACTGATGATATGACTAAATTCTATAAGATTGAGAAACTGAGGCTGCTGATATATTTCCCATTTCAGACAGGAACAGTTCTGGTTTGAGCCTGCAGGTGGGAGATTTCTGTAGATCCAAGTAAAAGTCATAGGAGAAGCCAAAGGGGTAAGAATTTTGTAAAATATGTATTTAACTAGTTAATACATAGGTCTTACTAGAAAACATCTGCCATAGAATTCTCTGATATAATGATATTACTTGCTCATAGAGACATAATTAGTCAGGAAGATTATACTATAATAAAATAACACAAAATCTTTAAAGTGTAAATTATATTGCTTTCAATGTACAGACAGTCCGTGACTTACGATGGTTTAACTAAAAATTTTTTGATTTTATGATACTGCAAAAGCTACATACGTTCAGTCAAAACCGTGCTTTGAATATCCGTATGGCCATTTTGTTTTTCACTTTCATTACAGTAATCAATAAATTACATGAGATATTACAAACTTTATTTAAAATAGGCTTTATTGTAGATGATTTTGTTCAATGTAAACTAATATAAGAGTTCTGAGTATATTTAAGGGAGGATAGGCTAGGCTATAATTGATGTTCAGTAGGTTAGCTACATTAACTGCATTTTTGACTTGTTGGTGTTTTCAAACTGCTATGGATTTATTTGGACATAACCTCACCATAAGTTGAGGAGCATCTGTGCTGTTTGTGTATTATTGGGAACTTTTTTTTGGACTACAGGTAAAAATAACCTGTTAAAATATGGGTGTTGAGTCTGGGCACAGTAGCTCCTGCCTGTAATCCCAGCACATTGGGAGGCTGAGGTGGGTGGATCATTTGAGGTCAGCAGTTCATGACCAGACTGGCCAACATGGCAAAACCCCGTCTCTACTAAAAATACAAGAATTATCCAGGCATGGTGATGGGCGCTTTAATCCCAGCTACTTGGGAGGCTGAGGTATGCAAATTGCTTGAACCTGGGAGGTGGAGTTTGCAGTGAACCGAGTTCACACCACTGCACTCCCGCCTGGGCGACAGAGAACCTGTCTCAAACAAAACAAAACAAAACCACAAACAACAACAACAACAAACCTGAAATGGGAGTTGGAGGGTCAAAATAATCCAAACAAGATCAAAGAAATGTCATAAAAAAAACTATGTGTTTATAACAGTTTTTAAAAGATATACTAAACATGTATCTCTGAACATATCCTAACATAATATTTAGAAAATAATTTCATAGCTAAATTTATGGACTAGTCTCATGCTTTAATGAATGTATCATATAAAGTAGTATAAATTAATTGTAATGAAAGAATTGATAGATATCTGACAGTCTATGACAGTTGAATTAATGTTTGTGAAATGCCAGTATTAATGATAAACATTAATAAATGCTGCATATAATTGAATTGACAATGATATGAAACAGTCTTCTGCTAATATGCTAACTAGGCAGAGATATTATTTTCTTATTCCTAATAGGAACATAATTTCAAAGTAAAATACTTGGTAAAAATTCTCAAAGAGATTTCATTTATGCTGCCTAAGCTTACCCTCATAAGAGCTAATTTTCCTTAGCACAATTTCTTAAACAATTACAGCTTTGGTGCTAATAATTTATGTTTATAAGGTTATTATTTATGAAAATAAAGTAAGTATTTATGAAGTACAAAAATATGTGATACGTACTCATTCCTGACTGCCTTTTTTAGTAGTAGAACACTAATAATGCATAATGCCAGCAAAGTCTACATATCAGTCAGAGCCTACATTGTATATTTGTTTTCGAGATGTTCCAAAGCAAAAGGACTTTGGGTTATTCCATTATTCTACTAATTTTTGTGATAAATGAAGAGGATGATGTTGAAAATAAGATATACCTACCATTCTTTTTAATCCTTTAGTGAATTATGTAGCATCAAAAGAAGATCATATAGTTGAAATATTATTTGACTCAGAATAGCTGAATCTTGTCCATGGATGGAAGGAGAAGTTAACTTGATATATTTTTTGAAAATTTAAAAGAAACATATGGTAACAGTCAGCCCCATACCTTATTATTTAAAGATCAGTGTGTCCAAAAAGACCGAATTATAACTAGAAGCCAACACTGTGCACAATTTTTGATCATCATTATTTTTAGATTCTGTTACATTTTGGGTTCCAGCCTCTACTGAAATACACATTCGCTTGAAATGAGTCAGGCCATTGCTTTTGGCTCAGGATTGACTTTGTCTGATCTTAACTGTTTTTTCCCCAGCATTCCACAGCTCTGCTTCATGACTTAAAGTAACTATTATAAAAATATTTGGGAAAATCATATGGTGTTGTTAGATGCAATAGAAAATAATGTTATGCACATACAAATGTGAGATAAATATGCATACAGGCAAGAGGTTTAGTTTCATCCAAAATCTATTGGAAAAAAATCAAATCTTATGACCTAAGATTATCTTCACCATTAGACTCTAAATAATATATTTTTTAGATGTGAAGTGACTTTGTGTATAACTTTTCTCAGCATTTGTTGATCATTTAGTTTCAGACTGAATATACACCGAATACCAAATAATACATGACAGTTGTCTATGCTAGTTTTACAGAACCTTTGCGTTTATCTTCTCCAAATCATACAAAGCTGCTGTTATGTCTTGTGTCTTGTTTCTAATGGGGAAAATGAAAGTAAGCAAAAAGAAGTGAGCCACTATTCACTGCATGGACACATACTGAATCATTAAGAATCAGGCTCATACCAAGTCCTCTCATTTCAGGCTTACTCATCTTTCCATAGCATCAGAGAAGGAGAGTCAGATGCCCACAGGCTTGTGGCAGTGTCATGTGGACAGACTGGAGTGACCCTGCAGTGGAGGCTGGGGGACCTCTGGGCCACTGGGATAGGGGGATGGAGCAGGAGGAGAGTGAGGACTGGACTTGGAACTACATGGAGACCAGGAGAGAGAGAATAAGACCATCTTGCCATTCTAGACCTCCTTTCCTAAGAAAGACATAGTAAGTCAGGAGGGGATGAATTTTGTGATCCAGCATTCTAAACATCTCTTCTGACAGTAACTTGGGCAGGACAGTGACTGGAATGAAGGGTTCTTCCATGAGGACTTTGGTATAAGTCTAATTGGAAAAACAGAGTGAGTTGATCTCAGACATAAATGCATCCTCAATGTGTCTGAACCATAAGTAATCCTGCATATTACTAGGATATTTGTTTTTGGCTAACAGCAACAGGGGCCAATACGTCAGATTTTATTGTTTTAATGACTTTATGTTGGAAGATTCCACATAACATAGTAATAGTCATCAGTAAGTCAGAGACCAAGCAAACTGTGGAAAAATTCTTTTCATACTCCATCTCTTCATTGGAACTGATTTTTTTTCTTCTTTTTTGGGGGTTAAAAGCTCAAATACTTGACTTTTAGAATACTTAGCTTATTTTCTAATTTTAAGAATATCTCATTGTTATTGAATCGTATAACTCTCAGTGAATCTTCTTGAAATCAAATGCTTTTTTTTTCTCTGCATTGCTTTTTGTTGATTCGGATATGACAAATTATTGGGATTGTACTGTGGAAGATGACCTTAAAAGGACTTTTTTTTCTTACAATCTCTGACAAGCTTTCATTAAACTGGCTGAACATCTCCAATAATGAGAAATTTACCATTTACAGGGGCTGGTATAAATTGCAGGTTAACAGCAGACTCTGAAGTCAGATATTTTTTTTTTAATTTAAATCCCCATTCTGCCCCCTGACTGTCTCATTAAATTATTGTGGTGATTTGATTAGTTAATATAGCAAAATTATTCATCATAGGTGACATATGGTAAATGCCATGTAATAATTATTTTACATCACAAGGTCACTCATTTCATTTCTGAATTGATATGCTTTTAAATAGTTACAATCTATCTAATTGAGGATATGCTTTGGCAAACTTTTCTTGTGAAGGGACAAGTAGTAGGTATTTTCAGCTTTGTAAACCGTAGGGTTTCTGTTGCAATGACTTGACACTACTATGAAAGGACAAAAGCAGTCATTGACAATACATAAATAAATCGGTGTGGCTGTGTTTCAATAAAATGTATTTACAAAAACAGATCATGCATCATGTTTGGACCATAGGCCATAGTTTTCTGACCTCTGATTTATAACATTATTTCAATTCTAATTTTTTTTTTTTTTTTTTTTAGACGGAGTCTTGCTCTGTCACCCAGGCTGGAGTGCAATGGCACCATCTCGGCTCACTGCAACCTCCGCCTCCCGGGTTCAAGCGATTCTCCTGCCTCGGTTTCCTAATTGGCTAGTTTAGTATTTTTAGTAGAGACAGGGTTTCACCATGTTGGTCAGTCTGGTCTTGAACTCCTGACCTCAAGCAATCCTCCTGCCTCGGCCTCCCAAAGTGCTGGGATTACAGGCATGAGCCACCACACCTGGCCCAATTCTTTTATAAATAGTTCCTTGAGACTGGAATTGTGCCTTAAGCCCAAGTTGAAACAAACAGCCCCTGCAGAAGGAAATGCTGAATTCCATACTCCCTCGACAACTAATCCATTTGGACTACCAACTGGATAATGACCGCCTGCCTGCCTGCACAGTTGCAGAGACATAGCATTCACAAGGTCACTATTAATTATAGTAAAAACTTGAAAAGGAATCTGAACTTAGAATTTGTGACCCAAATGTTAGTATCCAAATAATATATTGAAAAAAATTCAGATAGCTTTTAAATGAAGACATTACACCTGCTGTATTATATTTTCATTTTGAACAGTAAAACCTATACATAGTTTTATAAAGTATAAAAACCTTGTCTGCAAGTGCATTAGGACTCAGTAATATAGATTCATAGCAATTTAATTAAGAACATAATATTTTATGTAAATAGAGGTTTAAAATAGAACATGCGATGACTTGGAATTTAAATGAAGAATGTAAAATATTTATATGATTTTTAAAAAGATCAATACCAATTAGATAATTTATTTCAAATTTATACATAAAGAATCAGAAAAGAAAATAGTTAATAACTGTAATAGCATTCTATTAAGAATAAATATATCAAAATCTGAAGACAATTGGTTCTACATGCACAAGAATAGTACTGAGCATCTTCTAGTTTTAAAAAGTACATGTCAAAAATTCTTTTTATAGCTCACATAGTTATAAATTTAAATAAGACTTCTAGCTCTCTCTATATATATGTATGAAGATATTTTATACCTTAAATAGAAAAGGTAGCAAGAGGTAATGCAGTTATAGTCATTTTTCTAAGTGTAAACTGATTGGTTATAATACTTAATGCAAATTATTTATAGAATATATTAATATATATTTTACTGTCATTGTCCTTCTGTGTAAAGTGTACAGGGCTTTTGTATTAATATCGGGGTAGCCATCTGTGAGGATGAGAGTATTAGTGGGCAAGAGGCAAGAGGAGATTGTAATTTGTGACAGAGGTAATGTAGAGTGAAATAGGCATATTAGTAATATTTAGCTTCTGACATTAAAAAATTATACAATTGTATACATTTTCAATCCAGATATCGTTTTAAGAAAGGATCTCTCAAATTTAATTTTTCTCCACTTAGTATCTCAATTATCACCTAGCTGATAATATTAAGTGCACAGAAGTACATAGTGCAGGAGAACAGTCTAGTACCCTCTTAAATTTTAGCTGAGATGGAAAGAGGGGATGTTTTAGGGTGTTCAAAGAGGGCACAATTCTTCATTGTCTCCAGGGAATGTCATGAAAGTTAAAGAAGAGAGAAATAAGAGATTAGATAATCAGGCAGATCCCGAATTTCTACATTTCTACTCTGGATTGAGAGGAACAAAGTATGTTTGGGGAAATGAGGAGAGGAGTAAGCGCATACAGTGGTTTAGCATTCTCCTCCAGCTTCTGGAAATTATGAAAAGAATCCACATTTCAAGCTTCTCTACGTTAATCTAGGATGCAATCCAGATGAGATTAGGCTAAGGTAGAGTTTCAGGGTAGAGTTGAGAGTTTGGCTCAACTCTCTTGAGCCAAAATAAGTGTTTGTTTGTGACACTGGGTACTGGGCTAAAAGCCATTAGGCCTGTGGTGGTGTCATGTGGACAGACTGGGGTGACCCTGCAGTGGAGGCTGGGGTACCTCTGGACCACTGGGATGGGTAGAAAAAAACAGTTACAGATTTTGATATCTGAAACCAGTTAGTTCAGTTCTGGAGGAGAACATCAAGTCTGGAAGGGAGCATTTACTGAATAAAAAGTAAATACATAAAATTAAAAGAGACTACAAATCCACATTAGAAAATGGCAGAAAAATCAATGAAAAATGGACAAGTGATATTGTCAAGCAAACTGGCTGATGCAAGCAGCACGTCACCAAAGTCCAGCATAAAGTCTCCTTTATTCTAACTCATAAAGATGCATAGCCCAGTATCTGTCACCCCAGAGTCCTTGTCTGAGTCCCATAATGCTGCTATAACAGAATGCCTTAGACTAGGTAATTTATAAACCATAGAAATTTATTTCTCACAGTTCTGTAGGCTGGGAAGGCTAAGGTCTAAGCACTGGAAGGTTTGGTATTTGGTGAGGACTCAATCTCTTCTTCAAAGGTGGTGCCTTGTTGCTGCAGCTTCACATGGCAAAAGGGAAAAAGGGGGTGAATACTTCTCTTGCACCTGTTTTATATGGTAATTAATACCACTAATGAGGTGTAATGGTAATACTGAGTGTCAACTTGATTGGATTGAAGGATACAAAGTACTGTTCCTGGGTGAGTCTGTGAGGGTGTTGCCGAAGAAGATTAACATTTGAGTCAGTGGACTGGGAAAGGCAGACCCACTCTCAATCTGGGCAGGCACAATCTAATCAATTGCCAGTGTGGCCAGAATAAAAGCAGGCAGAAGAATGTGGAGAGACTAGGCTGGTTTAGTCTGCTGGGCTACATCTCTGTCCCATGCTGGATGCTTCCTGCCCTTGAACACTGGACTCCAGTTTCTTCCGCTTTGAGACTCAGACAGGTGTTCTTGCTCCTCAGCTTGCAGATGGCCTATTGTGGGGCCTCATCTTGTGATCATATGAATCAATACTCCTTAATAAACTACGCTTTAAATATACATCTATCCTATTAGTTCTGTCCCTGTAGGGAACCCTGACTAATACATGAGGGCACTGCCCTCATGACTTAATCACCTCCTAAAAGCCCCATCTCTTAACAATATCACATTGGTGAATACATTTCAACATATGAATTTTAGGGAGACATATTCAGACCATAGCACTCTCAGAGGCCATTGGGAGAAGAAACAGATGTAAGGGTGAATTGTAAAGGGTATCAATACCCTTTCATTTAAGAAAGAATGAGTGGGACTTTTAAAATTATCGCATTGATTTAACTTTAAGCCAAAGTAAACATTCAGGTGAGTTTTTCCACCTTAGTACTAGATACATGCTTTGATGGATGTCCAGGTGCATTGTAAACAAAATAAGGAAATTATACACAGTTGAATGGTAGTGAAGCTATATTTTTGTGACCTTGCTTCCAGATCACAACTGTAATTTATAAATGTCTCCTTGATATAATTTCTTCATATAGACATATAAGTTGTGTTTATACACTACAAATAGTAAAGCATAAACTTTTTAAATTATGGGAACCAAAGGTACAGAAAGAACATGGAACATAGTTAACAAATATATTCATAAGACTCACATTACCTTATTGCTTAAAAATTTCTGTGTGCCAATTATTAAGTTATCCATTGTAACTAATTATTCACTTACAATGCCTATTAAGTATTTCGTAAGTGCTCTGCTCTGTCATGCGCTCTAAAAAGATGCAATAATAAGTCCTCACTCTTGGGGAACTTTTTATTTAAAGCAAAATTTGAGTGCTCATAAAATTAGAAGTACCCCTCCTGACTACCTCTGTATTACTTGCATCAGGAGTTTCAATTACTTTTATATTAACTCCAAGAAATATTAGTAGATAATATAAAATATTGTTCAAATAATTGTTTTAGAAACTCAAGGGAAATATTACTGTTGATTGACTTTAGAAATTCATAGATTATTTGCACATGCACATCGTGTAAAAGTTAGATTGAGGGAGATATGAGGGAAAGCAAGAATGGAGAGTGGCATAAGGGTAGCATGGAAATGAACTGAAAGTAAAATCTGTGTTTGGAATGAATAAGCAAGCACAAAGAAAGTAGGAGTATTCTGAAGTTATTTAATATGAACAATTCTATTATTGAATAATTTCATTTACTTGTATGTAATTTGTCTCAGAGATAGTAAAATAGAAGATATGTTATGGACTGAATGTTTGTGTCCCGCCCACGCTACAAATTCATGTGTTGAAATCCTTACTCCCAATACGTTGGTATTAGGAGGTGGGGCCTTTGGCAGGTAATTAGGTCATAAGGGTAGATCCTTCAGGGATGGAACTAATTCCCTAATAAGAGGGTCCAGAGAGCTCGTTAGTTCTTCATCTACCATCTTCTCTTTGGGGATACAAAGAGAAGTCTATTTTCTGGAAAAGGGTATTCACCAGAACCTAAGCATGCACCCTGAACACGGACTTCCAGCCTCCAGAACTTTGAGAAATGAATGTTTGCTGTTCAATTCACCTAGTTTATGGAAATTGTTATAGCAATCTCAGCTTACTAAGAGAAGATCTATACTTAAACTCAAATCTTTTAGTTCCTTGACTTAAGCACTTTGCAAAACTGAAAGACTAAGACAATGTCAAATGAAAGTGGGCACTGAATGTCAGGTTGAAGAGGTTAGAGTTAATGAAATAAGAAATGTGGTAACATAAGCAGATCTGCAAGTCAGTACCTTCTGCTGGAGTTTATATTTAGAAGTCATGATGCAAAAAGAAAATATAAGTAATATAGCATCAACATAAATGTTAAAGCTACCAAACATATGTGAAAAAAATATACACATTTTAAAAGTGTTATTTGAATCGCTTTCTCAAATTCAAAATAGGATGTTACTTTCCAAAGCCTTAAATGTGTGATTAAAATTGACAGTTCTGGCCGGGCGCAGTGGCTCACGCCTGTAAATCCAGCACTTTGGAAGGCTGAGGGGGGTGGATCACGAGCTCAGGAGAGCGAGACCATCCTGGCTAACACGGTGAAACCCCGTCTCTACCACAAAATGCAAAAAATTAGCTAGGCATGGTGGCGGTCGCCTGTAGTCCCAGCTACTCGGGAGGCTGAGGCAGGAGAATGGCGTGAACCCAAGAGGCGGAGCTTGCAGTGAGCTGAGATGGTGCCACTGCACTCCAGCCTGGGCGACAGAGCCAGACTCGGAAAAAAAATAAATTGACAGTTCTATAAGAAGAAAGAAGAGGAACTCAGTATAGCCATTGCTGTGTCTTTAGGATTATTTTTCTGTCCACTCCAAAAGTATGGATTAATGATGGTGTCATTTCAGCATGCTCAGGGACCAGGGGCCAACTATTTGGTAAGTTGAGAATTTAGGAGAATTTTTCAGGTGCCATTAAATTAAGAGCAGTGCATGTGATTCAAGATAGAATAGGGAGAGTTGGCATAATGAACAGAACCACCTGCTTAACTAAATGAATGCTGGCCCTAGAATTGCAGCTCGTGTATTAATTATAACGCTAATCAAGTTTATCCCAATCATCTATGATGGGAAGATTTAGAACCATAATACTTAACCACTGGTTGGAGGTCAGTGGTGATATCCAAAAACCAGAGATCCGGTTAAGAGTATAACCTAAAAAGAATACCAAGACTCACATTCCCCTTCGTAACCCATAGCCAAGATTTATTAGTGCAGCTCACTAACCAATTCCCTGGGGAGAAAAACGAATTAGGGGTAGAGATCAAAGGCACACTTGCAGATGAATGACAAGGATTTTCAACAACATAGTATAGAGGTATAGGTATTTGGTGGGTACACTGGAACAGTCACATCTTTGGGCCACTGCTGTTGAGGTAGTATATATGGCAACTTGAAAGTAAGGAGGAAATTCAGCCATTTGACCAATGTTGATATGAGGGCATTGAACAAATATGGAATTATGTGACTATTTTTCTTTTTGGAATGCCCAAGTCTCTTAGTGGAGGGGAGGAGATTATTTAATTAAAAAAAAAATTGGCAGAATTTTTACAAACCATGAAGGAAGTTTTTCCCCATACTCTTATTCCTGGCATAACTATTTCAGAGAACTTTCTAGAAAAATAGAATTTTGAGCGTGAATATTTAGGATGTGGTATAAAACACTTTGCAGCACACAGAACATTTTCACACTGTTGGGGAACATTGAATGTCATGCCATAGGGAGTGGCTTCAGAGAACAGTATCTTTAGACTCTCCAGAAAATAAATAAAATGACACAAAACTAATGTGCCCAAGTGGTTTGGCACTTACAGATTAATAAAACTGGCAGAGATTGTCCTGTGCTTTGAAATGTTATATGTAAATTTAATAAATAGTTCATGAAAAATAACATTACCAACTGGCCTTAGTAATGTCTTCTCATGAAAGATTCCTCACAAGACTAGACAAGCACTGAATTTCCTAGATTTGAGAATCAGCCTGGATTATGACAAAAAGGCTATCATTTAAAAGGCATTTGTTATTTTCCAAGTATTGATCAAATACATATAATATTTGATAGAGTATATTTCTGGATATTACAGGTGATGATATAATATAAGAAAATCCCATTACACTCATATTTTCTTAGGCTTATAGTTCTATTTGCAACATTTCCACTTTTTTTTTTTAAAGTTTACTTACATTTGAGGCAGTATAATGTATGTCAAATCTTTTGTGAAAATATATAGCTAACTTGAATATACCCTTAGGCAGAATTAGTCTAATGGAGAAAGAATAAAGGAATATGAAGTTAGATGACAAAAGTATGAAAAGAAATTATGAATAAATTATGAAAAGAAATTATGAGTTTTGGAAGAAATTATGAATAGCAAATATGTTTAAATCTACCAGGCACTTATATTCACAAAACGATCTCAACATTGCCGTAATCATTTGGCTTCAATATTAACAGTTCTGCAATATTTGATCAGTGCCATTTTTCCATTTCTTCTACTAATAATTTAGAAATAAATATTAATTAAATGTACTTCATTCAGCATATACCATTTCCTTTTCTTATTCATCAATTAAGTTTGAATCCTGAGAATTTGCTGCAATTCAATAGTATTTTTAAGACATCTTTAAATTTTTAATGTACACAATCATGTCATTTATGAAGAAAGACAGTGTTACTTTTTATTTTTCAGTTTTCCTGACTTACATTTCTTTCTCTTGCCCTCCAATGCAAGGTTGAGTGAAAGTGATACAAATGAACATTCTTGCCTAGTTAAACGAGCTTGCATTCCTTGAACAAATACAATTTGATTTAAATTGATTATCTTACTTTAAAAAATATTGATGGATTTAGTTGCTAAAAACTCATTTATAATTTTAACATTCATGACAAAGATTGGCATATAATATTTTTTCTTGTAATATCGCTTCATTTGAGATCACTGTTATGTGGCTTTTTGAAACAAGCTGGAAAATAGATTCTCTTTTACTTATTCTCAGGGAGTAGAAGTAATTCTTACTTTCCTATTCTCTGCGTTTAGGTTTTTACTTTATTAAATGTAAGGATTTACTAGTGGAACCCTCTGGCCATGGTGTTTACTTGGTGAAAAGAAATTGAATTGTTAAATTCATTAATAAATAAAGGTCTAACATATTTTTAAAATTTATTCCTTTGTTAGTTTTGGTAATTTCTGTACTTTTTAAAGAAATGTTTTTCTTTTCAGTTAAAGTTTCAAACTTATTGGCAGAAATTTACTTAAATTCTCTCACTAAATTTAGTATCTTGTAGAATCTCTGGTGCTATCCTTTTTACATTCATAATATGAAATATATTTTTCTTTTTTTCTCTTGGTGCTTCTTAGTAGGGTCTTTACAATTTTATTGTTTCCTAACTTTAGGCATTTTTTCTATTAGATATTTCTTACCTTATTGTTTTATGGTTTTAACTATTTTCTAATATACGTTTTTAAAGGTACAAGTTTCTTTTTAATCATAGGTTCGGCTAGATCCCGCAACTTTTGATTGTTCTGATACTTTTAAGAAATTTCCACTGGAAGTTCTCCTTGATGCGTGGGTTAGAACTATATTGTTTATTTCCCAAATATTTAGAGATTTTTTTATTATCTTACCTTTTTCTTGCTTAATTTTATTGTTTTCTGCATGATCTTGAAGTTTGCTAACGTTTGCTATTTGAACATGCAATGTGCCAATGTATACAAATGTTCCAAAACACAAGAAAATAATTTTCATCCTGAAATTTGTGAGTAAAGCATTCATATAAGTCAATTAGGTGAAGTCACATAAACTTTTTCAAATATTCTACATCTATCTCTCGTTTACTCAGTTATTGAAAAGGATATATTAGCCCACAACAAGTTGTACATTTACATATGTGCCCTTTTAGCTCTCTTAATTCTTAACTTACTTATATTTAGAATATGATTTTCGATGTTAAAATTTATGTATCTCCCTAGTGGACTGGCTCCTATATCATTAAGAAATTATTTCTCTTTATTGTTACTAATGACCCTTGCTTTAAAGTTAATTTTCTTTCTATTAGTTGTTTATTTTATATATTTTTCCTTAGGCTTACAGTTTGCAAAATGTATTATAATTAAGAGATGTCTCTTAAAAGAATATAACAGGGCATTGTTTTAAAATCCAGCCTAAAAATCTTTGTCTTTGTTTTGTCCACTTACATGTGTTTGGGTTTAAAGCTACAATCTTACTGTTTCTTATTGCTTGTGTCACTTGTTCCATACTCAATTTTCTCTCCTTTTTTGACCTTATTTAGAGTTAATTAGGATTTCTGTTAAATATTTTCCCTTTTATTACTTCGTTATTTATACATTCTATAACTACTATTTTGAGAGTATCTTGGGGATTACAATAGGCAATGTTAACTTACTTAAATTACTGTATTCAATAATATATTAACTATATTCCAGATGATGATAAAACAGACCCATGTGCCTCAAAGTTTATCCACAGACAAATAGTATTGGTATCACCTGGGTGCTTGCTAAAAGTGCAGAATGCTCAGGGCCTCACCCTAGACTTACTATATCAGATCCTGGAGTTTTATAAGAATTCTAGGTGTATTTTATGTACATTAAAATTGAAAAGCATTACTTTGGAAACATTAATTATCCTCATTCCTGTCTTTTTCAGTTATCGTGGCTATGTAATTTAATTCTAAAATATATTAAAACTCTAGAAGTCATTATTATTATTAATTTATTAGCAAATAGGTCTAACCATTGATTTACCCCCATATTGGATTTAATCACATATTCAACCTTTTATTGCCCTTCCTTCCTTCCTTCTTTCCCTCCCCCCTCCCTCCCTCCTTCCTTCCTTCTTTCCTTCCTTCCTTCCTTCCTTCTCTTCTCTTCTCTTCTCTTCTCTTCTCTTCTCTTCTCTTCTCTTCTCTTCTCTTCCCTTCTCTTCTCTCCTTCCTTTCCTTCTATGGATAAATCTGGAATAATTTTCTTTGTTGAAGAACTCCTTCAATATTTCCATTACTATGAATCAGCTGCTGTTTAACTCTCCAATGTTTTTGTTTTAAAACTATATTTATCATTTTTAATTTCGAAAGATACAGTCACTTGGTGTACAATTCTAGTTTATGCTGTTCAGAGTTCCTAGCATAATGCTTTTGCTATATGAACTACTCTACACATTTGATGATTTAATAGTTTATTTTAAAAAATATAATTACTAAATTGACTTGTGTTTGACATGCAACCTAGCTGACAGGGTAATGGAGTGTTTTTCTTATTAGAAAAAAAGCGAGATTTAGCTGAACATTATAAAGCCATCAATTCTACTGCTCTACTTCTTCATGGTTGTGAAAATAATCCTTATGAAGTCTTGTATATATTGACTACAAGAGTAGAAAGATCTGTAGTTTCAAAGTTTTATTAAAGCAAATAAATACATAAAAGCCTGCTTTCGTGCATGAAGCTTTCTGTTAAGGCTGACTACAATACTACAATACTACATGTTTAAATATTACAATACTACGTTTTTAAATACTACAATACTATGTGTTTAATTTGTGACAGGCTTACATTTGATTATAGTCAATCATGAGTAGCCCTCAGCAACTGAGGGCAGAGGCATATAGAAAAATTAGTTTCTTATCATATGTGCACACCTTAGTTGGAAAAAAAAAAGGATTGAACACTGTATTTATATAAGCATTGCTAAATACAGAATGCACTGAAGACAAACACTAAGTTACTGTTGCAAATCTAACTGTATATTAAAAAGAATATCTAAAATTGGTGATATCTAGGCTTTTGTCTCAAACATGTGTCAGCCATATGATTTTAGTACCTTTCCTATTCCCAATGACAGCTGTCAGTGTTTAGAAAACAAACAAACAAACAACTTAAAATCGGTTCTTGTTAAGTAACTGTTCTTATAGGTGTTGTTTTACATCCTTTACAATGGGAAGAAGAAGAAATGAATAGTTCTCTTAGAAGCTAATTTTTATTACTATTTGTAGTCTAAGTAACTAAAGTGCCTATAAATGAGCATACGTAATTTATTTTTAAAAATTATTGAACATTTGTAATGCTATAGGTAGACATAATTTTGGAAAATTATTTAACATAAGCTTATGTAATTAACTGCTGCCGATTTAGATTATGTAATTAACTGCTTATGTAATTAACTGCTAATCTGCTGTGAGAGACAGTCAAAGTATATTTTATATGTCATTCTAATGTTTGATTGCTGCTACAATAAGGAAATTCTCATCCAACCTAAATTGTATATGATGTTGCTTAAAATCCTTTCATTTGGTGTGAAAAATGTTTAAAGTTAATAAGAAAGACTACGTCAACCAACACATTTATTTTTACATACATTTTTACATGTTGTACCTGATGAATGAGGTGTTTTTTTCCAGAATCATGCACATCACTTGAGTTAGAAATAGGAATAGTGCTCAAATTCTTTCTCCTAGTGATGAACTGCTTAATATACCAGTGTTTTTGTTTTGTTTTGTTTTGTTTTTATCTCAATGGAGCTAAAAAAGATTTGGTTAGCTTCTATATGTTGTGTTTTTTGAGTGACAGAAGAGCTGACATTTTCCTTCTTCATCAAGCAGCTATGTAGTACCAATATGTAGAAGCTTAACTTTTCAGAATTATGTAATTACAGAATAAGATACTAGTGAATAGATACTAGAGAAGAAAAAATAAAGCAATAAGGAAGAGTATCATTAAATATAATTTTTTGGTGTTTTGCGTGTTCAATGTTTATTCTCTAATTAGGGTTAGAAAATTATGTTAGGTCTTCTCAACTCATCATGAACTGACATCTTGTTTTCCTAATCAGTGATGTTTATATTTAATGATACCAACTGTCATTTTTTTGTGTACCAACTATATGACAGGAATATTGTATGTATTTCTTACCAAAAATAAGAAAATACAAACACTATTTTATTTCCAATTGAAAAAGTAAACTCAGCCTCAGAGAAATTGGAAAATATCTCTAATCATTCCACTAGGTAGCTATGAAAGCATGTTTCTTTGACTCTAAAATATTGAAATTTTGGCTACATTACTATTTTCTATTGCATTATATTATATCTTTGAGTATAGACTCTGTCAATTTGAATGAATTAATATGGCCATGGTAACGTTACCGTAGAAAGTCAGATAAAAATTAGACTCAAAAATATTCTCTACATTCGAACTGGGAATTTGGTAGCAATTATAAGGGATTCGGCTTATTCTTTGAGATTTTTTCAATCTTTCTGAAAATAATATAGCAGTCTTGCATTTTATGCAGAATTTAAACAATAAAAAACTTGCTTCTATTTATAGGATGTTTAAGTAATGCTGATGTAAGTGAAAATACAGTAGATTCTGTTTTCATTCAATCTGGCAAAATTTTAATAGAAAAAATAAAAATGATTTAAAAAGCCATTAGCAACATATCTAAAAAATATTTAAATTTTATACTTATAGATGAATTATTTTATCATTTAAATATGCTCTTTAGTGTCAATTAACTTATTTTTAGGTATCTGGTTTGGTTACAAAAGGTGAGGACACATCATCTGCCTTTATTATGGGTCATTCTGTGAGATAAATAAGGATATTTTACTGAAATATTCAATTATCTATATTTTCAATCTAATTAATTGTGTCTTATAATTTGCATTGTAAATAATAATATGAAGGATGAAAGAATAAGAATGGGCAATTACGCATTGCCTTATTGTCAGGGTGGAGCTGTGGGGTGGGCTTTTAGTTGAGTTAAGTGGCTGCTTGACCTCCTGGGTCAAGAGGCGTAACCCCTCTGCTTCTTTGAAATGTGCGGAGGTGTTAGTTTTCCTACCTGGGCAAGGTCATTAGGGTGGGTTCTGAGGCTGGGCAGGAAGACTAGCAATGTGGGGACTCAAGCTAGGTTGCACTTCCCATTGTGCTTTTGAAGGCCACCACTCAGTTTTGCTGTGGGCTATGAGGTAGGGTGATGTCTCTGATTCTGGGCTGCAGATGGCAGAAACACAGAGCCACAGAGCTACCACCAAGATCTGCATGCTGGTCACTATGACCTCTGCCTTCTTTTGTTTGTACATGGCTAGGAGGGGTGGTCTATCTATGCCATTTCCTCCAGTGTTCCCCATGTGAGGTATAACTAGAGTGGGACTCCTGGCAAGAGTCTCAGAATGCTAGGGAAGCTGGATGACTTTCTCAATTCTTCTTTCCTCATGTAGAAACTATGGGCCCAGGAAAATCCCCTCTATCGGACATTGTGCTGGCTTGGTGGGGGTAGAGGTGCAGTTGTAGTGAAACCATTCTTACCTTACTAATTCAGACTTCATTCAGTTCTGTGCACCACATGAGTATCTCAGGCTTGTTTCCAAGTGTTGAGATTTTCAGAAGCATGCTCTATTCTGTTGCTAGTTGCTAGTTGAACTTTCTGTAGAGGGGAGTGGAGGCTGAGACTTCCTAGTCTGCCACCTTGCTGACATCACTTGGTTGCTTGCAATTATTTAAAGGCCACCTGCAGTTCCTTACCACAAGGGCTTTTCCAGCATGGTCATTTACTTCATCAAAGTCACGAAGAGAGTCTTTCTGACTCTACTCTGCCAAGATAAAGTCTTATATAAGGTAACATAATTATGAGAATGACATCGCACAACCTTTGCCATATAAAGTTACCTATTGAGGCAGGGCTTGATGTTTCACACCTGTAATCCCAATACTTTGGGAGGCCAAGGTGGGCAGATCACCTGAGGTCAGGAGTTTGAGACCAGGCTGGCCAACGTGGCGAAACCCCGTCTCTACTAAAAATACAAAAATTTTTAGTGGTGGTGGGAGCCTGTAATATCAGCTACTTGGGTGGCTGAGGCAGGAGAATCACTTGAACCCAGGAGGGGGAGGTTGCAGTGAGCCGAGATTGAGACACTGCACTCCACTCCAGCCTGGGTGACAGAGTGAGACTGCATCTCAAAAAACAAAGAAACAAACAAACAAAAAGTTACCTATTAAAAACAATCATGAGAGTGAAATTCTTTGACATATAACATAATCTATTACAAGAATGACATCCCATCAACTGTGTCTTATTCTGTTAGTTGAAGTCATTGGTCCTGCCCATAGGCAAGAGAAAAAGTTAAATGTTTTAATAGCTATAATTTTGGATGTATAAGTATGCAACCTTAGCTTCCTACAATTTAACTTAGCTTAGTTCTACTTCCCCCAGTATCAACTTATGATTGGAACATGTCTTGCTGACTTAAGGCAAATCAATTCCCAATTGAATACTTACCCAGGCGAATACTTATCTAGTTCAGGAATCTTTTTTTTCCCCCTCATTTCTTTCTCCCAAGGGGATTTCAGTTTTCAAGCATAAGTTCACGTATTAAAGCAACATTTAGTAATGTAGGAGGTGGATTTTCCTGAGTGTATTCTGCTGGCCACTTCTCAGATATAGATTGTCTTGTGCATGACAAGGGTGTTGTGCATGACAAGAATGTTGTGCATGACAAGCGTATTGGGTATTGGTGTCTGCTGCATCTGCTGCATTGTACAGGTCCTACTATGATGTTAGATTCATTCATATGGCTTAACTTACATCCTATGAAAATGTCCTCCTTTTTCAAATCTGAGAGTTTTTCCTCTCTTCTGACCCTTGCAGCCACTCACATATTCTTCTTGCTTGCAAGGCAGAATCCAGAGACTCTCACAAGGTAGGCAAGACTTTAAATTGCTCTTAGGACCAAACAACTGTCCTTCATCAATCACTACTCTATTACTCTGGTACCTAAAGATACTGATTAACTGGAAATGTTTCTTATAACCAACTATTAAAAGAAATGCCATTTCAAAGAGAGAACATATCACTTCAGATAACAAAACCAGGGCAAATGTATGGTACCTCATCTGCCTTCAAGTCTCTATGCTTCTACTGCACAGCTTGTTTTCTGATAATTTGTCACGCCATGCCTTTTGGGATATAGAGCTTTAATTCTAGCTTTCTCTCTACCTGGGAAGCTCTCCTATAAGACAGTTTCCTATTTATTAGTAAAACCTCAGCTCAAATGGCATGTCATCTAAAAGCCTTCCCTAAACACCTCCTCTCCGAAGTCCCCTGGTTACTTTCTATTATTTCACACTACTTTCTTTTCATTAAATCACATATTTGATGTTTTATTGATTATTTTGCCTTTCTACACTGCATTGTGAAATTAGGAGCCTTGTCTGGTGTCCCATTTGGGTCCCAAATGGAGACCAAGGCCCAGCATATAATGAAAAAATAATTGCTTAATGCATAAATGGCATAATAAATAACCCATGTGGTTCTTGTCTCTTATTTAGTTGACACAATAACACGTGAAACACAAGCAACTTCTGAAGATACTTTATTTGGACTGCTATTTAAGCTGTTTACAATACTTTATAATACTTTATAATTTAATAATGTATCAGGTATTTTTAGATAACAAATGCAGCTAAATCTACTATACCAAATAGATTATTAAATTTCACTTTGAGTGAACTTATGAACCAGAAAATATAGAATTCAACCAAAATAGACCACTCTAATAAGTTTATATTAAATATAAACATAAAAAACTTTTTTATGATTATGAAATCTTTATTGCAAATTTTAAAATTAGCCTTGCACCAGAAATTACTTTGTTTCAATATAGTAGAATATTACTTTTAAGTGCTATGGGAAATGATATTTCACTTCAGTTAGAGAAAGTTCAGTGAACTAAGGTTTAACAAGGAAAAATTAAGTATGGAAATCTAAAAAAATTAGAAAGATGCTGTATTATAAGAAGATACTACAATAAGAGTAGGTGAAATTATAGTTCTATTTGAAAAAGAGGTAACAACGAAAAGCTGCTATAGAAGGAAAGGGGAATAGACATTCTGAAAATGAAACAAACAGAAAAAAAGAAACAGAATATAAACAGTTACATATAATTTAAGAGAGCACATTGAAGTAGAAAATCAAATATAGAATGAATTTATTGTTTATAATGGTTTTTAAGATTATAATAAAAACACTTACAAAGATATCATACCCGGGGGAAATCTAACAGAGCAATGGTCCAGAAAAGAATATTAATGATGATGTTAAAATAGAACAGTATTATCATGTTATTTGTCAATTTCTCATAAAATTATAAGTAACTGAGAAAAAAAGACCTGAAAAAATTGACAAAAAAACAGATAAATGAATAGAAATTAATCGGGGCATGGTGGCTTATGCCTATAATCCCAGCAATTTGGGGGGCTGAGACATGAGGATTACTTGAGGCCAGGCATTCAAGATCAGTATGGGCAACATAGTGAGATCCTCATCTCTACCAAACATAAAAAATATATATAAAAATAAAACTGAGTGTGGTGGCATGTATCTGTAGTCCTAGCTACTTGAGAGGCTGAGGTGGGAGAATTGTTTGAGCTCAGGAGTTTGTGGTTACAGTGAGCTGTGATTGTGCCTCTACATGCCAGCCTGGGTGACAGAGTGAAATCCTGTCTGAAAAGAAAAAAACTAAAAAGTAATTAGAAAAACTTATCATATGCAAATTAGTAGGACTTATTGGCCCTATTTTCTGATATTCAAAGGATTAGTTTGTGCATTTACCATTTTTGAAAAGTCCTCAAGATATTAGGCTGCACTGGCCTGTGTATGAAATTTATTCAGTGTTGAAAGTCACCTGAATGTTTATAAACAGCCACAGTGAATCTATTTAGAAAGAAAAGTCTAATGGGGAGTGAGAGATTTGATGTCATATTTAAAATCTTTAACAGTTTCTAAAGAGCTATTCAAATGACCTTTATAAATGATAGTAAATAAGATAGCACTCAAAAAAACTAGTGGAATTATAAATATTGTAAAAGGCTTTAAACTGTCAACTTAATTTCTCATATTTTGACATGGTCCAAGTAGTGAAAAATCTAAAATCTTCACAGAGATTTCTGAATCTTCAGTTTGACTTTAACTAAACTGAAGAAGATCTAATGTGTCCTCATATTTTAAGTCTTATCTCCACTAGAAGGTGAAAGAGAGTTGTTAAAAGGGAGATGAATAAAAAGATTACATAAATAACATTTGAGGAAAGAGGGTGATGGGTTGTTAGGTGCCACATGAGAAGCAGTTACTGCTTTTACTGCTTAGTTCTCTGGCTGGATTTTCACCAGCATATTTTTTTTTCTGAAATAGAAAAGTATCATGCAAGAATTGAAAAGATAGAAGTAAAATATCTGAAACACTACCTTCCAGGAAAGATTGAAATGTACATCTACCAATATTATAACAAAATAAGCTCTGAAGGGAAATAGATGAATCATGAAATTATCAAGCTGGTAAATAACTTCTGCCAAATGGAAGCAACATTTACTTATCTTCTGTATAAAAAGTTAACATAACTATTGGTACATGTAATTGCTTTTCTTTGCATAATGTGATGAATTGCACATGTCTTTACTTATGCTGTCATGGAAAGGTAAATAAGAAATAATTCCCTTTAGGAGTGGGTACCTGTCCACGTCATGCCCTAGTTTAGTGACTTCACACAATTTTGAAACAAATCATTAATAATGTATCAATACTGGGTATAACTAGTTCAGTTAGGTTCCAATAAACATTAGCTACAATTTTATTTATTTTTATTTTATTTTATTTTATTTTTTATTTGGGAGAGATGGGGTTTCACTTTGTTGCCCAGGCTGGAGTGCAATGGTGCAATCTTGGCTCACTGCAGCCTCCATCTCCCAGGTTCAAGCAATTCTCCTGCCTCAGCCTCCGGAGTAGTTGGGACTACAGGCATATGCTGCCACTCTCGGCTAATTTTTTGTATTTTAGTAGAGATGGGGTTTTACCGTGTTGCCCAGGCTGGCCTCGACCTCCTGAGCTCAGGCAATCCACCCACCTCGGCCTCCCAAAGAGCTAGGATTATAGGCATGAGCCACTGTGCCCAGCCAACATTAGCTCCAATTTTAAATAAAAATGTAATATATTATTGTTATGCCTTCATGGACCCTAAATAATATGTTTCAACATATTTTAAATTCAAGAGTAAGAATCTAAAAGAAAAGTCAAATATTGACTGGGTTGTTTTAGAATTTGTGATGGTTAATTTTGTGTTTCAATTTGACTGGGCTATTGTGCCTAGTTGTTTGGTGAAACTCTTAGTCTAGAATTTGCTGTGAGGGTATATTGTAGATGTAATTAGCATTTATAATCAGTTGACTTTAAGTCAAGCAGATTACTCTCACTAATGTGGCTAGGCTTTATCCAATTGGTGCAAGGCCTTAAGAGCAAAAATTGAGGCTTCCCAGACAAGAAATAATCCTGCCTTATGATTATAACAGAAATGCTGTGTGAGTACTCAGCCTGCAGGTCTATTCTGTAGATTTTGGACTCAAGATCAATTGTTACCTTCTAGCCTGCCAGCTGCCCTACAGGTTTTTGACTTGCCAGTCCCCATAGTCATGCAAGTCAATTCTTAAAAATTTCTCTCTTTCTCTAAAATAGGATGCATATCCTATTACTTCTTTTTCTTTAAAGAAACCTGACTGATACAGGGCTCAATGCTTATGTAGGGACTATGGGATATAGTATGATGTATGTGCAAAATATTATCCTTACTATGTATCAGAGTGACTATTTTTATATCACTTAAGCAGTGCCATTATACAAAAGCCTTGATCTCAGAGCAGAAAATATGACATTGGACTACTTTTTGCATCTTTTTGAAAATATTAGGTCGGTGCAAAAGTAATTGCGGTTTTTGCCTTTGAAAGTAATAGCAAAAACCGCAATTACTTTTGCACCAACCTAGTAAAAACTTTGAAGTTAACATGAAGGTAATGCTGACTATACAAATGTGAGACTCTGTTATTAATAAATCCTGATAAAGATGCATGCAGGAGTAAAATCTTTGAATATCATCACCAATTTGTTCTACGTTTTTCAGTAGAAACAAATCATCTATAGAAATTTTATCATCTCTGTCTACAAAATCATTAGAAACTTATAAGATATGGAGAATGTAGTTATCTTTTCTACTGAACATTCTTAGCAAATTAATAGGGTTGTTAAAATATATTAATCTCTTCAACTTTGCAATATTTACTTAAATTGTCAATACAAGGAAGAATTTCGGGATATTTTGAGCAGTCACTAAGAATAATCAAATGATTTATGTCATAATTCTGTCTATTTGTAACGGGATAATAGACTAGAAGAGTGTTACATATTATTACACACTTGAAACAATATTTACTATAAAAATTCTTAATGGAAACAAAAGGCCAACAAAATTTTGATTTCTTGATTATGGCACAAAAGAGGGCATGAAAATATTTTTCAAAACAGATGGCAATGTGTAGGAAAGTGAGAGAACTCATCCCCAGTTATATTTTCTAATAAACAAATTTGTACAGCACTTCAAAGTTTACAAAACACTTCACACACTTTGTTTATTGTTTTCATATGTACCCATAATGTGCAAGAAAATCAGCCCACAGGATTTTTTTTCATAATTATTCCCTCATATAGGAAGCAATTGATGAATGGAAGTGGATAAAATCCAGGAAGTTCAACCCAACAAGATACTTGTCTACAGTTTACTCTTCAAGAGAAAACACTGGCATAGATTTAGGAGCAAATGTATTGTCATTTTTCTTAAAAAGATAGCACAGAATAAAATTACAGAAAAACATCAAGCACAGAAAATAAGTTAATAAGGTTGTATGTTTTCCTTATTCCTTTCTGATCTTAAGGTTTTTTTTCGGGGTAAATGATCTTGTATAACAATTGCACAGAAAGCTGTAAAGATTATTATATTTGATGGCAATAAGGAAATATTAGGAGCCACATGGTACACATACTTAAACAACCCTTTATTTCTTTGAAATAGTCCTAACTTAGCATTCACAAAGAAAATTTCTCAAGCATTATGAGCTGTATTCTCTACTAAAAGCCATTGTTTTTAAACTTGACTATCTTGAATACTAATTATTTTGTTAAACTAGGCCTCTATCAGATTTGATATCAATACTACTGTTTTATAGGTACTACTTCTGTACCTATAAAACTCCAGGCACCACTGGCAGAGAAGGAAAGAAGAGAAGCAGCAGCTGGGTGTCAGAGAGAAGCAGCTTGACTTCATAGGGCCAGCTTGATGGTGGGACTTTGGAGAAGAGTTTCTCCAGGGATGGCCAAACTCCAGGGAAAGACCACCTTTTCATTTAATTCCCTTTCCAGCTCCCCTTCCTGCTGAGAGCCACTTCCACTGCTAAATAAAATCCTCCACATTTACCACCCTTCAATTCATTCACACAGCCTGATTATTCCTGGATGTCAGACAAAAGCTCAGGTGCCAAGGGAGTGTGCAAAAGGCCATCACCATCACCCTCCACTGAGCTTTTAAACATACAAGCCATCCATGGATGGCAAAGCTAAATGGGCACATTGTATCACATGCTCCTGGGGCTGTGGGGGGTCACAGGTATTCCCTTAGATGCTGTTGCAGGGCTGCACAGAATTCTACTCCTGCCAGCATCCAGAATCGCTTTTCCTGGCCACTGCACCTGATCACCTGTATCTCCCCTCCTGTGACACGTTGAGAGCTGTGGGCTGAGTAAATGAGCCAACCCCTTTACATGTTCCATGTAGGGATCGAGATAGGTATGCCATTTCAATAGCAGTGCCCTACTCTCTGTGGTATCAGTTTACTGTATTAGTTTGTTCTCACACTGTTATGAAGAAATACCAGAGCCTGGGTAATTTATAAAGAAAAGAGGTTTAATTCACTCACAGTTCTGCATGGCTAGGGAGACCTCATCAAACTTACAATTATGGGAGCAGGCACCTCTTCACAGGGTGGCAGGAGAGAGAACGAGTGTCAGCAGGGAAATGCCAGATGGTTATAAAACCAACAAATTTGGTGAGGACTCACTCACTATCATGAGGGAAACTATCCCCGTAATTCAATTACTTCCCAACGGGTCCCTCCCAAGACACATGGTGATTATGGGAACTACAATTCAAGATGAGATTTGGGTGGGGACACAGCCAAACCATATCAATCTCTATGACCAGAAAAGATTCATTTTTCTACATGGCAAAAAGGGGAGTTTATTAGCATATTAAAGTAACACAATTCACCTAACTAGTTAATATCTTCGTGAATTATTTATTGGAAATACTTTGGCAAAAACTTAAGAGTGCACATAAGGGTTGTACAGTAACATCTGTCTTTTAAATTTCTACTTAGAGAAGATAGGTATTCAGACATCCCCATAATTTTTTAAATGCTTATAATTAGGGAGCTGGTGTGGTTGCACACTCCTGTAGTGCCAGATACTCAGAAGGCTGAGACAGGAAGATTGTTTGAGCCCAGGAATTCTAGGCTACAGTGTGCTAATATCACACCTGTGAATTGCCACTGTACTCCACCTTGGGCAACATAGCAAGACCCTGTCTCAAAAGATCAAAAAACAAAGAAACAAAGTATTTGTAATTAGACAAAAAGGTATAGTCTAATAAACATACTTATACATTATAAAAGTCATTTTTATGATCAAATTCTACACTAAAATTTTTTCTAGTAGATATTTAATATATGATTCTTTGTGTTTAATAAATCATTGCTAAAGCAAGTGATTTCTCACTTCTGAAACACAAAGATTTTCTATTTAAACAACACTATAAAGAACACTTCTTTTAAAAGCATAATTGAAATTCTTTCTTTCCTTTTTTTTTTTTTTTTTTTTTTTTTTGAGATGGAGTCTTCTATGGCCAGGCTGGAGTGCAGTGGCACAATCTCGACTCACTGCAACCTCTGCCTCCCGGGTTCAAGCGATTCTCCTGCCTCAGCCTCCTGAGTAGCTGAGATTGCAGGGGCATGCCACCACGCCCAGCTAATTTTTGTAATTTTTGTAGAGACGGGGTTTCACCATGTTGGCCACGATGGTCTTGATCTCTTGACCTCATGATCTGCCTCCCTCAGCTTCCCAAAGTGCTGGGATTACAGATGTGAGCCAAAATTCTTTAGTTAAATATATTCTCTATGTTGGTACACAAAGGTACTAGTGTTCTAGATTAAGCTATTTTGTAAAACTCTTAATATGAAAAAAGTGTTGTTGAGAGGGAGCATCCACATGAATAAATGGAGACAAAATTTTGGAAATGTTTGCCAATATTTTTTATGTGGAAAATATGTTTGAGGATTTATTGTCTGGATGCATGGTACTGTGGCAAATGAGATGATCAGTTTGTCAAACACTACTCAAAGGGCCATCTCTTTGTAAAATAAAATGCTGTGATATTGGATGCTGTGGTTGAATATTTTGGTAAATGCCTAATACTACTTCCTTCTAAAATAAGTGAATAATTACTAGGTTTACTATTTTGTTTGTTTGAACATATAATAATGCACTTTTACTATATAATGTGTTCCTGACAAAGCACTTATATTTCAGCGACAGTATAATATTATTTTTTTACTTTGAAATGGAAATTTTCATAATGATGTAACATTTGGGAAAAAAATAAATGTCCCAGAAAAGATACTGCATGTAGCATTAGGGTTCAATGTATGCATATATGTATTTGTACACCAAAGGAAGGCTTTTATTTTATCATGCTGAACACAAGAACCTTATCTTTCCACAGATTGTCAACAATACTCAAGTGTAGAACACAATGGATCAAGGAATAAACCACAAGAAAATTAACAAATGTTCTCAGAAAATTTACTCACAGTAATTTTCCTTCACGGTATTTCCATGGTAGACAAGTGCTTGAAAAACAGCATTATTAAATTCTTCTACTCGGTGAAATGAAGCAATCTTTCAAATTAAGAATTGTATTGTTTATCACTTTCAGGTCTATGGAAGACAAAAGAAATAGGTTGTTAATTTTCCCTTACAGTAAAATGGTTTATTTAGAGGTGCTTTCTAACTGGTATCTTCTCTAATACAAATTGAAACACCTAACTATTTATATGTATTGTAATATCACCTCAACTTATAATATCACCTTGGTTAAAACCACAGTCTTAAAAGTATTTGATAAGCCTTAAGAATAAAATATTATTATGCTGGTAAGATAGAGATATTTAAACTCTATAACCTCAGGAACATGGTAAAATGAGATTGCTATTAATATATCAGATAAGTGCAAAAAGGGTCTTATTTAAATTGCAAAACATTTCAATGTTTATTTAATCTATAGACTGTTGTAGGAAAATAAGTTAACGAACTGTGTTAATCTTACTGAGGTCTATAAAAAGAGTTCAGGCTTTTCTATTAGTAGAAAAAATATCAGTCCCTTGTGTCTAGTTTTTCTCTTATTAGGATATTCAGGAAAAACAAATCGTGGTTTTAGCAGATTTAAAGCTAAACATGGCATGAAACTGATTTCTTAGGCACTGTAACAACATCTTCGAAAATTATTTTAAAAATGTCGCCTATCATCCACGTCTGAATAATCTGTGAATTAATTGCTAAGATATCATAAGATGTTCTTAAAACATTTTGGACTTAATACTTTCACCTGATATGTACTTATTCTTAGAAAACTTTTTTTTGGGATGTACCCCAGGAAAACTAGGAAATAAACCAGGGGCAGTTTGTAGAACTTAAGCATGGACCAATCAGATTGGATGCCAGCAGATTTGCTTTCGCACTTGTCACATAATTACCTCTGGATCTAATCCAGAAGAGCAGTGTAAGGAAGGCAAGGAGTCACAGGTCAACATGTCAGCAGGCCTGTACTGTGAGCATTACAGATGGGAGCAGCAGGAGAGAGAGCTCTAAATGGGAGCTTTCCGGGGAGAAGGTCAGTGTAAAGGGTGAGGAGGACTGAAAAGAAAAGATTATGTGAGGCAGGGCGCGGTGGCTCACGCCTGTAATCCCAGCACTTTGGGAGGCCGAGGCGGGCGGATCACGAGGTCAGGAGATCGAGACCATCCCGGCTAAAACGGTGAAACCCCGTCTCTACTAAAAATACAAAAAATTAGCAGGGCGTAGTGGCGGGCGCCTGTAGTCCCAGCTACTTGGGAGGCTGAGGCAGGAGAATGGTGTGAACCCGGGAGGCGGAGCTTGCAGTGAGCCGAGATCCCGCCACTGCACTCCAGCCTGGGCGACAGAGCGAGACTCCGTCTCAAAAAAAAAAAAAAAAAGTAAAGATTATGTGATTACGTGATTTAACGTCAGGATAGTAAGCTTCATTAAAAAGTCATGAACTCTGTAGCTTATGTTCATCAAAACCACTGTACTTAAGTTTCTTCATCTGTGCAATTAAAATCATAAAACTGTTGTAAAAATGAATAAAATGAATTAAAAATTATTGTAAAAATATATAAATGAATTAAGCAATAAGAACAATGCATGGGACACAAAAATCCAATACGTAAGAGCTGAAGGAAAGATGAGGATATGATAAGAAAAATGAAGAATTTAGAAAAAGTAATTACAAGAAGTATTAACTTTCTGAAATATGCCATGACTTAAAAAGAATAATAAAAGTTTCCACTTGACCTTGATCCTAGATACAATGTGCTTTTAGAAGGACAGGCTCATGTTATTTGCTAAATAAATAAATATAATTCTAACTCACAACCTGATATCAAAAAAGATTTAAAAAATCATATAAATATACTTTACTGGGAGATGAATTTCAGATTAAGTCTAAGAAAAAGGAAGTTATTGGACAACAAAAAGTAAATGAAAATCATCATAGCAATGCAAAAGTAAAAGTGAAAGTAGATGTGTAGCTGAAAGAACTTGGGCAGTGAAAAGGGGGAACAAATTAGTGTTGCTCACTAATATCCTTATCTGACAAAGGATATTTTGTCAAATATCCTTTGAAAAGAAACTTTTCAAACATTGATGGAGTTTCAAGAATATCATTTACAATAATAAATATGACCAATAGAAAAATAATAACAGACATATCAAAAATCCAAATTTAAAGAGAGCAAATTTTGAAAATAGCAAAATCCTCATCATTCCTATGGAGTCAATAGATACAGTTTTGGTTTCTGGTTTATCATAAAATGATGGCAGTAGAATCTCAATTCAAATATTCTCACAAAAAAATTAAAACTCACATCTTCATCATAACTATGAGAAGGACAGTACTAGGAACTTCAAACTACCTGTACATATGGAAAATACACACACCAATTCACCAGAAACAGCTCCAGACTGCATACCTAGCTGTGATGGAACACAGATACAATAACTTCAGAAAGACAGATTCCATGCCGAATGCAGAATACTGAGAGCAAATCTGATGTGATACATTAGAGCGATAGCTATTGAGGAATCGAAAGGGAGAACCTTGAAAGGCTGTGGGACCTGTACTGAGAAGGCGCCACTTCTTTAGGATAAGTTGATAACATGGAAGGAGGAATCATCTCTTGGAGATTTGGTGGTAAAGAAAAAGAAATATCAGGAAAAGAAACAGCTGGAGGCCATTATCCTTAGCAGACTAACACAGGAAGAGAAAACCAAATGCCACATGTTCTAACTTGTAAGTCGAGCAAAATCATGATGACCCAGGGAAACATCCAGGGGAACCACACGCACTGGAGCCTTTTGGAGGGCAGAAGGTGAAGTGAGGGAGGAGGCAGAGGATCAGGAAAAATAACTAATGGGTACTAGGCTTAATACTGGGTGATGAAATAATCTGTATAACAAACAACCATGAGACAAGTTTACCTATGTAACAAACCTGCACTTGTACCACTGAACTTAAAATATAAATTTAAAGAAATAAGAAATAAATGATCCTGCTGAAATACAAGGAAATTATAAATTCATAAGTCACGCCCTTTATTCGTTTTCTATTTTACTGCTGCTATAACAAATTACCATATCTTGGTAGCTAAAACAAGAAGTCTGAAATCATTTTCACTGGGCTAAAGTCAAGATGTTAGCCAGACTGCTTCCTTCTGAAGGCTCTAGTGAAGAGTCTCTTTCTGGCCTTTTTAAGCTTCTAGTGGTTGCCTGAGGCCTTGGCGTATGCACCTTTCCTTTATTTTCAAAGTGTTTCACTCAAATCTCTGCTTCCATCATTGCATTGCCTTCTGTCTCTGATCCTCCTGCTTCCTCTTTATAAAGACTGTTTAGATTATATTGGGTCTACTTGCACAATCCAGGATAATTGCCACATCTCAAGATTCTAAATTTAATAACAAAACTCCCTTTCGCCATATAAAGTAACATTCACAGGTTCCAGGGATAAGAACATGAAAATATTTGGGGCCCATTATTCAAAATTACAGCATTGCTTCCCTATCCAAATAAAAGAACACAATAAATTTAAAGAAACTGCACTTTTCTATGCCAGTGGAAGAGGGCAGTCTTGAACTAAGAAACCTAGTTAGACCCCCACTCTTTCTCGTATGAGTGAAATAACTGGTATTGCTGGTCCCTGGGGAAATAAAATTGGGAAGTGAACAGAAAGTAGAAGATAGCATCGATACAATGGTTCAGAAAGAAGAAAAACTCAGAAAACATTTCAAATTATGAAATTTCTTTCACCAAATATAAATTCAAGGCATCAAGGCAATTGCATCACAACACTACAACCAGAATAAAATGTACTTGAAGAATTGTCATGTAAGAGAAATATCTTAAATGTGGAATTCAAAAACAGGAAAGACATATATGAAAAACAAAGTTATAAAACAAAAATTAAACTCAGGAAAGAATCTTGAACAAAAACACCACATGCATACATAATGAGGGGTAATGAAAATCTATAACATATTCAATTAGAGTACCTGGAAGAAAAAGGAAAACAACATAAAATAAATAATACATAATAATAAAATCAATCTAAACATCAATCTACATATCAAAAGGAATTAAAATAAATTAAGAAATCTGAGGAATTAGATCACATAAAGAAAGAAATATAATACATAAAATAAACATACAATAAATATAACAAAATAAGATGATGGAGTTGGAACACAATGTTTCAGTCATATAAATTAATGTAAATGGGTTTAACTCACTTAAAGAAGATTTTCAAATTGGCTCACAAACAAAACACAACTCTGAACTGTTTAAAAGAGGCCTAAAATTAAAGAACTCAAGCCTCAAAATAAAGAGGCAAATATGTACTTAGGAGAAATGTTTAAATATCAAGAAAGTAGAAGTTGCATTCCAAATATCAGACAAAGGAATTCAGGACAAAAAGGAACTGAATATGCCAAACAAGATGATTCAATATTGTGTAAGCCCCAATTCACAATGAAGTATAACAACTACCAATATCTACATATAAAGTGACATAATAATAATCTACATAAACAGAAACTACAGGAGACCCAAGAAGACACAAACAGAAAACACTAATAAGAGAGTTAAATACAGCACTCACAGTTAAATATAGGCCAAGTGAACCAAAAATGAGGAAATAAAAGTTGTAAATGGCATAATCCTTAACATAAAAGTTTAGGTGATGTCTCAAACATTTTACCCTGTGAGAAAGAATATATCTTCACTCAAACACTCAAAGAACTTTAACAAAAAATTGTTCAAACATTACATCTTAAAAACAACATCAAGTTCCATGCCATAGAGAAATTACAAATTGTTTCTGATAAAATTATATAAGAAGACTAGAAATTCAAAATAAAAATTCAAAAAAGTCTTTCCATTTGGAAATTTGAAAACTTTCTATTGAAAATCTCCAAAATGAAAGGGAAAATATAAATCCAAATTGTAGAACTTGTAAAATATGACAATATAAACAGTTAATACCAATAGAATACATTTTAAAGAGGTGGGCATTATCAATGAAAATTTAAGAATGCACATGCAAATCAACTCAACAAGGTAGAAAAAGCATAAGGTAAATCAAAGGGAAACACAAGATTGAGACAACAAATAAAAAGATAATGAGCAATCAATAAATCAAAATGTTTATTAAAAATTAATGAAATGGGCAAAAATAAATGAAAAAAATAGAAAAAACAGATCTTCAAAATAAAAGATTGCAAAGGAAAACTAAACACTGCAAAAGAAAATTAACAAAAAAAGACATTTTACACAAAACAAAAACAGACATTTTGCACAAATTCATTAAACATTTTCAAAATTTTCAAAAATTTTCAAAACATTTTTAATGAAATGTATAAAATGTCTCTTTTAGTTAATTTTCTTTGCAATGTTTAGTTTTCCTTTGTAATCTTTTATTTTGAAGATCTGTTTTTTCAATTTTTTTTATTTATTTTTGCCCAAAGAACAGACACTTCTCAAAATAAGACATTTATGCAGCCAACAAACATAGGAATAAAAGCTCATCATCACTGGTAATTAGAGAAATTCAAATCAAAACCACAATGAGATACCGTCTGACACCAGTTAGAATCACGATCATTAAAAAGTCAGGAAAAACAGATGCTGGAGAGGATGTGGAGAAATAGGAAAGCTTTTACACTCTTGGTGGGAGTGTAAATTTGTTCAGCCATGTGGAAGATAGTGTGGCTATTCCTTAAGGATCTAGAACCAGAAATACCATTTGACCCAGCAATCCCATTACTGGATATATATCCAAAGGATTATAAATCATTCTACTATGAAAATACATGCACACATATGTTTACTAGGGCACTAGTCACAATAGCAAAGACTTGGAACCAACCCAAATGCTCATCAGTGATAGACTGGATAAAAAAACTGTGGCATATGTACAACATGGAATACTTTGCAGCCATAAAAAAGGATGAGTTCATGTCCTTTGCAGGGACATGGATGAAGCTGGAAACCATCATTCTCAGCAAACTAACACAAGAACAGAAAACCAAACATCACATGTTCTCACTTATAAGTGGGAGCTGAACAATGAGAATATATGGGCACAGGGAGGGGACCATCACACACTGGGGTCTGTCAGGGATTGGGGTGCTTGGGGAAGGATCCCATTAGAAGAAATACCTAATGTAGATAACGGGTTGATGGGTGCAGCAAACCATCATGGCACATGTATATCTATGTAACAAATCTACACGTTCTGCGCATGTACCCCAGAATTTAAGATATAATAAAAAAAAGTTGCTGAAATGCATAAATTTTTGAGGAAAATACATGGATTTGTACTACACAGATTGTAGTCAAATTTGATTAAAATTGAGAAAAAAAATAAACATAAAATTTCTGTGGAAGATATAAGGAAAATTATTAAACCCTACAGAAATGTACCAAGTTCAGATGATTTCACTGGGGACGTTTAGCAGCATTTAGCAACAAGGCTAGAAAATTGCATTGCCACATAAATTGTTCCAGAGTATACGTAAAGTTGATATCTAAGCCTGATGAATGGAACCCCCAAAGGAAAATTATACACAAAGCTTAGTAATGAATATTGATGCAAAAATTATAAATAAAACATTAGCAACAGAATCTAACACCATATTCAGACATTAATACATCATGGTAAAACCTATCATCATTCATTATGTTTGTTTTTTACAGAGTTTTTCAATGGCACTTGTTCTGAGTTTAAAATGCATCTTTATGCTCACTGCCTCTACAAAGGATTCAGACAAATGACTCAAAGACAAAGACATGGTGAAGTCATTCTGAATGACATTTGAACAGTAAGACTAGATTTCTCTGCAAATGAAAGCTTTTTCAAAGAAAGTCAATAAGAATAGTGAAGATCTGAATCACCCCTGATGTACTCTGCTGTAGCTTTGACCCAGAGCACAACCAAAGAGTGGATTGAAATAAAAACAAAAAGAAAATACCTTCACATTTCTTGGAAAATACCTATTTCAGAACCCAGCCAAACTTAGAGATTTTGGAGAATGTTTGTTCCAGAAATGTGATATCTATTGAGGAAAGACTCAGTTGATTTCTGCTGTAGAAGTGTATTTGTGTTAGTTCAAAGGCAAAAAGGGATTGAAGTTACCTCTTAAATTTTGTTGATGAGAGTGAATCTACTACAGATCAGCTGACTTTCAAAATGTGAGGCAGCTACCAATTGATTTGCTTTCAGAATGTTCACCATAGTGATCTGTCATTGATCAATTAAACATGAAAATCTGTTGTGGTATTGCTTGTCATGGTTAAATAACTGTCACTAATTAAAAGTTTTAAGCCTGTTTGAGTCTTCACTTGTAATCATTAGTATAGATTTTCTTTTCTAGAACCATTGAAATTCATTATTTTCATGACCTTGAATTTATTGTAGATTAGGAGATGCCCTCTCTAGCCAACTCAAATTAGTTTAACATTTTTTTTTAATTTAAAAGACTTATTCTTTCATCATCCAGGTGATCCTCTTGGTACGCATAGATTTTCTTACCAAGCCCTCTTGTTCCTCCAATGCTTTAGAATTGCATCACTGCAGCATTAGGGTACAGAAAAGTTTAGCTCTTAAGCACAGTGTGGTTTATATTATGTAAATTTACTGAGCTCAAGTGTTATTCTCTTTTTACTCTAAATGTAATATGGAATCCAAAGTATATTTTCTGTCATGTACACCTTCATGGTTTTCTGTTCATAGCTGTTTTTCCATTTCCTCATCATTTAATATCTGCTCATAAGACAGTATGCTTCGTGCATGTTTCATTACTTACTTAATGAAGTTTAGTTAATCAATAACTATGTTATTTCTTTTGTGGAGGGGATGAAATGATGAATGCTTTGATGTCTTTTTTACTCAGTTAGATTGACTTATTTAGGATATATTAAATCTTTTTTATCATTGTGCAGCAAAGTTACAGAATACTGTGGCAGAGACTGGTAATTACCTATTCAATATTTATATTCTGCATGGAAAAGCAGAACTCCTATTTAGGGGAAGGTGCCCACTAAAAGCTATGTTACTTCCTTAGTAGTTATTGTCAATGAGATGTAACTCAGTAGACACTAGACGGGTCTTTAGGAAACCCCTTTAAAGGTAGGCTGTCTGTTGTCTCATGGTCATTTGCCATCACCTTCTCTTTTCCTATATAACTTTTCCAGAATGATAATGGGATGCTAAAAGTAGAGAATCATCTTCTGACATGCATAGTCTGAAGATTCCGAACAGAAACAGTAGAAGTTATCTGGGACAGTGAATATATCATAAAACCACTGTGCCAGCCTTGCACTGCCTTCCTCTGAACCCATTAAATGAGGAGGAAAAACTAACTAATTCGTTAAAGAAAGTTTTGTGTATATGTGTGTGTCTTATAATTTTCTGCAAAATGCAACCCTAACTTCTATAAATACCTTTGATTAAACGTTATTAGTATATTCGTAATCCCAGTGTATACTCCATAATCAGAGAGTAAAAATAATTACATTTCTTTACATTGACTTAGTGTCATATGATGTGGCATTAGCAAATATACTTGGGATTATCATACTAGAAAAAGATACTTGGAAATGGATATCTATAGGAATATACCTTTAATGATATATGTTGTAGAAAACTTTTTTTCAAGTGTTTGAATATTTATGTTTATTTTTCTGAAGTATCCAGGATGGTATCACTGATCAGTACAAACAAAGGGATACAATTTAATTATTATTGATTGTTTGAAGTATTCAGACTAAAAAGTCAACTAAACTTTCCACATTTAAAAACTGTTTTGGCATCATGTAGATCTATTGGGTATATGTAGTACTATAGAAAGTAATAATAAATTATTTTTAAATGATTCTACAATGAGAGGATATTGGAATCTGTAGTCATAAAAATTCTATCATCTTTTAAAATCTCACTATGACAGGAGATAAAGCTTGGCATTTATTATCCTTCTACCAAGAACAAAATTTACTCTTAAGTGCCTCTGCTTAACCAACCTTAAAATAATTTAATTTCGGTCATTAATTCCTTATGAACATACTAAATGTAACAAAAGAGAGACAGATTTTATTGAATTTTAAGAAAACTTTTGATTAATTCTGAGATAAATGCTTCCTGCCCCATCTTTTCTTTGGCATAAAAATGTTACTCTTTCTGATTATGTAAAGTTTGCTACATTGAACAAACAAGAACAGAGGGAAACAAAATCTTTGTTTTTTAATTTCTAAACAAGTTTACTGGCCTCATCCTGCTGTTTCTCCAGAAATTCTCCAAATTGAGTTTATTTAAACTCTTAAGTGGTTTACTATTAAATATATAAACAAGCACTTAACAAGATATATTTGAAGGCACATGGATTGTCCCTGGGTCTAACTTCCCATCACACCTCTGTAAATTTGAATAACATTATATTAACAAATGAGCATTTAAAATGACACAGGTGAGATATCACACAATTAAATGTGATTTCAATATGGTCTTGAGGTATTCAGAATAGTATCTGTGTCAGGTGAGAAGTATTCTAGCTTTGGATCTGTGTGTATAATAGCTTTTGGAGCTTGAGAAAGACTCATAATTTTGGGTTTCGTTTCTGAAAAGGAAAAGAATATGTTGACATATATAGTGTTTAATGTTTCTACTATATCTGAAAGCCAATAAACTTTATGGAAGGATAGTAGAAAATATTGTTCTGTTTTTAATATGTTTTCCTTCCAGGCCGTGTTTTAGTTTCATCAGTTATCTCACATTGCCATGTTATAGCTTGAGCCAGAAGGGAGGGCATAAAGAATGTTGGCTTTGGTATCAGCAGATCAGAAAAGAAGTGGACTGCATCACAGTTTTACTGTGTACTCCCCGTGCAACCTTTAACAAAGCAATTAACCTTCACACACTCAGTTTTATCATCTACTCAATAGAGATTACTATTCCTCCAGAAGTAAACAGTGAATGAGATAATTTTTGAAGGCACCTAATAAAGTGGATGGTACATTGTATGAAGTCAATAAATATTAGGCTAATTATAATTTTACTTTCAAAACATAGAGATAAACTCTGACATGGAATGGTAGTTTATTATGATTTATTGATGGTAGCTCAAGTAAGTTTATCAGATTCCAGGATGGCAGTAATCATGTTTGTTCATAAGATATGAGCATAATGAATTATGTTTATCCTTAATCATGTTTACTTACTGAATTTGAATAAGATAACAAAATAATTGTACTTTAAAAGAATAAGTGGAAGTGGAACAGTTCTTATATTTTGTTAGAGGAGAGTCTTAGTAAAAGCCTGGATAATTTAAGGATAATTTAGGGAGCACAGGAAGGGAGTTTCTAAAGGATTGGTCTATGCTGGGACATTTTAAGAAGACCTAGGTCAGCAAGAGTTGATGAGGCACAGATCAAAGTGGAAGGAAATAAATCAAGTTAAGTAGGGTGCACTGAAAATGAAATTTTCCTGCATTATTTCTGGTTAGCCAAATGGGTTTGGGATTTTCATCAGAGGTTGGGGAAGTTGTTTATTATTGTCTCCTGTGGCTTAAATTCTATACACATTTTCATGAATATAAACTGTAATCAAGGTATATTTTTTTGTTTTGTTTTTTTTTCCACTAAAGTCTTCTAAAATTCGGTGACATTAAATACCATATTTAAACTAATTTTTCTTCTGTATTGTTGAAATTAGCTCACTTTTTGATTTTTGCCATGATGTATCTGTTATAATATCAATGAGTTATTGATGAGGAAGGTTTTAAAGTCTTATGTTAATCTGTGCTCATTGTTACTAAATCTACTTCTTAGCTGAGAGACTGTATATTAATACAATTTATGTCAATCATTATAATTATCTATGATTTGCAAATCAAATGTAGACCTCTATAAAAAGTTTGTCTTGCTCACTGGTCACCAAACATCAACAGAGTAATAGAACCAATATTTTTCAAACTTACCTCTGTGGTTTGGTAATGATGACGAGATTTGCTAAACCAGCTTTTCCTGCTGTTCTAGAATCTGTTAAAGTCATTTCAGTTAGTTACCAATGAATCATAGTAAACTACTGTATTCGACATCAGGGTCTGTCTGTAAGTTTTATATCTGATTTAGCATTGATGAGTACTAGTTCAATATCCTTTTCTCCTTCAATTATAGTTACAGTTTTTATTTTTATATCTGAAACAGTTATCTATTCTCATCTACTTTTAGACATATTTGAAGATTCGTGATCTTAAACAGGTCTAAAATAGAATTTTTAAATTGCTTATATATTCAGCTGAGGTTAGATCGAATATTGATACTGAGAGGCTTTATGCTTTATTTTTATGCATCTTCATGCTTTTATACAGATATGTTTTGAAGAGGGTTTTTTGTGAAGTATATATATTTCACAAAATCAAAAGTATATATTGTATATCCTTCACAAAACCATGACAATAACCATTAAACTCTTTATGTTCTCAATTACATGCTTATGAGAGACTAAATATAGAAAAAATAGTCAAAGTATATATAAAAATATGATTAACTTACAATCTGCGGCAACCAACTCAGGAAACCATCCTGTTATCTATAAGTCAGACTTGTAGGAAATCAAACCACTGTCTCTAGGAAACAATCCAGATAGCCAAACAAAAGCCTCTATAACAATGGGACCCAAATGGCCAGGACTTGGTTAGTAACCGACAGCTTACTTAATTTTTGTCCCTATTTCCAACTTAGTGCCACCAGAAAAAGCCAAAAACACAACCCTCACCTATGATGCCCCATTTCTATTTAATCTGCCTACAGCTTTCTCATGCCAACATCCTCCTGTTAGAACATACATAAAGCTTTCCTTTTTTTCCACCGTGAAGTTTTCCCACTACTCTGCCTGCCTTTGACTCTCTGCAAAACCAGAAGGGGTGGCGGCTGACTCCCTTGCTACAGCAAGCTCTGAATAAATAGCCTATGTCTGTTATCATTTGCTTGGTTTTTGTTTATTTCTGCAATTGCCTAAACTATGTATAATGGGTTTAGTTTAATACATTCAGTGTGACCTTTTTTGTACATTAGACTTTGTGCCAGAAACCATAGTTATCACAATGAACTAGATAAATGAAATTCATGCCTTCACTAAATTTACAATTGGCAAAGAAAATAAGCAGGTAAATACAAAATATTGGCATGATGGTTTAACTGTGAAGACTGAGCTAGGTTGTTATAGGAACACAGAGTAACCTGTAAAGAGGAAAGATTCTGTAGCTAAAAGACAATAGGATATCTAATATGTTTTTACTATAAACATTTAGTAAATGATTTAATAAATGCAATCAGTTATATGTATTATTTCTAATTAATTCCTTTATTTACAAAAGGATTATCATTTTCATTATTAGTGCTTAAAATACTTGCAATATGCATTTCTTAAATATGCCTTCAGATTTGCTTTTATGCTGATATATATATTCAGCTCAGCATATCTTTCTCCTTTTGGACTAATGAGCTTAGACACTCCCTTGATGAGTATTTAATAGGTGTGTCCTTTTAGGTTCTCATATGTTTTTGACTTTATGCATTGATCAAATGGAAAATTTTGCTAATTTAGATTTGGTAATTAGATTTATCCAACTGTCTCACGTTTAAATAAGACAACTTAATTTCAGTTTATAAAATAATCTCTGCAAAAAAATTGGGCATATTATTACACAATAAACTGCTTCTCCTCTTGAGGCTAAAATGGAATAGTAGCTATCCAGTGTATCATTAGGTTGCTGAAATCTTTTTGAAATCCTAACTCTATCCAAGTGTTCAAATATTGTCCAACACAACCAGTACCTTAAAATTTTGAATTGTATCTATAATTTGGAACTAAAATTTTATTATGCCAAATTCATAAACTACTTTTAACAAGTTGACTAAAAATGAACTGCAGAAAATCTGTTTGTTCTTCTTCAATGACATTTTTTTTCCATTTTCTTATTAGTACACGGACAAGTGAATTGTAACTTCAATTGGGTCATGTGACATTTTTAATGACGAGCAATGCTTATTTCTCATTTAACTTATCTCTAATGATAGACTGTAATTCCTCACACTTAATTGGTAGTTATTAAAATTTGGAGACGTGCAAAATGCCTTGGAAGCAAAGAGGAATGTGTGACTAACCCCAGTTGAAAGAATTATGGTGGGCTTAAAAAGACACCTGGACTTTGAGTTTTAAGTATGATTGTGTAAAAGAGAAAAAAAGTCAAAAAATATCTTCCCAGAAATATAATTTCTGGATATCTCCTGACTATATAGTTACAGACTGTATGAACACAACACACACACACACACGCATATATATATATATATATATATGCACACACAGACACATTTATACACTTAAAAATGGATATTTTTAAATTAATGGTGAAGCCTACAAAAAGTAAATAGAATCACTTGAAGGATGAAAACAAATTATAAATACCAAGCCAGGTAAATCATATGGTGATGAACACTGGGTACTTTTGGAGCACGTATTTAGATCCAAGTAACTTAGTAGCTTCCACAGATTGATTTTTGGCTGTGGTCTGATTGTGGAAAAACTGAAAGAAATAAAAGCCTAAAAAAAATCTTCTGCTCTTAGGAGGATAGGAGGACAAGATTCAAAAGCTATTTCTTAATCAAGATCTAAAGGAGATAATAAAGACAATAATGTGAGGTAATAAAGCGGTAATAGCAAATATTTTTCAAAATAATTGACAAAGATAAATATGCATAGTAGAAATTTTCTAGTCATACAATAAAACTTTAAAGACCAATAGGAAACTTTAAAAATAATCAGAATCAAAGGAGAAATAAAGTATTCTAGTGAAAGGTGACTTCTCAAGGGCACCGGTGGAATACAGATAGTAATCAAAATACTGTAGAAAAATCTCAGTCAAATAAAATTGTGTATTTAGTAAAACTTCTCTTTTTTCAAAAATAAGGGTGAAAAAAATGAATAATTTACAGTCAAGAGAAACGTATGGGAAATTCTTTTTTTATTATTATACTTTAAGTTTTAGGGTACATGTGCGGAAAATTCTTAAATAACTTACTTTGATAAATGGGAGCTGATTCTTGAAGAAAGGTCAAAAAAAGAAGAAATGTTAAGTAAAGGTAATGATAAATGCTTGTATGTGTCTAAACAAGTATATAGTGCATAAAAATATTTGAATGTTGTCTAATTTTAGTTGTTTAAAAATACATTAAATACTGGGAATTATAGTATTTAAGCAAAGTGAAAGAAATATGATTGGCATTATAGTAGTTTATGATCCTCCTGTCTTGAGAAGAGAATAAATTATTAAGAGAAGACACTGTAAAGCTAACATTGCAGGTTATCATTTCAACAGTAACTACCTGAAGAATACAAAGAAAATGCATATCTTCTTAACCAGTAAAAATGAGAACTAGGTATCAGAATTTGAAAACGTAGATCAATTTGAAAGTGTGCAATACTTCAGAAAAAACCCACATGATCATCTCCATAAATGCAGAAAAGATTTTTGTTGTAATTCAACATCCCTTCGTGCTAAAAACCCTCAACAAACTAGGCATCAAAGGTACATACCTCAAAATAAAACGAACCAGCTGTAACAAACCTACAGCCAACATTATACCAAACAGGCAAAAGCTAGAAGCTTTCTTCTTGAAAACTGGGACAAGAACAGGATGCCCACTCTCACCCCTCCTATTCAACATACTACTGGAAGTCCTAGCCAAAGCAATCAGTCAAGAGAAAGAAATACGACAAATTTTTACAAACCTAATAATGAAGTTTCAAAATATGTAAAGTAAATATCATACAATCGCAATGAAATATAAATAAATCCACCATTATATTGGAACACTTTTATTCTAGTATTTTATCAAGCAGGTACATATTTATTAAAATTATAGAAGAGCAATCAATAAATATAATTGCCATATAGAAACTTCTGCCAATTATTACAAAATAAACATTTAAAGCATGCACAGACTAGTTGTAAAATTAAGCATATATAATGAATTAAAATATAAGCCAAAGAAATTCAAAGAAAAGATTTTATACAGAACAGTTTCTTATCAAAACAGGATTTTTATAAATCAAAAACCACAAAAAGATGAAAAAATAAATCTTCACAAATTTATATGTCATATAAGTTTCTAAATAATATTTGAGTTCAGATTAAATAAAAATGGAAATTAAACTAACAATTAAAATACTACTTATCACACTTGCAAGATGTTGGTAAAGTAGTAGTTAGAGGTAAATTTATAGTCTAAGGTGCGTATATTAAGAAAAAGAAAGACTAAACAAATAAACAAAACATTTGCCTTATGCATTTACAAAATGAACACTAATGTATACACAAAGAAAATAAAAAGGAAGTATAAGAAAAATGAGATAGAAAATCAAGATATAACAACATTTTAAAAACTCACATAATGTGGTTCTTTCAAAAGATTAGTACATTGACAAAACTTTAAAATTATTCATGAAAAAGATACAGCACAAATAAAAATGTAACTTCAATGACAGAAGGTATTTAAATATAATAAAATAAATTTAGATGGTTTATATGCTTATTAGAAAAATATAAATTAACTGACAAGAAAATTTAGTTCAAATAATTCCTATAATAAGTAAAGAAATAAGTCTGAATTTAAAATTTTCCCGGATAAAAAACACAAGTCCTAGATGGCTTAGAATGTATATGACACTCAGAATATTAAGAAATAAGTAGTTGCCGTAGTCTGAATGCATTTGTTCTCCAAAATTCACATGTTGAAATCCCATTTCCAATGTGAGGCTATATGGAAGCAGGGCCTTTAAGAGGTTATTAGGTCATAAGAGAAGAACTCTCATGAATGGAGCCATGTGGTTCTCTGCATAAGGCTGCTCACAACACACATCTAAAGCAAAGTATTTAAGACAGAAATGCACATAAGAGTAAATGAGATGGAAGTTACAATATTTTTAGAACTTAGTATTGAAAATGGTATCCTATCATTTTTGCAATATTCTATTCATTAACAGCAAGTGGTCAATCAAGTCTAGGCCACAATCAAAGAGAAGAATTATCTACAAAATCAAGAAATATAAAACGATAGCAATTATCGGTGTATTTAGTCTATATTTGCCTAGAGTTGTTAGCCAACTCAACAAGACAAGAAAATAGATGTAAGACTAGAATAATAAGAAATTAATATTGCCATATTGTATGATTGTCAGAAAGATAGATTACTACTGACAAACTTTTATAGTTAAAAGTTTAATAATTATGTTAAATATTAGATCAATATAAAAATTACATTTTTAAATACCAGAAATAATTAGTAAATGGTAAAACATAAGATATTCACCACTGAACAATAAATACAATGACTATATAGAAATTAATTTTTTAAATAAGGCACAGGAATATAATAGAAAAAACTGTGACTATGATAATAATTATAGAAAATTACCTGTATAAATGGAGAAGAGACATTATATACAAAAATGGAGCAACAAGAAAACACAAATGTTAAAGAAAAATTACATCAGTTAATATGAAAACATTCCACTTTTCTCTCTCCATTTATCTATTTCAAAACATTAAGCAGCCTAGCTCAATAAAATGCATTTTCCTTGTAAATACAAATAGTATTAGTAAAACCTGGTGAATTAAAGAGATAAGTTGGAATGACACACACACAATTGGAGACATTTTAATGAAAAACAAGAACTCTTTTGAATGCTGATTTCAAATATAATGATAATGAAATACTAAAAACAAAAACCACCAGATACAAATATTTAAAAGATCTAACTCTGTGCTATAAAACATAACTTAAAGCCTTCAGGACAACAATTCAGTAAAGAGGCTGAATTACAATAATGCAAGTTGATTCCACTCTCAATGTTCAACTGCTATCAAAGTTTTTTCTCTTATGGCAGCTATAAAAATTAAAAATGAAAATTTGGAATTATATTTTCATACTGTTGTCCTCCATTTAACTAAATAAGTTAATTACCTATTCTGAATTAGGGCCCATTATTTTGACTTTTCTTTCTTTTTTTTTTTTTACCGTTACCTATAATACATTGTCATAGGCAAAAAGAAAAAAAAGAGAGAGAAAAAAAGCCTTTTGTGAACTGAAATAAATGGAGGAGATTTACACTGTTTTATGTTTGGAAGTGTAAACAAAGTGATTTAGTCCTAAGGATTTCTGCAGAGATGTGAGACAGATTGACAGCATTTTGAAGGTGACAATACACATCAATGAAGAAAGAAGTCAATTTTTTGATTTATCGCATCGTGTAGAAAATTAATTAATAGGATTAAATGAGGTGAAATTTCTGTATTGATGCCCTGTAAATTTTGATATCTCCCTTTCTCTTCTTTTTTGGTATGGATTTTGTTCTTTAAGTACATAACTGAAAGACAGCAGTATTGTTTCAACCCAAGTTTTAACTTATGTTACTGAAGTAGGAAGGAAGAACTTCCTATAGACCCAGACATCACTTTAGAGGGTTTTCTTGCAGGGGTAAGTGTCAGTTATACTCTGTTCACACTATAATAAATTAAGATTATATGTTACTCCTGTTTGATTTTCCTTGACATATTATAATAATTGTTAGGATGCTAATTAGCAAATTGTGAGTTTGTTCACCAGTTTAATGTATTTTGGATTTTTTTAAAGTACAGGAACAAATTAGCATGGCATATGACACACAATCACCATAACAGGATAACAAACAAAAGAAGATAGATGAGTATGTATATAGTTGAAGTTACTATTTTATTTTATTTTGGAGAAGAAGGATAATGCTTTAATGGTTGATCTACTCTTAGTGGAAACTTCCATTAGATAGGCAATGTAGTAGGCCCTTCTGATATGGTTTGGCTGTATCCACACCCAAATCTCATGTTGAATTGTAGCTCCCATAATTCCCCTGTGCTGTGGGAGGCACCCCGTGGGAGGTAATTGAATCACAGGGGTGGGTTTTTCCAATGCTGTTCTTGTGATAGTGAATAAGTCTCAAGAGATCTGATGGTTTTATAAAGGGCAGTTTTCCTGCACACTCTCTCTTGCCTATTGCCATGTAAGACTATCTTTGCTCTTCCTTCACCTTCTGCCACGATTGTGAGGCCTCTCCATATGTGTGGAACTGTGAGTCCATTAAACCTATTTTTCTTTATAAATTACCCAGTCTTGGGTATGTCTTTATTAGCTGCTTGGGAAGGGACTAATACACCTCCTGAAGGTTGAATTGAAGTGAATTGAATTGAATTGAATTGACCACTACTATGAGAAAGGTAAATTATTTTTATTTTATGAAGTGATTTTTGCATTTATGATTCATTGACAATATATACCATAAGCATTTTGTCAGTGAACTTTCTAGAAACCCTTAGTCTACTCGCATGAAGAATGTGCCTGCTGAAATTATTTATTCAAGGTAGATTAATGAAGCACCTTGTTCATGTTTTATGTAAAGCTGTTAAATGTCCTATAGAATAAAATTTCTGTTATTCTAATAAAACTAAATTTTAAGAACAGTAAAATCAGTTTTTAACATCTTTATATGCAGATAAAGATACCTGGCAAATAGTAATCATGCAATTAGTAAAGAACAAATCAATAAATAAATGGGTCAGTGGCATTCTAGATAACTATAAATGATTTTCTCTGTTTTTACCTATTTGCTCTTGCATTATCATATGTAAAGTTCCACAGTGTTTGTAGAATGCCAGTCTTACATTCGTTTTGAAGTAGAATATGCTGAAAGGGAAATGTAATCTCTGGGTGACCAGTCACACATTATAATGGAATAGCATAAAATGATACATAGAAATAAAACAAGGGTATTGGCAACCTATCTGGCACATCATGTGCCAATTCTTTCCTTTCAGGAAGTCTACCTTTAGTGACTATGCAGTGTGATTGGTATTGGAGTTTGATTTGTGACTGATGAAAGCGGCTTATATCCGGGTGCCAAAACAATCACCTGTAAAGGAAGGAGATCTGCTGGCATGTAGACCCTTAACAAAACCTGATGTTTACACAAAGACCCTTGGCACAGGGGCACCAACCCTAGAGCCAATCAATGACTGCAGTAAAATGGCTTAAAAGAGGAATAGAGAATGCATGTTTTGTATTCCTTTGTTTGGTTTAATCAAGCTTGTGTCTAAATGATAATTGATGCCATCAGAAGAATAAATGGCTTCCTATTTTAAATTAAATTTAGGTTTTTGTTGCATATATCAATTCTGCTGCAAATTTATTCATTAAAAGCATTTTTCCCATTTTACATACTAAGGTATTCTATTTTTGGTTTCCTAAAGTCTCATATTTGGGTCTCCTCCATAAAAGTAAAAACCTAAACATGACTTATGACTTACATAAAGCCCAAAATATCTTTTTTGAAAAGAGATTAATAAGTGTTAACAAAAGTTATCTAAATTATTTTGCTAGGAAAGATATAGATTTTAGATATAGGCTATTGCAAAAGGAATTTCCATGTTTTTCTCAAAACAGTTTATTAACTCTATAGTGAGTTTAATAGCATTCCTCCAAAATTCATATGCACCTAGAACCTGTGAACAGAATCTTATTTGGAAATAAGATCTTGGAAAATGTAACTGAGCTAATGTAGACCCAAATTAAATATGACTTCTGTTCTTATAATAAGCAGAAAATTGGGACACATAGACACAGAGAGAAGAAGGACATGGGAAAATTGGAACACCAAAGATTGCTTATAACCAACAGAATTTTCCCCTACAGGTTAAGAGGGATAATGTTCTTGCTTACAACTTGATTTTGAACTTCTAGTCTCTGGAACTGTGAGACAAAAATGTCTATTGTTTTAATAGATATGTTTTTGGCAATTTGTACAGTAGGTCTAGGAAACAAATTCAGGTTTTGGTATTGGGAAGTTAGGTGCTGCTATAACAAATGCACGAGAATGGGAAAGTGGCTATTTAAACACAAGGAGATATTTGTTATTTATACAAAAAATATGTTCTAGGTCTGATGCCATGGCTCACGCCTGTAATTCAAGCACTTTGGGAGGCTGAGGTGGGTGGATCACAAGGTCAGGAGTTGGAGATCAGCCTGACTAACATGGTGAAACCCCATCTCTACTAAAAATATAAAAATTAGCCAGGCATGGTGGTGTCACCTGTAATCCCAGCTACTCAGGAGGCTGAGGCAGGAGAATAGCCTGAACCCAGGAGGCAGAGCTTGCAGTGAGCTGAGATTGCCCCACTGCACTCCAGCCTGGGCTAAAGAGTGAGACTCCATCTCAAAAAAAAAAGTGTTCTATTAAAGGTAATGAGTAGAGCCTATTAATGATTGGAGGCACATGATAAAAAAGGCTAAACTGCTTTGAAGGGAATACTTGGACACACAGACATTACTGTTGATTCTGGTGAGGACTCCGAAAGTAATGAGGAGAGCTAGAGAGAAAGCTTCTACTATCTTAGAGAATACATATATTATGAATAGAATGTTGCTAGATTATGAGCTTTGACAGTTTTTCTGGTGATATTTTACCTGGTAATGAGGAACACACTATTTGAAACTGGAGGGAAGGCTATTCTTGTCATAAAGTGTAAGAAAACTGAGCTGAATTTTTTGCAGCCACTGAGTGAAAGATGTAATTTCTAACTGATTAAGTTGGATAGTTAGCTGAGGAGATTTCTAAGTCAAATGTGGAAGGAACAACCTAGTTTCTCATTGTTACTTTATTATAATTGTGACAGGAAAGAGATAAATTAGGATATAAACTATTAAGTAAAAATGAATGAGCACTGATTATTTTGAAAGTTCTCAGTCCATCCAAATAAAATGCTCTGGAAATTGGGTCAAGGGTGTAGTTGCACAATTGTATACTAAGATAGTTTAGGCATATAAGTAGATGTGTGTCTTATGGATCTAACAACCATCTCAGTAGGATCTAGAAATAGAAACAAAGTTATCCAGGAAGGATTTGTACAGAACGCTAATGTTTAATGTCATGTCTTGCCTTTATATTGAAAGAAGACAAACAAGGTTTTTGGCAATGTTATAACAGCAGAAAAACTGTCAAACAGTACTGAAAGGGACAGAAAAGGGACATATTTAGGATCAGAAATAGTAAAACATCAGGTTTCTGATGTTTTAAGCCACCAATTTTGTGGTAATGTATTATGCAACTTTAGAAACCAACACAATCTCTAAAAGAAAAAAAAAAAACTCATTTGGGTGGTTTAGTACCTAAGAAAGAAATATGATATAGAATAGCAGGAAGATGCCTGAGATTAGCTACATGTGACTCTTATGTCTTTTGAAAAATATCTCTAATGTCTTAAGCATTAAAAGTCCAAGGGATATATAGATCCAAGATGGCAGATTTGAAGTAGCCAGGAAGGGCTTCTCCTACTGAGAGAGTAGAATATTGAGTAGACTGACATAGTCCAAACAGATCTTCTGAGAAAATGCATTTAAAGTGAAAGGAGAGACAACACAGATGCCAAGGCTGATGAGAGAGGAAGCTGTGAACCATGCATAGTGTTGCCAAGTGCCAGGACTCATTTCTGGCCCTGAACAGTTCCCAAGGAAGAGGAGAGTGAAATAACTGTGGAATGCTGCACACCTGCCATTGCCCTCTGGGGTCCTAGCTGCAGGAAACCCCACAAGCCCCATGGACATTTTACTGTGTGGAGGAACAGCCCAGAGAGTCAGCAGAGGCATAACTTGAGTCTGCACAGAGCCCAGAGGGTTTCACATGGGGACAACTGCAGTGGAACATGACCATAGCTGCCCATCCCCCATGGCCATCTGTCCTCCTTTAGATGGCATTAACCTTTGTTAACTGCTGGACCTGGAGAGAACGGAGCTGTCTTTCCTGCAGGACTGTCCCCAGTGGTTAGAGCATGCAGCCCAGGGTTGCTGAGCTGAGCTTTGGCCTTCTGAAAGCATCCAGAAATGACGCCAATTGACTAAATCCACCTTATACCACAATCAAACCCTCAAGTTTATTAAAGGATGTAAAAGCAAAAAGCCCCATCCAAAGGATAAACAATTTAAAGGTTAAAGAAACATCAGCATACACAGATGAGAAAGAACCAATGCAGGAATTCTGACATCTGTAAAAGCCAGATTTTCTTCTTATCTCCAAATGATCAAACCAGCTCCCAGCAATGCTTCTTAACCAGATTGAAATAGCAATCACAGACAGAATTCAGAATCTGAATGGCAAGAAAAGTCATGAAAATATAGGAGAAAGTTGAAATCCAATTCAGGGAAAACAGTATAACAATACAAGAGTTAAAATATGACATAGCCATTTTAAGAAAGAACCAAACTGAACTTCTAGAATTAAAAAATTCACTATTGGAATTTCATAATACAATTGGAAACATTAATAACAGAGTAGACCAAGCTGAGGAAAGAATCAAAGAGTTTGAAGACCACTCATTGGAATCAACACAGGCAGACAAAAATAAAGAAAATAAGATTTTAATAAATTAACAAAACCTCCAAGAAATATGTAACCATGTAAATAGACCAAATCTACAACTAATTGGCATTCCTGAAAGAGAAGAAGAGAGAGTGAGCAACATGCAAATTATATTTGAGGATATAATCTATAAAATTTTTCTCAATGTCATGAGAGAGGTCAGTATGCAAATTCAAGAAATGCAAAGAACTCTGGTGAGACAATAAACAACACAAGCACCACAGGATACATAGTTATCATATTTTCCAAGGTCAAGGGAAAATAAAAGATATTAATTGCAACTAGACAGAACAGGCCAGTTACTTATAAATGAAATTCCATTAAGCTAACAGTGGTGCTTTCACTAGAAACCTTACAAGCCAGAAGAGACAAGGAGCATATTCTATTTTCAGCATCCTTAAAAAGAAAAAAAAACAAAAGAAATTCCAACCAAGAATATTATATCCTACCAAACTAAGATTCTTAAGTAAAGGAGAAATAAAATCCTTTTCAGACAAGCAAATGCTAAGGGAATTTATTACCACTAGACCTACCTTAAAAGAGGTCCAAAAGAAACTACCATCAGAGTGAACAGGCAACCTACAGAATGGGAGAAAATTTTTGCAATCTACTCATCTGACAAAGGGCTAATATCCAGACTCTACAATGAACACAAACAAATTTACAAGAAAAAAACAAACAACCCCATCAAAAAGTGGGCGAAGGATATGCACAGACACTTCTCAAAAGAAGACATTTATGCAGCCAAAAAACACATGAAAAAATGCTCATCATCACTGGCCATCAGAGAAATGCAAATCAAAACCACAGTGAAAAAGCATCTCACACCAGTTAGAATGCTGGTGATAAAAAGTCAGGAAACAACAGGTGCTGGAGAGGATGTGGAGAAATAGGAAAACTTTTACACTATTGGTGGGACTGTAAACTAGTTCAACCATTGTGGAAGTCAGTGTGGCGATTCCTCAGGGATCTAGAACTAGAAATACCATTTGACCCAGCCATCCCATTACTGGGTATATACCCAAAGAATTATAAATCACGCTGCTATAAAGATCCATGCACACGTTTGTTTACTGTAGCACTATTCACAATAGCAAAGACTTAGAACCAACCCAAATGCCCAACAATGATAGACTGGATTAAGAAAATGTGGCACATATACACCATGGAATACTATGCAGCCATAAAAAAGGATGAGTTCATGTCCTTTGTAGGGACATGGATGAAGCTGGAAACCACCATTCTCAGCAAACTATCGCAAGGACAAAAAAACCAAACGCCACATGTTCTCACTCATAGGTGGGAATTGAACAATGAGAACACATGGACACAGGAAGGGGAACATCACTCACTGGGGACTGTTGTGGGGTAGGGGGAGGGGGGAGGGATAGCATTAGGAGATGTACCTAATGCTGCATGTTGAGTTAATGGGTGCAGCGCACCAACATGGCACATGTATACATATGTAACTAACCTGCACATTGTGCACATGTACCCTAAAACTTAAAGTATAATAATAATAAAATTAAAAAAAAGAGGTCCATACAGGAGTGCTAAACATGAAAACAAAAGACTGATAAATGCCACCACAAAATCATACTTAATATAGACCACTGACAATATAAAGCAACTATACAATCAAGTATACATAACAACTAGCTAACAACAAGACGACAGGGTCAAATCTTTACGTATCAGTGTTCACCATGAATATAAAGGGGTTAATGACCCACTTAAAGGGCATAGGGTGTCAAGTTGGATACAGAGGCAACACTCACCTGTCTGCTGTTTTCAAGGGACCTATTTCACACGTAATTACACACACAGGCTCAAAGTAAAGAGATAGAGAAAGATGTAGCAGGCAAACAGAAAACAAAAAGTGAGTAGTAGTTGAAATCCTTATATCAGACAAAACAGACTTTACACGAACCATGATTTAAAGGGACAAAGAAAGGCATTACATTTTGATACAGGGTTCAGTTCCACAAGAAGACAACTATTCTAAATGTATACTCAGCCAACATTGGAAATCCAAATTCATAAAACAAATTTTTAGATACCTACAAAAAGACTTTGATAATGACAAAATAATGGGTGACTTCAACCCACTGACAGTATCAGACAGACCATCAAGGTAGAATACCAGTAAAGATACTCAGGAGTTAAACTCAACACTTGATCAAATGGACCTAGCAAATATCTGCAGAATACTCCACCTAACAACAACAGAATATGAAATCTACTCATCTGCACACAACATATATTCTAAGATTGACCACATGCTCAGCCATAAAGCAAGTGTTAACAAAATAAAAATCATACTAAGTACACTCTCGGACCACAGCACAATAAAATATAGTAAGCAATGCTAAGACGATCTCTCAAAACTATAAAATTACATGGAAATCAATCAACCTGCTCCTGAGTGACTTTTGAGCAATGAATGAAATTAAAGATGAAATCAAAAAATTATTTGAAACTACTGAAAACAGAGATATATACCAGAATCTGAGGGACATAGCTAAAGTAGGGTTAAAAGGAAACTTTATAGCACTAAACACTTACATCAAGAAGTTAGAAAGATCTCAAATTAGCTACCTAACATCACACCTAGAGGACCTAGAAAAACAAAAGCCAACAACCCCAAAGCTAACAGAATAAAAGAAATAACCAAAATGAGAGCTGAACTGAATGAAATTGAGATGTAAAAATTCATACAAAAGATCATCAAAAATAAAAACTGTTTTTTTAAAGAATAAGCAAGATTGATAAACTGATAACAGGGCTAGTGAAGATAGAAAGATCAAAAGAAGCACAATCAGTAATCACAAAGATGACATTACCACCAACCCCACAGAAATACAAAAACCCTCAGAGACTATTATGAACACCTCTGTGCACACAAACCAGAAACCCAAGAGAAATGGATGAATTCCTGGGAACATAATCTCCAAAGATTCAACTAGAAAAAAATGGAAATACTAGTTAGACCGATAATGAGTTCAAAAATAAATACAGTAATTTTTTTAAATTTTATTATTATCATACTTTAAATTTTAGGGTACATGTGTACAATGTGCAGGTTTGTTACATATGTATACATGTGCCATGTTGGTGTGCTGCACCCATGAACTCATCATTTAGCATTAGGTATATCTCCTAATGCTATCCCTCCCCCCTCCCCCCACCCCACAACAGTCCCCGGAGTGTGATGTTCCCCTTCCTGTGTCCAAGTGTTCTCACTGTTCAATTCCCACCTAGAGTGAGAACATGCAGTATTTGGTTTTTTGTCCTTGCGATAGTTTGCTGAGAATGATTGTTTCCAGTTTCATCCATGTCCCTACAAAGGACATGAACTCATCATTTTTTATGGCTGTATAGTATTCCATGTTGTATATGTGCCACATTTTCTTAATCCAGTCTGTCGTTGTTGGACATTTGGGTTGGTTCCAAGTCTTTGCTATTGTGAATAGGGCTGCAATAAACGTACGTGTGCATGTGTCTTTATAGCAGCATGATTTATAGTCCTTTGGGTATATACCCAGTCATGGGATGGCTGGGTCAAATGGTATTTCTAGTTCTAGATCCCTGAGGAATCGCCACACTGACTTCCACAATGGTTGAACTAGTTTATAGTCCCACCAACAGTGTAAAAGTGTTCCTATTTCTCCACATCCTCTCCAGCACCTGTTGTTTCCTGACTTTTTAATCACCACCATTCTAACTGGTGTGAGATGCTTTCTCACTGTGGTTCTGATTTTCATTTCTCTGATGGCCAGTGATGATGAGCATTTTTTCAAGTGTTTTTTGGCAGCATAAATGTCTTCTTTTGAGAAGTGTCTGTGGATATACTTCGCCCACTTTTTGATGGGGTTGTTTGTTTTTTTCTTGTAAATTTGTTTGTGTTCATTGTAGATTCTTGATATTAGCCCTTTGTCAGATGAGTAGGTTGTGAAAATTTTCTCCCATTCTGTAGGTTGCCTGTTCACTCTGATGGTAGTTTCTTTTGCTGTGCAGAAGCTCTTTAGTTTAATTAGATCCCATTGTCAATTTTGGCTTTTCTTGCCATTGCTTTTGGTGTTTCAGAAAGGAAGTCCTTGCCCATGCCTATGTCCTGAATGGTATTGCCTAGGGTTTCTTCTAGGGTTTTTATGGTTTTAGGTCTAACATCTAAGGTTGGTTCAACATACGCAAATCAATAAGTATAATCCAGCATATAAACAGAACCAAAGACAAAAACCACATGATTATCTCAATAGATGCAGAAAAGGCCTTTGACAAAATTCAACAACGCTTCATGCTAAAAACGCTCAATAAATTAGGTATTGATGGGACATATCTCAAAATAATAAGAGCTATCTATGACAAACCCACAGCCAATATCATACTGTATGGGCAAAAACTGGAAGCATTCCCTTTGAAAACTGGCACAAGACAGGGATGCCCTCTCTCACCACTCCTATTCAACATAGTGTTGGAAGTTCTGGCCAGGGCAATCAGGCAGGAGAAAGAAATAAAGGGTATTTGATTAGGAAAAGAGGAAGTCAAATTGTCCCTGTTTGCAGATGACATGATTGTATATATAGAAAACCCCATTGTTTCAGCCCAAAATCTCCTTAAGCTGACAAGCAACTTCAGCAAAGTCTCAGGATACAAAATCAATGTACAAAAATCACAAGCATTCTTATACACCAATAACAGACAAACAGAGAGCCAAATGATGAGTGAACTCCCATTCACAATTGCTTCAAAGAGAATAAAATACCTAGGAATCCAACTTACAAGGGATGTGAAGGACCTCTTCAAGGAGAACAACAAACCACTGCTCAATGAAATAAAAGAGGATACAAACAAATGGAAGAACATTCCATGCTCATGGGTAGGAAGAATCAATATTGTGAAAATGGCCATACCGCCCAAGGTAATTTATAGGTTCAATGCCATCCCCATCAATCTACCAATGACTTTCTTCACAGAATTGGAAAAAACGACTTTAAAGTTCATATGGAACCAAAAAAGAGCCTGCATCACCAAGTCAATCCTAAGCCAAAAGAACAAAGCTGGAGGCACCACGCTACCTGACTTCAAACTATACTACAAGGCTACAGTAACCAAAACAGCGTGGTACTGGTACCTTAACAGAGATATAGATCAATGGAACAGAACAGAACCCTCAGAAATAATGCTGCATACCTACAACCATCTGATCTTTGACAAACCTGACAAAAACAAGCAGTAGGGAAAGGATTCCCTATTTAATAAATGATGCTGGGAAAACTGGCTAGCCATATGTAGAAAGCTGAAACTGGATCCCTTCCTTACACTTTATACAAAAATTAATTCAAGATGGATTAAAGAAATACAGTAATTTTTTAAAAAAAGAATCCAACCAGAAAAAGAAAACACCCTGGACAAGACATATTTACAGCCAATTTTTATCAGACATACAAGGAAAAACTGGTAGCAATCCTGCTGAAGTTATTTCAAGAAGTCAAGGAAGAGGGACTTTTCCCCAATTTACTATATAAGACCATCATCATGCCTGTATCAAAACCTGGCAGAAACACATTGAAATAAGAAAACTTCAGACCAATATCCCTAAATAACATACATGCAAAATTCTCAACAAAATAATAGCAAAAGAAATGCAGCAGCACATCAAAAAGTTAATTCACTCCAGTCAAGTGGGCTTTATACCTGGGGTGTGAAGTTGGTTTAACATACATAAATCAATAAATGTAATTCACCTCACAAACAAAATTTTAAAACAATAATCACATGCTTATCTCAGCAGATGCAGAAAAGGCTTTTAATAAAATTCAACAGTGCTTCATGTTAAAAACTCTCAACAAACTAAGTATCAAAGGAAAATATCTCAAAATAATAAAAGTCGTCTATGACAAACCCACATCCAACATCATACTGAATGGGTAAAAGCTGGAAGGATTCCCCTTGAGAACTGGAACAAGACAAGAATGCCCACTATCACCATACCTATTCAACATATTACTGGAACCCCTAGCAAGGGCAATCAAGCAAGAGAAAGAAATAAAAGCAATCAAATAAGAATGGAGGAGGCCAAAGTATCTCTCTTAATAGATAATATGAATTTATTACTAGGAAAACCCAGAGAGTCTGCCAACCGGCTCCTAGAACTGATAAACTAATTCAGTGAAATTTCAGGATACAAAAATCAATGCACAAAAATTAGTAAAATATCTATACACCTGTAACGTTAAAGCTGAGAGCCAAATAGAGAACACAATCTCGTTTAAAATAACCAGAGAAAGAATAAAATATCTAGGATAACAGCTAAACAATGTAACAAAATCTCTACAATATGAATTACAAAAAAACACTACTTGAAGAAATCAGATACACAAAAAACAAATGATAAAAGATTTCATGCTCATGGATAGAAAGAATCAATATTGTTAAAATGGCAATTTTGCTCAAAGCAATCTACAGATTTAATGTTATTCCTATCAAACTAAGAATGTCTTTTTTCACCTAATTATTAAAAAACTATTCTAACATTCGTGTGGAATCAAAAAAGAGCCTGGATATCGGAAGCCATCCTAAGGTAAAAGAACAAAGTTGGAGGCATCATACTAATAGACTTCAAACTATGCTACAAGGCTACAATAACCAAAACAGCCTAGTGCTGGGACAAAAACAGACATGTGGACCAATGAAACAGGTTAGAGAACCCAGAAATAAAGTCACACACCTACAACCATCTGACATTTGACAAAATCCACGTAACAAGCAACAGAGAAAGGACTCCCTATTCAATAAATGTTGCTGGGACAACTGGCTAGCCATATGTAGAAAATTGAAACTGAACCTCTTCCTTTCACCTTGTGCAAAAATCAACCAAAGATGGATTAAAAGCTTAATGTAAGACAATAAAACCCACCAAAAGAAATCTAGGAAATACCATTCTGGACATTAGCCTTGCCAAATAATTTATAATTCAGTCCCCACAAACAATTGCAACAAAGCCAAACTTAGACAAGTGAGACCAAATTAAATCAAAGAGCTTCTGCACTGCAAAAGAGACCATTAACAAAATCAGCAGACAACCAACAAAATGGGAGAAAATATTCAGAAACTGCATCCAACAAAGGTCTAATATTCAGAACCTATAAGGAATTTAAACAACTCATCACTCAAAAAAACACACAGCCCCACTAAAAAGTGGGCAAAGGACATGAACAGATATTTCTCAAAAGAAGACATACATGTCACTAACAAACATATGAAAAAATGCTCAACATCGCTAATCATTAGAAAAATGCAAATCAAAACCAAAATGAGATACGATCTAAAACCAGTTAAAATTACTATTTTTAAAAGTAAAAAAAGAAAAATAAGAGATGTTGTCAAGGTTATGGAGGAAAGGGAGCACTTAGACATTGATGGTAGAAATGTAAGTTATTTCAGCCACTCTGAAAAACAGTGTGAAGATTTCTCAAAGAACTTAAAACAGAACTACCATTTGACCTAGCAATCCCAATACTGTGTGTATAATCAAAGGCAAAGAAATCATTCTACCAAAAATACATATGTATTCATATGTCACTTGCAGCACTGCTCACAAAAACGAAGACATATCAACCAAGATGTCCATCAGCGGTGCAGTGGATACACAAAATATGGTACCTATACACCATGGAATACTACACAGCCATAAAAAGAATGAGATTATGTTCTCTGCAGTAGCATGGATGCAATTGGAGGCTATTATCCTAAACAAATTAACATAGAAAAAGTTATGTTATATGCTTACTTATAAGCAGGGTACTAAATATTGAGTACACATGGATATAAAGATGGTAGCAATAGACACCTGGGACTACTTGATGTGGGAAGGTGTGAGGGGGCATGGATTGAAAAACTACCTATCAGGTACCATGTTTATTACATACATGGTGGGATCATTTGTATACCAAACCTCAGTGATACATAATTTACCCATGTAGCAAGCCTGCACATGCACCCCTGAACCTAAATTAAAAGTCAAAGGTCTGAAATCGACAATCTAACATCATAATTAAAAGAACTAGAGAAGCAAGAGCAAATTCAAAAGCTAGGAGAAGACAAGAAATAACTAAGAACAGAGCAGAACTGAAGGAGATAGAGACACAAAAAACCCTTCAAAAAAATAAATGAATCCTGAAGCTGGTTTTTTGAAAAGATAAAAAAAAAAATAGACTGCTAGTCATACTAATAAGTAAGAAAAGAGAGAAGAATCAAATAGATACATAAAAATATGATAAAGAGGTCACCACTGACCCCCCAGAAATACAAACTACCATCAGAGAATACTATAAACACCTCTATGCAAATAAACTAGAAAATCTAGAGGAAATGAATAAATTCCTGGACACATGCACCCTCCCAGGACTAAACCAGGAATAAGTTGAATCCCTGAATAGATCAATAACAAGTTCTGAAATTGAGGCAGTAATTAATAGCCCATCAACCAAAAAAAGCCCAGGAACAGACAGATTCACAGACAAATTCTACCAGAGGTACAACGAGGATCTGGTACCATTCCTTCTGAAACTATTCCAAACAATAGGAAAAGAGGATCTCCTCCCTAACTCATTTTATTAGGCTAGCATCATCCTGATTCCAAAACCTGGCAGAGATACAACAAAAAGAGAAAATATCAGGCCAATATCCCTGATGAACATCGATGTGAAAATCCTCAATAAAATACAGGCAAACCGAATCCAGCAGCACATCAAAAAGGTTATCAAACACGATCAAGTCAGCCTCATCCCTGGGATGCAAGACTGGTTTAACGTGTGCAAATCAATAAATGTAATCCATCACATAAATGGAACCAATGACAAAAACCACATGATTATCTCAATAAACGCAGAAAAGGCCTTTGATAAAATTCAACAACCCTTCATGATAAAAGCTCTCAATAAACTAGATATTGATGGGACGTATCTCAAAATAATAAGAGCTATTTATGACAAGCCCACAGCCAATATCACACTGAATGGGCTAAAGTTGGAAGCATTCCCTTTGAAAACCAGCACAAGACAAGGATGCCTTCTCTCACCACTCCTATTCAACATAGTATTGGAAGTTCTGGCCAGGGCAATCGAGAGAAAGAAATAAATAAAGGGCATTCAAATAGGAAGAGAAGAAGTCTAATTGTCTCGGTTTGCCGATGACATGATTGTCTATTTAGAAAACCTCATCATCTCAGCCCCAAATCTCCTTAAGCTGATATGCAACTTCAGCAAAATCTCAGGATCCAAAATCAATGTGCAAAAATCACAAGCATTCCTACACACCAATAATAGAAAAACAGAGAACCAAATCATGAGTGAACTCCCATCCACAATTGCTACAAAGAGAATAAAATACCTAGAAATACAACTTATAGGCGATGTTAAGCACCTCTGAAAGGAGAGCTAAGGAAATAAGAAATAGACTTCTAGCCAGACTAATAAAGAAGAAAAGAGAGAAGAATCAAATCGACACAATAAAAAATGATAGAGATCACCACTGATTCCATAGAACTGAGAACTAAGGAAATAAGAAAATAAGAGAGGACACAAACAAATGGAAAAACATTCTATGCTCATGCATAGGAAGAATCAACATCATGAAAATGTCCTTACTGCCCAAAGGAATTTACAGATTCAATGCTATCTCCATCAAGCTACCATTGACTTTCTTCACAGAATTAGAAAAAAAAACTACTTTAAATTTCATGTGGAACTAAAAAAGAGCCTGTATTGCCAAGACAATCCTGAGCAAAAGAACAAAGCTGGCCGCATCATGCTACCTGACTTCAAACTATACTACAAGACTACAGTAACCAAAACAGCATGGTACTGGTACCAAAACAGGTATGAGACCAGTGCAACAGAACAGTGGCCTCAGAAATAATACCACACATCTACAACCATCTGATCTTTGACAAACCTGACAAAAACAAGCAATGGGGAAAGGACTCCCTGTTTATTAAATGGTGTGGGGAAAACTGGCTAGCCATATGCAGAAAACTGAAACTGGACCTCTTCCTTACACCTTATACAAAAATTAACTCAAGATGGATTAAAGACTTAAATGTAAGACCTAAAACCAGACAAACTTGAGAAGAAACCTAGGGAATACCATTCAGAACATAGGCATGGGCAAAGACTCTATAGCTACAACACCAAAAGCAATGGCAACCAAAGCCATAATTGACAAGTGGGATCTAATTAAACAAAAGAGCTTCAGCACAGCAAAAGAAACTATCATCAGAGTGAACAGGCAACGTACAGAATGGGATAAAAATTTTGCAATCTATCCATCTGACAAAGGGCTAATATCCAGAATCTACAAAGAACTTAAATAAATTTCAAAGACAAAAACAAACAACCCCATCAAAAAGTGGGCAAAAGATATGAACAGACACTTCTCAAAATAAGACATGTATGTGGCCAACAAACATATGAAAGAAAGCTCATCATTACTGGTGATTAGAGAAATGCAATTCAAAACCACAATGAGATATCATCTCAGGCCAGTTAGAATGGTGATCATTAAAAAGTCAGGAAACAGCAGATGCTGGAGAGGATGTGGAGAAATAGGAATGCTTTCACATTCTTGTTGGGAGTGTAAATTAGTTCAACTATTGTGGAAGACAGTGTGGCAATTACTCAAGGATCTAGAACCAGAAATACCATTTGACCCAGCAACCCCTTTACTGGGTATATACCCAAAGGATTATAAATTATTCTACTGTGAAGACAGATGCACACATATGTTTATTGGAGTACTATTCACAATAGCAAAGACTTGGAACCATCCCAAGTGACTGTCAATGATAGACTGGATAAAGAAAGTGTGGCACATATACACTATGCAGCCATAAAAAAGGATGAGTTCATGTCCTTTGCAGGGACATGGATGAAGCTGAAAACCATCATTCTCAGCAAACTAACACAGAAACAGAAAACCAAATACCGCATGTTCTCATTCATAAATGGCAGTAGAACAATGAGAACACATGGACACAGGGAGGGGAACATCACACATCGGGGCCTGCTGTGGGTTGCGGGGCTAAGGGAGGGATAGCATTATGAGAAATAACTAATGTAGATGACAGATTGATGGGTGCAACAAACCACCATGGCATGTGTATATCTATGTAACAAACCTGCACGTTCTGCACATGTATCCCAGAACTTAAAAGTATAATAAAAAAGAAAAGTCAAAAAAAAAAGTTAAAGAAAAGTCTGTAGGTTAAAACATAGGTAGACACAGTAGTTGACAACTTATACACCTATGAGACTATATAGGCAAATTAAATGAGTCAAACACATAAGATATTTACATATTAAACACATGGAGATATGTTTCATTTATGTAAAAAGTGTGTTCTCCAACAATTATGTTGAGACAAGTATTTCAAAATACTTCCTGTTTCTATTAAAATGCTTTTTCCCACATTTGAAAAAACTGGTATAGCCACACGGTCTCTGTGGCAGCTATTCAACTATGCCATCGCAGAGTAAAAGTAGCCATAGAAAAGACATAAATGAGTGAGCATGACTGTATTTTATTTAAAAAAAATAGGTGCTACATTATATTTTGTTTATGGCACCTGGATTTGTCCCATAGGTTGATTTTTGCCCTTGATGACAAAAATGTACTAGTACTTTTGTTTATTACCAGAGATATGTGTAGACCTCTATGTAATATGGTATCTGCCTTTAAATCCAAAGTGTAGGTGACATTTAAGTGGAATATGGCAGTAGCTACCTTATCAGGTAGGCTTTAGACTTTCTTAGCTCTGATCCTTTTTACAAATTGATGCCCTTGAAGTCCAATTTTGAACATGTTGGTTTCCTGCACATACATCTTTATAAGGTCTCCCCCCAGTAATGGAAAAAAGTTTAAAACTCAGCCTCCTAGTCTCTAGGTTTCCTTAATATTACCTCCCATTTTTCTGCTAACATATCTTGCTTAACAGACATATTGCCTTTATACAGCCTCTCTTTTTTTGGTCCTTCTATTTCTTCCAGTTTGATATGTCAATATTCACAGCTAGCTGAAATGTAATTTTCCCTCTTATTTTTTTCTAATGAAACTGCTCATCTCCCAAGTAGACATCTCCCCTGTTATAACCCCCTCAGGATTTGTTTTATTTATGCTTTTCTTATGGCATTTCATTAATAAATTCTGCTCTTATTCTTGTGTAAGACATTGCCTCTTTATTATTATAAGATTTTTGGTAATAGGCCTGGTATCTGATTCATCCTTGTTTGTTCTCAAGGTAGCTCACTGGGAGCAAAATAAATACGTTTTCTTTGAATTAATGTACCATGGAAAACCGTGACATAGCTTTTTTGTTGAAGTTTAGATTTTATATTTTTATATTTATAGACTTATTCTAAATCACCCCATTTTGAATATAACTTAAATCATTCTTTCTGAGGAGGTTTTTTGCTGTAGCTATGATTTATGCAAACACACACACACTTATACATATATGTATGTTCTTTTTAAAAATCTCCAAGTATGGAGATTCTCAAAGAAAAAAGAATCTGTTTAAAATAAAATAAAGGCATATTCAAGAACTGAAGTGCTAAAGTCAACACCTTTGGCCTTCACATTCCAAATGTTAACGAGTCAAGACTCCATTTATCTGCTGGCTGACTACTAGGGAAAATTACCTAAATTCTTAATTTCAGTCTTTTAATCTGTTATACAGAGTTATAAAATTACCTACCTTATAAAGTTCCTATTAGGACTAAAGGCCTAGCACAGTGAGGCACATGATTGGTACTTCAATTAATTTTGCTTTTTATTAACACTAATCAATACTTAGTAGCATCTATCTATCTATCTATCTAATCTATCTATCGATGTCTATCTAATTACATATATATGTAGAATGTTGTATATGGGTCTAGATTTGTACACTCATCATTAATATCACTGTAATAATTTTCACTTTCAAACAATTCAAGGTCAGGCGCGGTGGCTCACCCCTGTAATCCCAGCACTTTGGGAGGCCGAAGCGGGCGGATCACTAGGTCAGGAGATTGACGCCATCCTGGCTAACGCGGTGAAACCCCGTCTCTACGAAAAATACAAAAAATTAGCCGGGTGTGGTGGCGGGCGCCTGTAATCCCGGCTACTCGGGAGGCTGAGGCAGGAGAATGCCGTGAACCTGGGAGGCGGAGCTTGCAGTGAGCCGAGATCGCGCCACTGGACTCCAGCCTGGGCGACACGGCGAGACTCTATCTCAAAAAAAAAAAAAACAAAAAAAAACGAAAAACAAAAAACAAAAAACAATTCAAGGCAGGTATTAATTCACATTGATTTCTTTGGTCTGTTGCAACAGCTGTTAACACATTTCAGTTATGGCACCATAGCTGATACCACATATGGTTCCTATGTGGTGTGAATGACAGCAACTTCTAAATACATTAACATGTATGGGGCTATAGTTAACCAAGCAATGTAAGAATTACACAAGTTGTAATAAGTTAAAATTATTATTTATATTGAGTATAACAATTTATACCAGAATACAAGCAATATTTTAAGATTGAAAAATGATCTCAATCTACTTTTAAGAAACACTGTAAGTTTTCATAATTTTTGTCTTTTCCTTTTAAAATAAAACAATATTGCTTCATATGCTTCTCTGCCTTTGTTTCTCATAAATTGAAGAGATAATATTTAAATTCATATTTAAAAGATTGGAGTATCTTACTCTGATTCATAAACATAAATCATTAATAAATAAAACATTACAGGCCACAACAATATAAACACAACGTGATTAAAGTTTAGACAGTTATTTCACTATCTTTCTATACTTAGGCATTTAATAATTCTTTTCTTCAGTAAATCACACAAACTTTTCATTCCAAATGTGAATTCCTTAAGGATTAGGATTTTAATAGTTGAGTTTGGATACCACTCTTGGTAACTTAGTTTTGAAAACTATAATATCATTAATGTCATCATAAGGTCATGCATTGCCATTTTACCTTCTAAACTGTACTCTCAGACTAGAAATGGGACACACATTGTTTTTTTCTTTTAAGTGACAAGGTCTCACTCTGTCACCCAGGCTATAGTACAATGGCATCATCACAGCTCTTTGTAACCTCTAACTCCTGGGCTCAAGCAGTCCTCCTGCCTTAGCCTCCTAAGAAGCTAGGACTACAGGCATGCACCACCACTCCTGGTTAATTTTTAAATTTTTTGTAAAGATAGGGTCTTGGTATGTTGCCTGAGCTGCTCTCAAACTACCAGACTCAAGCAACCCTCTTGCTTTGGCCTCCCAAAGCGTTGGGCTTAGATGCATGAGCCACTGTGCCCAGCCAGGATATATTTCTTAATGTAGTGTTTGAATATTTTAGTACGAGCTTAATACGCCCTGAGTTAATTACAAATCAGATTCTCTACCATATCAAAATAAAGGAAGCTTCTCTAGACAAGATATAAATAAGTAAGCAAACATTTTAAAAGTTATTCTTAGCAAGTAGCAGAATTTAAATATACAAATTTTGAAAACTATTGCTCTTGAGTCAACCAGACAATATTGCTGCAATTATAATGCCTCAGGTCTACAGTGGGGGAATATCTACAAAAATGCAAAGGACAAAATAGTAAATAACATGGTAGAACATTGTAGGTCAGGCATCCTGAAGCTAGGTAGTAAGCCCAAATTGAAGACATGTGGCCCTTGTATTCCAAGGCCTAAAAATAAACAACCTTAAAAGATTACAAGAGTATATCATGGAATGGAGTCAAATATAAATGAAGTAACCTTCTCAGAGCCTATAGTCTTATGAGTCAAGAGACCTTATGCCAAAAATGAATGTCTTCTGTTACAGATTTTACATTTTCTTTTAAGCAAATAGAGTCAAAATCTAAAAATCTATCTATTTATCATTACTAGCTAGCTGTTAAAATGGCTCTCAATTATCTTTGATCAACCAAAAGTCTGGCCTAGAGAATAGCCATTTGGCTTTGGAAAATTCTCACCACTGTTGTCACATCCAGCAGATTTGCACTATCATGATCTTGGTAAGACTCAAGAAACAATTCAAACACAATTGTGAGATAATTTTTGTGTGTATGTGTAAGCAAAGTTATACAAAGCACCCTTAAGACATCACTTGGTACAAAATATTTGCAATAAATAATGTGAAGGAATCTATGGCAATGTATTTCCGTTTGTGTGATATTAAAAATGTATAGAATAATCTTACTTAAGAAACCATGTGATAAAATGAAAATAACCATTCACCTCTAGATAAGAATCTCAGTGAGTTGGAAAGAGCTAGGGACATATGCATTTGTGCTGTGTTTTCAGTTGTTATAAATAATATTTTAGCATTCATTTATACTCACGGAGAGAAAGAAGACAGAGAGGCTGTGTGGAAGAAAAAAAAATAGTACAAAGGAAAATATCTTCAAAACTTAGACCAAGAGAATTATGATTCTTCTGATTTAGTCACAGTGATAATGAGTAAGAGTAGTGCTAAAAGGTCCATTATTATAGGTTGTTATATCTGCCACACCTTCCATGAACTTGAGCTTCTTCATTAAGGACCTAAGGGTTTTGTTTCTATCAGGAACTCTGAGTTAGAAGAGTTTTGGAGTTTGACAGAATTTGGTTAAAGCTCACTTCCTCCACTTACAGTTGTTTTTGCTTGGCCAGATTTATTAAACAATTTGAGTTTGGATTTATTTGGCTATAAAACTAGAATAATTTTATCTATGTCAAATACTTATTGTGAAAAATTAATTGAAAAAATAAATATTGGCTGCTCTGGTGTAATTAACATAGTGCCTGGGATACAATAAATGCTGTTTAATGTTGATGCTCTTTCTTGCCATTTTTTCCCCTTAATATATAACAATTTGAACTCTGGACAGACTTTAAGATTCACTTTCAGAAGCCCATAGTTGTGATTATCATTTTTTGATGACTTGTATAATAATTCTGCTATCAATACAGCAACCCTTTGCAATGTCTCCTCCTATTTCTAATCAATGGAAACCTCAGTCTCTTTCACATAAACGGCAGCAGTAAGCTAGTGTTCTTATCATCCTGGATTGTTGCTACTTAAATATATGGCTTACTATTCATGAATTCATCTTGTGTTTATATCATCTGATAATGTAGGAAATTTTTTGGATCTCTGATTTTTGTCTTCTCAATTATCCTCAGAAGTATTGATGACCATCAGGCTGGGCGCAGTGGCTCATGCTTGTAATCCCAGCACTTTGGGAGGTCGAGGCGTGCGTATCACCTGAGGTCAGGAGTTCGAGTCTAGCCTGACCAACATGGAGAAATCCCATCTCTACTAAAAATACAAAATTAGCTGGGCGTGGTGATGTGCGCCTGTAATCCCAGCTACTCAGGAGGCTGAGGCAGGAGAATCACTTGAACCCAGGAGGCAGAGGTTTCAGTGAGCTGAGATCACACCATTGAACTCCAGCCTGGGCAACAAGAGTGAAACTCCGTCTCACCAACAAAAAAAAAAAAAAAAAAAAAAAAAAAAGTATTGATGGCTATCTATATAACTGTACAAAATATTAAGAAATGTTTTATAGATCTTAGCAGCCATAGTCCTCTGGACTTCACCTTCAGTTGACCTGAGTGTATTGTCTATATTCTTTTTCTACGGAATTTCAAACTTTGCCATCATCCTACTCATTAATTTTTTCTTATACAGATGATTACCATGAGACTTTGTTAATGTCTTGCTGAAATTCTAAAGTGCTCTATGTATGGGTCCAGATGATCTGGTTTTCTAATATTTGAATCAATAAAGAGATTGATATCATTCTAACATGCCTGATATCCAGCTATAACTATTTCCCTTTCCAAACACAAACACTGCTTTAAATAATCCAAGATTTGGTCTAATTACAGATTCCCTGGTTGGTAATTTTTTCCCACCTTTTTTGCCCTTTCCACAATTAGGATGTCATTTGTTCCATCTTTCCTTTATCACTATCCAGCTAGCCATAATTACTCAAAAATTACTACCAATGCTTTTATAATCTTACTACAACTTTCCTCAGTAGTCTGTTAGGAATTATTTCTGTGGCTGAAAGTTGCATTCACCGAAGAGTATACATGTGTTCTTTTACTATCTCCTCAATTATCTTTAGCTTCTGTTTCAGGTTACGCATTTATCCTTCCATTTGGATAGGCTCAAGATCCTGCTTCTTAGCAGAGGAAGGGAAGTAAATTTCAGGTTTCATAATTTCCTTTTTCTGCTAAATTTACTTGCAGTTAGTGAGTATATCCTTTCTTTGATTTTACTCTGTTCAGTGTAACTAGCAACATCTCATTCCTTCCTTTTTAAAAAATCTTATCATTTTTATTAGAACCAGGACATGATGGTAGAAATTCTTGACACTGGGTATACATCATACTTACTGTCACAAAGGAATCAATCCTTAAGCATAATTAAAGATGTTTGAGATTTAATTTTAACTATAATTTAGACCCAAGTTGGTGCACTGATGGCTGTTGGAGATATTGGTTATACTCTGTGTCAAAGAAAATGTTATTTGAACTTTTAAAAATATGGTTTGATTGTGTGACTATGGAAAGGATCTGTAATGCATTTAAGCTTTGGTATTTAGGGCTCCTTCGGACAAGCTACATGACAGTATGTCCAAAAATATTCTAAGAATTTTAAAAGTAAAAATAAATAAACCCTGTCATAAGTAGGGTTTCCTGGGAAACAGACTCTGAGATGGAGCTTTGCTTGCCTGTAGTTTGTTAGGGAGTGCTCTCAGGATCAACACCTATTATGGAGTGAGGGAAGAAGGACTGGAATGAGAAAGTTGTAATGCTATGTAGAAAGCTCTCAATCTGAGAAATCTTTATTTCAGGTAAAGGGGTCTGGATTTTATATCCCTGCATTGACCACTGGATGAATACTACCCCTGAGAAGACAACAATCTCCAGTGAAGCAATTCCTTTTGATTGATATCAATTTTTGGAGAATGAAAGCCTCAATCCTAAGGGTTATCTGAAAGGAGCTTTATAGCACAGCATCTACTGCAGTTCACTTTTTGTGTGACTAAGATCCATTTACTTTATGAAATAAATGGGCCTCAGCTTTGAACAGATTCTCAGAAATTCTTATTAGTCTCAATTTCTGTAAAAACTTACAGGAGGAAGTTTAGTGGGACGAACTATAACTCACCTATTGCATTTGGTCTTAGTCACTGATGACAGTTGGTCTTTTATCACCTCGCTGCTCTACAAACAAGTCTATATTTTCCTCATCTTTGTTTAGAAACTCCAATGGCCTAGTTGCTTTACTTTGTGGGATGGGTCTGCACCTCCACTTATCATGCCTTTCTCATGCTGTACATACTGTCTTCTCATGTATCTAATATCTTTCCATGCTGTACCCCAAACCTCACAAACACCAGAGATATTAAACCTGCCAGTTCAATCATTTACATTAGTATACATGAATAAATCCAGTTAAATCATCAGTAAAAGCCTCAGCAATTATCCTACTGCCTACCAGGTGCTATCAGCATTCCCCCTGCTAGTGAGGTGGCCTTCATCGTTAGCTGAGTGCCTGGACATCCAGCTCCTAAATCCCATTTTTGAATCTGCCTCCTAGAATTATTCCTGGCACCAACTGCTGTAGGCTAGAGTCCCCAAGAATCACAATCTGGAAATAGGAAGATAAATTTGTATAAAACCTTGGGTAGGGGAATACTAAAATACTAATAGATGCTCCAATGGGTCACATACATGGCAAGCATATCCTTCCTTTCCCCTATGGTGTAATAGCAACCTACCTTTTCCTGACACTTCAGGTCACTGAAAATCAATTTCAACTCAGACTTTATGCCCAATAATCTTTGTAATATTGGAATATTCTCTTCACCCTTTTTTTCAGTGCACAGTTATATGAATAAATGGCCCATAAATCTCACTAGGAATATAAAATTATTACGTTACATATTTACTGTGGTCTTGCAGGTCCTTGTTCTTGAGGAATCTTGTCTCTCAGGCAATGAATTCTAAGACTGAAAATTGGCTCAAGGTCTCTGACACTTTTTTTTTTTTTTTGAGATGGAGTCTTGCTCTGTCGCCCAGGCTGGAGTGCAGTGGCGCTATCTCGGCTCACGGCAAGCTCCACCTCCCAGGTTCACGCCATTCTCCTGCCTCAGCCTCGCCAGTAGCTGGGACTACAGGAACCCGCCACCTCGCCCGGGTAATTTTTTGTATTTTTAGTAGAGACGGGGTTTCACCGTGTTAGCCAGGATGGCCTCGATCTCCTGACCTCGTGATCCACCCGCCTCGGCCTCCCAAAGTGCTGAGCCAGCACGCCCGGCGGGTCTTTGACATTTTTAAAGGTCAGCAGCTCTAAGCTCCTGATTATTCAACCTTGATTTCTATTTATTATGTAGATTAACACCTTTGTTGCCCCTCTAGGTTCTTCCTAGGGTTCGTGTGTTCTATTAATCATCTCCACAACTCTGTGTGTTTTTAATTACCCCTGGCTGCCTTCCTACCCAGCCACTCATCCACTAAGTATGCCTGATCATTACTGCCTCTCTTGATTTTTACTTTTTGGGAGGTCAGTTCTGAAACAGCATCTCCTACCTTCAGCTCTAGCCTACAGAGGACAGGCCCTATTGAGCTTTTCAGTGAAGTTTCTCTGTTCTCCCTGGAGTATTTCTCATTTCTGTAGTAAAAAGAGTGTCCTCTGGCCCTCTTGTCCGTATTAGTCAACTTCTGGGTATTCTGGCCTTATGTTTTATATCCATTCTGACTTATGATCTCTTCTTCCACTCTCTGCCATGGCAGTTCTGGTATTTCTACTTCCTATAGTGTGGGTCATCAATTTATCCCTGCTTCTGAGAGCCATCCCAGCTGTGTGTTAGCACATTCCCCTGGGGCCTCGCCGGGTTTTCAAATTCTACGTTATGGGAGAGTGCTCACATTTTTTGAAAAATTCTCATTTATCCAACTTTATATACCAGTCTCCTAGATTCAGCATTTTTTAGTGGCAATTTCCAAGTCTTTACTCTTGCTCGTACATATACTGGAGTTATTTTAGGGTAGAGTCTGTTTCTTCCTCTAGAAAACCTGAAACAGCATCTCCTACCTTCAGCTCTAGCCTAAGAGGACAAGCCCTATTGAGCTATTCAATGAAGTTTCTGTCCTCCGTGGAGCGTTTCTCATTTCTGTAGTAGAAGGAGTGTGCTCTGGCCCTCTTGTGCATGTTAGTCAGCTTGTAGGTATTCTGGCCTTATGACATTTTTCTGAACAAATTATATTGCTACTTCATTCTAGGTATGGGTTTAAGGGTCAAGATGAAAGGTTAGGGTAAATACCTAGGGGTATAACATGTTGTCTGTTTAGGCAAAGGCCTCTGTTCCATCTTTGAGGAAGAAAGAATACTACTGTTAACTCACAGAATTGGGTCACTACTGTAATTCCAGAGGGTTCAAAGGGACTTAGAGTTTGAAAAGATTTGACTGTGATAATCTCAGTGCCTGTATTATTTCATTTTCATGCTGCTGATAAAGACATACACGAGACTGGGCAATTTACAAAAGAAAGAGGATTATTGGGCTTACATTCCACATGGCTGGGGAGGCCTCTCAATCATGGCAGAAAGCAAGAAGGAGCAAGTCGCATCTTACATGGATTGCAGCAGGCAAAGAGAGAGATTGTGCGAGAAACTTCCATTTTTAAAACCATCGGATCTCATGAGACCCATTCACTATCACAAGAACAGCACAGGAACAACCCACCCCTGTGATTCAATCATCTCTCACTAGGTCCCTCCCACAACACGTGGGAATTATGGGAGCTACAAAATGAGATTTGGGTGGAGACACAGAGCAAAATTCTATCATTCTGCCCATGGCCTCTCCCAAATCTCATATTGTCACATTTCAAAACTAATCATGCCTTCCCAGCAGTCCCCCAAGCTCACAACTTATTGCAGCATTAACTCAAAAGTCCACAGTCCAAAGTCTTATCTGAGACAAGGCAAGTCCCTTCCCCTTATCAGCTTGTAAAATCAAAAGAAAGTTAGTTACTTCCTAGATACAATGAGGGTACAGGCATTGGGTAAATGCAGTCATTCCAAATGGGAGAAATTGGCCAAAACAAAGGAGTTATAAGACCCATGCAAGTCCAAAATCCATCAGGGCAGTCAAATCTTAAAGCTCCAAAATGATCTCTTTTGACTCCGTGTCTTACACCCAGATCATACTGATACAGGAGGTGGGTCCCCATGGTCTTGGGCAGCTCCAGCCTTGTGGCTTTGCAGGGTACAGCCTCCCTCCCAGCTGCTTTCATGGGTTGGCATTGACTGTCTGCAGCTTTTCTAGGTGCACTGTGCAAGCTGTCCATGGATCTACCATTCTGGAGTCTGGAGGATGATGGCCTTCTCACAGCTTCACTAGGTGGTGCTCCAGTAGGGCCTCTGTGTGGGGCCTCCAACCCCATATTTCCCTTTTGCACTGCCCTAGCAGAGGTTCTACATGAGGACACTGCCCCTACTCTGAACTTCTGCCTGGGCATCCAGGCATTTCCATACATCTTCTGAAATACAGGAAGAGCTTCCCAAACTTCAATACTTGACTTCTGTGCACTCACAGGCTCAACACCACCTGGAAGCTGCCAAGACTTGGGGCTTGCACCCTCTGAAGCCATGGCCTGAACACTACATTGGTCCCTTTCAGCCATGGTGGGAGCAGCTGGGATGCAGGGCACCAAGTTTCCTCCTAGGCATCTGAACCTGTGATGATAGGGCCTGCTGCAAAGGATTCTGACATGCCCTGGAGACATTTTCCCCATTGTCCTGGTTATTAACATTCAGCTCCTCCTTACTTATGTAAATTTCTGCAGCTGGCTTGAATTTCTCCTCAGAAAATAGAATTTTCTTTTCTATTGCATTGTCAGGCTGCAAATTTTCCAAACTTTTATCCTCTGTTTCTTTTTTGAAACTGAATGCCTTTAACAGCACCCAAGTCACCTCTTGAATGCTTTGCTGCTTAAAAATTTTTCCACCAGATACCCTAAATCATCTCTCTCGAGTTCAAAGTTCCACAAATCTCTAGGGCAGGGACAAAATGCCACCAGTCTCCTTGTTGAAACATAACAAGAGTCACCTTTGCTCCAGTTCCCAACAAGTTCTTCATTTCCATCTGAGACCACCTCGGACTGGAACATCTATTAGCATTTTTGTCAAAACTGTTCAACAAGTCTCTAGGAAGTTCCAAACTTTCCCTCACTTTCCTATCTTCTGAGCCCTCCAAACTGTTCCCACTTCTGCCTGCTACCCAGTTCCAAAGCCGCTTCCACATTTTCAGACATCTTTTCAGCAATACTCCACTCTACTGGTACCAATTTACTATATTAACATGCTGCTGTTAAAGACATACCCAAGACTGGCCAATTTACAAAAGAGAGAGAGTTATTGGACTTAACAGCTCCACATGGCTGAAGAGGCCTCACAATCATAGCAGAAGGCAAGGAGGAGCAAGTCACATCTTATATGGATGGCAGCAGGCAAAGAGAGAAATCTTTTGCAGAGAAACTCCCGTTTTTAAAACCATCAGCTCACGTGAGACCCACTCGCTATTAGGAGAACAGCGTGGGAAAGACCTATCCCCTTGATTCAATCATCTCCCACCAGGTCCCTGTCAGAACATGTGAAAATTATGGAAGCTACAGGATGAGATTTGGGTGGGGACACAGAGCCAAATCGTATCAATGCCTCTATCAAAAATCTTAGGGTCCCATTGAATTCTAGTCAGGACTGTAATTTTAATTTATCATCTCCACTGCCCATAAAATAAAATATCAAACAAGATCTTTGGGGTTTCTCTGCACTCTGGCTGTTCTGCAGGAGATAATAATCTCCTTAACAAGCATCTAAGGAGGTAATGCCACCTTCACATTTTACTTTAAGTTGGTAATAATCACTCTCATTCTTTTATTGTCCTTCTCTAAAGTGTGTGTGTATGTCTTTCCCTCCAAAATAATCATCCAATTCCACAGTTCTTATACATACTTTTGTACTGCAACCCTCATAAATTTACCTGAGATATTATACCTGCCATTTCAATCATTTATGTTGGTATTCATGAAAAAATCCAGTTAATCATCAGTGAAAGCTGCAGCAATTTCACTTCTGCCTGCCAATGGCTATCAGCGTTCCCCCTACTAGGGAGGTGGTCTTCATTGTTAGCTGAGTGGCTGGCAATCTAGCTCCCAAATTCTATTTTTGAATCTGCCTCTTAGAATTCCTGGCACCAACTGTTGTAGGCTGGAGTCCTCAGGGATCAGAATCTGGGAATAGGATTATTCCAGTGTGCTTGTGAGAACAACACCCATGAGAGAGGGAGAGAAGCAGGATTGAAATGAGGAAGAATTTGAACTTAGATACAAAGGCAGCACAGGCTTCAGCAGATCCTACAGGGAACACTGAAGTTGGGATGGTTTTTCAGAGATGTTCTGCTTCCAATCATGGATGCAAGCTGCCCTCTAGGAATGGGGCATTGCTTGAAGAAGGCAGCTCCCTTTTGGCCAAGGGAGATTCTTAGGATGAACTGCCAGACTGCAGTTTTTCCAACAGCTGGGGGAATGAGTGTCTCAGTTTGTAAAGGATCATCTGTGCAGTGCACCACACCACCAACTGCAATTCCTGATCTCCTGAAGTTTATAGCATAGCAGAAAAAGCCTTATTTCTCTGGAGTTGGGAAACAAATTGTGAATTAATAAAGCAATATAGTGAAATGTATTATCATTGATGTTTTCAGCCAACACGATAATGATTTATTTGGATTCCCTAAAAATATACATACAAAATTTGTAATTCGTGGATAAAAAGTTTTCTTTTCTCCATTCACCTTTTTTTTTAAGGGATATTGTAGTAATATCAATTATTATGCCTTCAGGTTTAGGTAATAGACTAGCTAAAATGTAACTTCAATAATATAGTTATGTATGACTTCACTTAACAGTGAAGTGTGAGGTAAGCATGTTACAGAGTTCATTCAGAAACAGTCATGAAAACAGGGGACTAGGTTCTTCAATATTTCCACTCTGCCCCCAGTGACACCCTAAGCACGGCATCCTGGCAAAACTATTTCACAAATAGAAAGGAAAGGGGTGGGAGAGGAATGGCTTACCTTTGCTTTCTCCATTTATGTCAAAGATAAAACTTTTTCTAAGCCCCTTTTCCCCTTGACCAGAAATTGTTCATTTGATTACTCCTAGTATTGCAAAGAGGAATGAGATTATTACAGTTGACTTAGACCAAATACTTCACATTGCCTGATACAGAGCATGTTGTTCCCCAATCCAACTAAATTAGGACCTATGCATAAGAAAAACGGGGAATGGATGTTGAATAGGCAACTGATTTAGTTTGCTGCAGTTACTATAGAAGGATTAGGCTGATGTGTAAATCAGGATGTGGAAGATGAGATGTTCACATTTACAGAATGATAGAAGAGTGGGTGTTATTGTATTACATAAAATTATGTTAACTCACTCGGGATCAATTTTTTTAAAACATCAAAGAAAACAATGCTTTTGGAGAGTTTAAACAAACTCGATGTCTTGATGATCTTTTTATGGCATAACATTTATTCTTTTGCTTTAAATATACTCTTAAGCTTATTATCATTTAAATGTATAGTGTATCAGTATGTCAATTAGAAATGATGACAGGTAAATTTTCACTTCAGTATTGCTTTTCTACCTAAGTATTTAAAATGCTCTGTTTTTTTTTTTCAGAAAGGTGATGGAGTCTACGGTTTTTTACTAAGAGCATACAATTATTGGGCTTTATCTGTCTAACAACACACGCACACACAGTTTTACCATTGTCCTTTGATAGAAGTATAGCCTTCAGCTAGGGCATATATGTTTTAAGATAATTAATTACATTCCTGTGCTGCAAAATGATGTTTCAACATTCACAGTCAAAAAGTTAAAAAATAATAAAAAGTATAAATTAAAATAGATTATGCCAGGTTAATTTGTTTTTGAAGAAGGAAAAAGATTTTTTAAATAAATTCAGTGTAGCCTAAGCATTTATAAAGTTTGCAGGAATATATAGTAATGTCCTAGGACTTCATATTCACTCAGCACTCACTCAATGACTCACTTAGAGCAACTTCCAGTTCTGCAAGATTCATTCATGTAAGCACCCTATACAGGTGTACCATTTTTTTAATATTCTATACTGTATTTTTTACTGTGCCTGCTCTATGTTTACATATGTTTAGATACAAAAATACTTGCCATTGTGTTACAACTGTATTCAGTATAGTTTTCAGTATGGTAACACGCTGTATAGGTTTGTAGCCTAGGAGCAATATGCTGTAACATATATAGCCTCGGTGTGTAGTAGGCTATAGCATCTAGATTTCCATAGGCACGCTCTCTCTCCAGTGTTTACACAGGTTGAAACCTCCTAAAGGCACATTTCTCAGGCTGTATCCTCATCCCTAAACAATGCATGACTGGGCCGGGCGTGGTGGCTCATGCCTGTAATCTCAGCACTTTGTTAGGTGGAGGCAGGCGGATCACCTCAGGTCAGGAATTTGAGACTAGCTTGGCCAACATACTGAAACCCTGTCTCTAACTAAAAGTACAAAAATTAGCTGGGCGTGGTGGCGCACGCCTGTAATCCCAGCTACTCAGGAGACTGAGGCAGGAGAAACTTGAACCCGGGAGGCGGAGATTGCAGTGAGCCCAGATCGCACCATTGCACTCCAGCCTGGGCGACAAGAGAGAGACTCAGTCTCAACAACAACAAAAAACAATGCATGACTGTAGTTTCAGGTGTGTTCATCAATGAATGATTCTATTTGTTTTTGAAACTTTTCTCTCACCCTTTTGTCACAGCTCCCTGACATAGCTTAGATGTGCTTTCTATCAAAGGCTTGTAGCATTTGCCTTTCTTTCTTTTCTTTTCTTTTCTTTTTCTTTCTTTCCTTTTCTTTCTTTCTTTCTTTCTTTCTTTCTTTCTTTCTTTCTTTCTTTCTTTCTTTCTTTCTCTCTCTTTCTTTTCTTTCTGTCAGCATCCCATTTTGTCACAAAGGCTGGAGTGATCTGCTGCTCACTGCAATTTCAATCTCTTAGGCTTGAGTGGTCCTCAGGCCTCAGCCTCCTAAGTAGCTGGGGCCACAGGTGCACACCATCATGCCCGGTTAATTTTTTATTTTTTTTTAGAGACGGGGATCTCCTTATGTTGCCCAGACTGGTCTTGAACTCCTGAGTTCAAGTGATCCTCCTACCTTGGCCTATTTAAGTACTGGAATTACAGGCATGAGCCACCACACTTGGCCTGGTTTCTGTTTTCTAATAACTCTCCACAGTTTTCACATTGCTTCCTGTTCTTCCTCTTATTTCTTTGGCTCAAAGTCTTTGCTTCCATAATGAAAGCAACAGTCACTGGACTGTGACTGCAGGTTTCTCACCCATGGCCCTCTCTCACCTCAGGTTGCCAATCAAGCAGCCCAGACGTTCAAGTTCAAACTCTTTTACATTCTGATTTTAAGTTTTGTTTTTGTTTGTTTGTTTTTACATTTAATCCTTTTAATAAATAATATGAATCTTTAAAGATCAAATGGTCCATTTTACAGAGAGATTTGTCTTTCCCTGTTTTCTTTAAGAGAGATTTCCGTATATGTTTAAATTTCAGTCCCTCTCTGTTAAAATAAAAAATAATTGTCATTTGATAGTTTTTCCTTCTTCCCTTCCATGATAACTTTTCAAGACACTCTGAAATATTTTATTTTTAAAGCCATTGCTTAATAATTATATTTCATCTCACAATATTAAGATTTAAATGTGCATATGGATATATCACATATAACCTGAATACTTACTAATATGAATTTTTAAAGTTTAAAATATATCATGTTTTAATTCGCTCACTAGGTTATTTAACATTCATTCATGATGTGAATATTTAGAATACAAAGCAAAATTTAACATTAAGTGCAAATGAATGCAGAAGCTTCTCTTGTGTAGAATCTTCTATTAATATGCACCCTACCCAAGCAGCTTTTAATTTAAGTTTATGATATAATCAATTATTTCTATGAAGCCAGGATGTGGTTGCAACATCTTTAGCAATGTACTATTGCAAAGCATTATAATTATTTTCATTGGGACAAACTGATTCTGGATTGTTTTTCCTGCAGAGCAATGGAAATCATTGAAGAATTTTAAGCAAGAATAACTTAATCAGTTAAATTATTCCTGTGACCTGGTAGAGGATGGATCAGATAACACATGTGCTCATGGCAAGAAGAACAGTTAAGAAAGAACAGTGATCCAGCAATAGCTGGATAATCCAAAACTTAAGTACTGAGAGGTGCCTAAAACTTTCTTAAATTGTATAGTTTCAGAGAAAGATGAACAAATAGAGGGAATTCAACCATGATGTAGGAATAATTCAGTGGTTTGAGGGCAGCAAAAGATAGAGCTGATTAGCAGTATAAGCTCTGGAGTCAGATAATTTGGGTTGCCACCCAGCTCTAACCACTTACTAGGTCTGTGACCTTGAACAGGTTATCAACTCTCTATGCCTCTGTTTTTCTCTCTGTAAAATGAGGAAAATTAGAGTAGGTACATCATTAGCCACCCCTCATAAGGTGAAGATTAGATTAGATTAAGTCGTAAGTCCTTATAATAACATTGGGTAGAAAGCTTATCATTATTGGTTTAAACAAGAGTTTATTTCTCACTTTGCATCCTTTTTCATGAACTCTTTTACTGAAACAAATATGACAAAACACTTTGATGTCTTTTGCACTGAATCATATTTTCCTCAAGTTTCTGCAATTTCTCCTATTTTATATTCAAAGGCATATAAATTTTTTAAGTTATAAGTTCTGTTTATGAAAACTGATATATTATAAGATGTTACTACTAATTCTGAAAAATTGACCTCTAATCTTGAAAGGATAGATGTGTAGGTGAATAATTATGACACCCTTTAGGAGTATTTTGAAACTATTTGACATTGTACTAGCCATTTTCATCTTTTTCTTAATTATTATTGTTTTCTACAACAGGTGCTGGAGAGGATGTGGAGAAATAGGAACACTTTTACATTGTTGGTGGGACTGTAAACTAGTTCAACCATTGTGGAAGTCAGTGTGGCTATTCCTCAGGGATCTAGAACTAGAAATACCATTTGACCCAGCCATCCCATTACTGGGTATATACCCAAAAGATTATAAATCATGCTGCTATAAAGACACATGCACAGGTATGTTTATTGTGGCACTATTCACAATAGCAAAGACTTGAAACCAAACCAAATGTCCAACAATGATAGACTGGATTAAGAAAATGTGGCACATATACACCATGGAATACTATGCAGCCATAAAAAATGATGATTTCCTGTCCTTTGCAGGTTCATGGATGAAGCTGGAAACCGTCATTCTCAGCAAACTATCTCAAGGACAAAAAACCAAACACTGCATTTTCTCACTCATAGGTGGGAACTGAACAATGAGAACACATGGACACAGGAAGGGAAACATCACACACTGGGGCCTGTTGTGGGGTGGGGGGAAGGATAGCATTAGGAGATACACCTAATGCTAAATGACGAGTTAATGGGTGCAGCACACCAACATAGCACATGTATACGTATGTAACAAACCTGCACGTTGTGCACATGTACCCTAAAACTTAAAGTATAATAAAAAAATTATTATTGTTTTCTTCATTTTTAAGCATGTTTCAGTCATAGTTCTCAGCATTTAGTAACATGGCATTATTACATTGCATGTACAAATTTTCCTTTTATGAATGCATTTAATATCTATGGTTCTTTGAATTTAAATGTAGCTTGTGAGTTCTCCTTGAAGTATTATTTTAACCTGCTCTACAAAAAAACTATGTTTTAATAATTTCTCAGTCCACAATATTGGATAAAAACTTGTGTTGTTCTTTCTTTTTAATCTCTAGCATTTCTTTTATTTTTCTTAGATTTTAAAAATCTCTTTGCTTATATTCCCACCTGTTTTTGCATGTTGTTCACTTTTTTCATTAAAGACCCCAGCAAATTAATCATTGTTGTTTTAAATTCCCAGTCTGATGATTCCAACATTTCTGCCATATCTGAGTTGGGTTCTCCTGCTTGCTCTGTCTCTTCAAATTGTTATTTTTGTCTTTTAGTATGCCTTGTAATTTTTCGTTCAAAGCTGGACATGATGTACTGAGTAAAAGGAACTTCAGTACTTAGGCATGTAGTGGAGTGGTGGTAAGGCGTGGGGTGAAGGTAATGTTCTGAGGTCCTATGATTAGGTCTCAGTCTTTTAGTGAGCTGTGACCCTTGGCTGTAAACTTCCAAATTGCTTCATAGTCCTCTGCAGCTTTGTCCCATAGGTGGGACAGGATGGCTGTGGGGCTGAAGTGGGATACTTCCCTTCTCAAGGTTGGTAAGGCTTTGATAAAAAACAATACAATAATTTAGGCTCAAGTAAAATAAATTTTCCTGAGGGCAGACTTTGTTAAGAAAAACAGAATGTTCTGGCAAATTTCAAATTTCAAAAGTTTCCTTTTATCCTCCCCCTACAGGATGCATGACAGAATCTGTTAGAGTTCCTGGAAGTAAAAATCACAAAAGTGTGCTGCCCTCCCCCAACTCCCACCCTATGGGCCTTCCTGGATTTTTAAAATCTCAGAGTCAGTCCACAGTGAGCCTCCAGTAATTTGTCAGTTACAGTTCGGTTTCCCTATCCCTGCACTGGTTCTCATAGAGGTTTCTGTTCATCATTTTCTGCTTTGGTAAGTTGTGATTCTCTGTACCCCAACCCCACTTTGTGCCTTTCCAATCTGGGGGACAGTGGTTTGCTCTGTGGCCTCACTTCTCTGTTTATTTTTGAGTGATTTACTTGTTAGGATATAGTGATGAATTCCAAGAACCTTATATGCCTGACTGGAAACTGGAAGTCCATCCTTTTCTTTTTAATCGATTATGACGACTCATTTGGAGCTACTGCATCTAAATGGAGCTTGGATAATAAGGCAGAACTAAAGTTTGTTGAACTGAAAAATATAAAACCTGAAAGGCATTTGTCAGTTGATAATACAGAACACAAAAAGGTGAAGACACAAAGGATGTTGAAAGGAAAAAGGATTAAGAGTAAGAGGATATGTCAAGCATGCAAATTTGTTCATGTTAAAAATAATCATTATTTGTCAAGCTGTTTGTCTTGATCCATTACTGAGTCTTAGCATATATTTAGTGAATCTCTACAGCATTTAAACAATGTTCCATAATAGAAAAGAGGAGACAATATTAGAATGTATTGAATGTGATCAGTTTAAATATTATTTTGGAAACCTTTTACTTTTGTATAGTATACATTATATGTATGTGCTCTGTGTGTGTGTGCATGTATATATGTGTGTACTGATTCAGTATTTAAAAAGTATTTCTTATTTATAGGATGTGATTAAGAAAGTTTGAAGTCACTAGAATGCTACATAGTAAACATTTTTGCTTATTTAGCTTTCAGTTCGGAAATAGTTTAAGGCATTTATATCATGTACTATCAGAATTATAAATATGGAAGGAACATGACATGACCGACTTGTCTCTACAAATCCCTTTTGAAAAAGTTTAAAATGTGTTAACTAAAACTGTATAGAAAGTCTAAATGTGATTTAGATGATTAACAGTCTATGATAAAGGTATCCTAACAGCTATTATATTTAATTAGAAAATTAAAATACCTGGAAATCATCACTGTCACTATTACATAAACAAAAATTTAAGTTGGTAACAGAAGTAGGAATTAAACCAAAGACTTCTCATTTTTAGTTTCTGTTTTATTTAAGATTATAAATTATTATCAAATATTTAAGAATGTTTTAGAAATTCTCTTTAAAATCCAGGATATTATTAAAGCTCTGTGGAAAATTTGCATCATTTTCTACTAAAATATATAAGCCCTTATTTCTTTGTTTTTCTGGAACTTGAAACAATGTTATTAACTCTGCTGTAGTTGTGACTTTATAGATAAATTATTAATAAATAAGTATTATTATCAGAATGTTCTTGACTACATATTTCCAAATATTCTTATATTGAATTTGCAGGTTAATTTTATAATTCTTTAAAGGTTATTTATTTTGAGATATTTAATTGCAAAAAGTGTAAGAATTTGGCCTTTATCAAATGAGTCAAGAAAAAAGCCATATGGAGTTAATTATATAATATTTCTTTTATTTTAGTTTAGACAGTGACTCATGTCATGCAGTTTCAGTATTCCTTGGCAACGAAAGGATTGTGTTGGTTGGTCAAAATACCAATTTAACAAGAAGTCAGTGTAGAATGAAACACATTTTTGTCAAGATTTTCATTTTTCTAATGTACAATGAATAATGTCACCCATTAAAAGTTAATTTACTTTGTCAATTTAATGATCAAATATGTAATTATATTTGCAGGTCAATAGATCTGTATTGAGTTGGTAGTAGCACAGTTTGAAATAGCATGCACAAAAGACAAAACTAAATCCAGAAATAAGGACCAGCCTATGCCACTGTACTGGCTATATTCAGGCAGTTGCCTGTGCTACAGATGGAATGCAAAACAATAAAATTACAATTGCCAGTGCACATCTTGAAATAATAGGTTTCCTTATTAGTACCTTGCATCCAGCTGTGATGTCTGAAAGAAATTGAGCTTAGTTTCAAACTGGGCTGACTGAATACACGCACATATGACCTTTTGGTGTCTACAGCCAAGAGTGTTTGTAACTTCATAATAGCTTCTTATCCATAGTGTTTATTGATAAAATTGTATGAAGGCCTTTTAAAATGACATATAAAAACAGGTTTCCGTTTTAAATTTTTTTCCTCTTCATTTAGAATAGAAGTTAAAGCAGATTATTTGAGCTTACATTTTCTTGGAATTTTGAAGACAACTTAACTGATTTCTTTCTGCATTAGCGACAGGAGAATGGTGACAACTAAGTTTTGGAAGACTCAGACACTGTAACGCAATATTATCTGGCACTTTTTAAAAAAGATATTGCATAATTGATAGGATATATCAGAAGTTAACATGGATGTAGGAAGACTTTATTGGAACACAAATTAAAACAAAATAATAAATATATGACCTTGGAACTTTTCTCTAGAAAAAAAAAGTTTAAACAGTATTTCAACTTATAGTGATTGCTGGAAAGGTGAAACTTGCCTAAGAATCTTATGAGATTAATTGGTAAAATATGGTTTCAATGCTTGTTAATTCTTTGTGGTGTTAAGGAGTAAAGACATGTAATAGATGGCTTTTGATTAATGGAGAACTTTAATAAGGCTTTACAGAAATATAGATCAACCCAGAGTCCACATTTTGTTGGAGGGCATTGGGCAAACTGGAGTATTACGCATAATAAAGAATGAAAACTTTGTGTGTCATAAGCTAGTTTATCAGCTAGCTTTTGCTTTATGACACTCCAACATTTTAGAGGCTTAAAATGACCATGAAAGCTTACATTCTGCAAATTGGGTATTTGTATTGAATTCACATGGGCATTTTTCTCTGATCTAGGCCAAGTTTGACTGATCTTGCCTGAGCTTGCCTGAGTGTCTTTGGCTAGCTGATTTGTCATTTAGGACTGACTCGTTTATGGTGGCTTCAGTTAGGAAGGCTAGGAAGCCTGAGAGCCTAGACCCGTCTATTTGTATGAATGGTTTTAGAATTACTATAACAGCAATAAAGCAAGCCCCCATATGCAAGCTCTTAACCTTAACCTTTGATTGCTTCATGTTGCTAGTTTCCAAGAGATGTTATATTCTTATTCCCTTTTTAAAAAAATAGAAACTGAAGGGCAGAATACTTGTGTGATCTCCACATGATTATATCTCCATAGAACTGGGAGATGATGTACCTGTGAGATAAATACAAATAGATTTCCTGTTCATTGTAAACTCTTGATCATTAGACTTTATAAACTATGGGGGGGTGGTAATAAAAAATGAAGAATAAAAATGTAATGACAATAATTGGGTCATGGCTGATACAGATTTCTGTAATATTGTTGATACTTTAGAAGACAATCTTGGGAGAGGCCACGATGGCCCATTAGAACCAGCTGCAGTGAGTAGTTCTCACTAAGTGAAATGAAAACGGCAAGTGAATTCAGCACCTTCAACTGAAATATCCAGGCTGTCTCATTGGGACTGACTAGGTGGACAACTGGATCCATGGAGAATGAAGAAAAGCAGGATGGGATGACAGCCCACATGGGAGTGACATGGAGCCAAAGGAACCCCCAACCCTGGCCAAGGGAAATGGTGAGTGATTGTATGACACCAACCAGGAAAACACACTTCTCCCATGGTTCTTTGCAACCCTTGGATCACGAGATCCCCTTGTGAGCCCATGCCACCAGGGCCCTGGGTGCCATATACAGAGCTGTGTAGGGTCTCGGCAGAACAGCCACTCAGGTACACACAAAGTCAGCCACTCAGGCACACATACTCCATCCCTAGGAATCCCAGGAAGGTGGGAGATTCGTCCGTACCTTCCCCTAGGAAGAGGGCTGAATCCAGGGAGCCAAGCAGTGTCGTTCTGTGGGACCCACTTCCACGTCACCTCACAAATTAAGACCCACTGGCATGGAATTCCAGCCAGCCAGCAGCAACAGGCTGAAGACTGCCTGTGACAGGACCGAGTTCCTGTGGGGAAGGGGTGGCCACCATTGCTGTGGTTTGGTCGGCTCAGCTGTTCTAGCCTGCCGGCTCCAGGGAGTCCAGGCTGTTCAGATAAGGAGTCCCCCACAACACAGCACAACTGCTATACCAGATCATATCCTGACTGCTACTTTAAGAGGGACTCCGTTCCATTCCTCCTCACTGGGCAGGGCCTCCCTGCAGGAATTTCGGCACTCCAGCCAGGATTATATGGACAGAACTCTGATCTCTCCCTGGGATGGAGCCCCCAGGTGGAGGTGTGGCTGCTGTCTCTGTGGTTCAGTTGACTCAGCCATTCCAGCCAGCCAGCTCTGGAGAGTCCAGGTGGTCTGGACAAGGAGGGGCCCCCTACAACTCAGCACAGCTGCTCTACCAAAAAGCAGCCAGACTGCTTCTTTAAGTGGGTTCCTGGTCCTGTTCCTACTGACTGGGTGAGACCTCTCATCAGGGGTCTCCAGACACCTCTTACCGGAGCATTCAGGCTGGCAACATGTCAGTACACCCGTGGGACGGAGCACCCAGAGGAAGAAGCAGGCGGCCATCTTTGCTGTCTCACAGCCTTCATTGGTGATACCTCCAGGTACAGGAAAACTGAGGCAACTAGGGTCGGAGTGGATCCTTAGCAAACTGCAGCAGCCCTGTGGAAGAGTGGCTTGACTGTTAGAAAAACAAACAAACAGAAAACAACAACAACATCAACATTTAAATGCCAGCAACCTCAAAGATCAAAGGTAGGTAAGCCCACAAAGATGAGAAAGAATCAATGCAAATACACTGAAAACTCAAAAAGCCAGAGTGCCTCTTCTCCTCTAAATGACCGCAACACTTCTCCAGCAAGGTCACAGAACTAGGCTGAGGCTGAGATGGATGAATTAACAGAAGTAGGCTTCAGAAGGTGGGTAATAGCCAACTTCACTGAGCTACAGGAGCACGTTGCAACCCAAGGCAAAGATGCTAAGAATCCTAATAAATCAATACCACTGATAACCAGAATAGTCAGGGTAGACAGAAACATAGCCAACCTGATGGAGCTGAAACACACAACACGAAAACTTCACAATGCAGTCACAAGTATCAACAGCAGAATAGACCAAGCAGAGGAAAGAATCCACGGGCTTGAAGACTATCTTTCTGAAATAAGACAGGCAGACAAGAACAGATTAAAAAGAATGAAAAGGAATGAACAAAACCCGTGAGAAATATGGTCTTATGTAAAAAGACTGAACCTAACACTGATTGGGGTACCTGAGAGAGATGGGGAAAATGTAATCAAGTTGGCAAACATACTTCAGGATATCATTCAGGAGAACTTCCCCAACCTAGCAAGACAGGCCAACATTCAAATTCAGGATATGCAGAGAATCACAGTAAGATACCCCACGAGATGATTAACCCCAAGACACATAATCATCAGATTATCCAAGGTTGAAATGAAAGAAATAATGTTAAGGGAAGCCAAGAAGAAATTCCAGGTCACCTATAAAGGGAAGTTCATCACACTAATAGCAGACCTCTCAGCAGAAACCCTACAAGCCAGTTGAGATTGAGGGCCAATATTCAATATTCTCAAATAATTTCCAACCCAGAATTTCATATCTGGCCAAACAGCTTCATAAACATAGGAGAAATAAGATCCCTTTCAGACAAGCAAATGCTGTGGAAATTCATCCCCACCATGCCTGTCTTGCAAGAGCTCCTGAAGAAACCACCAGAAATGGAAAGGAAAAACCATTATCAGTCACTACAAAGACACACTGAAGTACATTGACCAGTGATGCTATGAATCAACCACATAAACAAATCTTCAAAATAACCAGGTAGCATCATGATGACAGGATTAAATTCACACATAACAATACTAACCTTAAATGTAAATGGGCTAAAAGACCCAATTAAAAGACAGAATGACTAGCTGGATAAGAGCCAAGAACCATGGGTATGTGTTGTCTCCATGAGACCCATCTCACATGCAAAGACACACAGAGGCTGAATATAAGGGGATGGAGGAAAATTTACCAAACAAATGAAAAGCAGAAAAAAAGCAAGCATTGCAATCCTACTTTCTGACAAAACAGACTTTGAACTAATAAAGATATTTTTTAAAGGCAGAAGCATTACACAATTGTAAAGGGTTCAATTCAACAAGAAGGGCTGACTATCCTAAATATACATGTACCCAATACCAGAGCACCCATATTTATAAAGCAAGTTCTTAGAGACCTATAAAAAGTCTTAGACTCCCACACAATAGTGGTGGGAGATTTTAACACCTCACTGACAATATTAGACAGATCATTGAGACAGAAAATTAACAAAGATATTCAGAACCTGAACTCAGCTCTGGATCAAGTGGACCTAATAGATATCCAAAGAGCTCTCTACTAAAAAACAACAGAACATATATTGTTCTCATCACCAAATGGCATTTACTCTAAAATTGATCACATAATCAGAAGTAAAACACTTCTCAGCAAATGCAAAAGAACTGAACTTATAAAAAACAGTCTCTCAGACCACAGCACAATCAAATTAGAACTCAAGGTTAAGAAATTCATTCAAAACCACACAACTACATGGAAATCATGTAACCTACTCCTGAATGACTCCTGGGTAAATAATGAAATTAAGGAAGAAATCAAGAAGGTCTTTAACGCTAATGAGAACAAAGAGACAATGTACCAGAATTGCTAGGATACAGCTAAAGCAGTGTTAAGGGGGAAATTTCTAGCACTAAATGTCCACATAAAAAGCTAGAAAAATCTCAAATCAACAAACTAACATCACAACTAAAACAAATAGAGAACCAAGAGCAAACAAACTCAAAAGCTAGCAGAAGATAAGAAATAACCAAGATCAGAATGGAAGAGAAGGAGATAGAGACACATACACACAGAAAAACCCTTAAAAATTAACGAATCTAAGAGCTGGTTTTTTGAAAACACTAATAAAATAGATAGACTACTAGCTAGACTAATAAAGAAGAAAAGAGAGAAGAATCAGATAAACACAATCAGAAATGACAAGGGGGATATCACCACTGACCCCACAGAGAATCAGAGAACCATCAGAGAATCCTATAAACAACTCTATATAAATAAAGTAGAAAATCTAGAATAAATGAATAAATTCCTGGACACATACATCCTCCCAAGATTGAACCAGAAAGAAATTGAATCTCTGAATAGACCAATAATCAGTTCCAAAACTGAGGTAGTAATAAATAGCTTACCAAAGGCAAAAAGCCCAGAACCAAATTTACAGCTGAAATATACTAGAGGTACAAAGAAGAGCTTGTACCATTTCTACTGAAACTATTCCAAAAAAATGTAAAAGGAGGGAATTCTCACTAACTCATTTTATGAGGCCAGCATCATCCTGATACCAAAACCTGGCAGATATATAACAAAAAAGAAAACTTCAGGACAATATCCCTGATAAACATTGATGCAAAAATCCTCAATAAAATACTAGCAAACTGAATCCAGTAGCACATCAAAAAGCTTATCCGTCATGATCAAGTTGGCTTCATCCCCACATGCAAGGGTGATTCAACATACACAAATCAATAAATGTAATTCATCACATAGAGAGAACTAAAGACAAAAACCACATGATTATCTCAATAGATACAGAAAAGGCCTTCAGTAAAATTTAACTTTGTTCATGTTAAAAACTCTAAATAGATGAGCTACTGAAGGAATATATTTCAAAATAATAAGAGGCATATAAGAACAAACCCACAACGAATATCATACTGATTGGGCAAAAGCTGGAAGCATTCCCCTTGTAAACTGGCACAAGAATGCTTTTTCACCACTCCTATCCAACATAGTATTGGAAGTTCTGGCCGGGGCAATAACGCAAAAGAAAGACATAAAGCATATTCAAATAGAAATAGAGGAAGTCAAATTATCTTTATTTGCAGATGACATAAGCCTATATCTGGAAAAACCCATCATCTCAGCCCAAAAGCTTCTTAAGCCAATGAGCAACTCCAGCAAAGTCTCAGGATACAAAATCAATGTCCAAAGTCACAAGCATTCCTACACACCAACCAAAGGCAAGCAGTGAGCCAAATCATGAATAAACTTGCATTCACAATTGTTAAAGATACAACAAAATATCTAGAAATACAGCTAACAAGGGAAATGAAGGACTTCTTCAAGAACTACAAAGCACTGCTCAAAGAAATCAAAGAGGACACAAACAAATGGAGAAACATTCCATGGTCATGGATAGGAAGAATCAATACCATGAAAATGGCCATACTGCCCAAAGTAATTTATAGATTCAATGCTATTACCATTAAACTACCATTGACATTCTTCACAGAATTAGAAAAAAAAACTACTTTAAAATTCATATGAAACCAAAAAAGAGCGCGAACAGCTAAGACAATCCTTAGCAAGAAGAAAGATGGAGGCATCACGCTACCTGACTTCAAACTATGCTACAAGACTGCAGTAACCAAAACCACATGGTACGGGTTCAAAAACAGGCACATAGACCAATGGAACAGGTTAGAGAGCCTAGAAATAAAGCCACACACATACAACCACCTAATCTTTGACAAACCTGACAAAAACAAGCAATGGGGAAAGGATTCCCTGTATCATAATTGGTGCTGGGAGAACTGGCTAACCAAATGCATAAAACTAAAACTGGACCTTTTCCTTACACCTTACACAAAATTTAACTCAAGATAGATTAAGGACTTAAATGTAAAACACAAAACTATAAATCCCTAGAAGAAAACCTAGGCAATACCATTCAGGACATAGGCACAGGCCAAGATTTCATGACAAAAATGCAAAAAGCAATAGCAACAAAAGCAAAAATTGACAAATGAGATCTAATTAAAGTAAAGAGCTTATGCAGAGCAAGAGAAGCTATCATTGGTGTGAACAGCCTATAGAATGGGAGAAAAATTTAACAATCTATCTATCTAAGGTCCTGCATCCAGAGTCTACAAGAAACTTAAACAAATTTACAAGAAAAAATCCAATTAAAAAAGTGAGAATAGGACATGGACTGATATTTCCCGAAAGAAGACATATATGTGTCCAACAAACATATAAAAAATGCTCAACATCATTGATCATTAGAGAAATGCAAATCAAAACTAGAATGAGATACCATCTCACGTCAGTCAGAATGGCAATTATTAAAAAGTCAAAAAACAACAAATGCTGGCAAGGTTGTGGAGAAAAAGGAATGCTTTTACAATGTTGGTGGAAGTGTATGTTAGTTCAATCATTGTGGAAGATGGCATGGTGATTCCTCAAAGATCTAGAGGCATTGACCCAGCAATCCCATTCCTGGGTATATACCCAAAGGAATATAAATTATTCTATTATAAAGATACATGTATGTATATGTTCATTGCAGCACTATTCACAATAGCATAGACATGGAATCAACCCAAACACCTGTCAATGATAGACTGGATAAAGAAAATGTGGTACATATAGACCATGGAATACTATAGAGCCATAAAAAAGAACAAGACCATGTCCCTTGCAGGGACGTGGATGGAGCTGGAAGCCGCTATCCTCAGCAAACTAACACAGGAACAGAAAAACAAATACCGCATGTTCTCACTTATAAGTGGGAGCTGAACGATGAGAATGAATGGACACGTGAGGGGAAACAACACACACTGGGGCCTGTGTAGGGTGTGGGGGTGGGCGGAAGGAGAGCATCAGGAAGAACAGCTAATGGGTGCTGGGCTTAATACCGGAATGGGATGATCTGTGCAGCAAACCATCATGGCACACCTATGTAACAGATCTGCACATCCTGCACATGATCTTGGAACTTAAAAGTTGAGAAAAAAAAGTAAGTATATATGTTTTCCAAAAAAAGAGAAGACAATGTTATTTTTATCCTGCATTTTAGAATCTACCCGTTTAAAACAAACATATCTTCAATACTTCCTGTCCGCTGTTTATTCCTCTCTTGCCTGAATATTCTGTGTTTATTGACACTCAAAATTTGTGCTTTCTTCACTGTTTTTCAAATATTTGTTATGCTATCATAGCTCTCTTCTTTTCTAACAAATTTATTGATGTATCTTACTTTCACTTACTTCATATACCACCAAATGAATGGAGTACTACTTCAGCCATTCTATTTTAATATTAAATAAAGAATAAATTTCAACAAAACAAAACTTAGCTCCATTAACAAGCCTTGAAGTTTTATAAGTTGCAATTTATCTACTTCCTGTAACATTGCTGAAACATCTACTTTTTATCCTTTATTTACTCATTTTTTAATTACATAGAAGATATAAATCTTTCTACTTTAATATTAATTAAAATGTAACTATTTTTAAAAGGCTGATAAGCATAGCTTTAGACTACTCATCCTGTATTACTCTGTAGCCTAGCAGACTTCACTTCCTAGTAGAGCAAACAACAATTCTTTTTCCATTTGTGAAACTGAGGTATTAACAACTATACTGGCCTGCCTGGGCTGCCATAACAAAATACTACCGACTGGATGGCGTAAATAACAGAATTTTATTTCTCAGAGTTCTTGAATCTGAAAGTCCAAGATCAAGATTTCAGCAGTTTTGGTTTCTGCTGAGACTTCTTACCTTGGCTTACAGATGGTCACTTTCTCACTGTGTCCTCACATTTCTTGTATGCATATTTCTGCTATCTCTTCTTCTTATAGAGACATCAGCCACATCGTATTAGAATCCCACCCTTATCAACTCATTTAGCCTTATTTACCTCCATAGTGGCTCAGCTCCTAATACAGTCACACTGGAAGTTAAGGCTTCAAAATATGAATTTTGGCGGGGGGGACACAGTTCATTCCATAATACAATATTCTGAGGACTAAATAAGATTATATATATATATATATATATATATATATATATATATACACACATACAATTTATAGCATGGTAACTTAAGCCTAGAAATAGTCAAGATGGTTTATCTTTATTATATAATTATCACATCACAATCGTCATTACTCTGTCATCTAGAGATGACACTTATAAATTGAATAATATGAATATAACATTAATTCCATATCAGAATGAATAATACAAACAAATGAACAACACCATACATTGCTGCAATGTATGCTTTGTTACCATGTAGGAGAAAATATTTGGAGAAAAGAGACAGAGAAGCTATCTTGAAAATATTTTTTAAATGTGTTTGTAAAACAGAGAGTGATTTTCTTTTGTTCATGAAGACAAACTGGATAATCTGGTTAAAGTATTAAGTAGGGATATTTCAGCTCAATATAAATAAGCATAATTTACTAGTTATAGACTAGGTTTCTTTAAAAAGTGGTGAGGTTCTCATTTGCAAAATATTTTAAGCAAAAGGTAGACCTCACATTCTGTGATGTGGTTGGGTGGTAGGTTGGTTCAAATGACTTCTAAGTTCAATTCCTTCCAGCTTCCGAACTCTGGTCTTAGTTGATTTACTTTTGGGATTTGCGTAGGAGTGGGTCCATACATGATGCCCAACAGGATTTTTAGCATAATGAATGAAACAGCACTTAGAATTTGAAGGCGTTTACAGGGAAAAATATGTCTAAGTGAAAATTGCTGTAGTTACTTGGATAAATACATATTTTTAAATGAAAGAAAGAAACTAAGTGGTGATGATAATGAGTTACAGGTGTGAGTAGTGCTGGGCTGTGGGAGATATGCATGTATAGAAAACTGAAGGAAAAGATTGGGGAAGGTGGAGTCATGTGAGACTGTGGTCATTCAGAACACTAGTGTATGATGAGACTGAAATGTTTTTGAACTCAATCTAAATTGAGTCAAGCTCAGCAATTGTCTGGAATTTGTTTGAGAGACACTTTATCACATACTTTTTGAAGCTGGATTTGGTATTAAGATTAATTATACATAATGGTTTTTTATAGGACTTACAGAATAATTGGCTGAGAGAATAATTTTGAGATATCAGTGATCAACTAGGCTCAGGAAATATATATCTGTATCTATAGCTATATCTATATACATATCTATAGATATATCTATAGCTATATCTATATACATATCTATAGATATATCTATAGCTATATCTATATACATATCTATAGATATATCTATATACATATCTATAGATATATCTATATACATATCTATAGATATATCTATATACATATCTATAGATATATCTATATACATATCTATAGATATATCTATATACATCTATAGATATATCTATATACATCTATAGATATATCTATATACATATCTATAGATATATCTATATACATATCTATATCTATAGATATATCTATATACATATCTATAGATATATCTATACACATATCTATATCCATAGATATATCTATATACATATCTATACACATATCTATATATATATAGATATATCTATATACATATCTATAACTCATCTATATCTATGTGAGCAATTTGAAACTAGGGCTAAGCCTATTCACACTAAGAGTCTCTATATACATTGCAATTCTTCCAATTCTTCTGAATGCGGGATATTCTTTGATTTCTCCAGAGAAAAAACAGTTTCATCTTTCCACATTTCATTCAAGTATTAGTTCCTCTGAAACTAATATGTATGGTTAATTCGTATTATTCACACTATTTTCTTAATATATCATCAGTTTTATATTTAAAAGTTTAAATTTTATGGAATTATATATAATTTTAATCCAACTAGAAAAATGTTGTCCTTTCTTTTTCATAGGTATTATAATTCCAACAACATTTGTCTCTTGATTCTTTTTCATATTTTTATTAGTTGCAATTAGGATAGTCTATACTGCAGTAACAAAAGAACCACAATCTCAAGGAATGAACTTCACAGATTTATTGCTCATCTTGTGTCCAGTGCAGGTTTAGTGGCTCTCTTTAAAATCTATTCTTGTATGGATGTCCTCAATATCCTCAATGACGTCTTCCATTCTATGACATTACCTTCTTAAATACTTAAGTTCTAGTGTTACCACGAAAAGGAAAGAGAAGGCATATAAAGGAGGTTTTAGGCCCAAGCATCCAAGGTGTTATATATGTCCTACAAATATGTCATTTCCCAGAACTCCATCGCACAGCCTTCGCTTAACTACAAGCATGAATGCTAAAATATTGATTCTACCTTTGTGCCCAGGAAGAAGGAAAGAAATATAAATTAATAAAACACATTGCATGGTCTCTGCTATCATAAATAACACATTCCAGGAAACAAGGAAGGAGAAGGGAATCAGAACATTTTTGGTAAGTGTGATCTAAAGGAGCAGAGACTGATACGGGATAAAGATGCAGAATAAAATAAAGTTAGGGAAACATATACTGATGATAATCCAGCAATAACCTCAGTCTAGTTAAACCAGAAGGGGGATAATAATTAGATTTAAAATTGAGATGCCAGACCACTTATTAAAAAGTGATATAGGGCTCAAATAATTGGAGAGACAAGGTAAACATGTACACAGATATGTTGTATAGGAGAATCAAATGTGGTAGACTGTATTATTTTTTAAAGATATTTTTGATGCTCAACCTAAAGTGACATTATAAATTCCCATGTGTTTGGAATGGAAATATAACTTGCTCTGTCCAATGAAATATAAATGCAAGTAAGAGGTGTCATTCCGAAGTGTATTAGGAGCCAGTGTGTGTTTTTTCATAAAGTCTTGCCCCCACTCTTTGAACATGAAAGCTCAAGCTGAGATAGAGACTCTGTCAGCCTGATGGTTTCAGTGAATGAAATGAGCAGATCTCATTACTACCTGGTAAACATGCAGTGGGAACTAGAGACAAACTTTGTAGTTTTAAACCACTGAGATATCCAGGCTGTTGGTAATTGAAGAATAGTTTATATCTTCCTGACTGACAACAGAAATTGAGACCAGGAATAAGGATGTGATGTACCAGGAAACTACATTGCGTGTTTTGGATTAAGTGCACAGAAAAGAGTCTATTACTCAGGGCTGGAAAAAAAAAAAGTAATATATACAAAAGTAAAACTTTCAGTAAAATATCCCCTTCGATAACTTGGAAGGCCAATGAGGTGTTCAATATTTTGTACCTTTCAAGGAAGAAAGAAAAAAAACAAAAGAAACTGAGTATGGCTTTCTTAAAGAATCTGATGAGCTCAAAGCACCAGGCATTGATTCCTGAGTGCAATTGTACTTATAGACACAGTGAATAGGGACAAAAAATACTGCAATAAGATACACAAAATATACACATAGATGCTTTACGTATCTTTTTGACCATTATTCCAAGCACCTAACAAATGTCGAGAGCATAGTAGTGTTGTTTTAAATATTGTACAGTATTTCTAGTCTGTAATTTTTTTCTCTCTCTACAATAGGCACCTCTCTCTCTTTCTCTCTTTCTCTCTCTCTCTCACTGTATGTGTGTATTTTAGATTCCTCAGAGACATACACACTATTAGTTGTTATGTTTGCTATTCATCTTTTTAAATTTTTCATTTTTTTCTTTTGCTATCAATATAAATAAAAGAAAAGAATAAAGCTTGCACAACTGTTGAGTCCTGTAGAATCCAGAAATACAGGTTCTTTGAATTCACTGCACGCTACCTGAGATTTGACATCTCCAGAATAGTGTCCTGGTAATAGCTGGAGTCCTTGACATTGTTCTTTATTCATTTTTTCTTTTTCCTGTAACTCTTCCATGTATAACATTTTCATTATTTGTAGTTTCTCAAATTTGCTGAATATTTTCTCCTGGAAATTTACCACTACTCTTTTTTCTCCTCATATATTATGGAAGGTCTATTATTTATTAGGTTTTCCACACAGATTTGAATTTCTCTCTTCCTTATATATTTTCCTCTTCTTCATTAAAAATGCCTTTAATTCATTTTCTGATCCATGCTTATTCTCTTTTTGCCTTATTTAAAAGCTCTCTACTTTCCATTAGTTAATAAAGCAAATGCAAAACAATTATTGGTTAGAAATGTTGTTCTTCCTAATTTCTGTCAAACTTTGTTCATGTGTCTAGTGTAGCCCACTGTCTTATGGACTACATAAACAAATGAGTGTTTTCTCCTGATTATCCCTCCAACAATTTAAAAATATTTCTTCTCTCTCTAAATAATCCAAAGTTTTCCAAGTTTTGTTTACTTACGTAGTGAGAAAAGAAGATTTTTTTTTTTAATTATACTTTAAGTTTTAGGGTACATGTGCACATTGTGCAGGTTAGTTACATATGTATACATGTGCCATGCTGGTGTGCTGCACCCACTAACTCGTCATCTAGCATTAGGTATATCTCCCAATGCTATCCCTCACCCCTCCCCCCACCCCACCACAGTCCCCAGAGTGTGATATTCCCTTTCCTGTGTCCATGTGATCTCATTGTTCAATTCCCACCTATGAGTGAGAATATGTGGTGTTTGCTTTTTTGTTCTTGCGATAGTTTACTGAGAATGATGATTTCCAATTTCATCCATGTCCCTACAAAGGACATGAACTCATCATTTTTTATGGCTGCATAGTATTCCATGGTGTATATGTGCCACATTTTCTTAATCCAGTCTATCATTGTTGGACATTTGGGTTGGTTCCAAGTCTTTGCTATTGTGAATAATGCCGCAATAAACATACGTGTGCATGTGTCTTTATAGCAGCATGATTTATAGTCATTTGGGTATATACCCAGTAATGGGATGGCTGGGTCAAATGGTATTTCTAGTTCTAGATCCCTGAGGAATCGCCACACTGACTTCCACAATGGTTGAACTAGTTTACAGTCCCACCAACAGTGTAAAAGTGTTCCTATTTCTCCACATCCTCTCCAGCACCTGTTGTTTCCTGACTTTTTAATGATTGCCATTCTAACTGGTGTGAGATGGTATCTTATAGTGGTTTTGATTTGCATTTCTCTGATGGCTAGTGATGATGAGCATTTTTTCATGTGTTTTTTGGCTGCATAAATGTCTTCTTTTGAGAAGTGTCTGTTCATGTCCTTCACCCACTTTTTGATGGGGTTGTTTGTTTTTTTTTGTACATTTGTTTGAGTTCATTGTAGATTCTGGATATTAGCCCTTTGTCAGATGAGTAGGTTGCAAAAATTTTCTCCCATTTTGTAGGTTGCCTGTTCACTCTGATGGTAGTTTCTTTTGCTGTGCAAAAGCTCTTTAGTTTAATTAGATCCCATTTGTCAATTTTGGCTTTTGTTGCCATTGCTTTTGGTGTTTTGGACATGAAGTCCTTGCCCATGCCTATGTCCTGAATGGTAATGCCTAGGTTTTCTTCTAGGGTTTTTATGGTTTTAGGTCTAATGTTTAAATCTTTAATCCATCTTGAATTAATTTTTGTATAAAGTGTAAGGAAGGGATCCAGTTTCAGCTTTCTACATATGGCTAGCCAGTTTTCCCAGCACCATTTATTAAATAGGGAATCCTTTCCCCATTGCTTGTTTTTCTCAGGTTTGTCAAAGATCAGATAGTTGTAGGTATGCGGCGTTATTTCTGAGGGCTCTGTTCTATTTTTAATTGACAATGGTAGGATTTTAAAATCATGTTTGTTTCAATTCTGTTATCCATTTATATCTTCTTTAGTATGTTGCATTCGGTTAACATTTTTATTCAAACACATATATTTAAACTTGTATTCTTATTGAATGGCTCTAACACAATAGGCTTTTATTTGGTGTTTAGTCTACTTTCTGTTCTAGATTCAGTTGAAATACCCTTTCAATACTCAAACTGTCTTAAGTGTAGCAATGGCATGATAGCCTTACATTTTCTTTCATGTCTGTTCTTGATGATATACAAATTTAGAACCATGAGATTTTTCCATGCTGACTCTTGGAATTTTATAAAATGTCAAGTAAAATTTTCATATATTTCAACATCTATATACACACAGTAAAACTACTCTAGTTTAAAGGCTATATTTACAATAATTGCTATAAAGGTACAAGGCAGGGTTTTCACTCAAGGGAACTCAAAGGAAAGGACACTATGTGTATATCTGTGCCTTTGTGGAAGTTAAAAAAATCCTAAGTACTTCCCCTTTTCCCATTTGGCATAATGATAATGCAGCCATTTCAAAAATCCATTTTCTCCTGTGAAGTCCATGAAGTTAGGACTTTTGTGTCTTACTCTCTACTGTATCCTGAGTGCTTCGCATATTGTCTGCCATATATAATTGTGTTTTAGTAAATGGAGGAGAATAGAAGTTATTCAAGGGTTGAAGAGGCAGCCTTCCAGACAGAGCAAACTGCATGGCATATCCTTTCCCCTGTGTGCAGTGATGGTGCTGAACTCATCTTTATTGTGATTTATTCTTTCTTCAGCTTCTATTGCTTCTATTGCTCTTTGGTAAATATCAAAATTCTAAGCATGTTTTAGTAGGCCCTTAGTAATTTTTCATTTGCTTGCCTTTCTGGATTTCTATCTTACCACTTGCAACTATGATGCAATCATACTGAGCTATTATCAGTTTCTTTATATCCCTGAGATATGCCTATCTAACAAACTTTACCTTATATTCTTCATCTAGCTAATGCCTATTCACCCTGAATGTTTCAACTTTTAGGTATTTTCTTTCTAGGAGACTTCTCAACTTTGCAAGCACAGCTTAGATACCTCTGATATGAACTTCCACTAAACTATATACTTCTAATTTATGCACTTTCAAAATATGTCATTATTATGTATCCTATGTCTGATTATAATGTAATCTTTGTTAATGGAGCATGTCTCTGTTGCTCTTCATATTTTTAGCACCTAACACAGAATATAAAACCTAGAAACTGCTCAAATATTTACTATTGGTTGTTGAATACAGGACACCTTTTAGGAAGTCAGAGCTTCTGAATTTTATTGCTAAGAAATTATTCTACATCTTTTCAGCAGAAAAACCTACATGTTGAAGGTAAAATGGTGTATTAGTTCATTCTTGCTGTAAAGAAATACCTGAGACTAGGTAATGTCTAAATAAAGGAAGTTTAATTGGCTCATTGTTCTCAGGCTGTACAGGAAACACAGTAGCTTCTGCTTCTGGGGAAGCCTCAGGAAACTTAGAATAGTGGCGCAAGGTAAAGAGGAAACAGGCACATCTTACATGGCCAGAGCAGGAGCAAATGAGAGAAAGGAAGGTGGCGCTACACACTTTTAAACAACCAGATCTTGTGAGAACTCTAATGAGGAAAGCACCAAAGGGATGGTGCTAAACCATACATGAAGGGTTCACCCCCGTGACCCAATCACCTTTCACCAGGCCCCACTTCCAACACTGGGGATTATAATCGAACGTGAGATTTGGGTACAGGCACAGATCCAAACCACATCAAATGGTAAACAGACAGATAAGAATAGTTAGCCTTGAAAGTACAGTGTTAAAGGTCAGTAAGTCCATAGTAAGACACTGTGTATTTCCAGTTGTAGTACTTAATAGGCAGAGTACCATAGCCCATGTGGCATTGAATATCTAAAGCAAAGAACTTTGATCAACATTTTAAAAATGTGGTTTAAAATTAAAAACAATGTCCAAAGACTTCTTCAGTCCCATGTTCACTTAAGAAATATTTTCAGTCCATGCAAGTGGTTTGGTGCATAGATAAATATATAGTAAACTGCACATAGTTGAGGGATCTTATAGAGAGCACGAAAGCCCTCACTGGCCTCAGTCAAAAGAATTAGTAATTATAGATCCAACGGAAATTAATTAAGCGGGGCAATGCCTTCTCTTTAAAAAATGTACAGGAGCATAACCCGTTTTGTTCAGGTATGATCACTTTACAACCACAAATTGATGGTTTTAAAGATATAAAAATAGATATCCCATTACTTACTAGATTTGCTACACCTATCAAAGAAGTTGGTTCAAACTAGAAAACATGGGACTTTTCTCTACCATTCAAACATAACATATAGGCCTCTGACTGCCTGGAATTCATAACAAAATTTCAAATCTTTTTACAACAGCTGCTGAAATTATGCCTTTAGCTAATCATAGAGTGAGACTGTGGACATGTGCTTGCATGCCTGTGTGTATGTATGGTATGTAATTTGGTTACATTCGGTTCTCACTTGGTTTGAAATGCAGAACTCCTTTTTATTTTTTTTAAGTTAGCTTCCATGAACTCATTTCCTTTAAATTGTATTTATAATGAAATTTTCTGATTTAAATTGCTCTCTCTTTTTCTCTCTGCATGCCCCCCCCACACCACATTTGATTTTATTTCTGTTTTTGATGGACTGTTTACCTTCTTTCCCTTTGAATTTTTCTCCATTTTTTCCTTTATATGTGTTTTACCTGACAGGTTTCTCTTCTCTCATTGAGAAGTCAGAAAAATGCATTTATTTGGAGACATATGCCACTTTTTTCCTTGTTTAAACTCTTTCCTTCTGTTTTTTTTTTCTTATCTTGTCCTTATTCCTTGCCAGCCTGTTGTCCACTGCCTTTTACCCAAACGCTTTTTGAAATCCTCCTGCTATTTGAGCTTTCCTTGAGGGAGAACATAGGTTCTCCCTCAAATCCCATTTTGTTCCTTTCTTAATTTGTGAAAGTGAGGCAGTCACATAGAAAGATTCTGAGACAGGAATCCAGAGAGAACTAGGTTTAAATTTGGCTTGCTTCTTGCTCCCTGCATAGCCTTGGGTGAGTAATTGGCCCGTTCTGAGTCTCAGTTTCCTTCAGTGAAATTGAGATCCTAATAATCACCTTGAGAGATTGCTGCCAGGATTAGAGACAATGAAGGTAAAGTACCTGTTTTGGAATTGGCACTCCACATTAAGAAGTCCTTCTTGTCATTTTTCTCCTTATTACTGTCCCAGTAGGATTACTGTATTCACTAGCGCAGACATTAATAGTTTTGTTGCTTTATTTTTCCTTCCAGTGTAGACCCTTGAAGCTGAGAAGCTGGGCATGCTTCCATTTTAATTTGACATGTTTTGGGGGAGTTTGTACAGAGAAGTTAATCCAAAGGTTACATTTAGACATCTTTTCATAAATAATCACTAATACATACTTGTGCTCTATATAGAAAATATTATGTCTGATTACCTTTATATTTTTGGACAGTGTTTTTGACTGCCAATAATCAATTACAACACTTTTCTCTCCTTAAATGTACTTATACAATTAGATTAACAGTGCTTTCTTAAAATAGTACTCTTTTATTCCACTTTTTAAACTAGAAGTAAATATACTGACTTTTCTTATAATTATGATTATGTTAATTTTTTCAAACTAGTTCTTAATATGTACCATGACTACAAATATCATTAGGGATTTTCTATCGTCTAAGGTTTGGATTGTTAATTTGGGTAATTTAAAAACAGAAATATCCTCAGTAAATTTCAGAGAACTTCCCACAAAGTCAAGTTCTAGGTGAGCTGATTTGCAACACTAAATGCAGCAATCAAAGTAAAACTACATCTTTTTATCTTCAACCTACCAAAAAGGAAGCACAGTATTCTTGAGTATCAAAGATATGTGGACTAACTCACAAATAGAATCTTTTGAATGGAGCCCAAACCATTAGGCTGCAGGATAAGTGTTCCATTAACCCATGGCAAAATTTAATCATTCACCGGGGACACAAAACCCAAATTGCCTTTTGAAAATATAGGTCTGGCCGGGCGCGCTGGCTCACGCCTGAAATCCCAGCACTTTGGGAGGCCGAGGCGGGTGGATCACAAGGTCAGGAGATTGAGACCATCCTGGCTAACATGGTGAAACCTCGTCTCTACTAAAAATACAAAAAATCAGCCGGGCATGGTGGCGGGTGCCTGTAGTCCCAGCTACTCAGGAGGCTGAGGCAGGAGAACGCCGTGAACCCGGAAGGCAGAGCTTGCAGTGAGCCGAGATTGCGCCACTGCACTCCAGCCTGGGCGACAGAGCGAGACTCCGTCTCGAAAAAAAAAAAAAAAAGAAAAAGAAAGAAAATACAGGTCTTCAACTGGTAATTTTTCCAATTGTAGCCTTTGTCAAAAGTAGGCAGCTTCAAACTGGAGATGGTAGCCTTAGGGTTTGGATTCATTATGTCTCCTACAGATACCATCTTTTATCAGATACATTTATTTGGAAATGCGATTATTGGCCTATACATTAGTCAGCTCAGGCTTCCATAACAAAATAATGTAGACTTAGTGACTTGAACAACAGAAATTTATTTAGTCACAGATCTGGAGACTGGAAGTCCAAGATCAAGGTGTCACAAGGTCGATTTCTGGAGAATGCTCTTCCTTCAGATTGTAGACAGCCAGCTTCTTGCGGTGTACTCACATGGTAGACAGAAGAGAGAGTGAGCAAGCTCTCTGCTATCTCTTCTTATAAGAGCCCCCATTCCATCAGAAAGAGTGCCACATGCATGACCTCATCGAACCCTAATTATTTCCTAAAGACCACATGGCCAAACTCCATCAAACTGAGGATTAGGGGTTCAACATATACATTTCAGAGGGACACAAGCATTCAGTCCATAACAGCCTGCTACAGGGCTCAGATCAAAACTGAACACTTCACCCAATATTCTGTTAGTAGTGTGGAAAGTGGGATAAGTTACACTGACTGCTCTCAAGCAGTCCTTCCAAAGAAAATGACTAGACTCAATTATCCAAACAGAATTGGAAACTTTAAGGCTTACCAGCCACCTGAGAGGACATGGTGAAGACAACCTGAGTCATCCAACTGGTATAGCCCCATATTGGGATGCGGGAGGCGAGGGCCCAGAAATTGTACTATTTTATTTCCACGGATCTATGTGTGCATTTAGGACTGTACACCTTGTGTATAATCCAAATATTAGCTTGTTTGGCCCTAAGACTACAGTAGCTTTCACCGTAAAGGCAGGGACTTTAAGTGTTAAAGTGAACACTACCAGTAGCTCAGACAGTCCTCTACAGAAATACCTCTGAAACAATGCTGCCTACCTTTAGTTCCAACAGAGATCCCCACAAAGATAACTAACTCATTGATTATGTACACTCAAATCATAGTACATTTGCCATGGGAGTTGTCCAATTAGAAAATATGGTATAAAATATGTCTCTCACTTTATTTCGTAGGCTGAGTTCCTGGAATGAGTAGTCTTCATTGGCTGTTTATTAATATGTACTTCTCAAGTTTCCATCTTGCTGTGCAGACTACACTATCCCTGCTTCTTTTGTTGAGTCATCTTATCCTGTCCAACCTTTCCACTTTGTTGCTCAGAACATCTATAAACTCTTTTCTCTTCGCATTATACCTTCTTTCCTTTTGTCTTATTTCCTGTCTCCTACAACTTCACCTTAGAGAAATCTAACCCATATATCTATCTGCCAGATACTTTATATACACATCCCATTTAATCCTTACATTCAACCTGTTGGGTAACCATTTTATCCCTGTTTTACAGATGGTAAAACTGAGACCTACAGTGGTTCTGTAACAAAATAGCAAGGCCTAAGTTTGAACCTGTGGGTTAAACACTATGTTCTTTTCCACTTCCCAACTTATCTTGTGATTTTAAAAAGAAAGTTAATATTAGTTCTACTTAAAAGCCATAATGAGCTCTCCATGTCTTGTAGAAGAAAGTTTGAGTTTCTGTTCTTGGATACAAGTGGCTCTATGACAGGAGACACAGCCATTCCTCAATACGTAACCTCTCATTGAATCATACTCAATTGTTTACATTTTTTTTCTGAAAAAGCCTGATTTTACCTTTGCACATCTTTTGTTCTTTGTTTGAAATGCATCTCTCTTCCTTATCAACTGAGAAACTGCTGTTCATACTTTAATCCTTTATCCTCTTCCTCAGCCCTGGAACTGCTACCTAAGTAGAGAGCCTTCCAATATATTCTTATATTATAACATGTTTTACATGGTATTTATAAGTGTCTCTATCCTCCTAGGTTTTGAACTCACTAAGGATATGGATCTATTGATAATTGTAACTTTGACTTAAAACATAGACACTTAAAATACAGTTTATTAAATAAAATAACCATTTTTGGCTTATGGCCTTGGAAAATTCATTAACCATATTTTTGTTTATGCGCTATTAAGCAAAGCTGTTATTTTTCTCTATGTATGTTCATTTGATAATGATGTTTATGCTAAAATTTCCAAAACTTTTTAAAATTTATTTAAATTATTGATGTACATATAATCATTTCCTCTCTTTCTTTCCCCATCTGTCTTGGTAGTAACTGAAAAGAGCAGACATTGAGCCAAAGCTAGGATCTGTATCATAGTAACAGACTGGGTTTCAGATAACTACACTTCCCCTTCCCCCCAGCCCCCACCCCATTGCTCCTGGGCTTCTGACTTCATAGACACTAATGCAGTAATGCAGAGATTTCACTCAATGTATAAGAGATCATGAGGTCATCATAAAAGTGATAGAAGTTGGAAACCAAAATATTTATTCTAGGCTAGAAGCCAATGATTGCTACACAAAAACAAACAAAAACAAGACACAGATCTAACAATTAATTAGTTTTCTCTTGTTAATCTCCTTAGTTGCCTCTACTTAAGGGTGAAAAATTTTTGTTAAATATTTTTCAAGGTACCAACAATAAAAATTTCATTGTCATATTTTTTAAAGAGAAATTTAGTGATAATAATTTCAGGTGGTTATTTCCACATTCTGCCCCAGGATAGACATTTCATGGCAGTAGCAGAGCAAATAAAAAACCTGGGCCCTTGACACTCAAGAATTGCATTTTAATCCATTGCATTTCCAGTATTCTTTATTGAGAGCATTTTTAACTCAGTCTTCCCAAACATGCTACTTAAACAAAATTCTTTCAGTAGTGACAGGTATTAAGAACACTCTAGGGGACTCTCTGGATCTTTCTATTACAGTCCCCAGCTAACGGATTTGAAACCTTCTACCCATGCATGTTTCTGCTATAGCAACATCTATACTAACAGTAAGATACAATAATTTATATTTCCAAATACTGTAGTTGAACTATAAGGCATTTGATTATTTTATCATCATTGTTGGAATATAACTTAGAATATTCTAAGCATATTGACTGAAATGACTAGCAGAAATTTAAAGTAATAATAGAAAAGAAACTTCACAAACACTATTCAGAAAAATAAAGAATCTTTTAGAAGTCTTGATGAGAAACTATTGCCTCTAAGAGTTCCCAACAGTTTCCTTATATATTTTGTCTTCGAGGATTTTAGTTAATGAACGCTATTATTTTAATTATTTAGTACTGCACAGAAATGTATTTTTAATAATGTATTCTGTATATATTGACTAAAGATAAATAATGTTCAATTCACAAACATGAACTATGAACTTACTGAAATTTCAAAAAATAACCTTCTATAGTTAAAAATAAATGCTATCATAGACAAATTTCAATTCAAAATTTGATGTGAAAATCAGGTACTATTTTTTTTCTTTTGTTTTACAGAGAAACCCTTGAACATTCCACATGTTCCTTTTGATTATACTGTGGCCTTAAAATGTAATTTCCACATGGGCAGAGACTTCTGTCTGCTTTATTCACTGCTGTAAATCTATAAGGTCTAAAAATAATGCTTGATATATGGTATACACTAAGAAATATTTGTTGAAAGAATAAATATAATATCACTTCTTGGCTCGCAGGTCAATAGACAAAAGAGATTGGAATATCAATCCCGTATTTCAACATGATCCCTTTTGCTCTTTATTAACTACTTAGTTCCCTCAAGAGATAGAAATTCCTTCATTTTAATCCAAGGAAGAGAAAGAATAAAGAGACATTTGAAAAGGATTGCTTTTCTTGGAATAAAACAATAAAGGTGATAACATCTGTACAAGATAAAGTAGGCTGATTTTGTTGGATCTGAGGTTTAAGATTGCTGTTCTATCTCCTTATGTTTCCTACAAAAAGAAATAATGAAATTGGAAAAATAATTGGAGTAAATATTCAATTACTCTTCTGTAACAGAATTGAGAGTAGAGTTTGGGAAGCCAACCTTAAAAGCAAGCCTGGAAAATCTCCTTGGGCCATCATCATTCTACTTGTCTTCTTGATTTGTGCATTTTATCCATCTCTTAAACAACCTCCTATCACTCTCGCACCCACCAAAATGGATATAGCCATCACGTAATATGGGACTCTTTGAGAACTACCTTTTAATTTTTAAACTGTAAATGTGTTCTTATGATTTAAATCTGTCTAAATGTCAGAAATTCCTCCACTTTGACAAGTCTAAAAATCCTTGGGAAAATTTTTAAACAGCTCCTAATTTAGCTAAGATGACTTAGAATTTCTGTCAGTAATTGGGGTGCAGAAAAAAAAAAAGTTCTGCAGCTTAATTGATGTTTACTACTCTTGAAGGTAACTTCCACTGACACTGCAGACCAGGTTTAAAGGGGCTGCCTAGATGTAGAGTTAGAGATCCTATCTTCTTTTGACAATGAAACTGAAAACCTAGAAACTCTTCTGTTATCTCCTGCAGCTTGTAACCTGACCAACTGTCACAAATCATTGTGTTTTTAGCCTGACATAGTGAAACACCCTAAGGAAACCTGTTTTGTAGGAATCTGGCAAAACAATGATTAGAATAACGATAGTTTGTATGAGGCAATGTATTATAAACTCTTTTTGAATTCTGTAGTGCTCTATACATGTTAGCTGTTTTCATTACCCATAATTGAAGTTGTCATCACTTATTGTTTTCAGTGCTGGGTGAGAAAGTCTTTATTTAACTCATGCTTCCTTTGTATGGGCTCAGAAAATATATCTCATACACATTAACTGCCACAGCTTTCTGGAAAGCTTCCTCTTGTTTGCAGTATCTTTGTGGAAGATTTCTTAAGGTTACATCCCTAGTTTCAAAATGTGACATCTTAGCTGTTAAATGAATTATTTGTGAAGGAAAGTCACTGTGCAATGTATTATTGAAAACACTAAAGATGATGCAGTTTGCTGACTTTTTCTGAAAATAGTGATTCCTGAATATTTTAATATTAATTGAATTTGGAGTTTATAAAGCAAAGAGTTCAGAAACTGAAAGAAAAGAATTGGAGTCTAATGAGAAAGTGCTGAAGGCATGCTCATTAGTACTCATTGGAACTTTAACCCACAAGAGTACAAGTGCCTGTTCTCTATGTCAATACTAATTCATATATTCATGCCTTGTCTTACAAAAGGGTAGAAACACTGAATCCTCTCCCTACTCACCCTCATTTTACTTGGTATTGGTATGTATGTGTGTTTGTGTGTGTGTTCCTGTGTGTTCTCAGAAGTCGTCACTTAGTATTTCAGTATGTATATTGACATTTTTAGAAGTACAAAATCAGCTAGTAGTGTATTAGTGGTTGAAAATTTTCCACTCAGTCCCTTAGTCCCTGCTTATCAATTTATTTTACTGCAAATCTCTGCTCTTTAAGCAGCTACTAATGAGAGGTGATCCCCCAGCAGGAAATAACACAGGCAGGTGGGGAGAAATCCTGCTCTGTGATCTTCTCCCTTTGATATATGCTTAAATAACAGCTCAAAGAATTTCTGCTTCCTGGTGGGCAGTAGAATTAACATCAGCTTATGTAATGAGCAGCGACCATAAACTAAATTTCTATGGAAAAAGTTATGTTTAACCTATATAACAGTTATACACCAGGTATATGTATTAATGCATTAATATAATCTATTTTTATCTAAATTTTGTGCTAACTTGGAGAAATCACACCTACACTGTTGATCTTTCTGGAATAGTTCTATAAAACTATATCTTTAAAATCACCCTGAAGTGTTAAGACTGCATATTGTGTTAGAGGGTGGAGTAAATAGGGAAGAAAGTATGAGATAATTTTCTCTCAAATATATACTGTCAAAGGTGTGTTGTAGAGTTTGGTAAACTGACCTTACAGGTCTGTAAAGACTACGTCTCTTTTCTAAAGGCCTGCCATGGGCTTTGAGGATAGAACACTCAGATGGTAGAATGTGGCCTTGCTGCAAACCACGAATTTCCATTCATTTCTATACTAGGCCACATTTGCATGTATAAACCATGTTCTGCAGCTAGTAAAAACACAAGTTTCTAGCCAAAATGTAGACTCTTACCCTCCATTCTATCATCTTTTGTCTCTTACCCTCCATTCTATCATCTTTAGTAATGGCTGCCACTCCTCCAGGTATCCCATGGAAAGTTCAAAGAGGTAAAAGCAGCAGAGCTCTGTTTCATTGGCCAGGACTTGAACACATGGCCATCAGAGAAGTGGTGAAATGGGATTTTAGCTATTCCAATCTCTAATAGTACATGTGTGCTAACTTTTATCTTTTGCAAGTCAAAATGCCCTGTTCTCTTTGCTGTCTTATAGGCACCCACTCATCTGAAAAGCAGGCAGCTGCCAGTCTGTAGACATGTCCTGGAAAAGTTAAAGAAATATACTGAAAAATAACACACAGATGATAATTGCATTTATGAAAATAAAAAAAAAATTGAGACAAAAACTAAGAAATGATTCTGTAATGTCAGTGTTTATCACAGTGGGACATTTATAGAGGATCTGTGTAAAATCTGGGGCTACCTGTCCCTAAGGACCTATGGTGCAGGAGTCTCATTCTGTGTCCTTTTTCAGGCAAAACTCCAATAGTAGTCCAGGAACACTGAAGTACATTCAAGTCAATGAGAGTTTTATATTCATAGAAACCCTAGAACAAGCCTCATTAATGTACTTACAAGACCTAAAATGGAGCCAACCATGTATCTCTTATTTCCCCACTGAGAAATCCATCAGCTTTCTTTGTTCAAGAGCTTAATTGCCAAAAACCTTTTCTGTCTGTTTCTGAATGTTTGTTTCTCAATAATAATCAAAGAATAACAGTTGGAAATATTTTTCTAAAATATTTATCCTGTCAATGGTTATTGTCAGAGGCTTTAAAAACCTCTTTGCTTCTGTGTTACTTTTTAAAATAGGAGGCTTTCAGAGTAAACTATATCTGAGAAGGCCAATAGAATTTAAAAACAAAGATTCTTGAAGATAGAATAAATGTCAAGAGCATTTTTTCAAGCTTTTCTGTCTTTAGGCAGGCAAGGTAACACTATGCTCATTTCAAGGAAGGTATCTTAAATCTAAAGTGACTTTAATAAGTGGTTTATGGGAGAAAAACTCAAACTAGTGCTGAAAGGAAGGGATACTACTAAGTTTAGGAAGTCAAATAAGCAAAGCTGGTTGCTGGGTTTCCAGGCAGAAGTTATAGAGGCAGATACTTTATAGTTCCCCTTTAAGAAAGGATGTGAGTAGGCAGTCAGTCATCAGCGAGGTCTGTAGACAGATAAACTGGCACTGTGTGTTGCATGAATAATTGAATGCAAGACTGACTGACTGACTCAATGAATGAATGAATGAACATAAGGGGACTCCAACCAGCAACAAAGTTCAAGAGATTTCCATTGCAAAGGTAAAGGGCAAGTCGTTGATCAGAGTTTATGTATTTAATAGCTGGGGTGCAGGCAATCAGGAATCAGAGAAATACTTTATTATTCAGACTATTCATTTGTTCTAAGACTTCTATTTGGAAGAGTGACACAAAGACATGTCCTCATTTCTGATCCAGGGCATCCATTCAAATAAATGGATTTCTGTCTTGTTCCTGGACTTCTATGCTGGGAAGAAGAAAATAAGAAACTGGTCAAATTTCCAACACAAGTATCTGCAAGGTCCATTTTGTCTGAAAAGAGGATCCAAGGATATTAGAAGGGGACACAGGGTGAAAGACTATTGGAAACCCAATATTAATTGATTCTGTGGCTGGTGAGGCCTAAATCAATGATGACTCAGCCCGAGGCTGGGTCTCAGCCATAACAACCAGTAGAAATGCTGAGAAAACAGAATTACCTCAAATCAAAGTTTAACTTGACTCAAAATTACCTGACCTATTATTATTATTTTATTATTATTATTATTTTGAGACAGAGTCTCGCTCTGTCACCAGGCTGGAGTGCAGTGGTGCGATATCAGCTCACTGCAACATCCAACTTCCTGGTTCAAGTGATTCTCTTGCCTCAGCCTCCTGAGTAGCTGAGATTACAGGCATGCGCCACCATGCCCAGCTAATTTTTTTGTATTTTTAGTAGAGACGGGGTTTTGCCACGTTGGCCAGGATGATCTCAATCTCCTGACAGTATGATCCAGCCGCCTCAGCCTCCCAAAGTGCTGGGATTACAGGCGTGAGCCACCGCACCTAGCCTGACTTATTATTTTTTTAATTATTATTTTTTTCAAATTGTGCAATGCACAGAGTTTTAAAATTCAAAAATTTTTACCAGTTTATAACAGCAATGACAAGCAACACCTGCCCTATCCCTCTCCACTTCTGATTCTTGCTTCATGGAGGCAGCTATTTTAAACATTTCTCCTAATCATCACTTCCATATTTCTAAGTAGAATGCTTATATAATATTATGTGAACTTTCTGTTTTAGTTTTAGCTATTGACTTTGTATTAGAGGAGATGAGAATATAGCTTCCTACACTTGGCCAGCACTTATCTCTACACCCATTTCCCTTTTATCCATCCTCCCAAGAGTTAGTGCTTTAAAATTATTATCCCAGGCATACATTGTTTTATCTGTGTGAGCATTCATAATTGAGACTTTCAGTATATAAAAATTAAATTTTCTTTCTTATGCAACTTTTCTTTTTGCTAAAATTAAAGATTGCCTAATTTTTCATTTCTTTAGTCTCTCTACTTCTATCATGAATTCACTCTCAACAGTGCAAGTCAATGTTTTTTTAGTAAAAGATTTTGTTTGATTTTAGTTTCATTTCTTGGCATCATTCTTTATTGGTATCTGGAAATATTTTTCTAAAATATTTATCCTTTCAATGGTTATTGTCAGAACCAAAAAGTCGTGGTTATTCTCTGAGCGCTTCACTATCACCCCAAGGATTCTCCTCTCTTCTCTCTTAAGTTGAATCTCTATTTTTCTTGATCCCACGTTGTACTATTTCCTGAGTACCTTGCCAATTTTGTTAGAACATATCTTTCCACATATTTCTGAGAAGAAACATATGGGAGGTAAATATTTTGAAACTGTGCATTACTAAAAATTGCTTTATTCCATCCTTGACTGATAAGATGGCTGGATATAGAAGTCTAGCTGGGAAATTAATTCCCCTTAGAATTGTCAAGGCATTATTTCACTGCCTTCTGGTTTCCAGGGCTGCGTTTATAAAGCATAATACTTGAGATTTCTAATGTTTTGTAAGGGCTTTTTCTCTGGAAGCTTTTGAGAATATTTGACCTTTGTATTTTGAAATTTCACTATGATGTTCTTTTTGATGAGAAGTGCATTTTTCACCCTTTGGTGTATTTGTTTGCTGAAGCTGACATAACCAGATACCATAGACTGGGTGGCTTAAACAATAGAAGTTCATTTTTTCACTGCTATAAAGCCAAAAGTTCAAAATTCGTGGTTGTCAGGTTTGGTTTCTTCCGAGGCCTCTCCTCTTGGCTTGCAGATGGTCCTCTTCTTGCTGTGTCCTCACATCCTCATTGCTCTGTTGTGTGTCCAAATTTCCCCTTATTTTCAAGATACCAGTCAAATTTTATTATGGTTCATCATTTAATCACCTCTTTAAAGGCCCTATCTTCAAATACTATCACATTCTGAGGTAGTAAAGATTAGGTTTCAACATAAATTTGCAGCGGAAGACAATTCTAAGCCCTTTAGTTCTGAGACATTTCCTTGATTTTCTTGATAGTCTACTTTCCATCCAGTTCCTCTGTTCTTTTCCTCTCAGATGTATTTCTTAATCATTGGTAATTTCCTAATATTTTATTTCCAATTTCTTTCTCCTTGTATTTTTATTTGCCTTTCTAGTAGGATGTATTGGCTTTATTTTTAAATATTCATTTTATTTTCATATTATAGTTTTACTTTTTAACAGATGTTTTGTATTATCTCTTTTGTTTCATTTAGCTTAATCACTTAGTCACTTCATTTATCTCTGAAGTTTCATTGGTATAGTTTTTTTTCTTTTTAAATTTTCTTCTGCTTTTTACATTTTCTCTCTTTTCCTCTTTCATCTTATATCTTAAAAGGTTTTGCTTGGATGAATGGTAATCTTTGGATGTACATTCATATTTAAGAGTGAGGCACCACAAAGGTAACTGGAAGTGTGGTTGGTTTCAACTGGTTGATTTCATTGTGGGATGCTCTTTTTCTTTTTTTTGAAAAACCTAAACTGCAGTTGTCCCTTTGTACACATGGGAGTGTTCCCTGGACCCCTACATGTACTCAACATCTGAGCACTCCAAGTCCCTCAGTAGACCCCAAGAAGCCACTTACAGAAAAAGTCGGTCTCTCCTACATGCAGGTTTCCCATCCTGGGAATGCTGTATTTTTGATCTGTGTTTGGCTGAAAAATATCTGTGTATAAGTGGACCCATGCAGTTCAAACCCATGTCGTTCGAGGGTCAACTGTATTTGCAAATTGTTTCTTTTATTTTCTCCAGAGATGAATCCTCTAATTTCTTGCCTAGGGGAAATAAGCCTGTATGCCAGAATTCTCAGGAATTTGTGAAATAGGTGACTAGATACTCTATAATAACTAGGCGATCACTTCATCTCCCTCTTCTACCTTTTGGATCCTGTATTCTTATGGAGGTTTATAAAACTTGACCTGGGAGGCTAGTTGCTGCATATAAATATTTTCAACCTATCCTACTTGTCTCTTTTTCCTGTTACTTTGTGCCTTGTTAATCTTTATATGCTATTTTATTGAGTGTTTTTTTTTTGTTTTTTTTTTTTCAGAGAGTACAGGAAATCATGAATGTTCGGTCCATCACAGTTAACCAGGATTCTTTACCCAGACACTGATTAAGGACATGAATAACTCTTGAGAAGTGACTTCAACTAGGGACACCTGACAATGTTTGGAACTATTTTCAATTGTCAGTACTAAAGAATGTTACACATCTAGAGATTGGAGACCAGAGATTCTGCTAAACATCCTACAAAGCACTCGACATCCTCCCTCCCCCGAACAAAAAAGAGTATAATTTAGCCCAAAGTTTCAATAGTACTGAAGATGACAAATCCTGTTCTAGAGGGAGTTTAAAACTTTGCCTGTAGATGGAGCTTAAAATTGTTAAGGATTGCAGGGATTTGTATATAAGGAACAAATGAGATGCTAAAGGATATAGTAACCAATGGAAATATTTCATACAAAAGATGGAAACAACTGTTTAAACAAACTGTTGTGTTTGTTTAAAATATCATAAGTATTTTGACTAAAATTTATGCTGAGATAAACATTTTAAGGCAAGAAGTTACTAAAAATATGCATACATGTTTTTTCATAGATAGGAAAATGAATCTACCACAGTAGTTCTCAGCTCTGTTATGCATATTACAGCACTTGAAAAACTTTGAAAAAATACTGACACCTTGCACTGCACAAATAAATTGAATCAGAATCTCTAGGGAATGGAGCCTAACAGCATTGTTTTTATGAATTCTCCAAGTAATTCCAAAGTGCAGTTGGGTTTGAAAATCCTGGTCTACAGCAGATATCTAAATACTTTCTAAGTCCACAGATAGTTAATTGCCCTTTCCTGTGGCATTGTGGGCTCCTTTGTGTTTTCTCTTATATCATTAGAAAGATTAGACTATTGTGCATGCATCAGGATGAAGTCACATGGACCTTTTCTTTTTGTTACCATCCCCCCACCCCCAAAACTCTCTTGTCCTTCATTCTAATATATTCTTTGCACTGTCATTATAAACTAAAACTATGGTCATTTTAAGAGGCAGAATTAGAAAAAAAAAACTCTATATGTCTGTGGTGATTTATGTCCTGTCCTTTTAATAATGCTTACATAATGCCTGCTTAGCAGTAGGTCATCTATCTCAATTTCCTTGACCTTCTGTTTGATTTTCATCAAAGTGACCATATTCCTTTCTTGCACAGTTTATATCTGATTTTTGCCACCACAAATATGGATAACCTCAAAAGAGCCTTTAAAAGTGAGGTAAAATAATTAATACATGTTTGACTTTACCTATTATAATAATGCTGTGAAAATTGTGGGCTTCAATAATGTATTTTTTAAATTTATGCCATCATTAACAATGGTTGAATGAAGATAGTATAGAGTAACAGAAAAGTCCAAATGTATAATAATATGTAAAAAGTTTTAAAAATACACATTATGCTACATATTGTGTGAGGGTAGCAATAATATCAATAATATCTAGCTAGCATTTATTGAAAACTTAATATACACAAGGCATATTACATGCATTCATTTATTTAATATAAATTAATGTAACTAACATAACCTACCTATGTTGTATGTATCATTTCAATAATGAGGAAACAAAGGCACAGAAAGAAGAAGTACATTGCCAAAGGATATAGAACTCATACCAGCAGAGTCCAGGAGTCTAACTCAAGAGACGATGACCTTAACCTCTCTGATATGACCTGGATTTTATAAATGCATAGAATATAATCACTGAAAAAATACAGCCTAAAGCTTGCACTGTTTGCTTTAAATAGTCTATATTTTATATTTTCCTCTACTAAGAATTTCATAATTTTATAATGGAAAATAACAAAGGTAATTTATCTCATTGATAATTAAAATTGCACAACACCTGTTTATTTAGAAATATATATGTAATGCAATTACCTGATTGAATATTTCTTTCTGTATATGCTTAACTTCAGGCATTCTCAACATCTGCTTGTAGATTGAAATGTACAGATGTAGACATTGAATTAATTAATTTTGACTGACATCTTTGTCATTAGGAAAGCCATACCATTTCAATGTTAACTGGCCTGTAGCTAGTAAAAATTATATAACTGTTTCTCACGCTGGCCAGCATGGAAAGTTTACAGCGGTATTTCCCATAGACTTTTATGCTAAAACTCCAAAATTCCTGGGCTGTCTTATCATTTACCAAAGTATGATAGAAAGTGAAGAAGCTTGAGGGGCAGACCTATCTAGGATAAAGTATAAGATCAACATTTCTTAGCTCTATAATCTTTAGCAAGTTACTCAGTGTCTCTGACCTTCAAATTTTCTCACCTTTAAAAATGTGAATAACAGCTTAACTCAGCATTGTGCAGAAGACTGAATTAGAATGGATAAAAGGCTTAGTGTAGGTTCCCAACAAGTTGCATCTACTCCTGCTTCTACACCCCAAATCTCACCACTACTACTAGCCAATTACATTCCTGAAGCAAGGAGGCCACCAGATTCTACCAACCTGTTTTAACTCTATTCTTCCAACAGTCTTAGGCAAGAGGATACAAAATGCCCACTCTTCAGAAGCCTCCAAAGATGGTATCAAAGACTTTGCAGGATTTTTCTAAAAGGTATGAGTAGGGGAGTCTAAACAAGCAAGTGTTATAGATGCTGTCTTGGCAGTTTCCCAACTCTATTCCTACTAATAAGTTGAGAAAACCTAAAGTATGCTCAGAGAAATCAGACAATCTACTCAACATTTTGTCCTTCCTTCTTATATTGAGAGTGTTTAGCTGTACCACTTGGTAAAGTGTTTTTATTTATCATAAAATCCTCAGCTTTTGCTCTGTGAAAGTTATATAGATTATCTTCCCAGAAGCTCAAGGCTTTATTTTTCCTTTCAGTCTGTTCATAGAATTAAGTGTGCTATAATCACCCTGAATCCAGTTTAGTACTTTAAAGAGTTTTCAACCCAGGACCAAAATTAAACTCTTGGGCTCTAAACCCTAATACATACATATATATATATGTGTATATATATGTGTGTGTGTGTACACATGTATATATGTGTGTGTGTACGCATATATATGCACACACACATACACACATATATGTGTACACACACACATACACACATATAAGTGCACACACACACATACACACATATATGTGCACACACACGTATACACATATATATGTGCACACACACATACACATATATATGTGTACACACACATACACATATATATGTGTACACACACATACACACATATATATGTGTACACACACATACACACATATATATGTGTACACACACATACACACATATATATGTGTACACACACATACACACATATATATGTGTACACACACATACACACATATATATGTGTACACACACATACACACATATATATGTGTACACACACATATACACACATATATATGTGTACACACATATACACACATATATATGTGTACACACATATACACACATATATATGTGTACACACATATACACACATATATATGTGTACACACATATACACACATATATATGTGTACACACATATACACACATATATATGTGTACACACATATACACACATATATATGTGTACACACACACACATATGCATACATTTATATATGTATGCATATATATGTATATATACACACTACTCTGATAATAAATCATGAGTAGACCCAAAGTGCTTCACCTGGCTAACTAGAAGGCATCGTTTACACAGAATTGGCATACCCTTCTCCTAGCTTGAGTTTCTGTATGATGTGTAGATGCATACAGACACAGTCATATAATCAAAGGTTTTTAGATAGGAAGCACCTTAGGAAACCTCTTGTCTTAGTCCATTTGTACTGCCATAACAATACTTTTTTGGATAAATTGTGAACAACAGAAATTTATTTCTTGCAGTTCTGGAGTCCCCGAAGTCCAAGATCAAGATGCTGGCAGGTTCTATGTCTGGTGAAAGCCTGTTCCTCATAGACAGCACCATTTAGGTGTCCGCATATGACAGGAAGGATGGAAAGGAAAAGGTCAGGCTAGTTCCCTCCAGTTCTTTTATAAGGCACTGATCTATTCCTGAGAGCTGAGACCTGATGAGACTTGTTGACACTTTTGAAAGGCTCCACCTCTTAATATTATTGCACTGAGATTTAGTTTCAACTTGAATTTTAGAAGGACACAAACATTCAAATCATGGCACCTATAGTCTATGATTCTTCCTTTACAGAAAGAAAAGCTTTCAGAAACTACTTCGGAAAAATATCTTCCAATGTTTTATTTAAGTAGATTACTTAATTCAATAAAGTTTTGTCGCCCATGCTTATTAGTTAAAATATACAAGATATCCGTAATTTCTTTCTTTGCCTCAATAAATCTTATAATAATGATACAGTATGATTTTTATATCAAGTTGGTGGTATATTCTGAAATCATAATTGCCATTCAATCAGTATCAATTTTCCCATTGCATTTATGCACATGTGAAAAATGAATAAAATTAACAGTTTACAAAGGAGAAAACATTGCCCTGGCAACTGTGGTAAGTGCTTTAAATAAAGTACTATGAGGTTGCAGATACTTTGAAACTGGATTAAATTATATAATTACACTTTGGTGCATTTGTTTAACTTATAATTGTGTATTTTGGACTATTGCATGTAGCATTTACAATTATAGAATATAATTTAAAATATGTCAAATTCTGAGACCCAATTGACAAAGAATTGCTGAATCCAAATGTTTGTACATGATATCTTTAATTTTAAAAACAATAACAACACTCTCTATGTGAAAAGACAATTTAAAATATGGTGGTTTATGACAATTATCCAATTTAATCAGAGTATAGCTTCTGAAATTTCTTAGTTTGGAATGCAGACTTGAGATTGAGTCTTAGCAGAATCCTAGTTTGATTCCTATTTCACTAGACTAGATTTTACCTATTATTTATGTCAGAGCTTTTCAATTAATGTTGACAATTAGTTCAGTGTTTCATATACTTTAGAAATAATTTTGTCAACAATACTTACTATCAATTCCCAAAGCTTAAGTCTGCCAGTTTGACCAATGAACCAATTATGTCATTGTCTTGACTGAAACTATAATTGTTTTGTAATCTATTTTTTCTAAATATATATTGCATTAAAATGTTTGTACTTCCTTTGTAGCTCCTTACTTTCTAAATCTTCTCCCTGTCCTTAACTGGAACATTTCTTTACAACTAAGAAATAATGACAATACTAGAGTATCTGCAGACTAAGTTGAAGACTGGTGGGTTACTTTCTTAAGACAATTGTAACATATTCAGGAGATAAGTTTATGCTTTATGAAAAGTAAAATATTGATGAATGTTAGGAGAGGATACACTTTCTTCTACTTACTGTCATTTCTTTCTTGTAGGTGGTCTAGGCCATAAGGACTACAACTCTTAGATGAGTCCTAGTGCTGAACTAAGTCCAGAGACACTGGATTGGAAGGCATGTGACATACTGAGACATCAGCTGGTGCAGCCAAGGCATCACCCCTCCCCAAACCCTAGGCTGCACAGCTCACACTCCAAAAGAGACTCTCTTCCTTCCGCTTTAGGATAGGAGAGGAAAAAATGGGAAGGACTTTCTTCGCATCTTGGATACTAGCTCAGCTACAGAATGATAGGGCACCATCAGTGCTGCAAGGCTCCTGTTCCAGGCCCTAGCTCCTAGATGACATTTCTGGACACACCCTGGACCAGAAGGAAACTTGCTGCCTTGAAGGAAAGGATGCAGTTGTGGCAGAATTCATCACTTGTTAACTGAAGAGGCTTTGGACCCTGAATAACCAGCAGCGATCCACAGGTACTATGTTGAGGGCTTTGGGTGAGCCTCTGAGACTTGCTGGCTTTTGGCGAGACACAGCACATTCCCAGCTGTGTTGGCTATGGGGTAAAACTCCTGCTTGAGAAAAGCAGAAGGAAAAGTAAAAGAGAGTTTGTCCTGTACTGTACACACCAGCACGGGCACAGAGCGGTAGAGCAACACGCGATGCCTTAGGATCCCCGATTCCAGGACTTGACCCTTGGATGGCATTTCTGGCGCTGCCCTAGAACAGGAGAAAGCCCACTGCCCTGAAGAGTGAGTCTCAGGCCAGGCAGCCTTGAACCTTAAGGGAACATTGGCTAAATCATAGTTTGATAGTACTCCTCATGGCCTGGTGGCGAGTGCTATGGAGTGAGGCTTCTCCTCTTTTGGAAAGGGGAGGGAAGAGTGGGAAGGACTACATCTTGTGGTTTGAGTGCCGGTTCATCCACAATAAAATCAAATACTAAGTAGACGTCTAAGGTTTTGTACTCTAGTCCCTGATTCTATGGCACCTTTGCATCCACCCAGGGCTTAGGCAACCTCATTGACCTGAAAGGAGGGACACAGGCTTGATTGACATTGCCACTGGCTCATTGTAGTACCTCAGGGCCTTGATGTGAACACAGACAGTAGCCAGGCAGTAGTTACAGCAGGCCCTGAGTGAGACCCAATACTGTGCTGGCTTCAGGTCTGACCCAGCACAGTAATAATGGTGGTGGCCACAGGGGTGATTGTGTCAATCCACCCTCAATGTTAGATGGCCCAGGAGAGAGGGAGGGGGAGAGAGAGAGAGAGAGAGAAAGAAAGAAAGAGAGAGAAAGATTCTGTTGGGGAGAAAGTAAGGGAAGAGAACAAATGTCTCTGCCTGTTAATCCAGAGAATTCTCCTGGATATTGTCCAAGACCATAAAGGTGGTATCTCCCTGACTCTGCAAGAACCACAGTGTTACTGGGCTTGAGGTGTCCTTTAAATTAGATACAGCTTAGATCACAACACTTAAGTCCTTTCAGATATCTTGAAAGCTTTCCCAAGAAGGATGGCTAAACCTAGATAGTGAAGACTACAATAAATATGTTACTCTTCAATGCCCAGACATTGAAGAAAATCTACTAGCATCAAAACACCATCCAGGAAAACATAACCTCACCAAATAAACCAATCAAGTCACCCAGACACAATCCTGGAGAAACAGATATGTGGCCTTTAGACAGAGAATTCAAAATAAGAATTCAAAATAAGAATTCTCAATAAGAAGCTGCATTGAGGAAATTCAAACGAGATAACACTGAGAAGAAATTCAGAAATCTATAAGATAAATTGAAATAACTGAAAAGAAACAAGCAGAAATTCTCAAACTAAAAAACACAATTGGCATACTGAAGAATGTATCGAATCCTTTAATAGCAGAATTGATCAAGCAGAAGAAAGAATTAGCTTAAAGAAAAGCCTTGAAAATACACAGAAAAGACAAAAGGAGAAAGAATAATACATAATGAAGCATGCCTACAGGATCTAGAAAAGCACCCCAAAGAGTCAAATCTAAAAGTTATTGACCTAAGGGAGGAGGTAGAGAAAGAAATAGAGGTAGAAAGTTTACTCAAAGAGGTAATAGCAGAGAACTTCCAAACCTAGAGAAAGATATCAATATCCAAGTACAAACAAGAAGGTTGTAGAACACCAAGCAGATTTCACCCAAAGAAGACTACCTTAAGGCATTCAATATTCAAACTCACATAGGTTAAGGACAAAGAAGGGATTCTAAAAGCAGCAAGAGAAAAGAAACAAATAACATACAATGGAGCTCCAATACATCTATCAGCAGATATTTCAGTGGAAATCTTACAGGCCAAGAAAAGTGCCATGACATATTTAAAGCACTGGAGGAAAAAATAACTTTTAGCCTAGAATAGTATATCTGGCAAGAATATTCTTCTAACATGAAGGAGAAAAAAAGACTTTCCCAGAGAGTCAAAAGCTGAAGGATTTTATCAACACCAGACTTCTCTAAAAAAATGCTAAAGGGTGTAGTTTAATCAGAAAGCAAAGGATAATAACGTGCAATAAGATATCATCTGATGGTACAAAACTTACTGGCAATAGTAGGTACACAAGAAAACACAGACTATTATAGCACTAACTGTGGTGTGTAAAGTACTCTTAAATTGAAAGAGTAAAAGATGAACCAATAAAAAATAACTACAACAACTTTTCAAGACATAGACAGTACAATAAGAATTAAATAAAACCAACAAAAAATGAAAAAGCAAGGCAATGAAGTTAAAGCACAGAGATTTTATTAGTTTTACATGTTTATTTATATAAACAGCATTAAGTTGTTATCTGCTTCAGATAATGGTTTATAAGATAGTATTTGCAAGCTCATTGGTCACTTCAAATCAAAAGCATGCAACAAATACACAAAAAATAAAAAGAGTCAAATTAAATCATATCATCAGAGAAAATCACCTTCACTAAAGGAAGGCAGAAAGGAAAGAAAGAAAGAAGAGAATATTACAAAACAACCAGAAAACTGATAACAAAATGGCAGAAGTAGTAAGTCCTTACTTATCATTAATAATATTGAATGCAAACAGACTGAACTCTACAATCAAATGACGTAGACTGGCTGAATGGCTGAAGAAACAAGAAATATAGATCTATTTCCTAGAAAAACAAACTTCAACTGTAAAGACACACATAGACTGAAAATAAAGAGATAGAAAAGATATTCCATGCCAATGGAATCCAAAAAAAAAAAGAGCAGAAGTTGCTATACTTAGATAAAATATATATCAAGACAAAAATTATAAGAAGAGATGAAGAAGGTCACTATATAATGATAAAAAGATCAATTAAAAAGAGGATATAACAATTATAAATATATATACACCCAACACTGGAGCATTCAGATATATAAAGGAAATATTATTAGAGCTAAAGAGAGAGATAGATCCCTATACAATAATAGCTGGTGACTTAAACAACTTACCTTCACATTAGACAGATCTTCCAGACAGAAAATTAACAAAGAAACATCTCACTTAATCTGTACTGTAGACCAAATGGATCTAACAGATATTTACAAAATATTTCATTCAGTGGCTGCAGAATAGACATTCTTTTCCTCAGTTCATGGATTATTCTTAAGGATAGACTATATGCTCGGTCAGAAAAAAGTCTTAAAACATTCAATAAAGTTGAAATAATATCAAACATCTTCTATGACCCCAATGAAATAAAACTAGAAATGAATAACAGGAATAATTTTGGAAACTATGCAAACACATGAAAATTAAACAATATGCTCCTAAATGACCAGTGGGCCAATGAAGAAATTAAGAAGAAAATTGAAAAATTTCTTGAAACAAAAGATAATAGAAATACAACATACCAAAATCTATGGGATACAAAAGTAGTACTAAGAGGGTAGTTTATAGCTAAATGTGCCTGCATCAAAAAAGATGAAAAGCTTTAAATAAACAATCTAACAGTGCATTTTAATGAACTAGAAAATAAAGCAAACCAAACCCAAAAATAGTAGAAGAAAAGGAATAATAAGGATCAGAGCAGAGATAAATGAAATTGAAATAAACAAAAATATAACAGATCAATGAAACAAAAAACAGTTTTTAAAAAAGTTAAAATAAATTGACAACCCTTTAGCAAGACTCACTATAAAAAAGGGAGAAGATCCAAATAAATAAAATCAGATATGGAAAAGAAGACATTACAACTGATACTGCAAAATCCAAAGGATCATTAGTGGCTATCATGAGCAACTATATAGCAATAAATTGGATAATTTATAAGAAATGGACAAATTCCTAGACACACACAACCTAACAAGATTGAAACATAAAGAAATCCGAAACTTGAAAAGACAAATAAAAATTAACAAGATTGAAGCCATAATAAATAGTCTCCCAGTAAAGAAAACCCAGGACTTGATGGCTTTACCACTGAATTATACCAAACATCTAAGAATAAATACTAGTTCTACCCAAACTGTTACAAAAAATAGAGGAGGGAGGAATACTTCCAAACTCATTCTGTGAGGCCAGAATTACCCTGATAGAAAACTACAGGCCAATATATCTGATGAGCAATAATCCAAAAATCCTCAGCAAAATTCTAGCAAATCAAATTCAGCAATACATTAGAAGGATCATTCTTTATTACCAACTGAGATTTATCTCTGAGAGGCAATGATGCTTCAACATATGCAAATCAATCAATGTGATACCTCATATCAACAGAATGAAGGATAAAAACCAAATGATTATTTCAATTAATGCTGAAAAAGCATTTGATAAAACTCAATATCATGATAAAAAGCCCTCAAAAAAACTGGGGATAGAAGGAACATACCTCAACATAATAAAAGCCGTATATGACAGATCTACAGCTACTACCATACCAAATAAGGAAAACCTGAATGCTCTTTCTGTAAGATCTGAAACATGGCAAGGATGTCCACTGTTATTCGTCCACTGACGAATAACCGTTGCCACTGTTATTCGACATAGTGCTGGAAGTCCTAGCTAGAGAAATCAGACAAGAGAAAGATACAAAGGGCATGCAAATTGGAAACGAGGAAGTCAAAATAGCCTTGTTTGCAGATAATATAATCTTACGTTTGGAAAAGCCTAAAGACTCAACAAGAAAATGATTAGAACTAATAAACAAATTCGGTAATGTTGCTATATAGGAAATCTGCATACAAAAATCAGAAGCATGTCTATATGCCATCAGTGAACAATGTGAAAAAGAAATTTAAAAAGTAATCCCATTTGCACTACTCACATATAAAATTAAGTAAATTTAATTTTACTAAAGAAGTGAAAGATCTCTACAATGAATACTATAAAAGACTAAAAGAAAATAAGTTGAAAAAGACACCAAAAAAGGGAAAAATATTTCATGTTCATGAATTGGAAGAATTGATACCGTTAAAACGTCCATATTCCTCAAAGCAATCTATAGATTCAATGCAATCCCTATTAAAATACCAATGACATTCTTCATGGAAGTAGAAAAAGAAAATCTTAAAATTTATATGGAACCATGAAAGACCCAGAATAGCGAAAGCTATCCTTAGAAAAGGAAACAAAACTGGGGTAATCACACCACCTACTTCAAATTATACTAATGAGCTATAGTAACCAAAACAGCATATACTGGCATAAAACCAGACACATAGACCAATGGAACAGAATAGAGAACCCAGGAAGAAGTCCGCACAACTACAGTGAACTCACTTTCAACAAAGGTGCCAAGAACATATACTTGGGAAAAGACAGACTCTTCCATAAATGGTGCTGGGAAAGCTGGATATCTATAAGCAGAATAATAAGCTAGACCCCTACCTCTTGCAATATACAAAATCAAAATGGATTAAATACTTTAATATCTCAAACTATGAAACTACTATGAGAAAACATTGGGGGCAATCTCCATGACATTGGTTTGGGCAAAAATTTCTTGAGTAATATCCCACAAGCACAGGCAACCAAAGCAATAATAGACACATGGGATTACACCAAGTTTAAAAGCTTCTGTGCAGCAATGGATACAATCAAGGAAGGGAAGAGGCACATTTGGATCCTTTGGATTTTGCAGTATGAGAGTTTTCAGGAGAAAATATTTGCAAACTACCCATCTGACAAGGGATTAATAACCAAAATATATAAGGAATGCAAACAACTGTATAGGAAAATAATAATCTGATAAAAATGAACAAAATTTGAAGACATTTCTCAAAGGAAGACATGTAAATGGCAAACAAGCATATGAAAAGATGCTCAGTATCAGTGATCATTAGAGAGATGCAAATCAAAATTGCAATGAGATATCATCTTGCCCAGTTAAAATGGTTTATATCCAAAAGAGAAGCAATAACAAATGCTGGCAAGGATGTGGAGTAAAGGAAACCATTTTATACTGTTGGTAGGAATGTAAATTAGTGAAACCACTGTGGAGAACAGTTTGGAGATTCCTCAAAGAACTAAAAATTGAGCTACCGTATGATGTAGCAATCTCACTGCTGGTTATATGTCACAAAGAAGGGAAATCAGTATATTGAAGAGACATCCACACTCATGATTTTTGCAGCACGTTTACAATAGCTAAAATTTGGAAGCAACCTAAGTAACCATCAACAGATGAATGAATAAAGAAACTGTGGTCCACATACACAATGGAGTACTATTTAGTCATAAAAAATAATGAGATCTAGTCATTTGTACAACATGGATGGAACTGCAGACCATTTTGTTAAGTGAAATAAGCCAGGCACAGAAAGAAAAATATCGCATGTTCTCACTTATATGTGGGAGCTAAAAATTAAAAACAACTGAACTCATGGACACAGAGAGCAGAAGGATGATTACCAGAGGCTGGGAAGAGTGGTAGGGGGCTGACAGGAGGTGGGGATCACTATCTGGTTAAAAAAAAAAAAAGAAAAAAAAGAATGAATAAGAGCTACTATTTGATAGCACAATGAGATGGCTATAGTCATTAATAACTTAATTGTACATTTTAAAATAACTTGAGTATAACTGAATTGTTTGTAAGTCAAGGGATAAATGTTTGAGGGACATCTCTATGATGTGCTTATTTTACATTGCATGCCTGTATCAAAACATCTCAGATACCCCATAAATATATACATCTACTATGTCACTACAAAAATTAAAAATTAAGTATAAAGACACTCTCAGGGCTAACAGTGAAGGTTTACTAATGCAGTCTAGTCAATACAGGGAGAGAGAGAAAGAGGAATACTGAGTTTTAGAAGGTCAAGTTCCATACTTTCATGGATATAAATGTCTTGTTTGAGACTTTTATTTCGTTTTTGTGAGCCTGGCAGAGTATATGTGTACTGCATCTTTATTATGGAGATTTTATTTATATGACAACTATTAAAAATCAATGACATGTAGCAACTTACTTTTTAATATACTTTTGCTTTTGATTGAATTATATTCTGTATGGAGATTGATGGTGATTGGCTTACTAGCTTAACTTTTCTCAGGAATGCGGCTCCCATTTACAAAACTTAAGTCAGTTTCCACTTATTTTCCCTGTCCTCACACTCTCAGCCTTTTACAATAGCCATATATCTTGTTATGTTAGTGTTCCTTTTTAAAAAACTGAAAAAAAAAATTCTTCACTCAGATATAGCAGCAGTCAAATTCTCCCCAACTGAGCTCCAGCTGTCTGTGCTTAAGGGACTTTCAATGCAATGCATAATCTCAAACCTCCTTTCTAATATGTTTTCAGAATGATATGAACAAGCATAGGTTTGAAACTGATATTTCACATATTCATTTCTTGTGTAGAAATATTTGTCTCCTTGTATCTTGAACTGTCATATGCCCATGACTTTTTGTAACAATAGCAATGCTTTTAAGACTATTATTTTACCTAAAATTTTAAAGAGAATAACATTATAAGGTGCTTATCTATATCTTTAGTTTTTCTCTGCCCTTTCCCTAGGTTCTCCCCTCTTCGTAATTGCAAAATGATTGTGGGCTAGAGGAACATAAAATATTGAGATGTGGACAGAACTAATTAGCTTTAGAACCCTAGTCAGCCTTCTTATGGGAGAGCCATAATTGTAAATACAAGCCTGCTTCAACCCACTTCCTCATTTGAGAGCAATCATTACAAGTACCATCTGCCAAAGGGGAGAGAGAAGGCTGCTCAGAGCAGTTGGTTTGTAGGATGAGCAGCTCATTGTGTCATTGTGTTCTGGCTCTTTGTTTCAAGAAAGTATGTTTGATTTGACAATGAGCTGTTATGTTTTCTTTTAAATAGTGTTTACATGGGAGTTAAACATCAAATAAACAACATGCATTGATGTTAAGAAATTCGGAGCTGATTTCTTTTACATTGCTCTTTCATCTAGTAGAGGATTATACTCTATTGTTCTGATTTGCATTCAAATTGTTTGCATATGTTGTAATTAAAATCTTTCAATTTTGCTGATCACCTATATGTGTGGAACAAGGTATCATTTTTAATCTATATAAGCTGTACAGATAAGAAATATGCATAAAAATGTTATTAGGCACTGATGTTGTAGATGAACTAAAATTATTGGATATATTTTTTCTGTTATTAAGGGCTTTATCATTCAGGTTCCAAGGCCGTATATATACATAATAATGATGACAGCTAACATTTTTGGTATGCATTATAATTCAAGTACATGCTCATTTAGAGACTATTTTTTTAATTACACAATAACATTTAATTTCAGTTCAAGACATAATATGATTCAATGGCAATGCATTGTTCCAAAGCAGGTGTGGCTATTGTTGAGTGAATGGAAAGTATAATGTTGATCAAAGTAGTCATGAAGGACATTAAAGAAAAGGATACATAAGATTATTTTGATAGAAATAAAATAAAGAGGAGATGATAATAGGAAACAAGATAGAAATCATTTTTCTAAAGGATTATAACATTGTTTTAGGATATGGTCTGTTTCAAAGGCACCATGGTAGAAAGAAATGTTCAGTTGAAGAAGTTGGACTAAAAACTCAAGTTGTAATTTGAATAAGAGAGTAATCGGTCACTATGAGCCTATGCTAATTGTGTTTGGAGAGTAGAGGATATATGTAGGTTTAAAGTCAAGGCTATGGTTGGTGTGGGTATTTAGGGTGATCCCCTGTGTCCTACTGGAGTACATTAAGATTAAAATGAACAGAATGGAAGATAAACTTGCAAACATGATGGGAAATTTTGTCAATAAAAAAAGGAAAGGAATAAGAGGGTAGTCATATGGATCAACAAAATCACCTAGATAAATTCGCAATAATGGTTATTGCTCAATCAACAAAATAAACTAAATAAATTAGCAACAAATAATGGTTATTGCTAAATCATTGAGTGTATGGCATGTTTTTTACATTAGTCCTACCTGATAGAGAGCATTCTGCAATAATGTAAATGTTCTATGTCTCCACTGATGAATACAGCAGTGATTAGCTATATGCACTTACTGAGCGATTAAAATATGGCTAGTGCAATGAAGGAACTAAATTTTAAATTTTATTTAATTTAAAATTATATAGTCACATATGGCTAATAGTCATAGTATTGGATAGTAGATCTAGATATTACTGATGTAAGCAGGAACAGAATGGAATATCACCTTCTTTTGAAATTTAAGTTAAATTAATACACATTAAGTGCATAGATCTTTAGTATAATTTGATGAGTTTTGAGAATTGAATATTAGCATAAAACTATCACAATTTTTTTTTCCATCTTCTTAGCTCTTTTTCCTGTCTCACTCAGAGTCCACCTTTATGGCAGTAAAATCGCTGCAGTCACTTCAGCCTCACATCTTTATAAACATAATTCTAACAGATAATATATAAATATATATAAAGTAAGTAATATGTATAAATAACATACATATGATTCCAGCAGTGACACTGTTTAATAGCTTTTATGAAAATCAAATGTATCTTCAAAATATGATTAAAACAATCCAGATTACATGGCCACAATGTGATGAAAAATTTGATAGCCAAGGCATTGCTTTTTGAAGGGAAATTTGAGCAGGAAACAATAAAATATATATACTCTGGTGTTTAAGGTTCTGGATTCTGGGCTAAGATTTTAAATATTATGTATATGATATTGGCTAAGTTATTTAGCTCCTCTATTTATTTATATCTAAACAGAATAATTCATAGTATTCACCTGGCACAAAGTGTTAATTCGAATGATAGTATTATCATTAAACATGTTCAATGAGATTCTTTCGTAAATACAGAAATTGAGATCATAGAGAATTTTTATTTTGTTTTTGAAGGCCTGAAGATGTCTGGAACTCACTTTCTATTCTAAGCTCATACACTAGTCAGTTGGTAAGCCAGATCTAGACCCATTCCCTCATTTTTTTCTTTCCACTACAACAGCCAATAAGTGTTCTTTCAAGTCCTGACCTGTTCGTCTCTTTACCTATCCTTTATGTATGAGACATAAAAAATAATCTTATTTACAAATAGGCAAGTAGAATTGCAGGCGTACATTGTTTTATTGCATTTTGCTTTATTGTGCTTAGTAAATACTGCATTTCTTACAAATTAATTGTTTGTGGCAATGCTGCATCAAGCATTTTTTCAACAGCATATGTTCACTTCCTGTCTCCCTGTCATATTTTGGTAATTCTCACAAGATTTCAAATTTTAAATGATTGTTATATCTGTGATGGTGACTTGTGATCACTGATCTTTCATACTACTGTCATAATGGTTTTGGGGCTCCAGGAACGGCACCCAATGTAAGATGATTAACTTAATCAATAAATGATGTGCGTGTTCTGACTGCTCCACTGACCAGCAGGTCCCCTTATTTCTATCTCCTTGGGCCTCTCTATTATCTGAGACATGACAATATTGAAATTAGGCCAGTTAATAATCCTGCAATGACCTGTAGGGGGTTCAAGTAAAGGGAAGAGTTGCACATCTCTCACTCTAAATCAAAAGCTAGAAATGATTAAGCTTTGTGAGGAAGGCTTCTGAAAAGCCCAAATAGGCTAGAAGCTAGGACTCTTGTGCCGAAGAGTTAGCCAAGTGGGGAATGCAAAGGAAACACTCTTGACAAATATTAAAAGTACTACTCCAGTGAACCTTCTACAAGCAAAAAATTATGACTTGATGAAAGCTTAGATGATCATTAGCATTTTTTTAGCGATAAGATATTTTTAAATTATGGTAGGTACACTGTTTTTAAGACATAATTCTATTGTACACTTAATAGAATACAATATAGTGTAAACATAACTGTCATATGCATTAAGACATTAAAAAACCAAAAATTTGTGTGACTTGCTTTATTGCAATATTCATTTTATTGCATTGGTCTGAAAGTGAACTTGCAATATTTCTAAGGTATGCGTGTACCTCTCCTCAAGTGATCCCATTGCCAATGTTAAATTAACTCACAGGATATAGTGTTAGTAATCAGCAAACAGTAAAGTCTTAGGAAAATAGCTAGAACACTTGGCATTTCATTTTCATCTGTTTCATTGTTTCATGTTTCTCCTTTCTCCTACCCTCACCCCCTCTCATTTATTCCCCTATTAATTCTTAGTTTCTTACATGAAATCTTTCTAATAAAGATTCTAACATATGGTTCTTCTTCATTGTATCCTGGAGTCTACTATGCAGCCAGGAAAGTGTTTCTGACACATAGATTTCAGCAACCACCAACCACATGAGTACCACTGAGAGTTTTACCAGCGCTGTCCCGAGGTTAACTATAGTGGCACTTCCTTTCTTCTCACCACCATCTTCTTTCCTGCCTCTTCCTACAGATAAAACAGGGTCTATGATCCTGTGCCAATGCATTTGAAGCTTGTTGTCAGAGACATTGTCAAGGAGAATTTAAGGTAAGAATAGATTAAAGAGGAGAAATATAAGAGAATAATTGCTATGCTTCAAATAACGCTGAACTCAATATCTGCTGTTCCTTGGGGCTGACACATTTGATATGTGGCTTTTATTCTATTGGATGTTGCTTTAAACTGAAGAAACAGAAACCAGTATAGATTTGTTTGGATTCTTAGCAAGAATCTCCCTCCAGGTGGCAATGGCCAGTCTCTTTTTCTTCTCACAGTTCTGTGATGGAGGTTTCCTGAAGGGAAGATAAATGGACCTTCTGACCAAGCTGAGAAGAAGGGGAGCATATGAAAGAACTTGAGCAGACCATGTAGCGTTCTTGAAACTTGAAAGGGGGCTGGGGAAAGGAAAACTGGGCAGGAGAGATGTAATATATGAAAGAGAGAAGGATTAGAGATAAAGTGCTAACAGATGAGTTTAAAGAAAATCAAGTAAAAGAAAATGTCACGGCACAAAAGGGGAGAGGAGAAAGAACAGCTGAAACCAGAGGACAAACCAGAGTTGTTGGATCTAGAGAAGTATGATCTATTTGTGAAAGTAACAAGGAAATGGTGATACTTGCCATGGGAATCTGTCTGCTCCTGAAGTGGGCTCTATAGCAATAACCGAAAGAATAGTCAATCAAGACCAAAATGTGCAAAATAAATGGATTGAGGTATAGAATTAGCATTGCAAACTAGCAAGCTATTGGGTTTCTCTCACTAGTAGGCAATGAAAATTCAGTTTATATTTTTAAATTTTACCTATCAGTATCTGTAATTAGTTTGTGTTTTTTATTTAACTGATTGGTAAAGCTGGTTACAGTTTTGCCCATACTTTACTGATTGAGTTATTTTTAAAGCATGCTTTGATTTTGAGGTATGAATTTCAGAATTATAACCAGGACCATTTGAAATTGAAATACTTGAATCTGTTCACACAGTTCTCAACACTTTGGTTATTATATTTCTGTGTCTTATTGATAAAGAGGGAAAATCATTATGTTAATTTCTACTCAGTCTATTATTGCTACATTATCAAAGATAACTAGATTATATTCTGCAAAAAAGCCACCTATATTTGTACTAATAATGATGTAATTTGGAGACACTGTGCAGGAAAACAGAAAGTGTCCATCAGTGTGGGGCAGCATCACAGAGGAATATTATTTCCAGATTCCCCTATATAGAAAAAAGATACGCACTGTTTTAAAATATTTGGCACGTATCTTGGGTAGAACTAGTTATACGTTTTGGTAATAAATATCATTTTCCAGTAATACCATTTACATTAAATGTTTGCATCTACTGTTTTGATATTTGATATTGTTGATAAAATATAATCTTAATATTTTATTGCCTGCAATTTTTTGCTCTGAAATTTTGTAGAATAAATTGCAATCCATCTCCCTCTGTCTCCCATTTTGTTGTCTTTTATTTTTTGAGAGATCTCTTTAAAGTTATTTGTTATAGCTGTTTGAATGCTTAAATAGGTATCAATACGTGTTCAAAAATGGCTTTCAATCAACTTCGGTTTAAAATTTCACTTAAAACTATTGACATCAGGATTTGCCAGAGCCTTGCCTACAGGGCTACATTTTTCTTTGTCACATGTTGAATTAGTTTTATTCTTCTTTGCTATCTTCTAAGTTATTTGGAAGTCTGGCTAGTATTTCCTTGTTTCATTATTGAAACAGTTCTTCTAGACTTCTTATGAAACTGTGGAAATTCTCTAACCCCAAACAAAATTTTGATCCATCAGGCTGTTTATTTTATATCATATTTTCACAAAAGTCTGTTATTTTGGGGTCCTCTGTTAGCTTGTTTGAGATATTTCACTCAGAGTCATCATAATGAAAGTCAGGCCATCCAGTTCATTTTATTATAGGATCCCTGTTAAGGGAAAAAGACAAAAAGTACTGGTGGAACTGTTAGAAATTATTTTTAGTGAATCATAAAATAGTTTTCTATACAGTTAAAAGTAGATAACATAGAACAATGTGAATGAACATAAATATTCTGTTTAAAAACAGACAAAGCCTTTTCATAATTTTTCATTTGCTTTCTTAAAATAAATATGTTGTCATAATAGCCATTGCTTTAAGTTTGATGAGATGTTGGTTAAGCACCCACCTTGAATCTCCACAGTCCGTTTTGGGTCCAGAGGCCACATGATTAGAACTTTTTAAGATTTGTCTCTGGTTTCATAAATGTTACTTTGGAGAATCCTATTATATTTAGATAATGTTTAATAAGTATTACCCATAAATAAATACATATTCAGCTTATATGGCGGAAACACAAAATGCTACACTACTTCTCTTGTTGATATATTAAGCTTCCACGGTTCCTAGACTTGGGAAAATTGTCACTATATATGTATAGCTGTCTATCTGGAAGATACACTGAGGTTCTGGCCACGTAGTTATCCTTCTGGGTATACTTAAAAAAGAAGACTTTATTGATTGTCTGGAACCTAAATGCCTACTATTTAGTAAATGAGCTCAATGGGTTATTTTCCAACATTCTTTAATTTTGGTTTGTTCATCTCAACAAGACCATTCACATCTATCTTTTCCTCTTCTTTGTCTATTTTCTGTTGAGTTCTCCCAATACGTTTAACAGTCTATTCCTTTTTCCAAAGGAAATGTTACATTCTCATTAATTTTAGACCACAGTCATCAACATTTTGTTAAAAAGTGCTGCAAATGAAAACAAAACTTATTTTTTCTAGGTTTATGTTCAAGTGCTTATGACAACATTTTTATGTAGAGAGTAGCTTAATAAAGTACTTTCATGTGTATTATTTTCATTGATTTTCAGTTATGTGTGATAATGGTGTTATTTTTATTTTGTAGAGGAGTAAATGAATTCTTACAGAATTTATGTCACTTGACCAAAAATCACTGAACTAATATTCAGTGAATAAGAGCTTTATACTAACTCTAATCCAAAGCCTTTATCCTACATAAGGCCAATATTATGACCAGGAATTATTCTTGGGATGTTCTTGTTATCAATATTTAGAAACACTATTTTTGAATTCTCCTGAGTCTGCGATTTTAGTTATGTGCATTCTCAGAATGTGTTACCATGTATAAAATTTTATTATACAAGCCAGAGATTGATGGAATTTTATCCCATCTATTAAGTGACTTCTCTATTTGGTGTTGTGAGGTGCTGAATGTAGGTAAAATACTGAACTCATACATAAAGGTCAAAAGTAGAGAGAATGGGGACAGCATCCATAAATGTGGAGTATACTCGCCCAATATGTGATTGATAGTTAAATGAATGGAAAACATTAAAAGTGCTTTTGTGATAACAATTGTAGGTGCAATTTATTTAACACTTCCTATGTTTAAACAGGGGACTGTGTGTATACATACACATGCACACACACAAACATATGTATATTTTTAAACCAGTCTTTGTAAAATCATGAGTTACTTATCCCATTTTAATGGCTAAGTAGTTTAAAAATAGAAAAATTAAGAAATTTGTCTAAGATTGCAAATTAGTAACAGAATGCAAATTTGAAAAGCAGTTTTGTTTGTTTCCAAAGTCTACTATGTTTTAATGCCTCAGTTAAGTGGAGGCAATACCATGGGCTAGCATGTTCAGGAAAATCCTCCTGAAATAGGTAATACGTGTGTTGAGTTTTTAAACATTAGTAAGATTTGAATATGTGAAGAGATGGGAAAGAGGTTATTAAGATTTGGAGCAATAGGTAGCACAAAATACCTGCCCAAAATAGAAATCTCTATAAAATATTTAAAGTGTAGTGGAAATATCAACTTTGTTGGGATTATGACACTTACAAACAAAAGCAGGTGCAGATGGAAAAGCCAACACGCTATTCAAAGAGTATAATATTTAGATTACTAGGCGAAAAACCAATAGGATGTATTATGTGACCATTGAAAATTTTTCAGAATAAAAATATTTTAACAAAATTTGTGGTTAAGAAGATTAATATGATGTTTATAATCTCTATTGATGGGAAGAAACATAACATGAATAAAGTGTTTTCTTCATTGTTATTTAAAATAATTAGTTCATGCCATAAATATGAAAGGAAGGCCTCAAGAAAAAAAAAAACTGGAAGAAGCTAAAGACACTTACTGCAGGGAAAGAATACAGCATCAAAAATAACAGAATTTTCAGTATATGCAGCAGCAAAAATTGTGATCCATTTAATTCTACATTTTCTAAATACTAACTGTGAGGCATCATATTAAGTATTATTTTAATTCTGTCCATAAGATAGGTGAAAAGGAGAAAGTACATTTTAGACAGGAGAAGAAATTGATATTAGGCTGTAAAGAATTATTAGGAATTATTTATTTTGAAGGTTTGTCTAAAGTAGGAGATAGAAGTCAATACTTGAGAATTTTGAGAATAGTTTTATTCAGGGTCAAAATATAGAGTTTAAAGAATTGATGGCCATGTCTTGCACTTTGCAGAGGGCATTCTTTCAGAGCAAGATGGAGAAACCAGTGAGAAAGAAAAACAACAAAGAGTAAAGCAAAAATAAGAATGTTGTATTTTCATACAGGAAAGATAGTTTATGAACTATGGAAATATAATATTGAAAAATCATTTTTAAGGATTTTGGAAAGTGAAAGATTTGTATAATATGTGCATTTTTAAATTTTTCTTTTGGTTTGAATAGATTCTGTTGTGGTTTTAGTTTGGTTCTCAAGTATATATTTTCCTTCTATAAACTGTAGTCTTCTAAAGAAAGCTCAGATTCCTGTTTAGGATTTCTTCCAGAAATTTTCTATTGTGTTCTTATTTTTAAAAAATGAATGCTTTTATGTTTAAGAAAAAAAAACGATGAAAAAGCAAAAAAAAAGTTTCTTTACCAAAAAAACTAAATTTTCTGAAAGAGTTTGCTATGAAAATTCAATCTGTTCTATTTTGTTTAATACAAGAGATTGCAAAAAATGTATGCAATGTCTACTCTCAGGAATGACACACTAAAAGATTATGATACCTTGGATAAACTGCATAGCTCTCATTAATTTTGATAATTCATGTTGGCTAGTAGAACAAACTTGTTTAAAACATTTAAAGCACTCTTACCTACACATGGCTTCTAATTTTAAGCTGCTATAATTTTCATATACAATGGCTTACATTATGCTGAGGATAGATCCAAGGTTTACAAAGTAGTGGATGATAATCACAAAGTTGATTTGAACCTCATCTTTTCTTAAGAAATTTAAAGACTGTGGTTCTAAAATATGAACTGATCTTCATAATATCACAGGTGTGCATTGAATTTTTAAATTTGAAGTCCATCAAAATATTTCTAAGATCAAATTGTCTCCCTGGAAATTTGCATGCACATTGCTTTACATACTTTCACTGTATTTGACTCCAATTCTCTTAAAATTATGAAGAATGCTATTTTAATCTTAGCAGTAGAAATCACAAAATGGTCCCATTCCATTGATGGTTGTTCCTTACAAAATTTCATATTTTTAGGCTTCACATATCCTTTAGATTTCAAGTTTCATTTAATAACAGTTTGATCTTTGGTTTCAAGGATCTCTTTTTAGAATTGTTAAAATACCTGAGAGGTCAAACCAAAAATTTATATCTCTACTCTTCAGGAACAGAATCAAATGGACTTAGGGTGTAGGCGTCCCACAGTAATGGTAAAGTCGCAGAAACATGGCAATGCTGAATTACCATGCAGTCTAAAATTAGTATGTAATTGGCTTAAAATGAAGACACCTTGGTATAGCAACGTAGTATAATATACAAAATGCAAGCAGTGATTAGTGGAACTCTGTGTCTTTATTTAGTAGAACTACCCCTCTTTCTTATATCACTAGTGTGTGAATCAGATATGTATTCAAGAGTCAAGGACAGGACAGAAGACTTGTATCTGTTCTTAGATCAGAAAAAGAATTGAAAATTATAACCAATGTAATTTGGTGAAAGTCAAAGTTGAGGTGAGCTAAAGGATTAAAACATGCTTACAGATCACTTTGGATACCACCTCCTACAAATGCAGAGGTGACTGCAATTGGAAAACTGAAGCTACCACAGAGAAATGTATGTGTAATTCTGGAAATGGCAATAGGTGAGGGCAGTGTGTGGAGAGTTGTGATATACCTGATAGTTTTCTCTAGGAAAATTTAGAGGTAAGATAAATACCCACTTCCTTCACTCAACATGCTGAGAGAGCAGACCAATAGAAAAATGGATTTATGAAAATATGTTGTCATAATCGAATGTGGAATTCCTTGTATATGACAAATATCATGGGTAGTTTAAGCCAGGACAGATAAAGATTGATATGTAGCAAATGAGCAGTACAGTTATAAAGATCAGAAAGAAAAGTTGTTGTTGACAGAATGGACCTTAATATCATGTAACAAATAATATAGTCCACTTTGAAGGTCAAAATTGATGAACGTTCTCACTATTGCTAATGGTTTTATTCATACTATAATAAGTGTGTGGAACATCAGAGGATTAGGAGAAACGCAACATGCTTTTTTTTTTTTTCTTTTTGTTTCTTTGTCTACATTTTTACTAGCTAGTGAGTTCTGTGATTACTGAATTAACCTTATTTACCTTCATATGCCAAGGTATAGAAGAGTATGTGTTACAATATAGGTGCTAATTAAATGTTTGGCAGTGAATGAATGACCCTTTTGGAATTAGAGTACAAAAAAAAGACATGAAATCTTTAGGGTATATATAATAGTCATGTCACAAAATAGAGAAAATGATAAAAACTGAGCCCACTGTAAGATAATGTAGTACAGGCATTTGCAGAAGATGAGAGAAGAAAACTTAGTGATTCTTAACCTTTTAGAGCCATAAACATTTTGGGAAACTCAAAAATAATGAACATATATGCCGAAACACAAAAACCCCCACCCTCCACACACACCTTTTTGCTTTCAACTTAGAAGAATAAAGAACTATCTGAAGCCCTCCTTTGATCTCATTAATGTTTTGTCTGTTTTTTAAAAAATTATATATATCCAGCCTATCTTGAGTAGTCCTAGTTTACTCTTGTATTCCGGTGTAACCAAGAATTGTCCTCATTTTTGCTCTTTAAAGTATCACCCTATTAGGAGAGATAGATTATATTTACACTCTATTAATACATTTTAGTGTGTATCTGTGTATGTGTTATAAATATTTGTACACATGCAGTCAGTGTGCATAGTTGTTACCAGTCAAGCAATGTTCAACTACAGGAGTTATATATTAAGATATTTATTGCAAATAATTGGCTTGTATGATTATGAGGGCTTGGCTGATCAAGTACAAAATTCACAGGGAAGGTCAAGAAGAAAGGCAGGCTAAAACCTTTCTGGTCATGACTGAAGCTACTGTCAACAGGTAAAATTTCTTCTTCATTAGAAAAATTTCAGCTCTGCTCTTAAGGCATTTCAGAACCTGATTAAATTAAGCCTGTCCAGATTACCTGGAATATCTCTTTTACTCAAAGTCAACTGGTTGTGTACTTTAATTACATCTGTGGATTCCCTTCAGAGCAACACCTAGACTTGTATTTGATTGAGTAACTGAGGGCTGTAGCCTTGCAAAGTTCACACATCAATAAGCCATCAAAGTGGTATATTTGAGATGTGGGTTTAGGTGTCAATATTATTTTATGTTTATAACATGCCATGCCTCTCTTCCCCAGTATTATGGACATCTAATGCCCAGGAGTGAAATTTTGAATACTTGGTTACTAAACTATCGCAAATTTTTAAAAAATATTATCAGAATTATGCTGAATACTCATGAGAATGATTGAAGTGGCGAATCATCTGTTTTATATAAGCCAGGCAATTATCCAAACACATTCACCTGTATATGTTGTTGCTTTAATTTTGAGTATAAGCATCTCATATTTTTGCAGTATCCTGGGAAACCTATTTTCATGCTTTTTTCTCTTAAATACTTAATATGTATGTGTAGTACAAACACACATTTGTAAAATATATACATGTACATATATACACATATTCCATATGTGCCAACCTATTAGTTTGTGCTATTAATATACATTTTATTCTGTCTTATGCTTTCAGCCAATGAAAGCTAGTAAATGAAGCTGTTCTGTATATTCATGGTCAAGAATTTTCTTGCACCATACCACTATCTGTCAGACAATAAGCACTAAATTGAGTTGTCAAAAATTGAGGAGGGTATGTAGTCTCCATGATTTATTCAACTGTGCCTTTACTTTAATCAATAGCTTCTACTTCATTTAAAACATCTGCACTGTAATGCTGAAAAAAAGTGTGCAAGTGATAGCATAATAGCATGTTTGATACATACAAAAAATGAACTTTACAGTGGTTCAAGAAAATTCAAGGGATATTAGCACACATAGAACGAAAATTAAATTGGAAATTAAAGATTTATATAAGTCTCTGTATATGTTAGGCATTTAAGAAATATCACTTTGCCTGGGAATGTTCTTCAACAATTACAGAAAAGGTAGCTGGAAGCAATTATTGTCTAAGTCATGTTATTACTTCAGGGGATTCAAATAAATAAGAAGGGTGACCACAAATATGTGAGTCAAGAACCTAGAGCTGATTCATTAAGGGTGTTTTTGGTAAAGATGTATTACCACTCCTCTGCTACCAGTCAAAATATGATATGCAAGTATTAAGACATTTTCAGAACGTGAACACTGTTCTCTCTGCATTCGATGCTAAATTTTGGATGAACATAAAAAACTATAAGAAAGTGGTTTATGTCCTCAGACAGAATTAAAAACAAATTAGAATTCCAAGGAACACCCACCTGAGAAATTTGCGTAATGATAACTGTTAAGTAACAGCACAGTAAAGACGAGAACAAAACGGTTATCATCAGTAGAACATATCGTGGAAAGGAAGGGTATATATAAGAAGTAGAAGGGTAACTTCATGAAAGAGAATGAGTTGAATCTTTTCATGGAAAAAAGGGTAGAGTTTGATGAAACAAAGAGGAGTCGAAGCCTTCTGGTTGGAGGGAGACATATTGTGCAGGTGACGCTGTCCCTAGCAGACCTTTGAACTATGAGTAGGGCAGCCTAGTTGCCATGGATGATTTGTGTACAAAAGTAGTAGGTGATGAGGTTGGAAAAGCAGCCTTTGGCCAAACTGTGAAGGAAACCAAGAACAAGGAAACAAAGTCAGGAATTTATCCTTATAGGTAATGATTCCTGAGAGAGTTACCATCATAGTGAGTGGTGACAAAAATAATTTAACATGAGAATTTGAGAGAACATTTTAACTTAATAAGCGTATCAGATGTATCACTTACCATAATGGATAGAATAAAATGATTTATTTTAGTGCTAGTAGTAACACATGAGGCCAGTGTTCCAATGAAAATGATTTGGTTTAACGTGTAAACCTACTGGGCAAGATATCTAATGCTATGTCAGGTGCCAGGCTTAGCATACTGCCACTACTCAAAAAGTGAAATGTAATAATGGGACTTGTCAAGACTCTGAAGTAATAAATGTCATTAAACCCAGGAGAAAGGAGATGGCTTTGCTTTCATTTACCCGGGGACATACAGTCTCAGTTTTCTCAGAAAAACCTAAAATCCTGTTGCTAAATTTACATAGAAATGAACTGAATACATTATTTAAAGCCTGATTCAGGCTTCCCATCATAAAGGACAGGGAATCTTACCTATATTGATTGGTCTTTCAAAAGGTGTATGGGAAAACGCCCCTCTCCTAATCACTGAATTAAATGGAATTTGCTAGCATTAGTTTAATCAGTACCTTGTAATCAAATCAGGCATGAAATCAAGTTTTGATTATATATTGTTCTCACTATTACTATCAAATTGCCAAATCATTGGAAACACCCCTAAGTATGGGGGAGGAAGACAAAGGATCAGGGAAGCAATATTTATTTAGTAAAACAGAGAAATATAATTAGATTTAACCAAATTTGTGAAGCTCTTCAGCCTTCCTTTTTGAGCTATCCTGAAGTAACTTAGATTCCCAATATCATTCCTGTAATATATCTTAAGCTGCCCTGAAGGGTTGCACCAAGTAGACAGATAAAACTACTTGTTTATGTCAAATTTCCTCACACAATGATTAAACACATAGGACCTTTTTTTTTTTTTAACAAATAGAGGGAATTTCTAGTTTTCTGTGACTATTCTTATTTAATTTTCAATTAAATGTGATTTTACAAATAAAAAGTTAATTTGATTATAAAATTTTCACTTTGTTACTAGGTAAAAACATGTTTTATGCCAACCACCATACCAATCCATTTACTTACTTACATTTTCACATGGAATTCTAACAACCCTATGAGGATGCTATATTCCATTTTACAGAAAAGAAGTATGAGATTGACATCCTTTGTTACACACTACTAAGTAATAAATGTGAAATCAAGATGTGCTTGATTACAAAGGCCTGCTTCTCATATCATTATAAAATAATCCATTTTTCCAATACAAAATTTATGTATTTTTTCAGTTCAGAATGCAAGCCAGATACCAGCAATAGGAAAAGGTACCATCTAAGGCTTCCAGAGCTCTAATAAATAAATAATTTCAACATGGAAATTAGACAAGGATTTTGATTGGTACATCAAGTAATTAAATTTAAAAAGTGTCTTGATTAACTATTGTGTTTCAACATCAATTCAACAATAGAAAATATAATTACTCAGCATAACCAATTATATTTTATTAAGGGATGCATGATGTTATAAATGAGAAAAATGCATTTATAATGAATTTATTTTAGTTTTTATAAAACTAGTAATATTAAAGGTAAATGATTGGCAAACCATTGTTCATTCGTCTATTGTTTGTTGAAGAATTTTGTTTTGAAAGGTAATTATATGCAGAGTACTAACTTGAATATTTCTTTATGCAGAAAGGAAACTTATACATAGTCCTGAACCCTCAAAAATCATATTTTTACAGGGCATTTATTGTGTGTGGAGATACATATAGTAATGAAAAATTTATAAGTTGCTTACAGAAAACTATGGTTGAGGAATGTGACTGGAATAATTTAATGAGAAATTCACAGAAGCAATCAATGGACAGAGAAGCATATTAGAGAAAATGATGGCCAAATTAACAACCTAAATAAAGCATTTGAGGTGAAAAGCAACAATTTTAAAATGAAAATGATATTGGTTGAACATGGCAAGAGCAATGTTTGGCCTATAATTTCTTCTGGTTTTCAGTAAAAGTTATTACTAGAATTTTGAAAGAAAAATATTGAAACCCTAGAATTGTATGTTCAATTAATCCATCAGTTATGAAAAGTGAATAAGTTCTAGAGATCTGCTGTACAACATATAAATAAACATGTAGATATATAAACTATAGATAAGAGTACAATATTGTGTTGTACACTTAAAAATCTAAGAGGGTAGATCTCATATTAAATGTTCTTTCCACAATAAAACCCAAAAATAAGTAATAATAAAAAATTTTAAAGTTTGTCTTCATCAAGCTAACATTTTTTATTGCCTTGTAAACAAGTACTAAGCCTGGTACTAGGTGCAGGGTATTGCAAGATGATCAAGATTCAATTGTTTTCCACAAGGAGCTCATTAAAAATAACACAATAACAAATAACAACTATACAACATGACAAGGGCTAATATAGAGGAATAATTAAAATTTAAATAAGATACATGTGCAGAAATAATTTATTCTGCCTAGTAGGAGAACTGGGAGGAAGATGATCTCAGGAAGTTATAAAAAAGATGTCACCTTTAAAAATGAGTAGATATTTGTTGTATGAAAAAAAAAAGGGGAGTGGGTAGAGGAGGGAAGGAGGATAGAAGAAGGAATAGCAGGTGCAAGGAATACCATCAAGAAATGCAAAAATGAATAAAATGCTTTGAATTTGGGAATCAATGATTTGGCTAAAGAATTGGGTACACTGTTGAGAGAGCTGAAAATAGAATATAATCTTGAGACTGGTTCTGATGGACCTTATATGCTGTGCTAATTAATTGTTTTATTTATTCTGAAACAGCTAGTGTAAAATAAAACTTGAAGAATGTGTAGAAGTTTATTTGTAAATATTGTATTTAATCTAATGAAGTGTTTATTTTATTTTTCAAAATCTTTAAGCCTCATACAATCTCCATGAAAGCGTGTAACAGGTTTTATCTTTTTTCTTTTTAACTACAGCCCTTTTTTTTTTTTTTTTTTTGAGACACGGTCTTGCTCTCTTGCCCAGGCTGGGATGCAGTGTCATGATCACTGCAGCTTTGACCTCTTGGATTCCAGCAATCATCCCACCTTAGCCTCCTGAGTAGCTGTAACTACAGGTGCATGCCACAGTGCTCGTTTGGCTATTTTTAAAAATTTTTTTTAGAGATGGAATCTCACTATGTTGCCCAGGCTAGTCTTGACCTCTTGGGCTCAAGCAACTCTCCTGGCTCTGCTGCCCAAAGTGCTGGGATTACAGGCATGAGCTGCCACACCTGGACTATTAAACCATAAACTTTTATTTGAGTTCTAAAGATTTTTTGTTCAATTATGGTACCTACAGTATGTTTTTTGCAGGATGACAAAAGTTATTTGCAGTATATTTTGTGTTTTCACTTAGAGGTGAAAATAAAAAATTCCACAATTATGATCTCCAGGAAAATCTGTGTCAGAGAAGTAATAACCATGGACTTGATATACATTTTCTGCATCTTATGACAGATTAAGTAAATGATCTTTTTTAAAAACAGCACATAAATATTTATTGGGCACTGTGATGTCTGTTATACAGCTAGTCACTTTCTCTCACCTACCTACCTGGTTTTAGATTTCAAATAATACCAGTAGTTGTAAAAATACATAAATGATTTTTTAAAATCTTATTACCATTTCAAATATATTTTAACAGCATGCTAGTGTTATAATAGAAACATTATACCAAAATATTTGTTTTAGTTTTGTATAGAAGAGTTTATTGTATAGAAGTTATTGTATAGAAGAGTTTATTTTCATTTTTTTAACTTTGAAAAATGGTGAGTATCTTGAAATCTTATTGATCACTGATTTGGAAGACTTTATTAACATCAGGAGATACACTTCTGTTTCTTCTCTCTTCCTGGTACACTCCATGTAAATGACAGTGTGCAATCTGCCAGCTAGGCACAGCTGCATGCCACCACTTTAGTTAAATTCTTTCTGCTACATGAAGCTGGGATTGCTGGGTGCAACCCTTCTCTGTGTACAGAGATTCTCTTTTGAAGCATAACATAGCATCAAATTCAATGTCATTTTCAAGCAGATTAAGGCACCTTCAGGGTGCCAATATTGATAAACAAGCTACTCTTGCAGAGACGATGGGTTTTCTATTTAAAAAATAAAAAGCAACCAGTGCACATATTTGGACACAGCGACACTCCCTCTCTATATTGAACTTTCAAAAGACTCCACAGGATCTCTTGCCTCATGGGATCTGTACTAGCAGACCTATTTACCCCTACTGTGTCAAGCATATGTCTCCAATGCTCATGTACAGTTTACGGCTTTGTCAGGCATCAATTGCAGCAAATGTCTGCTTTTCTGTATTTGATTATGCCTTGTCTTCATGCTTTTTCTCAAAGCCTTTAAGTCAGAGGTTCTCAAGGACTCATACAGAAAAGGGCAAGAGGAAAGTGAGATGTGCATGTGACTCACGTTCTCAGACCCTGTCTGGGACACTAACATATGGCTCACAGGATCAGAGATCACTGGGTTTCCTATCCTTTGAACCTATTCCAAATATATTTGGAATGAAATATCTCTCTAAATTGGTTACTTAATATAAACACGTTACTAGCTTTACTTTTCTTAGCTGACAGCTATTGAGATTTCTTACTATCTCAGTGCAAGCTATGCACAAAAGAATAAGAGTACATGTACAAATTCTTGTTTATATACATCCTATTTTAAACCTGAATCCTTAGAAGACAAAATCTGAGACACGGAGTATTGGTAGTCTTCTATTGAGAAGGTACAATCCTAGGGCAACTAGAATGAGGGAAAATTGAAATAGAGCAGAAAATGATGGAAAGCACTGCAAACTTATTTTACCAGACTCACCAGCAGTTGCAAGAAGACACAGCGAGTCGTTCAACTGGTTACCCACTCTGTAACATTGGGCATATCTTCACAACATTGGATAGCCAATTAGAGGGAGAAAAAAACCCAGCAAATTCATTTGTCCAATTGTCTCTAGATTTCTTTCCCGGTAGTCAATATTTCCCCAACAGGAAAAAAAATTCCATTTCATTTATATTATCTGTGCTCTGTTCCCTCTTTAGTTACCCAGGAAGTCAGATGACATGGTTTATGATGGGTGCCTTATGCAGTTGGGAAGTGATGGAAGAAGCACAAAGTAAGATCATGTGGTGTACTATTCTGATTTGTAGAGATAGGAAGGAAGAGAACCCAGCCTGACTAGGCAAATATCTAGTACTACCTGGGTAGCAAAATCACATGAAGCTAAGCCGTGCTCAGTGGCAGCCCAGGCAGGTATGTGGCTAAAGGTTTGAGAAATTATGGCCCTGAGAGAATGGGAGGAAGCACATGAAATGTGTTCAATATTCAACAAAGACCATAGGACATGTTTACTACATTGTTTCTCCTTGATCTTTTTGATGTTGTCCATTAGGATATAGGTACATGATTACTGATGAGGACTATAAAAATATATAAGATTTTTATATTGAAAAATAAAATTAATACTTTATATCAGCGGTCCCTAACCTTTTGGGTACTAGGGACTTGTTTCATGGAAGACAATTTTTCACCAGACTGGGGTGGAGGGATGGTTTTGGGATGATTCAAGTGCATTACATTTTCTGTGATAAAAACATTTATTGTCTTTTTCTTTTGAAAAACTCCAAAGCCTTGTCTTTTAACGCAGGGTGCTTGCTCTCCATGTAGCAAAGCAGTTTTGATGGTTTCATAGCTTCGTTGAATAGCCGGTTGCCACATATTATACAAAGCGAGCTTGGAGAATGTGAATCACCTGTTGCAATGAACTCATAATTTAAGTAGGACTCTTCGTATTTCTTTTAAATGCAGCTTTCTTTTTGTTGGCAGTTTTAGTGTCTTCTGCTTTCTCATCATTGGGTCTTTCTCCCTTTTCAAAGAATTTCTCTATGGCTGTTTTTTATTCGTTTTGGCTAGGGTTAGCTTGCGGGCTTACCAAAACTGTGACTGAGACAAGTGCACAGTTCGGGAAAGAGGCGTGGACGAAAGTGGTAAATAAAATAATAGGCAGGCCATACACAGACTAAAATAAGTGTCGGATTCTGACTTAAAACCTGCCATCAGATGCAGCTGTACAATTGAAGTACATCAACTCACTTGCCACTATAAAGCCTGACATCAGAGGCAGCTTAATTATCACTTGCCACTCACCGATAGGGTTTTGATATGAGTCTGCAGGCAATTGATTTATTTTGGTCTCTGTGAAGACACACCTCTCAGCTAATGTTAGTCTGTATTTGCAGCTGCTCCCCAGCACTATAGCATCACCACTTCAGCTCCACCTCAGATCATCAGGCCTTAGATTCTCATAAGAAGCACCCAAACTAGATCCCTTGCATGCACAGTTCACATGAGGGCTTGCGTTCCTATGAGAATCTAATGCCACTGATGATCTGACAGGAGGCAGAGCTCAGGCGGTAATGTGAGCCATGGAGAGTGGCTATAAATACAGATGAAGCTTCACTTGCTTCCTGGCCTGCCACTCATATCCTGCTGTGCTGCCCAGTTCTTAACAGGCCACAGATTAGTACCAGTTCATGGCTCAGGGGTTGGGGACTCCTGCTTTATATCCGTTAGGCATCAGTGAATGAATAATTCTATAATTATTCTATAATTTATATGGGTACCAAATAAGTCAAGGCCAGAAATAAAATAGCCAATATTATTTGTTTAGAACCTACTATCATCTAGAAATTGGTATAATTTCTATGGATACAAAATTCATTAAGAGTAAAACTTCATACTCAAGAGATTCACAGTATAATGGGAGATACATAAAAGTTTATAAAAAGAATATGATCTTCATGATTACTAAGTAAAACTAACCACAGAATATTATTGGAATAGGGAAGAGAAACATTAAAAAAGTCTTGGAAGTAGCACAAGACTCTTTAAGGAGAATATAGTTAATCTAGTGTTAAAGAACAAAAAAGAATATAAGCAGGTAGATAAAGCAGGCAAACTAATGAAAGGAAATGATATCATATTGCTCAAACAATTAGAAAAATTAGAGTGTAAGGTATATCATGGGTCAGCAAACAGTTTATGAGAGGGAATGGTAAGAATTGAAGTTCAATAATTAAGGAGGAGTCTTATGTGCTCAGTTTAAGAATTTGAGCTGAATCCCCAAGGCAATTGGAAGCATTGAAAAATAAGAAGATCTGTGACAATACATACAGGTTCTGAGTTTTAGAATATTACTATGGTTCTACAGGGACATCTATTGGAAGAATCCAGACTCTGGGCAGAGACTAGTTAGGACTGTGTTGTGTGGAAATAAATGAAGACCAACCAATGAGAACAAGAAACAGCTGTTTATTCAGAGCTTGTTATATATAGAAAGGGAGTCGACACCATCACTGGTATTTTGGCAGAGACTCAAAGGCAGGTAGAGAAGTGGGAAAGCTTTATAGTGGAAAAAAGAAAAGCTCAGGTATGCCCTGATTGGATGTTTTGGCATGGGGAAGCTACAGATGGGCTAACTAGAAATGGAGCATCCTGTGTGATGGGTTAGGACTGCATATTTTGGCTTTCCCCGGTGGATCTTAAATTGCAATAGGGAAGAAAAAATTAGGGAAGCTGTCAGTTACTAATCAAGTTCTGGCCATTTGAGCCAATTGTTGCAGGGGCTATTGTTTAGCTCCCTGGCTTGTTACTGGAGATAGGAGTCTAACTTTCTATAACTCTGACTTAGAGTAGGCGGACTTCCTAAGATATTTATTGTAGGTAAGAGTTCTGTGTGGTATTTATTGTAGGGGGTTGGTTAGCTGGGCAGGTTGCTATAGGTTACAAGTGGGAGTTCTATATTTATACAAGGTCTGTCTGTTGTCTGTATGTATGTTGAGTCTCTCTATTGGGATATTCCAGTCAATACATAAGGGCTGAAATAAAGCAGTGACAGTGAGGATGGAATTAGACACTTCAGAAGAAGTAATGGGGTTTTGATAATAAATTGCATGTAAGAGAAAAGATACATAGATATGTATTTGAAGCAGCACTACACTTGGCATAGCAGTGATCAGAGCAAGAGAATATTTTGAGTGCTTGGTAGCAGTCCAGGAAAGACAACCTGATAGATTCAGTTTGGGGTGAATTGAGTTTCAGGTATCAATGCTATCTAAGCATGTAAGGATGATGTTGTAGACACTATTTCTCCACCTGAAACAGTGCCAGGAAAATAGAAATATCCTCAAAATATTTGTTAACTGAGTAAGTTAAATATATTGATCTAGTACTCAGGAGAAAAGTATACTGGAGCATTATCGATGTTACATATCACAGCCATGAATGAAATTGCATAGGTTAAACAACTAGAGTTAAAATGAAGGTAAGGAGGTCAACCCTTACCTTCGCCAGGGGAAAATCCTAATGAGTGAAAGGTGGAAAACTAGGGGAAACTGGAAAGGAGGTTTAATGATGAGTGGTAGCAAGATGGGTATTTCATGAAAATAAAAGAAAGAGAGCATTTGAAGGAAATCAGTGATGCCAAAAACTTCAGAAAAAAGTAAGAAAGGTAAGCATTGAAATGTGAGAGGTTGGCAAGTGATAACTGACTGGTAAATGCTAACTGTATTAAAAACAACTGTCAATTTGTAGTAACATAAATTAAATATAGTAATAAAAACCCAAATACTTATAAATTTGTCCCTTATACAAAGACAGGAAGGATTGGTTCTGGGACACCCAGGTATACCCAAATCCATGCATACTCAATTCCCACAGTCAACTCTCTGGAACCTGCATATACCAAAGTTCAGTCCTCCTTGTACGTTGATTTCACATCCTGTAAATACTGTATTTTTGATCAGCCTTTGCTTGAAAAGGATTTGTGGAAGCCTGGACCTATGCAGTTCAAACCCATGTTGTGCAAGAGTCAACTATATTACAACCCTTACAATAATTCTAACCTTTAAATACAAAATTATTTGGTAACACAAATAGAAAATATTTATTTGTGATTTGCCTGAAGAAAGAAATGAAATTTTGAAATCTCAGTACTTGAGGAACTTAGGGACAACACTGACAAGCTCTGAGATAACCTGGATATTTGTCTCTGAATTTCATTCTGACTTTGGGAATGGTATGCATTTATTGGAGTTTTAGAGATTATAAATTTTTATGACTGTAAACTAGAGTAACTAGTTTGTAAGGTGATGACAACATATAAAAATGTTAAAATAATTGGGCAACCACTAAAAGTGGCAATACTGCATACTTTTTTCTTTAATTTAATAATATTTATTAAGTACTGTGTGCCAGGTAGTGAGAAAGCATCAGGAATACAATTTTGAACTTAAAGAACACATGATGCCTGATTTAGAAGGCTTACTACCTTACTACCCTGTGGATGAAATAAACACTAGTTAAATAATCACATAAATAATTAATACATTAAAATTAAAATGTGATAAGTGCTGCAACTGAAAGGTAGAAGGTACATGAGAACATTTAATAAGAATTGACCTTCTTAGGAAGGTGAGTAAAAGATTCCTTGAGTAGGTGAATTTGAGCTCAGATCAGAAGGAAGTGTTAACTTAATGGAGATTAAGAGTTTGTGTGTGGGGTGGAGGGTGATTGGAGAGTGTTTAGGGAGGCCAGTGGCAAATAAAACAGTCCAGTAGAGGATAATACATGTTTAAGGATCTGAGGTAGATGGAGGAATTGAGAAACTGAAGAATGACCTAAAACAGAAAGGACAAGGGGAATGAAGTGTGTGTCAGTAAGCCCATGCATGGAAGCCCACACCAATTCATTAACAGATCATGATCAAATTTGCATTTCAAAAATATTGCTCTGGATTTAGTGGAGGAAAAAGAAGAGACAAAAATGGAAGTGGGGAGACCCATTAGGAGGTTCTTGCTGTAGCTGTTGTTTCATGATATAACTCCCGTAAGAAATTTGATTTAATAAATTGCATATAGAAAAATATTGATTATTTGGAGGAGGAGTTCTTAACGTTTTATGAATGTGTATATTAGAATCAATTATGATTTTCTTTCAAATGTACAGGTCAATGTTCCCTTCCTGAGTCTCTTAATTCTGATCTCTCAAAGCTGGAGTCAGTGCACTTGAAGATTTTTCAAAAGAGATTCCAATATACGCCTCTGGTATGCTCACCATTGATAACCAATCACTAGATAATATCCAAAGAAACATTTCTCAAAGATGGAATGCAGATGACTTGCTTTCAAAAAAGAAGATTCCCAAACCCGATCCCAGACCTGTTAAATCGAATTATCTTAGATTGGTACCTGGTAGTTTACATATTTAGATTTACCCATTGTGATTATTATAGGTGTTAAAACTTGAGAATGCCAAATGTTGAAGAAAGAGTGAATGGCATGTTCTTCTAAAATACTTCATAAATATTGCTCTTTTTAAAGAGTTTTCAATGAATGATGTGATTTGCAGAAAGTTTGAGCTCATATTTTATAGTGATTATCAGGAACATACACACTCTGCGTTATTGATTGGTGACCATTCCATGTACATCAGAAATCAAACAACTAGACGGCAAAGCTGAAATCTTGACAAAAAAATTGAGAAGTGTCAAAAAAACTCTCACCAATACAAATGATCATCCTAATTCTAATATTATTTTATCCAAATACAATTTCTTTTCATTACTACAATAACCTTATAAAAATATTTTTATCCATATTACTAAGAATTAGAACTAAGCCTTAATAAGTATATAGACCAAGAGTTTTTAACTAAAAGTAGGTACAAATATTCAAATAGTTTCTAAGCATAAAAAAAGAATATACCAATGTGAAAACTATTTTTTCTCAAAATAAAAATGAAAAAAAGTAGAAATTAGGTATATTGTAAACATCTATTGTTTTGGATATGCAATACTCAATCTACCTTTCTTAATAGCAAACTGGTATTCTTTTAGGTATTAGGACATTCAAATTTGGCCGTTTTTTTGTTTTGTTTTGTTTTGTTTTTGAGAGAGAGAGTCTCACTCTGTCACCCAGGCTGGAGTGCAGTGGCGTGATCTCGGCTCACTGCAACCTCTGCTTCCTGGGTTCAAGCAACTCTCGTGTCTCAGCCTCCAAAGTAGCTGGAATTACAGGCGTACACCACCATGCCTGGCTAATTTTTGTATTTTTAGTAGAGACTGGGTTTCTACTAAAACGAGGCTGGTCTTGAACTCTTGCCCTCAAGTGATCCACTCGCCTCAGCCTTCAAAAGTGCTGGGATTACAGGCATGAGCCAACGCTCCTAGCCTTCAAATTATGCTCACTTTTGATTGGATTGTTGAACAACATTTTCTACTGTCTTATTACAAAAATCCTAGAGCCCTTAGAGATTTCCCCCCTACATGCATGTTCTTATTGCTAAGGAATACTCAGGCAATGGACTATCTCTATTCTAGAGACTGAGAATCCAAAACAAAGTGGTGCAAAAAAAAAAAAAAAAAAAAAAAAAGAATAATAATAAGAAGTTAATTTGCTTAAGCAGCAGAGTCTGTGGTCAAGTGGTTTCTTTGACTTTCAGGGGCTGTCTCAATCCAGACCCTTTCAAGCCTATTTCATCCACTCTATTCCAATAAATGTACTTTAAGGATAAATAGTTCAACAAATATCGTAAAGGGCTAGTATGCTGGAATTTATTATGGGAATGAATTGTTTCAGTCAGCAGTTGACTTATAAGCTGAATGTATGATTGTCTTTATGTGTGTGGTATATAGAAGTATGTCTATATGTCTAAGTCTAATAGCACACCTACCCATGGTATGTAAATATTAAAGCAGACCAACATGGGGAAAAGCAAATGATACTTTCTTTAGAGAACGGGAATTTAAACTCTGCTACTGCTGCTGCAAGTTTTATGTAATAATATCAGTGCCATCTGTCAACATTTTCATGTAATTTGTTGAGGTCATGTATTTCAAGTATTTCAAACAAAATAAAGAAGTTGAATTATTCTTTAATTAGTGTTGAGACTGTGCAAGAAAAACAAGGATGTTAGTACACAGTAATGAACTACAACCAGATACAAATACTAAGGTAGAAGTAATTTTCTAATATATTAATATTTTTATAGGAAATAATATTTTCTGCCCTTTTTCAACATTATTAACCCTTCCATTCTGAAGAGATATTAACACGCCATCTTAATCATTAAATAAACTCACATATATACAGTCATTAATCTAGAGACACATGGTACTATGGGAACAGATTTTTAGAATAAATTAAATGTTCCATATTTTTTAATGAAGTAAGACATTTTGTTGTTCATAGTCTTGAGTTGTCATCCTGGTTTGCGACCTTCAACTGACTTCCCAGGTACATGTGTGTAGATAGTCTCTTTAGACTGTTTTAGCACAAGTATCACTGCAGAGATTTTTCCATTTTTTTAAGCTTTCTTTGTAAAATGATTTATGTTTTTATACAAATAACTTTATTCATTTATTTATAACTATTTTTAAAACACCATAGAGTTCATATCACTTTCGTGTTTAAAATCATTCAGTGGCTTCTTGATGCATTTATGATAAAATTCATAGAAAAATGCCATGTATGGGCTTTGATAATTATTATAATCCAGTCCTTAACTAGTGTGGACTTTCTCAGGACTCCTTTCCCTGTGCCTTTTTCCTTTGTTTACTACTCATCTGCTTACCACTTATCCTGTCTACCTGGTGTTCTGTCCATTACTCAAATTACTAATATGCTTCCCATTGCAAGTATGTGTTGTTTGCAGTACTTGGAAATCTTTTACTCCTATTTTTCCCTTTTCATTCTTTATTCATATTATTCCCAAGCTATTCATTCAACAAATGAATAGCATGAGGATAATATGGACACACACTAAATACCAGGCATTAGAAATGCAGCAGTGAATACAAAACAAAAAAACAAACAAACAAAAAAGTCTAGGACCTCTTAGAGCTTGCATTTTAGAGTAATGGAAACAATACATTAACGATATAGTTATTGCAATAGAATGCCATGAAGTGATAAGTGCAATACAAAAAAAATCAGGATAGAAAATAGAATGGAAAGCAAGTGCAATTTAAAATAGATTGTCTAGCGAAGACCTTCTCAAGAAGGTTACATTTGAGCAGCAATCTAAATCACAGGGGAGTATGTGAATACCTAGAATAGAGTGGTCTAAGAAGAGAGAACAACCTAACAAAAGCCCTGAAAGGAAGAGGCAGCATCATATTTTCAAAGGCCAATGAGTAGACCAGTATAGCTGGAGCATGGTGAGGAAGACAGAAAGCCACAGGTAGTGTAGGCAAAGGGAAACTAGGGGCCAGATTATGTAGATTCCATTATTCATTTGCAACATTTTGTATTTTATTTCAAATGTACTTAAAATGCACTGTATGCTTTAGGTAATGATGCAATATGATCTGAATTGTTTCTCAGAAGAATAATTATGGCTGCTGAACAACAGAGCCTGGTGAATGTAGTAGTCAGCTCTTGCCATGTTACAAATAATCTTAAAATATCAGTACAGCAGAGGGAGAATAAAGCCAAGAGTGGTGAGATGGAATGCAAAATGGTGATCATCATGCAAACACCATGAAATCACAGCTAATTAAGGATGTAAATGATAATATGAGGGGAGTGAGTGGGATCATCCCTCCTGGGGTCCAAGTTTTATAACAGGGTGATATTAAATGAAATTAGTTACAAAGAGAGGAAGTGGTTATCAGAGAGAGGATTGCACTTAATTGAGCCCTGGATGAAGTTCTATTATTGATAATGCCTAAGGTATGGATATAGGGTAGGCAGGTGAAAAAAGTCAAAGAATAAGGACATCAGAGATGTGGAAGTCAAGGAACTGAAAGACCGGAGTGCTTAGAGAATCAGAATGACTATTAAAATCACCATAAGGCAGGAATCATAATGGATAAAAAACCAGAAAACAAGATTCTAATGTTTTCATGAAGAGAGAGCATAATAGGAAGAATAGTGAATGTCTGCAGTGAGCACAGATAGTTGACAAGGTGTCTGAAGTCATGCATTTTAGAGAAGCTGAATTATCTTAGAAAAGGGGGAAGCATCTACCTGGAAACAGCAATAAAGGTAGTGGTTGTGGTAGAATTAGAGTCACATGTGAGGAGCATGCTGAAATCAGTGCATCCCCTCCTTTCAACACATAATGGGGCCCCAGTGAATAGTTACTGAATGAAAAAATGGTAAAGTACTAAAATGAATCAACACTGATACTAAAAGACCTTGGATCTATTTTACTTCTTACTGAAGAAACATGTTTGGCAATATTTGTAGGTGTGATAAGTGTGTAAAAATAAAATTATCTGGGTGCTATTGTTATGTTTACTGATTCAAAGATGTAGGCATATGTGTAATTGGGAAACTTCTACAAACATGAAGCAAGCAATCATTTTTAATTTTAGTCTCTAGGACTCCCTGGAATATCATCCAATACTAATTATTTGGAAAATGCACAACAGTATGCATTCTATTTAGTGATTTGTGTATTTAAATGTATTTCAAAGGTGTGTGGTATTTTTCTTAAATATTTTTACATAATTGCATTAATATTATAAATATCATTTTATTGCTTTTGTAATTTTTTTCTGGATGATGTCAATTACCTGCATGAACAGATAATTACGCCACCCAAGTAAGATTTTTAAAAATTTTAGCCTCTATAAGTTTCATTAATATTTTCATCTACTAATTTTCTTTAACAATTCTAAAACTCACTTCCTATTAAAATTATATCAATGTCAATATCTTGTGTTTTTTTCCTGAATATTCTTGAATTTACTAAGGATAACCATGTCATAAAATATTCTTTTTTCCTGATTTTTTTTTTTTTTTAGACAGAGTCACACTCTTTCACCCAGTTTAGAGTGTAGTAGCATTATCATGGCTCACTGTAGCCTTGACCTTCTGGACTAAAGCCATCCTCCCACCTCAGTTACCTAGTGGCTGGGACTACAGGCACGCTCCACCATGCTAGGCTAATTTTTTGAATTTTTTGTACAGACAAAGTTCCCTGTGTTGCCCAGACTGGTCTTGAACTCCTGGACTCAAGTGGTATTCCCTCCTCAGCCTCCCAATGTGATGGGATTACAGGCATGAGCCACCATGCCTGGCCCTTCTTTCTCGATTTTTATTAAAATTGATTAAAATAGGAAAACGGGGATTGAGATAAATTATTACATGGGGTTTTCAAAAACACTGAATATTATTCTCCTTTCAAGAACATTTGTTTCTACAAGCAGAAATTTTGTTGATTTAGATGGAACTTACTGTTTGGTTGAAAGCAAAAGTGTATAAATTGATTAAAAAATTATGACTCCCTACATTCTGGAACATTGGGAAGCAACAACCTACAGAGAAAGGGAACTCAGTAACAAAGGGAAGTTTACGAAAGTTAGAGGGTAATTATTGAGCTATACTTTAGGTAGCTTTTCTCGAAGGAATAAAAAATATCGTGTGGAGATATTTCATAGATAATGGGGAGTAATTGAAAGTCTACAGGCTGATGTATTCCTCTAGGAAAAGTAATATGTAGTAATAATGTGAAAGATATAATACATTGTACAATTCAATAAAGCCAGTGGGAAATAGCGTTGAATACATTGGCCTATGCTTAAATCACAGAATCGATAAATATTTGTCTCTGTATGGGAAGGCCTTCAGAAGATAAATTTCAGGGTACTGATACTAAAGAATTATTTTTTTAAATCTATAGTGCACAGAAAATAAAATGTTTTATACATAGTGCAGAAAATATCTTTCTTTCAATACTAAAGACTTTTTATATATTTAGGATTTATTATCATTAATAAACATTTGTTAAATATGTGGTGTGCATACATAACACTGTTCTAGATATGCCTTTATTTTTTTAGTTTTCACATGGTAATTTGAAGTTTGTAAATATAAACTCCAAAGATAAAAGAGAGTAAGAATTTTTAAATTCCTTTTTTTAGGATTTTTTCTTTCTTATTTAGTATAATGTTTTTAAATATATTGTTAAATAATTTTTTTCTTGCATCAAATGATTTCATCCTGAAGCTTAAATACTATGTTACTCATGCTAGTAGGTAATCTCCCAGATGCAATAGGTATTCAGAGATAAAAGAGAAGGAAATAAACCATTTACAAACACTCTCACAACATTCCAGAGGTTATTTCACAAGCGCAATCAAATCACAAAGCAACATGTAATGAATTAAAATACAGATCAAGATGACTGTGATACAAAGTTATTTAAACCATGCATTTAATATCAGCAGCCTTAAGAATGTTATTGCAATATCCTACTGGGCAAAGACTAAATTTCTATACATTCAATCATTTGGCAGATTAAAAGGATTCTGCAAATGTATTATGGCAAATATTAAGGGATACATGGGAAACAACTAGCTTTTCACTAGTAAGATATAAGACAGTGAGATGGAAAGTAAAATATACTTCTTTGCCACTTAGGGTCCATCTCTCTCCTCTTGCTCATGCATGCACATGCATATGCACACATGTATACACTCTAATGCATAGAACAAATGAATTAAATATAAAAAAGAGAAGACAAATTATGAGACAGATGACTATTAACACAGAAACACCATTCAACATTAAAGAACATGGTTTTTTTCTCTTTTTAGTTAGATAATACTGTATTTATTTTGGTAGAATTTTTCTGTCAAGGGAAAAATGTATTTTTAGTAGAATATCATAAGCTCAATACCATTCAAGAGCAATGACAATTAAATATTAAAATAGGCAATATCAGCAGCTACTAGCCCAAGTAAAATTACTGTTCCTCATTTTCTCTCTTAAGTAGTTGCAAGGGAATATTATCAATCTACCACAAAGTCTCTATGCACCACATCAATAGTTCCTATTTGTAGATTTAATTATATTTGTGTTTAGAATATTTATATATTATGCTACTGTACATGCAGTCTTGAACATAAATTATACTATATACCCATTCAATTCCATGTTATTCTTTCTAATTTAACCAGTTACAATAAGTGGACGCAGTTAATTTACTCATTTGTTTTACAAGTTTTATTTTATTTGAACTCTGTACAGCTTATTCTTTTTACCTTTCTATGATACTCCATACTTAATAAGTCTTTGATGTGAGATTTTTAGGAAGGCATAATATATTGTTTTTGAATAGCAAAGTGCTTTTCAGGTGATCGTACATCACTTCAATACCGTTAGGTAGTTGGAAGTAGTGACAGCATAAATTCAGCCATTAATAATTTAAAAAGATAATTATGATTTCCCTTATTCGTTATACTACTGTGCAAAAAAATCCACACCATCTATCAAATGCTATTATATTTGTGTAAACAGATAAAGCGACTAAGCACGGTGACTCTATGAATACTGAATGCAGTTGCCTGGGGTTTGGTATAACCTTTATAAAAAAAATTGTAACTCTAGGTCAGTACTTCTTTTCATCAATCATCCACTTACTCTAATAATAGCATCTGTAAATGTGCTGACAATGTATTGTCATCTCAGAATATACCCTAACATGTTTAAACTTAGATGTTTTTTCAACATGATTTACTATTCAAAGGAAAGAATGAAAGTATTCATCGATAGATCAAGAAGGCATGTCATTATTTATGATGCCTGTTTCCAGGAATGTTTTGAGATCCCAACTAACTAGGGACTTATCCTCTTAGACAATTTGCACATGTTAAGGCCTATCACCCTGCAGTGTTTTTCAATCAGATTAGCCTCTGCATTGCTACACATTTTAAGACTATATGATGGCAAATTTTTAGTGTGCCTATATTTCAGTATCACAGATAAAAATTAAACTGTATACATTTTTCTTTTCCTTATCTGAAGACTAGAAAAATATATACCTAAATGCTATCAAATTTTAGAAATCTACTCGTTACCAAATGTGAATAGATTAGTTAGAAAAACAAGCTACTATCCAGTGATCAACCAAAAAAGATTGATGTTTTGCTATTTCTTGATTGGTGAATAGTATTGTATTATGTCTTATGAAGAATATTAAGAGTAATTGAAATTTTCACATCAGTGAGAAATACAAGGCAATACATATTCAAATATGGGATATAAAATTTGCAAAATGCCTGTAAAAGAAACTATGTATTTAAGCGCTAAGAGAGATAAAATTCAGTAATTGTTAAAAAGCAGTGCACTGACCAGAAGGTTTTAAATAGATATTTTAAAGTTGGAAGGACAGCATAGTGGGGTAGGGGTGAAGGATTGATTCCCATGTATAGCAAAGACATACACAAAAGTCAGGAACACATATTCAAAACAAATTAATAGGAAAACAACCATTTAGTGGGTCAGGAATGGAACTTCTGCACAGACAGTAATGAAAGATAAGTATGAGTAAATAAGGCAGGGTAATAAGAAATAGATGGCATACCCTTGAAAGAGATGCTAAAGAGCTCAAGTTTAAAAATAATGGCAAGAACATGGCACTTTTTACAAAGAAAAAAATAAATTCTCTGAAGTCCATCTAATTTACAGACCTGATATCCTGTTGTAGAATTTTCAGCTAGACCATCCTGTAGTTGACATCTACTAAACTTGGGTGGTCAAGGCTGCAAAGTGACCTATAAATGACAAAGAACTACTCTTCCTTCCCTGATACGGTAGTTTGGGAATTCCAGGGGTGCCAATGCTTAATTTTGGAAAATACTATGAAATGTAGATATGGCAAATTTCCTCGAAGAAATAATAAATGAACCATGGATTAATTCTTTAACATATTTTATTAATACAATTAAGGTTCATTGATTTGTCTAATGATTTCCGATAATGTAATACTCTATATTTACATCTAATTCCAGGAGTTTTATGGGATCTAGAGCATTGTTTGGCTGAATATCACACTGAGGGGAAGAAATTTAGATTTACATTTTGATAGAGAAATACAATAATGTGATCTAAACCTCTATATAATTATGATTTCAGAAACCATTATCCTTTATTATAAATAGGAGTTTTTTTGTTTTTGTGTCTTCATATCTCTGCTCATCCACCTAAATAGACCTCCTATGACAATTTAATAACCAACAATTCAACTTGATCTATGGTTTAAAAAAAACAGTGACATCTCTTTTTCTACCTGATTACCAATGCCCTCCAGACGGATAATACTATTGCCTTATTTCTTCATATTTAGTTTAATTCCTTTTACTAAGGTAGAATTACACCCTCTACCTTGATCATTGTACCCCATGTTCCTGAGCATGCTAAGATTATATGAAATGCTTTCCTTTTGGATATCTGTGAGACTTCCTATTCGCTTTCACTTATGTCTCCGCTTACTGTTACCTTTTTGGAGATTTAGAATACCTGAATCTAAGATGGCACACTGTTCCACTCTTTCATCTTATGGCTATTTTCTTTATAACATTGTATCATATTTGTTTATTTTCTGGCTCCCCCACTGCTGTGTAAGCTTCATGAAGATCCAAAGCAAATACCTAGAAAGGCTTTAGTGAATATAGGTTGAATGCATTTTAAAAATCAACAAATAACATGGTGGCTATTATGATCCAATTTTTACCACTTAACTCTGCAATCTTCAAAATGTATAAACTATCTTTCATGCTTCCCCAGCAGATAACTTTAAAAAATGCCATCAAGTACTGCTAGAAAATGTTACTTCTCTTTTTGAAAATTAAAAGTTAAGTGAACCCAAAAAGTATTGTGAATTTATAAAGAAATTTTATCCTGTTAGAAGTAAAAGTCACTTTACAAAACTGAATTCAAATTTTCAGCTCACAGGAAAAATTCCTGTGAGTTGGAGTTTCTCGTGCTCAGTCCTAGATTACTTCCTTTTAATTTTACATGCTAACCTGGGGTAATCTCAATCATACCCATGATTCCAGTAAACATTAATATGCACATTGATTATGTATTTCATCTTCAGCCCAGACATCTCCCATAAGTTTTGGATCCCTGGATACAAATGTGTACCTGGCATTTACACATGAATCTTCCAAAGATACCCAATGCACAACAGGTCTAAAAACAAATCCATGATGTTTCTAAACCATCACTTTTTTTCTGTCTTTGTTTTTAAGTCTTACCAAAGGGTAATAGTATTTGTAAAAAAGGAAGATACATAGGAGCTTGGATTAATTGTCAGATCTAAAACTTTCATTGCAAAGTACTGTATTCCTTGATGTAGTTCAGACTTTTCATTTGGGGTAAATTCCCTTATGCCTTCATATCTATCCTTTAGAATTTTATTCCCTTAATTTTTGTTAGTTTTTAAATGTTGTTTGTTTACAACTTTATATTGTCTTAATAGTTGAAAGGTATTTTGTCTTCATATAACATCTGAGGTTGACATTCATTTTCTCTTAGTGCATTGAAGATGTCATTCCACTGTATTCTGGCTTCTATGATTTATATTAAGAAATTCAGGAGTTACTTTAATTATAAGTTTGTTGAAATTAACCATCTTTTTTCTTTCTAATTGCTTTTAGAATTTTCTTTTTGTCTTCAGTTTTCTAAATATTTAAATTTGTTTTGTCTAGGTATTTCTCTTTACCTTTTGAGGGGGTGATCATACAGACTTCTTAAATTTGTGGAATGTCATATTCATTTACACAAAATTTTCATCCATTTCTTGTTGAATATGTGTCTCTTTTATTTTCTTTCTCATTCCCTTCTGGATTCCCAACTGGATCTATATTTGATATTAGAATTCTGCTATTTAGGTCTCTAATCAGTGTTTTCATATTTTCAACCTCTTTGGATATTTGTGTGTTGTATTTTTGATAACTCCTTTCCATCATGTTTTCAGGTCTCTCTTCAGCTGTGCCTACTCCACTATTAAACACATCAATTAAATTTGTATCTAAATACTATATTGCTAATTTCTAAGATTTTATATGCATTTATGTTCTGTCTATAGTACTTGCCAATGTTTAGTCCCTTGCCCTTTATTAATAATTTCAGTTCCTTATTACTTTAAACATTTTTAACATTATGTTTGATCCCTTCAGCATCTGAAACCTTTGTGCATCTGAGCCTTTTTTGTTTTTTTCTTCTGTCATTCATGGGAGCCTGTATTTTGTTTGCTTGCTGTTTTTGTTTCCTTTGTTTTAGTCACTGAGATCTTATTTTTCTTGGAGCTTTATCTCTGGAAATTTCTGGAAGCTGTTATGAAACATGAGAGCCTTCCAAAAGAAGAAGAAAAGAGAATTGTATTTATTTTTAAAAGGCATATGGGAGCATTACCATATTTTAATCATTTTATTTATTTATGCACTTACTTGTCTATTTATTTATATTTGAGACAAAGTCTTGCTCTGTTGCCCAGGCTGGAGTACAGTGGTGTGATCTCAGCTCACTGCAACCTTCACCTCCCAGGCTCAAGTGATCTTCCTACCTCAGCCTCCTCAGTAGCTGGGACTACAGGTGCATGCCACCATGTCCAGCTAATTTTTTGTATTTTTTAGTAAAGACAGGCCTTCTCTATGTTGCACAGGCTTTTAATAATTTTAAACTAAATTTTCAGGTTGAGGTACTATGAGCTCACATTTAGGATTTCCTAAGAAAACTTTCTTATCCCTCCTTAGGAAATTAATCTCAGTTACCTTCCCTGTTTCTCTTTGTCTGAATAGCTAACCATAATCATTAACACATACCCTGGAAGATGTGCATTTTATTAAAAGCATTTGTTTCAAACTGTCAAAATTAGAAGGATTTAATCAGGCTAAACATGGAATATCTGAAATGTTTACTTGAGAGCACTGGATGACAAAGAAAATGTAAATAGCCTCCTCAGCCCCCTCCTTTAATGGAGGGAATATAATGGCATGTCCCACCTCTCAGTGTTTATATTAATTTCAGTTAAACAATTTGGTGTGAGAGCAATTATCACACCATATGTAAATAAAAACACAGGTAGAAATAAAATTAAAGCACAAAAAAATATAAGCAAAATTAATTTAAAAGAATTCACAGAATGCTATTCTTTAAATCAGGTATGAAAATAATTTGACACCAAAAGGATTGATTCCCCAAATTCTATTGTAGTCAGTAGTTACAAAGTTCCCTATAATGCTCAAACTTCTATTTCAGTCTACAGTATGTAAAATATTTTTGAAGTGTTTGCTGTCTCTGTCCATCTAGTACACTCATAATTTCATATTTACAAACTCTTATTGGAGGTTGGCAATGCAATTATTTATCTTTTCTGAGTATTCTGATAACATCATGTGTTATCTAAATCCATCATTTTAGAAAATGTTTTTGAAAGACCATTTCGTATTTAACTAAACTAATGCCGTGATTAGTAATCAATGAAGCAATCTCTTTACCTTTCTTTAGAATTAAAACAAAATCCTATATTTACCAAAATTTCTAACATAAGACCAATATAAAAGCTAAATAGTAAATGAACAAAAATAGGAAATGTATATTCTTGTTATTTAAGCTACTGTAAATTACATTATTATGTTAAATTAAAAAGGCTCATTTTCATTAAGTGAGTGCCAACTGTTATCCTGCTTATAATAAGGGTAAAAAATTTTGTACTAGATAACTTTTTACTAAAAATATTTAGAGTATTTTCCTATTTAATGAGTAATTATGCTGGATTTGAAATGCACAGGAGACTGAGATATACTCATAAAGAGGAAATGAAAATGTCCTAACATATCAATATCCAAGAAGAATCATCTATTTAGAGTGGATTCTTCTCGTTTCTTGCCCATGCTTATAACATATATAGACTGATAGATCAATTATATAAAATATGTAATATACATATATATTAGTCCATTCCCATGCTGCTATGAAGAAATACCCGAGACTAGGTAAATTATAAAGAAAAGAGGTTTAATTGCCTCACAATTCCTCATGGCTGGGGAAGCCTCAGGAAACTTATAATCGTGGCTGAAGGGGAAGTAAACACATCCTTCTTCACATGGTGGCAGGAGAGAGAAGAATGGGAACCATCAAAGGGGTAAAAGGCCCTTATAAAATCATTAGATGTGCTGAAAACTCACCCACTATCACCAGTATCACGAGAATAGCAGCATGGGGTTAACTGCCCCTATGATTCAGTTACCTCCCACTGGGTCCCTCCCAGGACACGTGGGGATTAAGGGAACTACAATTCAAAATGAGATTTGGATGGGGACACAGCCAAACCATATCAACATATATATGCATAAGAAATAGGCACAAACATATATCTCACAAAACCTATCATATAGAGTATCTATAATTTGTATTATAGATACAGAGTATCTACAATTTGTATTATAGATATAGATATCTATATCTGTATCTATAATTTTTATTTTATATATTGTATATAATACTCCAATTTGTATTATGGAGTATCTATAATCTGTATTATAGATACAGAGTATCTATAGTCTGTGTTGTAGATACAGAGTATCTGTAGTCTGTGTTGTAGATACAGAGTATCTGTAGTCTGTGTTGTAGATACAGAGTATCTATAATTTGTATCTTGCTTTTTTAAAACGCATACATATGTAGTGTATATACACCATTCATACAACTGTTCTCTTAATGTTTGGATAAGAAACAGTAAAAATATATATCATAGGTACTTTAATTTTATATGATTTAAAATACATAATCTTAACCGTTTATAACATCTTTCTACCTAACTTAAATGTTGTCCAAATTTTCTACTTATTGCTAGAAATAATTCAAATCGATTTCCAGCCCTTCTAAAGGCACTACATCTTGGGTAGAGAATTTTTATCTTACTTTAAATTTGAGTGCTGATAAATATCTGGTTCACATACATGAGTCTTGAGGGGTTAAGGGTACTATCAATGCCAATAATTTCTACCACTTTTATATTGCTTTATATTTTATAAAATAATTTTTATAATCACTAATAATATCACTGAGGTAGATATTATTAGTAGAACTGTATGAATTTAGAATTTAAGAAGATTTATTTGAAATCAACATTGCTACTATCTAGTGGTACTATTTCTGATAAGTTTATTAATATCTCAGAACGCTTGTTTCCTTTTCTTTAAAAAAAGATATTACCCATCCCCCGTATTAATTGGGGTGAATTAAATGGAAACCAATTCCTACATGAATTGCTTAACACTATGTTAGCACACGGTAAGTACTCAAAAATATTGTCCTTTGTTACAATCTGCTTTCTTTTCAGATGAGGAAATGGAAGCATGGAGTGATATAATCACATATTCAAGTTTACTCAGTAATAAAAGCAGAGTTGAACATTGACACCAGTATTTCATGCTCAGTACCACTTTTAAATATTGCCCTCCTAACGTGAGTGCCGTCTACTGACAAAAGGTGTGAAAGAGAAATGAGAAACCTAATATAAGCTCTCAGCTCAGAATTGCAGAATAAGGGGAGAGCTGGATATTTTCCGTGCCTGACACTACATTCAAAACTGTAAGGGAAATGACTAAAATCCTCAATGTTATAAATGTTCATAAAATATATGAAGGGATTAATAGACTGAATAAAAAATAAAAATGATATTAATTCTGCTTTGATACTGATTTCAAATACATTGTTCTCCAAAGTTAGCAAGGTTAAGACAGCTTTTGTATACTACTACTCAATACCAAACTGATTCTGTAAAACTTTATTCATAATATACAATCTGTAGAAATTCTGTGTTGGAGAAGTCTACCTACTATGCAATATTATAGATTTTAAAAGCATTTTCTGTATTACTGTGACTAAATTGGCATAAATATTGAACATAAATTTAATGTGCCCAATTATATGTGAAATGTAGAAAAACACTTTTAGTGTGCTGGTTAAATGGATTGATGGAATCTTGACTAAATTTGACAATGGACTCTCTTCTCTTTTAGTAACTTTTAAGTGCCCTTATTTTAAAAAAATACTGTGCAAAATTAGATTAAAAGTAAAATCTTTAGAATACTCATATTTGGGTTAAAACTACATTTCAGTACTGATAGTAAAACTGCAATGAACTACTAAATGAGTAAATGCATACATAAATAAATAGTCTTCTATGGTCTTCACTATGTCTGAGATCTAAATACCTTAAGGCCAAAATAGGCATATACACCCTTCAAAAAAAATGTTACCCACCCTAAACACTTATGTCAAATGAATTTTAAAGCTCAGTTGTTTTGTCTTTACTGGAAAATCACCATATCTTGAAAATGACTTGGAACCCCCATCTAACTAATCCATTCTTAACTTTATTACATGCAGAAATAGCAGAAAAATCAGGGAGAACAAACAAGTGAGATTTCAACTTGAACAAAGCCTAATAATATGGGATAACACTGTGCAATCATCACTAGCCAAGATCTGGTCCACAGTGTTTCAAGGTTGAAACCGGGTTTACAGATATAGCCAGAATGGATTTGGTCTGAGGAGACTGAATCATGCTGATTAATGAACAAGATAATGACTTATAAAGCAGATTTCAATTAATTAATTAATTCATTGAAGGGGATATATATTTGCCCAGAATATTCATGTTCTTCTGTCTCCCACAACCCTTTATGTTATCAAGATCACAGAGAAACGAATTCATAATCAGAATCTGTCCAAACACAGCACTAGAGTAAAGGGATACAGACGCTGTGAGCTGAGGGTAGCAAATGGAATTGATTTGGGGATGGATCAAACTTCAGATTCACCTGGAGAGATAATATGTGTGCTTCATTCTCACCCAAATCTAAATATAGTTTTTTAAAATAATATACACTAAGAAGCATGTGAAGCTTGACCAAAAAGATCCTCAGGTGATTCTAACATGCATTTTGAGAACTACATGTTTCGAGAGATAGTTCTTCCATGCCATGGAGCTGGAAGAATTTCCCTACTGTGCTAGAGAATATGCCCTTCTAGTACAGTAATTCTCATACGTGGAAGATAGTCAGGTCCGCCTTCCTTGAGCAGTGTTAGATAAACCTCATAAGCCTATTTCACTTTCCTAGAAACAGAGAAAGTTGTAATGGTATAATTTTGTTGTAATACAGTATTTGTAGCTATCAAATATTAAATACACATTTTATTTTGGGCACTGTGTTAGTTCCTTTTTATTGATTCTCTATTTTCCCTGTTTTATAAATGAGAGATTTGGAATGAAGTGTATTAAATAACTTGATCATTGTTACTTATCTAGATATTAAGTACCATAACTAGGATTCAGACACTTGTTTAAAATTTAAATCCCTATAGCTCAGTTGTCCTTACTAGGAATAATGTCCATAAAACAATTTATTTGGTATTTCACAGAGCACTATTTTGTACCTGACAAATAAATACTCTTCAGTTATAAATATATTGTACAGACATCGGCACTTATATTGTTATTGTATAACAATATAGTTGATATTTCAGTTATATTTTAATCCTGATAGTAAAGCTTATTTAGATTCTAGTGATTCCTACTTTTTTTTTTTTTACCACATTGTAAGCAGTTTTGGATGGGTTACTCTGCTTATAACCAGAACTGAAAATACATCCAATTTTTTAATATGTTAACCATATTACTTTATTGATGGGTTAACCATCAGTAAAGTAATATGGTTAACATATTAAGAACTAGATATAATAGGATTGAGGATGGACTTAAAGAAGAAATTACTAGAAGACACTTCAGAGTAAATTTTTGGCCTTAGTCTTAGAAATCCCAAATCCTGTTCTTCTAAATGAACAGTATTTCTAACTAATTATCACTTTCTGAGAACAGAAGCGAAACAGCAATATAGAATCCAACTCTTTTGCAGCATTTTGAATGACTTCAAAGGACGATTTTGACAGGCTTCCCCCCACCCCTGAATTAACTATACAAATTGTTAATCTCTGGAAAACTGTTCACATTTACACAGTTTGATTCTCTATCTTGTGAAATGATAGATATATTAATGTCATCAGGGAATAAGTAGGAAGCAAATGGTTTTCTAAGACCCAGAAGAAAGTAGTTTAATGCCACTCTCATGTAAAATAAACTCTTGATCTCTAGCAAGAATAGATTATTTAAAAACATCTGTACTTTCAATAGGGTAGGTGAATTTACATTATGAAGGCTGCATTATGGCTTGTAATAAAATCCAGTGTTAGAAGTACCGTGACAGTATCAGAATTCTCTCTGGAAAGGATTCTGAAGTTCATGCGAAGGTAAAGTACAGAGCATTCTTTCTTAAGGGCTTCAGTCTCCATTGTCTCTGACAGCCCTGCCATGACCAGATACATTCTTTCTTATGACATCTGAATGCAGCACAATATCAATTTCACGTAATTTAAATGAGAACCATGTTCTATTGCATTTGTGCTTATGCTGTAAAATCAAGATTCATGAGGGCTCAAGGAGAATCAGACTATGAATGTGTTATAAGTGAAATTGCTAAAGGCCGTAAAACTAAAGAAGTCATGTTTTGACAAATTAGGACTCACAAATACAAATCTAAAAAAGTACGTGCCATGTTGTAAGAGATTATAATAAATAAACATAAAAATTTACATCCATTTAATTAGATTTTTTAGCATTTGAAAGAAAAACATTATTTCAAAAATCTTCTCCTGAGATTGATTGCGGAACATCAGAATGCTTGTGATGACTTACAGCTGAGATATATTTGGTTTTCACAAAGAAACTTGCATGGGTTTTACTTGACATTCCTATGTAATTAATCTATGCTAAAATAGGCATTTTTCAGTTAGATGATAGTTTCCTCAAAATAGAGCTTTCTGAATTCATATAAACACAAAATAAAGGTCTCAGTCATTACATCACCTTCCAGAGATTAAGATGCTCATTGTTTAATTTTGTTAAATTTTTACACTTACTTTACTTTATCTACCAAAAGCATGCATTGTTTCCTGCATAGTTATTTCTGATTTCTACTTAACACAATATCTTTTTTACTGAGTGCAGTATTTATTTTTAGGTACACCAAATAGTAGTGTCTTTTCTTTTGGCCGATACATTTTGAATACATTGTAGAGGTTTTAAATATGATATATTGTATTTTCTCTGTTTGCCTTTACATATCTGAATCTACCTTTAGTTAGACTGTAAATGATATAAATAATAATTATTACCCAAAATGCACTTGTTATCCACATGTTATATTAGGACCATATTATTTCCTGAATGAACACTTTGTCATATATATATATATGTTTGAAACAGGGTCTTACTCGGTCACCCAGGTTGGAGTGCAGTAGCGTGATCATGGCTCACTGTAGCCTTGACCTCCCAGACTCAAGCAAACCTTCCACCTCAGCCATCCAAGTAGCTGGGAATATAGGAGCACACCACTATGCCCAGCTAATTTTTTTTAAATTTTTTTTAGAGACAGGGTTTCCCTATTTTGCCCAGGCTGGTCTCGAACTCCTGGACTCAAGTGATCCTCCTGTCTCACCCTCCCAAAGTGCTGGCATTACAGGTGTCAGACACCCTGCCTGGCATTTTGAGATATTTTTAATCATATTATTTGATTCACTTTCTCTCTGTATAACTACATTCATGAGCATTAGAAAAGAGTAAGTCAACATATGCAACTAAACACTAAACATTTTGATTATATCCTCCATTAAAATAGTTCTAGCCAATGCACTTTGTCTTGTTTAAAATCAATTTCTACTGAAAGTGCTTATTGACAGCACATGCTTGATTTAAGGGTCCTTAGTATGACAATAGCCTTTGAATTTTTAAATGCCCATTGTGAAAGAGTGTGACTGCTAACCAAAATTAATCTGATGGTCTTCTCTTGTCAATGTGGCTCGAATACCAAAAAACCTGTGTGTCTCTTATTTCATCCTTCCTGTCCTCTCTTCCACCATCTTCCTTATGAATGGTTGCTATATTTAAGTTTCTCACCTGCAGTCATAATTACTCTTGTTTCTCTCCCCCAATACATTCAACCTCATTACTTGATAAACTCTTCCCATCAGTATGATCTAATGTCTGGTTCTGTTTCTTCTTCTTTTAAATGTGTTTATTTTGTTGAATAGGCCATTTTTTTTTCAAACTCAGATTTCACAGCCACTTTTTCCTCTCTCTAGCCTCCTTTTATTCACTGTTCCCTTGTCTCATTCCCTGCTTTTCATTGGACAATTTATTAAATGCCACTTTGTTAAAATGTGACTTTCCCTGGGTTCTCAATCTGAATTAAAGTTTTCCTGTTATTCACTCTCCAGTTAACCTACTCTTTTCCTTTATGCTGGTTACACCATTTGTATATCTATTCAATTATTCTATTGACAACTATTTGTTTCGTGAAAAAACAAAAGCCAATCAAACAAGAAATGTTCTATATGGACAAGTCCCATGATTTTTGGCTTTACACCTCGTGTTAAATAGTACAGGGACAACATTTTGAATAAAATAATAAATTACTGTCAGTGTGAACACTACCTCAATGTGAAAAACAATGATCTGTGAAATATCTAGAAAAGTTATTTTATGTATTATACTCAAACAGGATCCATAGTGAAGGCAAGTGAGTTGTGGTAGGGATTTACACTTTACACAGTTTTCTGAATCCCATTCGTGGTATTTAATGTCTTTAACATGACCAAATTATTGTATGTATTTTATTCTGTTTTCCACATCTATAACACGGGAAAGATTAGCACAATGCCTAAATATTATATTTGTGTGATAATCAGCAACCATTTTTTATATTACAGAACAACTATATTATTAGATCTTTCTTTAAATTTAACATTAATAAGTGAAATAGACTCAAACGGTTCACAATTCTTTCATATGCTGTGTGGTATTAAGTTCTTTTGCCTTCTGTTCCTTGGTCATTTCAGCTTCAAGCAAGTCCATTTAGTGATATTATCTTACTTGTCCTTTGTATGCCAAAGTGACGATCTTAACTGCAATTCAATGTTTTGTTAGACTCATGCAGCACTCCATTTTACAGATATGTTTATAGATCAGGTTTTTCAGAATCTGTAACAGCTATTGGAAAAATTGGTCATTAAAAAAATGAGGACTGGAGTGGTGGCTCACGTCTGTAATCCCAGCAATTTGGGAGGCTGAGGTGGGTGGATCATGAGATCAGGAGTTCAAGACCAGCCTGGCCAATATAGTGAAACCCCGTCTCTACCAAAAATACAAAAATTAGCCAGGCCTGGTGGTGGGCGCCTGTAATCCCAGCTACTTGGCAAGCTGAAGCAGAGAATTGCTTGAACCCGGAAGGTGGTGGTTGCAGTGAGCCAAGATCGCGCCACTGCACTCTAGTCTGGGTGACAGAGAGAGACTGTTTCAAAAAAAAAAAAAGAAACCTATCTTTCATAATTATCATCCTCTTACTATTGTATAAGCTTTTAGTATGTTGTATGTATATGTGTATGTGTGCCTGTGTGTGTGAAGGGCCGGGTATACGTATTGTTGGAACATGAATGTGCTTTCATAGTAATCAGAGATATTGTCCTTCAAGTTAGGCCTTAGTCCGAAGTATTTGGTCATAGATGAAGTTCTTCAAATTTCTTGGGGGTAGAGGGACATAATTCTTTATCCTCTGTCAGCAGAGGTAAAAATGATAAAATAGTCTACTTTGTCATTACATTCTTGGAAGAGTTTTATGCTCACAGTAGTATTTATGCAAAAAGAAATATGATAGAAAAATAGACTTTAACTCATTAAATTAGACTTCATTTACTCTCATTAGGATAACAGTCATGAACTGATGCTTTAAACACTAATGTGGCAAAAATTCAGGAATTTTCTTATTTCATTTTTTTTGAGACTATCTCAAAAAGTAATTAAGCTGATTTAAACATGTTTTGACAATTAAGTTTTAGTCAAACTACATGGTCTTAATCAATGGCATGTAGCCTAATTTAAATGGTAACTGAAATATTTACCATTTCATTTACCACTGTTTGTTTCAGTGGGTCTTTTTGTTTGTTTTATCATATGCTCCTACAGTATTGGTGAATAATGTGCTACAGTTTCAGATATTCCATATCAGACATACAGTGACTTTCCTTTCTTCTTTTCTCCAAAGTCCTTATTTCTGGTAGAAACATAATCACAGGTAGATATAAAGAAGACAGCAACCTATACAAATGATTAAGGTAATTTTTGCTGGGTTATTAAATCTTCTCCAATGCAGAGGAATGCATTCTAAAAGGGGAAATAAATCACACAATAAAGCTAATAGAAATTATCTGGGAGAACTTTTTTATGGAAATTAGCTGATTTACCTTATTATTCTTGGTCCATTCACCAGCTCCTCAAAATAAAAATTGATAACTAATAGGGCATTGCAATTCTAAAAGGCTTCTCAAATCACTAATTTTATTTTATAAAAAAAAAATAAAGTTACAATACCTATGTTGTATTTTACCCTAAAACTTATGGAAGATCAGGTTGAGGATTTGTGAATTTCTTTAGCAAAAAATAATAAATAAATAAATAATAAATAAATAAATTTAAAATACCCACGTGCAGTGGGATGTGCCTCTAAGTCTCAGAGGCTGAGACAGGAGGATCCCTTGAGCCAAGGAGTTTTATTCTACCCTAGCAAGATTCCATCTGCAAAGAAATAAAAAATTTAAAAATATATTTTTCTGAGGCAGGGTCTCAGCTCTGTCACCAAGGCTGGAGTGCAGTGGTGCAATCATGGCTCACTTCAGCCTCCACCTCCCAGGCTCAAGTGCTTCTCTCACCTCAGCTCCTTGAATAATTGGAACTACAGGCTTGTTCCACCAAGCATATTTTTTTTTTTTTGGTAGAAATAGGGTCTCACTATGTTGCCCACGTTGCTTTCAATCTCCTGGGCTCAAGTAATTCTCCCACGTTGGACTCCCAAAGTGCTGGGATTACAGGTACAAGCCACTACACCTGACTAAAAATAAATTTTAAAGGCTTTTTTTTTTTATTTTTAGCATTATGCAATATTTATTTCTCGGCAAGCTTGTGTTATTAGAAGGTACACAAGATACCACTTGATCTAGTTTTTCCCCTCTGAAAATGGTTGAGAAATGGAATGTTTTTGGAGACTGAGATTCATTAGCATCAACTTATCTTTCCTTTTTTGGTGCTCTTATCAGACAATGACAATGATTAAAAGTGATGAATAGCAGATGCATTTGAATCTATAATTGAACATCTTTAAGCATAATGACATTCTCCCTCACGTTGTATTGACTTGTAGAATCCTGATGTTCAGCAAGAGCAAACATTCATACTAGAATGACTTATCTGTGGTCCCAGGTTGGCACCTCCAAATACTCTTGTTGCAGCTGGCAACCTTTAAATCAGAGACTAAAGTCAAATCATAAGCAAGCTGAAACTTGTGTCACATTGAAATGCAAGATATGTACCAGCCTTGGAGTATATATTATGCATTTGCTTTTCAGAGGATTATGTTTTTTTCCTGCATTAATAGGACCAGATGTTGCTGTTAATACATCTGGGGAACACATTTTTCTTTGTTTTGGTGTCAGATGAGAGGATGCTGTCAACTCTGGCAAAGTGCATCTTCATATTTCTCAAGTTGCAGGGGGCACCAGGAAGGTAGATAGCTATTAATCACAAAGTGGAATGTAGTGTTTTGGGTTATTGGAACTTTGATTAACCAAGTATTTACATTACTGTACACTGTACTATTCAGGGATTTTACAATCATTAGCAATTTTCAATAAGTACTGGATGATGTGTCTTTTATCTGACATTGTTAGTGTATTGCCTGGAGTAGATTTTGAATGTCAGTCATTTGAATTGATGAGTGAATGGGAAACAACTACCAACCACTTATCTGTTTTCCTTATACACACTGTGACTGTGTTATTTGCTTGTCTCTGTGAGACAGTGTAGTACTTTAAAAAACAATATTGACAATCAGAATATCAGTGTTACTTCTAATTTTGTGACTGGTGATCTTATTTGTCAAAGTCTTAGCTCCTTGAATTATCAAAGAAGGAGGCTGATATAATAATCTTTAAGACCCTTTGATTGCTAAGAGTCTATGATTTTGTTTGCCTTTGAGATGAAGACAAAATTAACTCATAGCTCATGTGTCTTTTGAGCAGAAAACTCTACATTTAAATGCCTTCCATTGCATCCCACCTCAATCCTCCCATCACTCTTTTTGATCCATCCATTTTCACATTTTAAATTGAAATGCATTTTCCATTCCACAAAATTTTTAGTATTTATTTTCTTATTTTCTGATTTTAAAGTCCATAAAAAGTATATATGATAAATATTAGTCTCTTTATATAATTATTGTTATGATTTAATCTTTCTTCTTTTAGAGATAAGGCAATTGGAAGGTTAAGTGAATTGTCTAAAGTTGTCCAGTTGATAACAGGAATAGAACCCAATGTAGAATCTAGGTCATTTGTTTTCAATATTCAAGGTTAGGCCTTGAATATTGACTAAATTTGGAGCTAAACAAAATTTCATTACTCTGTATATAGCCCCTGTATTCTGGAAATTTACAGTCTAAGGCTCGTAATGCCACTTTGATATAGGTAAAACATGTACATACACAAACTCAAGAAACACTGGAAAAATAGATGCAGACAGTAAGAAGAAAGATGGGTAAGTGCAAACTGCAAAATGAAATATTAGGGGAAATTATGATCTACATATGTTACATTATTAGTTATATAAACTAACCTCCCATTCTGTCAAAACCATTAAGTCCCCAAGTAAGAATTCAAACTTCAGAAGCCATTTTATGACAAGTTAAAATAGAAGTTAAAGAGAAGAAAATTAGGAGTGGCAGAACTATGATTCTTGGTATTTTGCATTCAGGTCGGTGATCCTGGGTAAGTTAAAGAGATTCTAGTAGGCCGTGGTTTTTTCATCTGTAAAACAAGGATTGGAGTAGAGCAATAGCAACGCTTTTTAGTTCCAAAGTTTTAGGATGTAATTAAACATGAAAAAGAAGAAGAAGAAGCAATTCAGTAAACTCATCAAAGAATATATCAGGAAGACAGCAGAGAATTAGCCAGTAATATAATAACTTAAGTTCTGATTCCTGAAAGTCTGCACTGTAAATTGTTGAACCATACTAAAATCTCTAAGCCTCAAGTTTCTTCATCTATGATTTTGAGATGACGTTAGTACTTTTCCCAGAGGGTTTTTGTGACGATTAAATAAGACAATACGTGCAACACCTTCAAAAACATGCCTAAAACAAAATTATACCTAACATTTATTGGATGCTTCCTGAAGACAATAATCCTTCAGAAGGGTAGCCATTATTTTTACTAAGAGTAGAGTGTAATTTTATAGATCTGTTTATAAGTACATATACAAAAATATAGGATGAAAATTGAATCTCATGCTATTCTTATTCTTGGAATAGCCTCACTGTCAATCTCTAGCTTCTCCCTTTTCTTTTTCTTTTTTTTTTTTTTGAGACGGAGTTTCACTCTTGTTGCCGAGGCTGGAGTAAAATGGCGCCATCTCGGCTCACCGCCACCTCCGCCTCCCAGGTTCAAGCGATTCTCCTGGCTTAGCCTCCCTAGTAGCTGGGATTACAGGCATGTGCCACCAAGCCCGGCTAATTTTTTTGTATTTTTAGTAGAGACGGGGTTTCTCCATGTTGGTCAGGCTGGTTTCGAACTCCCGACCTCAGGTGATCCGCCCGCCTCGGCCTCCCTAAGTGCTGGGATTACAGGCATGAGCCACCGCATCCAGACTGCTTCTCTCTTTTCTTCCTCCAATTGAGTCTTAAAACTATTACCAAACTTGTGAATTTTTCTCTGGTTTTAACAATGAAAAAGGTGATTTATTCCTCTGTCCGTTTTGCTCCACACATTCCAAAATTTATTTACTTTCCTTTCAGTATATGCGTTAGTTTTGTTTTGGGCTTAATCTCTAAAATTATCCCTTTAAAAAGAGTCATTTTGTTAAAATTTCATGGCTACTTTTAAGTTTATTTTAAATCTACCTTCAGTACTAAGCTACTTCATTCTTCTGGAAGTTTTCTTTTCTCTTGGTTTCTATGACACTGCACTCCCTTGGTACTCCTGTTTGCACTCTACTTTAATTTTCCCACCTTTTGAATGTAGGCTTCTCTCCATTTACAAGTTTTTTTTTTTTTAATCGCAAGACTTCAAATATCACCTTCGGGTGGCTAATGCCAAAGTCCATGCTTCTATTCCTTCTCTCATTCCGGAACACAAGACCTGCATTTCTAAAAGTCTGTTAAACATTTTACCATAGTTGTCTCCAACCTTTTCAAATACAGTTTATCTAAATAGGGCTCACTTTATTTTCCAATCCACCTTTTACCTTAAATATAATCATATTCTCTAATTTTGAATATTATTTAATGATACTTTATTTGACTGTATCCTGCAAGCTCTCAAATCTTGAACTTTTACTCTCTGCCTCACTCTCCATTCTCTGTCAAGTAAGGTTCAAATTCTTTAAATTCTATCTTTCAAACTCTCTCACATTTCTCTGCCCTTTTCATGCTTATAAAAAAAATCCTCCATTCTTGAGAGAGGGATTTGTGTATGTGTGTGATAGAATCCTTCACTAAATCCTGAGTATGTGAAGGTCAGAGACAATGCCGTAATGACATCGTGACTGTCACAGCATGTAGAACCAGGTTTTATAAATAAGAATCTTTAATACAGTATATGTGTCTTTAATGGGATTTTTTTAGCTATTTAATTTTGAAGAAATATGTGCATCTTATTTTACTCATTTTTAGAAAACACAGCTGTTTACATCTGACTTAAAGTATAGTGTTCCTACCATTTGGTTAGTCAATACATGTTAATGATCCTAATGACTTTATTAATCATCTGCTTATTCTAAAAATATATAAAGTGACATACAATGTGCCTATGAAAAAATAATATTAAATCAATTTTTAAAGAAAAATGAGTCAAGATGTCATGTTGATTTGGACCATAAGCCAATAGTTCTAATCTCACTATAATTTTAATTTTGTTAGATAAATGCCATTATAGCTACAAGTAGCAGTAATAGTTAATTATAAACTGTAATTGAGGGGTCTCTAGTTCCAAATAGGAGTAAGTTACACAAAATTATCAACAAATAAAAAGTGACAGTAGAGTCTATGTAATAGGTGGGCTCTAACATACATTTTATAATACCGAAATAATTTTCACGTATATAGATTTAGCTCATTTCAAAGAATTTTCACCCATATCATAAACATGAAAATATTTTTCTTCTTCCCTATAGATTTATAGCATTTGAGTTTTAAAATGCTTCTCTTGTCTTTCTTGGTAGGCATTTTGGCATTTTATTCATAATTATATTTCTTAAAATATTCAATATTTTCTTCTTGATGATTTTCAAAATTAGTTCTTGATGATTTTGGTTTTAAATAACAAATAAAACCTACATAAAAAATAAAACTTTCAAGACTTTATTTTTTATTTAAAACCACCTTGTAAAGGGTATATACTGTTATCTATAAATTACAAATGTAAAAATGTATATCTGAAGTGATATTAAATAATTTGGCCAAGGCCATACAATTAGTAAATGACAGAATTGGGGTTCGATCTGTATCTTTAGATTCCCAGTTCAATGCTCCTTCTATTCTTTATATAAAAATTTTGGACATTTATTTTCACATATTTAATTTTGGGGAGAATTTTTAATAAATTTATCACCTAACATGAATATTTCGCCAAAGCCAGAAAATTTTACTGAGTCCTTAGTCTGATCAAGTCACTTCACTGCTTGACCCATGATTGCCCTCAGATAAAGGCCAACCTCCTTAGTGTGGGGTTGCAGATCACTTCTCCAGCTTCCTCCCACAACAGTACTTTAAAACTGGGAGCACTCTTGGACACAAGATGTTTATTTAAAAAAAAATTCTGAGGATACATAGTAGATGTATATATTTATAAATTACATGAAATATTTTAATATAGGCATGCAATGTGTTATAGCCACATCAGCGTAAATGAGGTATACATCACCTCGATCATTTATCCTTTGTGTTACAAACAATCAAATTATCCTCTTTTAGTTATTTTAAAATGTAACATTAAATTATTTATGACTACAGTTGCCCTGCTGTGCTAGCAAATACTAGGTATTATTCATTTTTTCTCAACTATGTTTTGTACCCATTAACCATCCCCATTTCACACCCACACTCCCACTTTTCTTCCCACCCTCTGGTAATCATCCTTCTACTCTGTATCTACATGAGTGCAATTGTTTTAGTTTATAGCTCCTAAAATAAGGGAGAACACGAAAAGTTTGTCTTCCTGTGATTGTGCCTTGCTTATTTTATTTAACACAATAATCTCCAGTTTAATCCATGTTGTTGCAAATGACAGGATGTCATTCTTTTTATGGTTAAATAGTACTCCACTGTCTATATGTACCACATTTTCTTTATCCAATCATCTGTTAATGGACAGTGAGGTTGCTTCCACTTAGTTATTGTGAGTAGCGCTGCAGTAAACAGAGGAGTGCAGATATCTGTTCAATGGTCTGATTATCCTTTTTTGAGAGTATATATGTAGGAGTGGGATCGCTGGATCACATGGAGCTGTATTTTCAGTTTTTTGAGGAACCTCTAAATTGTTCTCCATAGTGACTTTACTAATTTACACTCCCCTTGACAGTGTGCAAGGGTTCCCCTCTCTTCACATCCTCCGCAGCATTTGTTATCCCCTGTCGTTTGGATAAAAGCCACTTTAATGGAGTGAGATGATATCTCATTGTAGTTTTGATTTGGAGTGAGATGATATCTCACTGTAGATTTGATTTTCATTTCTCTAATGATTAATGATGCTAAGCACCCTTTTATGCACCTGTTTGCCATTTGTATGTCTTCTTTTGAAGAATGTCTAGTCAGTTTTTTTTGCCCATTTTTAAATCAAATTATTAGATTTTTTCCTCTATAGAGTTGTTTGAGTACCTTATGTATTCTGGTTATTAATCCCTTGTCAGATGGGTAATGGGCAAATATTTTCTCCCATTCTGTATGTTGTCTCCTCACTTTGTTGATTATATCCTTTGCTATGCAGAAGCTTCTTAACTTGATGTGATCCCATTTGTTTATCTTTGCTTTGGTTGCCTATGCTTGTGGGATATTACTAAAGAAATATTTGCCCACTCCAATGTTCTGAAGAATATCCTCAAAGTTTTCTTTTAGTAGTTTCATAGTTTGATTGATTCTTCTAATCCAGGAACATGAAATATCTTTCTTTTTTCCTATTTAATTTCTTGTATCAATGTTTTATGGTTTTTATTGTAGTGATTTTTCACTTCTTTTGTTAAGTTAATTCCTAGGTATTTTATTTTACTTGTAGCTATTATAAATGAAGTTACTTTCTTGAATTCTTTTTCAGATTGTTCCCTCTTGGCATATAGAAATGCTAATCTTTTTATGCTGATTTTGTATCTTGCAATATTACTGAATTTGTTTATCGGTTCTAACTGTTATTTTGTGTATTCTCTAGGTATTTCCAAATATAAGATAATATCATCTGCAAACAAGGGTGATTTTATGTCTTCCTTTCCAATTTGGATGCCCTTTATTTCTTTCTTTTGTTTGATTCCTCTAACTCATACATCCAGTACTAGGTTGAAAAACAATGGTAAAAGTGGGCGTCTTTTGTTATTATCCTAGAGGAAAATCTTTCAGTTTTTTTCCTATTCGGTATGACACTCTGTAGGTCAGTCATATGGACTTTTTTTGTGTTGAGGCATATTTTTTCCATACCCAGTTTTTGGAGGGTTTTTATGTATGAAGGGATGGTGCATTTTATCAAATGCTCTTTCAGCATCAATTAAACTGATCATTTGGTCTTTGTCCTTCATTCTTTTACTATAACGTATCACATAGATTGATTTGCATATAGTGAACCGTCCTTGCATCCCAGGTGTAAATCTCACTTTGTGATGGTTAAAGATATTTCTAATGTAGAGTTGAATTCAGTTCTCTAGGATTTTGTGTAGGATTTTTTGCATCAATGTTCATCATATTATTTTGGCCTGTAATTTAATAATTTAATTTTCTCTTTCTTTCTTCCTTCCTTTCTTCTTTTCTTTCTTTCTTTCTTCTTTTTTTTCTTTCCTTCTTTCCTTCCCTCCCCTCCTTCCTCCCTCCTTTCCTTCCCTTCCTTTCCCTCCCTTCCCTCCTTCCTCCCTCCTTTCCTTCCCTTTCCTTCCTTTCCCTTCCCTTTCCTTCCTTTCCCTTCCCTTTCCTTCCTTTCCCTTCCCTCCCTTCCTTCCTTCCTTCCTTTCTCCCTCCCTCCTTCCCTCCCTCCCACCCTCCCTTCCTTCCTTTCTTCGTTCCTTCCTCTCTCTTTCTTTTCTTTTCTTTTCTTTCTTCTTTGTCTGGTTTTGGTATCAGGGTAATAATACTGGTCTTGTAGAATGAGTTTAGAAGTATTTTATCATCCTCTATTTTTGGTAGCAGTTTGAGTAGGATTAGTAGTCATTCTTTTTTAAATGTTTGGTAGAATTCAGCAGTGAAGCCATTGGGTCCTTTTTTTTTTCTTTACTGGGAGACTGTGTATTAAGACTTTAATCTCATTACTTGCTATCAGACTGTTCTGGTTTTGGATTTCTTTCTCGTTCAATCTTGGTAGATTGTATGTTCTAGGAATTTGTCAATTTCTTCCAGATTTTCCAAAGTATTGCCATATATTTGCTTATACTAGTCACTAATGCTTCTTTTGATTTCTGTGGTATCCGTTGTAATGTCTCCTTTTCATTTCTGATTTTATTTATTTGTATCCTCTCCCTTTTCATAGTTAGTCTGAATAAAAGTTTGTCCATTTCATTTACCTTTTAAAAAAATCTTATTTCATTTATCTTTTGTATTTTTTTAGTTTCAATTTCTTTTGTTTGTTCTCTGGTCTTTGTTACGTTTTGTCATCTACTAATTTTGGGTTTGGTTTGCTCTTGCTATTCTAATTCTTGAATATGTATCATTAGGTTGTTGAAGTTATTTCTTCTTTTTTGATGTGGGTGCTTGTAACTATAAACTTCCCACTTACTACTGCTTTCACTGTATCTCATAAGTTTTCATATGTTTTGTTTCCATTATCACTTGTTTCTAAAAATTTTGAATTTTCTTCTTAGCTTCTTCATTGTACCATGGGTCATCAGTAGCATACTTAATTTCCATATGTTTGTGTACTTACCACAATTCCTCTTGCTATTGATTTGTAGTTCTAGTCTGTTGTAGTCAGAGAAGATTTTTGACAACTATTTTTGAATGTTTTAAGACTTATGTTGTGACCAAACACAAAGTCTATACTTGAGAATGATCTATGTACTGAAGAGAAGAATGTGTATTCTGCAGGTGTTAGAAGAAATATTCTGTAAATATGTATTAGATCCATTTGATCTATAGTGTAGAGTGAGTCCAAAGTTTCTGTTCTGATTCTCCAACTGAAAGAACTGCCTAATGCTGAAAGTGGGGTGTTGATGTTTCCAGCTATTATTGTATGGTTGCCTATCTCTCTTTTCAGCTGTAATAGTATTTGTTTTTTATAATTGGGTAGTCCAGTGTTAGGCTCATATATATTTGCAATCATTATATTATCTTGCTGAATTGACCCTTTTTCATTAATAATGACTTTCTTTGTCTCTTCTTATAGTTTTAATCTTGAAATCTATTTTGTCTGATATACTTGTAGTGACTCCTGCTCTTTTTCTGTTTCCATTGGCTTGGGATATATTTTTCCATTCCTTTATTTAGTCTCTGTGTGTTTTTATATGAGAAGTATGTTTCTTGTAGGAAACAGATCATTGGGTCTTGGTTTTGTAATCCTTTCAGCAACATTGTCTTTTGATTGGAGAGTTTAGTTTATTTACTCTAATGTTTATTTATAACTAAGGACTTAATCCTGCCATTCTGTTATTTGTTTTCTGATTGTTTTGTGGTCATCTCCTCCTTCATTTCTTCCTTTCTTTTTTCCTTTTAGTGAAGGTGATTTCCTTTGGCAGTATGCTTTAATTTCTTGCTTTTAATTTTTTGTGTATCTGTTTTATGTTTTTTGGTTTGAGGTTACCATGTGGCTTGCAAATAGTATATTATAACCCATTATTTTAAGCAGACCACAACTTAACACTCTATAAACAGAAAAACTAACAAGCAATAAGAAAACTAACAAAAACTCTACAGTTTAACTTCATCACCTTACTTTTTAACTTTTTGTCATTCTTATTTATATCTTATTGTACCTTCTATATCATGAAAAGTTTTTTTATAGGTTCTAGTTTTCCTTTTTTTTTTTTCTTTTTTTATTTTTTGAGATGGAGTCTCACTCTGTCACCCAGGCTGGAGTGCAGTGACATGATCTCGGCTCACTGTAAGCTCTGCCTCCCAGGTTCACGCCATTCTCCTGCCTCAGCCTCCTGAGTAGCTGGGGCTACAGGCACCTGCCACCATGCCTGACTAATTTTTTTTGTATTTTTTTGTGGAGACGAGGTTTCACCATGTTAGCCATGATGGTCTCGATCTCCTGACCTCGTGATCCGCCCACCTCGGCCTCCCAAAGTGCTGGGATTACAGGCGTGAGCCACTGCTCCCAGCCTATTGGTTGTAGCTTTTCTACTTAAGATAAGAAGAGTACTTTACACACCAGTTAGAGTGCTATAATATTCTGTGTACTTATTATTGTCAGTGAGTTTTGTACCTTAGGATGATGTCTTATTGCTCATTATCATCATTTTCTTTGTTTGAAATGCTCTCTTTAGCATTTTTTGTAGGACAGCCTGGTGTTGATGAAATCCCTCAGCTTTTGATTGCCTGGGAAAATATATCTCTTTCATGTTTGAACAATAGTCCCACTGGATATACTTTTTTTTTTCCTTCCTTCTGTGCTTTAAATATGTCCTTCCTCTTTTCCTGGGCTGTAAGATGTCCACTGAAATGTCTGCTGCTAGATGTATTGAAACTCAGTTGTATGTCACTTGTTTCTTTTCTCTTGCTTTCAGGATCCTTTTTTATCCTTGACCTGTGTAAATTCAATTATGGAATGCCTTGAGATAGTTTTCTTTGGATTTAATCTGCTTAGTGTTATACAACCTTCTTGTACTTGGATATTGATACCTTTCTCTATGTTTGAAAAGTTCTTTGTTATTATCTCTTTGATTAGACCTTTCTTTCTTTCTTTCCTTCTTTTTCTTTTCTTTTGTTTTTCTTTTTTTTTTTTTTTTTTTTTTTTTTTGAGGCAGAGTCTTACTCTGTCACCCAGTGCAGTGGCACAGTCTTGGCTTACTGCAACCTCTGCCTCCCAGGCTGAAGTGATTCTCCTGCCTTAGTCCTTTAAGTAGTTGGGATTACAGGCATGCACCACCATGCCAGGCTAAATTTTTGGATTTTTAGTAGAGATGGGGTTTTGCTACCTTGGCCAGGCTGGTCTCAAACTTCTGGTACCAAGTGATTTGCCTTCCTTGGCCCTCCAAAGTTCTGGGATTACAGATTACAGGCCTGGGCCCTTTGAGTAAGCGTTCTACTCCTATCTCTTTTTTTCTACTACCTCCTCTTTCAGGCCAATAACTTTGAGATTTGCCTATTTGGGATATTTTCTATATCCCGTAGGCATGCTTCATTCTTTTTTTCTTCTTCTTCTTTTGTCTTCTCTGACTATGTATTTTAAAATAGCCTGTCTTCAAGCTCACTAATTCTTTCTTCTATTTTATCAATTCTGCTATTAAGACTTTGATGAATTCTTCATTAAGTCAAGTGCATTTTTCAACTCTAGGATTTCTGCTTAATTCCTTTTAACTATTTCAATCTCTTTATAAAACTTAACTAATAGATTTCTGAATTCATTTTGTGTGTTATCTCAAATTTCTTCAAGTTTCTTCAAAAAAGCTAATTTTAGTATTCTGTCTGAAATGTCACATAACTCTGTTTCTCCAGGATTGACCCTCATGCCTCATTTAGTTCATTTGCTGATGTCTTGTTTTCCTGGATGCTCTTAATGCTTGTGGATATTCGTCTGTGTCTGGGCTTTGAAGAGTTAGGTATTTATTGTAGTCTTTGTAGCCTGGGGTTGTTTGTACCTGTCCTTCTTGGGAAGGTTTTCCAGGTATTCAAAAGGACTTAGGTGTTGTAATCTAAGCTATATCTACATTAGAAGACACTCCAAGCCTCCAAGCATAGTTACACTGAGGTTCTGGCAAACTCTTAAGAGTTATTGCCTTCGTCATCTTGGATAAGATCTTGAAGAATTATCTGGATTATCAGGTAGAGACTCTTGATCGCTTCCCTTACTTTCTCCCAAGCAAATGGTGCCTATCTATCTGTTCTGAGCTCCCTGGACATGGGGATGGAGTGATACAAGCACCCCTGTGGCCACCACCACTGGGACTGTGTTGAGTCAGACCTGAAGCCAGCACAGCACTGAATCTTGTCCAAGGCCCACTGTAACCACTCCCTGGCTACTGTTTATATTTGTTCAAGGCCCTGGGGCTCTAAAATCAGCAGGTGGCAAAGTCAGCTAGGCTTGTTTCTTTCCTTCCAGAGCAGTGAGTTCTGGGACAGTCCAAAGATACTGTCTAGAAGCCAGAAACTGGAGTCAAAAAACCTTGTAAGTCTACCTGGTTTTCTATTGTTCTCTGGCTGAGTTGGCACATAAACTATGAGAATCAGTCCTTCCCACTCTTCCCTCCCCTAACCACAGGCAGAGGAACCTCACCCCATGGCCAGGATCTCCACAGCCTCACAGGGAGTACTGCCAGCCTACCCTTTATGTTCCCTTAAAGCCCATAGGCTCTACAGTCAGCCTAAGAGGCACCCTTCAATGTAGTGCACTCCTCTTTGGCCCAACAAAGTTTCAGAAATGTCATCCAAGACCCAAGGCCTGGAATCAGGGACACCAAGATTCTGCTTGGTGTTATACTCTGCTGTGGCCTAATTAGTACCTGAGTTACAAAAAAAAGACCTCTATAATTTTCTCTCCACTTTTCTCAAGCAGAAGGAGATTCTCCTTGTAGCCACTGCTGCTGGGAATTTGGTGAGTCTCACTGGAACCCAGAAAGTCTCAGAGTCTCAGCCAAAGCCTACAGCATACCACCTAATTATCACTGTTGGTTATTCAAGGCCTAAGGGCTTTTTAGTCTGCAGGTGATGGATCCTTCCATAACTGTGCCCTTCACTCAAGGCAGCAGGTTTCCTTGTGGCTTGGAGTGTGTCTAGAAATGTCATCTGGGTAACACAGCCTGGAAGAGGGGCCACATGACTGTGACTGGTGCCCTATTCTACTGCAGCTGAGCTGGTATCTAAGATGATACACAAAGATCCTCTGACTCTTCCTTCTATTCACCTCAAGTGTAATGAAGGGGTGTCTTTTGGAGCCATGAGCTGTGTTGTTTGGCATGGGGAGAGGGGTGGTGCAAGCACTTTCTTAGCTGCCCCAGCTGGTGTTTCAGTAAGTTGTGTGCCTCTCACTTCCACTGGCTTAGAGCCCAGCTCAGCAATAGAACTTGCAGTCCTTATGGCCTAAACTGCATTTCAAGTTTATTTAGGGCCCCAACGTACATCAGCTCATGGTGGCAAGGCTTGCTGGAACTCAAGTTCTGACCTCTGGGATGGGCAACTCCCCTCTGGCTTGTGCTGGTCTGAATGCTCCCTCCATGGGTGGGCATTTGCTGAGTTCAGCCTGGTTTTGCTTTCCACTGTGAAAAGGCAGCACTGAATTCAATGCAAAGTCTCACAATTGCTATGCTTTCCCTCTCCCAAGTTGACAGATTTCCCCACACCACATGACCTGCAGGGGAATAGGGGAGGAGTGGCATTGGCAGTTTAAGACTGTCTTTCCTACCCTCTTTAGTGCCTCTTTCAGTGATATGAAGTTAAAACCAGGTACTGTGAGTGCTCACCTGATTTTTTGTTTGTTTGTTTTCATTAAGGGGATTTTGTTTTAGTTGTTGAATTTGATGTTCCCGTGGGAGACATGGTTGGGCGTGGCTTTCTATTCTACCATCTTCTCCATCCCTCTTGTCATTTATTTGACTGACATGCTTTTCCATCATCCAGAATTTTCCATATGATGCTGTGTTTGTCTAAAACAGGGACTTTATTTCTACTCCTTTCCATGGCTGTACCCTGTAGGTCTCATATATTTATGTATAATTTCTTTTTGGCATTCTTCCTTGACCACCATCTCTACTTGCTACCTTAAGTCCTGGTTTGATGTTTCTTTGATGGACTCCCATAAGACTCCATGAGACTGTACTCCCTTATTATGGCATCTCGCTCATTGTTTAATTTCCCATTCATATTACTGAGTCTTCTTCTAGACCTTGTTTAATTGTATCCTTAGTGTTTGAAAATACCTAAAGTAGATGTTGAATTAATGTTCTTTGATGGCAGGAACTACAGCTTATTTTTTAAAGATAGAATTTCGCTCTGTCACCCAGGCTGAAGTGCAGTGGTTCAACATAGCTCACTGCAACTTTGAACTTCTGGGCTCAACAGATCCTCTCACCTTAGGCTTCTGAATATCTGGGATTACAGGTGTGTACCACCATGACTGACTAATACTTTATTTCCTTTTCTTCTTCTTTTTTTTTTTTTTAAAGAGAGATTGGGTTGCCAGGCGCAGTGGCTCACTCCTGTAATCCCAGCACTTTGGGAGGCCGAGGCGGGAGGATCACGAGGTCAAGAGATAGGGACCATCCTGGCTAACACGGTGAAACCCCGTCTCTGCTAAAAATACAAAAAAATTAGCCGGCCGTGGTTGCAGGCACCTGTAGTCTCAGCTACTCGGGAGGCTGAGGCAAGAGAATGGCATGAACCCGGGAGGTGGAGCTTGCAGTGAGCCGAGATCGCGCCACTGCACTCCAGCCTGGACGACAGAGCGAGACTCTGTCACAAAAAAAAAAAAGAAAAAAAAAAAAAAAAAAAGAGATTGGGTCTGGCTATGTTGCCCAGGCTAGTTTTGATTGGCTAACCTCAAGAAATCCTCCAGCCTCAGCTCTCGAATAAGTGGAAGTACAAGTGAATTACAGCTTTCTTAATCTGTCCTAATTTTACTGCTTTAAAACTCATTTAATCATTGGTGAGCTTGATGGACTTACATAATTTTGTATTATTCTCATATTTATGATTTGACAGTTTTAGGCATGGATGATTGGTGAGCCAGAAATCTGTTATGCAAGTTAGGCATTCGGATCACATTTTGAACCTAATACAGCAGAACCTTGATATTCATGGGTTTAATATTGGAAACTTCTACCAAATTTTCTGATCAACTAGAAGGCTAATAAAATATAGTAACATATACAATGGTTGAGAAGTGAATTGGAAGCAAATTCAATCTTAGGCTTATTTGAAGAAAGGTATCACTTAACTATTGAGCCTATTTGACCTCCTAGCTTCTGTCTCTCAATATGGCTTTATTTTTCTAAAATGCAGTAATATTTTTTTCTCTTTTGAAAATATGGTTCTGAAGAAAAGTTTAGCTCTCAGTATTGATAATTATTGAAGCAAAATTTAAGAGGTCTTGTCTTAGGTTAAAGGGGAAAAGTCAGAAGGTATAAGTGGTATTCATGCATCTTCACTTATTTCTGGAAAAGCTTGTGAAGAGAAAAAGAAAGGAAAAGAAAGAAACAAAGGAAGAGAGAAAGACAGAGAGAGAAAGAAAGAAGAAAGAAAAGAAAGGGAGAGAGAAAGAAAGAAAAAGTAAGAAAAGAAAAGAAGAAAAGAAAAAAGGAAAGAAAAGAAAGGAGGGAGGGAGGGAAAGAAGAAAGAAAGAAAAGAAAAGAGAAGAGAAAAGAAAAGAAAAAGGAGGAGAAAAAGGAGGGAAAGAAGAAAAAAAGAAAAGAAAGAATCAAGCAAACAAGTAAGCAGGTAAGAAAGAAAAAGGAAAGGAGGGAGGGAAAGAAGGAAGGACAGGAAGAAAAAAGAAAGAAAAAGGAAAGAGAAAAAAAGAAGAAAAGACAGAGAATGGTAATATTTGCAAAATTGGTATTCACAAAGATATCCAGATGTATTAACAACAAAATATCTAAAATTTATTTCATCATCACACCATTGGTATTGGTTTTGCCACAGACCAATAAATGCTATGAAGAGTGAACAAACAATATATTGAATTCTGGTCATTTGCATGAGAATTTTTTTTTCTACTTTAAATCACTTTTGGATGGTCTATAAAGCATTCTCAGATAAGCAGTTTTAAGTGATACATTAATTTAGTTGAGACTTTTTGTATTACAATGTTTTCTAACTTCTTCATCTACTTGAATAAAATTTTATTATATTTCGCTTTTCCAATAATATATACTTTTTCTTCACTTTGATTTTAAAAAGTCCAATTGCACTCAGGTTTTGAGTTTCTTTCTCCTACCTGCGAAGGCTTTCACAATTAAATAAAAACTAAAACTTCTCTAATGAAATTCCATATCCTGAAGTAAAATTATATTGATTTAAATCAACAAGACTTTGAGGCAATTTTTCAACTCTATATTGGTTTACTTAGTTCTCTCTTTTATGGTTACTGTATTTATCCTTTAGTATGAGATTATGTCCTGAATTTCTCTATACCAGGAGCATGGCATGAAACCATTTTCACATACATCTTTAATGGGAAGATTCTGTCACTACTTGTGGAGAGCTATACTCTGAATTCAGAAGAAAAGGGAATAAAATAACAGATTTCTAGAGAGATTTTTAAGATCAAGTCATTGTAATAATAGATTATTATAAATTACCACTAAATGGATATTAAGTTAGAAAACAACAATTTCAGCCAAATTCTAAAAAGTCAGTTTATTTTCCTAAATGTATAATGTATACATAGTATGTGCTGAAAGTATTTGCAAGAATTGAATAACTTTGCATTTGAAAACTGTACCACATAAAGTGAAAATTATGTGGATTATATACCAGTTGCATAATAAAAAATTGAATTTAAATCAGAAAATATTTTAAAGTAATATGACTGAAACATATTCACACATAATAAACACATTTTTATTGTGATCACGGTTGATATGCTTACATTATTTTGTGCATTTTTTCTACTAGAAAAACAGCCCTATAACTATAAATGGCACCCTATGGTCATATTGCACTATAGCTCAATACAAAAAATTTTTATTATAGTTATTGAATAAAATACACACCTCTATACATTTATTTTTCATATCTAAGAGCTGTTGTTTATATTTTATAAATTACTTGCATGCTTCTAAAAGAATAGATTGGAATAGATTGAATTAAACATTGAATTATTTAAAAGTTTGTTACTCAGATATGGTCAATGAAAAAAGTTACAAATTATCACAAAATGATTATGGGTTGGAATTGGCAAGATAGATTTAATAAGCGTGAAAACTTTTGTCCAGTTTAAAAGATAGAGCTGGTAAATAACACGTATACCCAGAGGTTCTATAAAACAAAAAGTTACTGAAGCATCTCAATCGATTTAGAGATTTGTTTTGCCAAGGATGTGGATGCTCTGGGAAAAAAGAAACACAAGTCACAGTAGGATCTGTGACCTGTGCTTTTTCCAGAGAGGGTTGTGAGGACTTCTATATTTAAACAGGAAATAGCAAGCAGGAGGGAATGGAGGAAAAGAAAAAAAAGTGGGGAGAGCAGGCAATGAAGCAAACAGTCACATTCTTTTGAGGCTCTGGTTAGGACTCAGTGAAACTATATTTTACATGTGAAAAGAAAGGAGTGGATTGTGGGGAGGGAGTGAATTATGCATTTGTCTCCCAATCAGTAGATCTACATGTTATATAAGACAGAGAAAGGATGTAAAATTACTATCTGTTTGGGAACAAAAGGAACACAGTTTTCGCATGACTGAGTTCCCAAGTTTAACTCTCCCTTTGGCATAGTGAGTTTGGGGTCCTGAGATTTTAGTTTCCTTTCAATAGGCCCGATAGTCTGCAAACACCAAATAAGGGTCAGTAGGCTGACAATTCAATGGGAGTAAGAAGCAAGAGACTCCAAAAGAATATTAGTAAAAACAGGGTTGATAAGTTCTAACACAGTGACAGAGATTATTTCCTTCCTGATCTGCTTTATCTTTTTTTTTTATTTATTTTTTTTTTTTTTTGAGGAGTTTTACTCTTGTTGGCCAGGCTGGAGTGGAATGGCACAATCTTGGCTCACGGCAACCTCCGCCTTCTGGGTCCAGCCAATTCTCCTGCCTCAGGCTCCCGAGTAGCTGGGATGACAGGCGTGTGCCACTATGCTGGGCTAATTTTTTGTATTTAGTAGAGATGGGGTTTCACCATGTTGGTCAGGCTGGTCTCAAAACCCTGACCTCAGGTGATCCACCTGCCTCGGCCTCATTTTATCATTTTTAACAAGAGAGTGACATAGTCATTAAGATACCAAAACACGAAGGCAAAACCTGTGTCAGATTTGGGCATGTTTCCAAGTGATAAGAAGATCTTCACAGGTACCAACACAATTCTGATACGCAAATCACCAGGAGGCCTCTTTTCATGCCTCTTTCAGTTTAAAAACCACTCCCTAATTAAGCAAACACTCTTGACTTCAGGAGCACCACTTAAAAAAAAAAATTATTCGGCTTCCCAGATTTTTCTACTTTTGGCTCTAATTATGTTGATAATCCCTATGCACTTTCCACATTTTCTTATATTTATTCAACATATGTTTTTTAAGCTTTCGTTGTGTGTCAGAAATTGGTCAAGTCACAAATATAATTAAAACGCATAGAATCCTTGTTGTCATGCACTTGATGTTCTAGTGGAAGGAAACAGAATTAACAAATAAATAAATGCATACTATGTGAAATAATGAGTTGACTTATGTCTACTCCACACTAAAGATATCTCCAAGTTGTAACCCCAGGTACCTGTGAATGTGACCTTATTTTGAGGAGGGGGTCTTTGTAGATGTAATTAAGTTTAAAATTTCCACATGACATCATGTTGGATTTTTTTGGGTAGGGGGAGGGGGTGCAAAATTCAATGTCAGTTGTTTTTTCAAGAAGATGGGAAAATAGAATCACAGAAAGAAAGCAGCCATGTGAATACGAAAGCAGAAATAAGAGTTATATAGACCCAATGCCAAGGGTTGACAATAGCCCCTAGAAGCTAGGACATAGGCGGACAACAAGTTGTCCCTCATAACCTCCAGAAGGGACCAATTCTGCTGACACTTTGATTTTGGATTTCTGGCCTCTGGAAGTGTGAAAGGTTAATTTTCTGTTGTTTCAAGCCACCAAGTTTGTGGTTATTTGTTGCGGCAGCCCTAGAAAACTGATATAGTCAAGATGCTGAAAAGTACTGTTACAGTAGGTAGCAAGTTAGGCATGAGCAGGACAGGAGAGGCACCCCCCTCCTCCGACCCTACCAGAAACGTCAGGTGACCATCAGGTGATAGTTAGGCAGTTTTCAACTGTCTTGCTAAAATAATAATTGGTTGCAGCTGGTGCCAGTGAAAGGCAGTCTCCCAATAGATAGAAACATCTGAAATTGGTGATCAGCAGCTTCCTGGTAAGATCTCAAGAGCTGGGCAGGTGGGCTGAAGTATGCACATTCAGAGGCAAAATGGCAAAGTTTAAATGGTATATGACCTTCCAGGACCATTCCACTGATAAGGGAAGAACACCTCAAGTGAGCATGCGTGCAACTCCAGTAATCACACTCCGTATGCTTTCCTCCCAAGTGCTAGCAGGCCACTGTGCGTGTGGACAGCCCATTCCAAGGTAACAATCAGGGGAGAAGTAATGCAAGACCCCAGAAACATGCCAGAGTATAAAACTCCAAGTCAAAAGGTCAAACCATGCACTTCATCTCCCAAGTCTTCTGCTTGACCCTCTTCCTAGTGTACTTTACTTCCTTTTTTTCCTATGATAAAGCTTTTTTTTTTTTTTTTTTGAGACGGAGTCTCACTCTGTCACCCAGGCTGGAGTGCAATGGTGCAATCTTGGCTCACTGCAAGCTCCGCTTCCCGGGTTCATCCCACCACGCCTGGCTAATTTTTTGTATTTTTAGTAGAGACAGGGTTTCACCGTGTTAGCCAGGATGGTCTCGATCTCCTGACCTTGTGATCTGCCCACCTTGGCCTCCCAAAGTGCTGGGATTACAGGCGTGAGCCACTGCGCTTTTTAATGAACTTTCACTCCTGTTCTAAAACTAGCTTCAGTCTCTCCTTCTGCCTTCTTCCCCATGGGTGCATTATTTCTTCTGAGGAGGAAAGAACTGAGATTGTTGCAGACCTGTATGGATGTGGATTCATTGCTGGTAATAGTATATTGAATAAAATAGAGAAGCAATTTAGGAATTGTAAAGGTATGGTAAAAAATTGCAAATTTAAATATGTGAACATATAACATTTGGCAAAATAGCTAAAGAAGGTGAAGAACTAAGCCATGTAGAAATTAAGGCAAAGACATTTTCAAACGCAAAGAACAAGGGGTCAGAGCATCGCTATGCTTTTCAAGAACAGTAAGAAACATGGATGAACCAGTAGGAGTGAGGGCAGACAGAGTGAGGCAAGATCAGTAACATCACCGGAGGCTGCTTCATGGAGTATCTTCATGGAGTATCATTCACAATGAGATGTAGTTAGTTTGTTAGAGGGTCATGCATAGAAAATTGTGTGTTATGACTTTGGTGCTGTGTTGAGAATACTTTTATTTGAAAGGGGTAAATATAGTAGTAGGGAAAACAGTAAAAAGGCTATTACAATAATATAAAAGAGAATAATGGGGCAGGGTGATAGGACCAAGATAATATTAGTGGAGGTGTTGAGATGGGTTCAATTTTGAGACATATTTTAAAAAGTGGAAACAACAAAATTTTCTAACAGATTGGCTGTGGAATGTGAAGAAAGAAAAGAGTAAAAATAAGTTTATGTTTGTCATCACATTAACTGGAGAAATTGAGTTATTATTTTATGGAGAAATTGAGAAATTGAGTTATTTTATGAGGGCTGTGGAAATCAAGACAAGATTGTTTGGAGAGAATTGGTAGTTTTGTGTCAGACAAAATAAAAGTAAATTAGGCAGCACTTCATTCGCTCTCATTCAGTGGACTATTCCTTCAACCTCACTTCAATGATTACATGTCCATGTCCAGATTTGGACTCTCTCTGCTAGGTGATGTTCCAAAAGAAACTCTTATGTCCCAAAAGAATATCATGAATTTCCTTCTCTACCATCCAAATATGTTACTCATCCATCTTTTCTTCCTTTGATTAATAACATTGCTATTTATCCAGTTAATCCGATTATAAAGTGCAGCACTATCGGTGATAGCTAATTTTATATGTCAAACTGACCAGATTATGTGATGCCCAGATTTTTGGTGAAACATTTCTGGATGTGTCTGTGAGGGTGTTTTGGATGCGATTTGCATTTAAATTGATAGTCTGTGTAAAGCAGGTTAGAATCATCCAATATCTTTTTTTTTTTTTTTTTTTTTTTGAGACAGAGTCTCGCTCTGTTGCCCAGGCTGTAGTGCAGTGGCGCGCTCTCGGCTCACTGCAATCTCCGCCTCCCGGGTTCACGCCATTCTCCTGCCTCAGCCTCCCGAGTACCTGGGACTACAGGCGCCTGCCACCACGCCCAGCTAATTTTTTATATTTTGTTTAGTAGAGACGGGGTTTCACCGTGTTAGCCAGGATCGTCTCGATCTCCTGATCTTGTGATCTGCCCGTCTCGGCCTCCCAAAGTGCTGGGATTACAGGCGTGAGCCACCACGCCCAGCCCATCCAATCTCTTAAGGGCCTGAAAAGAACAAAAATGTGAAGGGGGGATTAACTGTTTCTCTGCCTGACTGAGCTAGGACATCAATCTTCACCCGTCCTTGATTTGGGACTTATTCCATTGACACCTTTGGCCCTCAGGCCTTAGACTAGAATTTACACTGTTTTCTCTCTGATTCTTAGGCCACTGAACTTGGACTACAACTTAGTCCATCAGTTGTCTGAGTTCTCAGGCCTTCAAATTCAAAGTGGAGCCACACTGCTGGCTTTCTGGGGTCTACAGCTTGCAGATGGCAGATCGTGGGACTTCTCAGCCTCCATAAGTGCATGAACCAATTGCATATAATAAATGTCTTTTAGAAATTTCAAAACACATTGTATTTCAAAACACAAAGAAGGGGGCAAATAACATTTTAAGTATCTTCTCTGTTGGCAAACTTTGAGCCACATTTGAAAATAAGAAAAAAAAAAAGGTGTCAGTGAAAATCGCAGAGTGAGGAAATGCATGCAAATGACTCCCCCTCTAAAACGCAATGAAAAAATAGCAAAAATGCCTAGAATTAACTGTTTTGGAATTATGCAACTGAAAGCTTGCAGCAATCTGGAAAGTGCTCATTCAAGAAAAATGGCTTAATCTCTGCAGGAACAGTAAGACCTGTGGCATTTTAACTTACCTTAGTTTCTTTCTCAGCTCAGCAGTAGACTTTAAAATAACAGAAAACATTTTTGGTAGCAGTTGTGGAGGGAGCAAAATACACCTTATTTTTGAATAATTGTCCTTCTCTGATCTTTCTATTGACTTCCAGAAAAAAATCTACTCAAAAGCCCTGTCTTTATTTTGCCTGATTTATTTCTCTTTATTTGTCTTTATTTACCGTGTGCTAAACTCATTATCTGAGGAGTGGAGAATGGCGTTTGTTGAAAATATGCGCAGGCAGGCAGGCAGACGTTTTAGTTACTGAGGCAAGAAGTAGCAATTGGGGCAAACAATATACTATTACAGGAGTCATTTAAAAATTATTTTAGGCAGATAGAGAGGATGAGGGGTCCTTGGTACGGTTTTTTTGTTTGTTTGTTTGTTTGTTTTCTTTTAAAGCAGCTCCAGAAACGTTTCTTGTCTAGCAGAAAAATGGCTTGAAGGGCCAGGCCAGCAAGCTTTGACATACAAATGGAGGCCATTAGAAACTGGGTCCATCCAATATGGCAATTCCTACCTTCTTCTTGTCACCACATGTGCCTAGCATCATGGCTTCCCCTACATGTCCCCATGCATGTAGAACGTCCTCATGCCCTGTCTTTGCATATTAAAAGGCTAGGGTGGGGGGCAGTTTTTTCTCGGGCTATGTGAATGACATACCTGGTCAAACCAATCCCCTGGGCCCTATGCAAATCAGACACCACCTCCTCCAGCCTCCTAATATAACCAATGTTTTCCTCCACACTAAGGGTTCCCTCTCTCTACTTGGAGTCCTCCTCCCTCTGTCTCTGTACACGGGAGCCTCTTCCTTCTATCTTGCCTATTAAACTCTCTCTGCTCCTTAAAACCACTCCAGGTGTGTACATGTCTTTTATTTAAACTGACGCGAGACAAAGGACCCTGATGTTCCTCCAGTCATGGGAGCCGTATCAATACTAACCAAAAAGCTTGGGAGAAAAGGTGAAGAATGGGATGCTTTGGGGAATAAGGAATTTGAAAAGCTTTCACATGCTCCTTGAATCTAGAGGGTTGTGTGTGTGCCCAAGACTGTGTGCATGATCAGGAAATACATGAAAAGACACTAAACTCAACAACCTTTGGCCAATCTTGAGGCTCTGTGCAAGCAGAAAGATGATTAATTTAGGATTTTAACCTTCCTGCTTGTGTGGTGAAGGTGTGCCCCAACATATACAGAATCCTCTGGAAAAACATAAATTTTCTGGTTTCAGCTACTAAGAAAATGTCTGTCTAATCATTAGGCGATCATTAAGCTAATGGAAATGACTCTAGTGACGCCACATGACAAAGAGTAAAGACTTTACAAAATTTGTTCAGAAAAGATATTAAACAAAGAATTAAAACAAGTGTATCAACAACAAATCCTGGGAAAGAATTTCATTTCTAAATTTGGCACATAATAATAATCAGAATGACCAGTTTTCAACAAAAATGTTAAGGAGCATGCAAAGAAACAAGAATGTGTGACTCATACACAGGAAAAAAGCAATCAATAGAAATTTTCTCTGAGGTGGCCCAGGTGTTAGACTTACTAGATAAGAACTTCAAATAATTAATTTTAAATATATTTAAAGAGCTAAAGAAAGCCACGTCTAAAAAACTCTGTTATGTATGTATATAAAGCATAAACCTTAAAATATCACACTTATTACACTAAATTTATGTGTGCATGCGTGTGCACACGTATACACAGACACACGCGTACATACTATGCCTAAAGTAGTTATTTAGCATTTCATTTTAGTTTAACTCTACTGGCATTTCTAATCCAAGATGATAAATTCCAATCCCTTTTCTACGTTAAGTGGGAAAATGTTTGCAAGACCATAAGATCATGACGTAGCCATTAATAAGTACCAGGTTTCTAGAGTCCTCGATACGATATGTTTTCAATAATATCACAATGCTTCTTGTGACTTGCATATTCTCTCTCCAATCTTGGCTGCTGTGGTGTAATCTCTTTTTATTCCTCCATTTGTTTTAACTTGTGCTTCTCGCATGATATCATAGTATAGCAGAATTTCAGTGCTGACAACCTACAGACTATCTAGTTCAGCTTCCATTTACCTTCTATAATTTCACTGAGATCATTCATGTTATCTAACCGGATTCTCAAGGTAAAATTCCTTCCCATTGTTGTTTTATAACACAAATCTAAATCTCAACAGCTTTTTAATCATCGCATATTCTAATTTACTAATTTACAGGTTATATTTTTTGAAAACTGCCTAGTCTATGTCAACATACTAAGTGTCAATCTACATTGTAATAGTTCTGTAAGTCTAGATTGTACATGCCGTCATTCATAGGTCACACATATGTACTTAGTGGGAAAATCAATCCACAAGAATAGGGACCCCAAAATCGTTTTGAAAAAAACATACGTGTATACAGTATTTAAAGTTACTAATTTTAGAATTTCATTTGGAATAGTTTGAGAAGTAGGCTTTGTAAATGTTTCAGACATATTAGTTATTCTCCTCTTTCTCCATTTGCCAACAAGAATAATACCCAGAAGCAACAAAGTAATCTCCATCACCTAAATTTAATTAAGGAATATAATTGCTATTCAAGATTAAATACTTTAAAACAAAAGTCTGTATTCTAAAAATTAGACTTTGGTGTTTTAACAGAGAAATTTTTCTTTCTGTGTTACATTTTTTTTTGTTTTAATTTCACTTGACATTTTAAAGGAAGGACATACATTCATTCCTGAAGGAATTATATTTCCTCATATTGGATGTACTGTTTTTCTTTTCTGATTAACAAAAAGCTCTTTTAAATTATTACTATTATACAGTTAACTAAATTGGGGTAAAACTTCCTTATAGGTATCCAGGGTGAGAGATCAACATTATCTGTTTATTCTTTGAGTCATGAACATATATAATGTGATAAAACAGTACCACAGTATTTATATCTTTACTGTTTTTTCTCCATAACTATGCTTTCACAGTAATTGTAAACTCCATGTACCATCTAATCTCAAGGGAAAAGTTTGGAGGTAATGTTTAATTAAAATTCACTGGATAACTTAATATTATTAATTATAAAAGTTGTATACATTAGATATTATTTTTTAGTGATGTATATTTTCATGACATATATAATAACTAAAAACTCTATTAACCAAGTATAAATCTCTGATATTATTTTTCCTTTATGTTTAATATTGTTTTATCTATAACTTTGAGATTTTTTTAAAGAAGCTACAGAAACAAAACAATAGTGAGCTAATATTTTCTTAATTAGTAGCTAATTTTTTTAATAATGACCAATAATATATATTTCAAGCAGTACAAATGGCCTTCCTATTATTATGCTATGAAGACTTCCCTGTGTTTAAAGATAGCATCATTTTAGGCAATTAATGAGGCAAAGTTTTATTTCTTTGTAAGTTGAAACTTCAAAAGTACTAAATGGATTAAAAACTGAACATTCTATATAGAAAATAACAGAAGAAAATTATAAGAATGGAATGCTGCAATTTTAACAAGGAAATAGACTTCAGACAGGGCCCATATTGTAGATCTTGGACTAAAGAGGCCATGGATATGAGTGCACCAAGGCTGAGACCAGTTTTTATCACTAACCCAGGTCTTTCCCTATATCCCAATCTTATACAAGAAGACAAGACTATCATCAGTACCTAGGCTGTATGTCTCCCAGATCCCAATATTCCACTCCTTGAAAAATCAGTTTATAAACCTTGAGCTACTCTTCATTTTCCACCAAGGTTCCCATCTCCTTCACATTTTCACCCACATGTACTTTATGGGGCAGGATTCAGTCTAAATCAGTAGCTTTGTTCTGTGTATCAATTCCCTACAAATATATTTCTCTCTGACTCAGTTAAAATGGCTAAGAGATTCCCTGTCAAACAAGATCAATGAAGAAACAGTCCCAATGTCCAATAAAAATAACAACAAAACAACAATAAATTAACAAAACCAAAAAGATGATAAGGCAAACCTGGCTTTTTCACTTGCAGCAATATGACTTTAGACAAGTTATTTACTCTAAGTCTCTTTTTTCTTTTTTTCTTTTTAATTGATAGGGGTTATTTATACATTTCTTGAAGTTTCGCTGTGATGATTAAATTAGTCAATACCATGCACAGTGGATATTTTCTTAATATGCTCATGTGTTAAAATATTTATATAAACCAAAAACATGGGGAAAATGTAAGGTGCTCATGTATTTCTATGTTTGTTTTATTCTATAAAGGAATTTCTAACTTTTATTTTCCTCATGGTATGTGGTCCAGTATGTACTGCTGAGTAGGAAGGAAATATTTTATGGCTATGTTAACATCATATGGCCAGTAAGGGTTATTTTGCTCACTCTGGAGTCATAATTTATTACATTGGCTTTTTATTGGTTCGAAGGAGTCAATACTAATATTCCCTATGCATTAATATGGTCAGGGTTATTGTTGGGAAACTGCTATGAAGTTCTCAGTGAATAATATTCTATAAACATAATTTGATGATGTTTTAATAGCAAAGGGTTGGTAATAATTATGCTTTCCAATGTGCTGAATAGAAAAGATCTTAACGTCTGGTGCTCTTGAGGTCTTTACTCTGCAAGATTACTCTTGCTAAATATCTGGCAGCGAGTCTCCACCAGGAGGTTAACTTTGTGCTTTCTATTTGTGTGTGCATGTACTTTCCAACATTGAATCATCTTGTCTTATTTCTATTTGATGTGGTAATGACACTATTTAATTACATGCTTATCAAGAATTAAATATGACAGCAACTGCAATAGACATAGCAGTGGTAGTAGATAATTTCCTGCAACATTCTTCGCCAGCCATAACAGAATCTATCCAAAAATAGAATTAAAGAAAATCCATTGTTCTTTGATAAACAACTTCTACGACTTTAAGTAGCAAAGAAAGCTGTTGAATCTAATAATTTTTAAAATATCTTGCTCTATTATTTAAAGTTCTATAAGCTTTGTATCCACTTCCTCCATGTCCTTAGCTTTATATTTCCCTCTAGCACAATAGCCTAATTTTATGAATCCAAGGTGGTAGTAAACCCGCTTTTAATCATTACTATTGTAGATTGCCTGACATAAATTTGAGAATCAATGAAAAGAAAGAAAAAATAAGTTAGTCTTTAATGGACCCATATTAATTATTAAAGCATTCTTCTAACAAATTTGAGATCCTTAAAGGCAGGCTGAGAAAATGTCCCTGTATCTAGGAAATTAAGTAGGGTTTCTTGGACAAAAAGATATTGTCATTTCTCCCTGCCCCTTGTTTAAACAATGTAGAAAAATATTTGTTGATCCATAAGCCAATGAGTAATTTTTAATTTGCAATGGATTTATTACGATCTACACGGAAAATTGTAAAAATTAACTACATTACCAGATTTCTTGGTTCTGAAAAATATTATTTTATTTCTCTTTGACTATCGGTCAACTTGTGTTTTCGTATAATCTGATGCATATTGATAGGAATTGAAAGCTTGCGCTGTTCAAAGTAAAACAAAATAATACAATTCTAAAATAAATTACTCTCATTGAATCAAAGGAAAAATTAGGAAATTGTGATAGATATAATAAACAATTTTTAGTTTAGTACGATAAATGCCCATGATGCATTTATGAAGAGAACAAGAAAATTCACTTTTATTCATGTTGAATTTAAGGTTCTAGAATAATTAAAAAATTTCTATTAAACTATTAATGTAAAATCTTCTTAAAACCTAGCCACTGAAGTAACAAAACTACTTACAAAATTTGACACTTAATAGTACTCTGAGACTCTAAGGAAAAATTCTAGTCTTTAAATTTGTATTTCTATGTTTATAGAGAAATACATTTTCTTTGTGTACATATGTTTATACAAATTAATATAACACTTTAAATTTAAAAATATTTAATTATTTCATCATACATTACCCAGTTAATTACTCAGAAAAACCAAGTAAAGTGAATAGAACAATTTTTATAGATGAAGAAGCTAATACTCAGAGAACTTGTAATTTTTGCCATTTTATTTATTTTTATAGAAATATAAAAATAGACTTACAAAGTGACACATGAAACATTCTTGACTCACCAGTAGTACAACAAATAAAGTATCACACTTCTACTCTTCCCAACCCCCAGGCTCCTACCTCCTCTACAGAGGCAACCACTATCCTGAATGCAGTATTTATAAAAGTATAAATACTACTTACATATGTCACTTAAAATATACCATTATTTTGTACATAACTTATCATCATATAAATAATATCAAATTTCATGTCATTTTTAACTTGCTTCTTTTCCTCAGTATTCTGTTATTGACATTTATCTATATTCATACATAGTTACGTAACTTTATTATTGCGATATCTGTTATATGGTGTTAAAATGATGAATATATAGCAATATATTTAACCTTTCTCCTCCTGATGAACCTTAGGTTTCTTTTTTTTTTTTTAGCTATTGTAAACAATGCATATATATAAAATTCTGTGGCTCAGAAAACAATACCCAAAATGAAGGCCTCAGAAGCAACCTCACAGGCAAAAGTTTTACCTCTGACTTTCTTCTGCCCTCCTCTCTTTCATTCCCATTCTTCCCCAAAGCTAGTCAGAGCATTAGGGTCCTTCCCCAGTGCAGGTCATAGAAACCAGAGGACCCCTTGTCTTGAAAGCCAGCCATAAAGCCTAAAAATATTCTGTGTGATAACTGGCCATAAATAAATTATCTGACCTACCTTCTTTGAGTGTGGGTCATATTACCACCATTCCAGTGATGGTCATGCCCATACCCAGAGGAAGGAATGCATATTCAGAAAGGCCAAGAAGGACCTAGACAGAGAGGGCTTGCTGGGTTTCCACACTTGATTAGCATTAGACTGTACCCTTTCTGTCAAATTATACTTCAACAGAAGTTGCCAATACTTTGTCAAAACTAAGCGTAAAAATGGACAATTTCCCCTGTACCTTTAGATCTTCATTCTGAAGCTTCCCATGTATACATGATAAATAAATTTGTAAGCCTTTTCTCCAATTAACGTGCCTTTTGCCAGTTGATTTTTTAGTACAACTTCCGGGGTCAAGGGTCTTAGCCCCTACGATGGATTGCATACTGGTGTGAAAGTTCCTTTAACAATGGGTTTGTTTGATGGTAGGCATATGCATCTTTTGCTGTATTAAACATCATGAAATTATACTTCAAAGCAGTTTCCTGAATTATACATCCACAAACAATGTATAAGGAATCTCTGACAGTCCCGTGTTGAACCTGTTTACACTCAGAAACTTAGCAAATGGTGAATATTTGAATAGGATTCCAGTACATTTTTCACCATACTTCATGAATATAGTTAAGATTCACATAAAAATTAACATAACATTATACACTCAAACAATAGCTTTTAAATATGTTTGTCTCTTTAGAAGTTTTATGTTAATAATTCTGCTTGTACCTATATAATAAACATGCATCTTCTGCATATGCATCCCAGAACTTAAAGTAAAATAAAAAAATTAAATTTTTTAAAAAACTGCTTGTATTATTAAATTGTATAGTAAGTTATCTCTTCATACACAATAAAATTAAAAAGTTCAACCAACGTACTAGCATGGAAAAATTTGAATTAGTTGATGGGTGGGGTTATATTGAATTTTATGCATATGCTTTTATAACCTTTTATGTAATAAATAAGCTTTTATAAAAGGTTTATACAAATAAGTCTTTTTTAGTAAAATGAATACTTTTACAGTAAACTAAAAGGTGAACATGCAAATATTTAAGTAACTGTTGCCTTGCCCTTCTTGAGTAAGTTATTTATTGAGTATTTTAATTTCTATAACTTGTTAAGTATATATATAATTTATCTTTGAACACCAGAATTTAGAACACCACTCAGCATGTGATATGTGCTCAGCAACATGGAGTAAATGAATAAATAAATAGAAGAAAAGTGTGAATAAATGAAAACTGGTAACAATAAGCTAGGTGCAAATCAGTATCTCTGGAAAGTGAATCCAAAATTCAAATTTACATTGTAAATAGAAGAAATGAAAATAGACTCCTACCATCAACAATTAAAGAGCTTGAGAGTTGTCACACACATCCTTTTAACCACCAGAAAACAGAACAAAATGAAATTCAATTACTTTTTTCAACTTAGGAGAGAGCTGAGGTTGCAGGGCAAACTTCCAGCCTGAAATCTGGAGAGACAATTTAACCGAGTCACAGCTAAAAATCTGCCTACCTGGAGCAGAAGCCATAGGAGTAATAAACTGGTAGAAACTTTTACATAATTTTAGTGAATGATAGGAGACTGAGTATGGAATAACATGAGAATGAGAAACCGCTGGCATCAGTCTTAAATAGATTACCATACTTCTGTGGGTTTTAACTCCACAAATTCCATCAGATTGTTAAAGTGGTGATCCAACAAAAAAATCCCTTGTGGCTCCGTCTGGAAGAGAGGAAGAACAATCATTGTGAAATATGTCTAGAGTATTTTTCATAAAAGGACTTCTTTCCAGGGAAAAAGGTCTTCAAAGTTTTATCACACTTTGCAGAAAGGCACTTCTTCCTTCTTAGCCCCCTCTAGCCTTTCTGTCTCATGGAAGGAAGAGAGAGAAAAAGATACAGGTTGAATATCCCTTATCTGAAATGCTTTGACTAGAAGTGTTTTGGATTGTGTATTGGTCAGGGTTCACACTCCCTCTAGAGGGACAGAACTAATGGAATAGACATATATATAAAGGGGAGTTATATTAACTTCCGTGATCACAAGGTCTCGCAGTAGGCCATCTGCAGGCTGAGGAGCAAGGAGAGCCAGTCTGAGTTCCCAAACTGGAGTCCAATGTTCGAAGGCAGGAAGCATCCAGCACAGGAGAAAGATGTAGGCTGGGAGGCTAGGCCAGTCTCTCTTTTCACATTTTTCTGCCTGCTTATTTTCTAGCCAGGCTGAGTGCTGATTAGATTGTACCCACCCAGATTAAGGGTGTGTCTGCCTTTCCCAGTTCACTGACTCACATATTAATTTCCTTTGGCAACACCCTCACAGACACACCCAGGAACAATATTTTGCATCCTTCAATCCAATCAAGTTGACACTCAGTATTAACCATCACAGATTGGATTTTTTTTAAATTTTTTATTTTCAAATTAGGAATACCAACTTGCATGTCACTGGAGCAACTGTTGTAAAGTTTACAACCAGGAGTAATAGGTCACTCATTAAAAAACTGAGATTTAACCATAAGACTATAGAATGTCCCTCCCACCAACACTTGACCACCATATCAACAGGAGTCCAGTATAGGAACAGTAGATTATAACTTAAAGACTTCCAAGAGGCAGGCATTTTTTCAGAAGAGTACTTAATGAAGTCCAAAGTTTAAAGAAGAGTGGAAAACAAGGAACTTAAAGGAATTTGAAATTTCTGGCATCTTCAAATATAACAGATATGAAACATAACCCACCTCCTATTCATATTGTCGTAAGTCTTAACACTAAAGGTTATACACCTCAGTTTCTATGGCCCAATGCAACAGGTCTGGCTATCAACAAAAGAATACAAATATACTCAAAGGCAAGATGAACACAATCTAAAAACAGGAAGTAATCATCTTAAGCAGACTTAGATACGACAGAGGTATCAGAATTAGTTGATGGAATTTAGAATAACTGATTAATATATTAATGGCTCTAATGGAGAAAATAAACAACATGCATGAAAAAAATGAGTAATGGAAGCAGAAATATACACAGTCTAAGAATTAAAAAAAAGTGTTAGTAATGAAAAACTCCATAACAGAAATGAAGAATATCTTCTTTGGATTCATGAGTAAACTCGATGTGGCTAATGAAAAATTATTGAAATTGAAATTAGGTGAAAAGCAATTTTCCAAACTTATATGCAAAGAGATAATGAATGATAATAATTGAAAGAACAGAACACCAAAACACTGTGGAACTATTTCAAAATCATGAAATATACCTACTTGGAATACCAAAGAGAAAGAAATGGAGAAGGAATAATTAATGAAATAATGGTCAAGAACTCCTAAAATCAATAGCAGACACAGAACACAGATCCAGAAAGCTCAGAGAACACCAAACATGGAGGGAAAACAACAACAATAAAAAAATACTGCATCTAAGAATATCTAGTAATAGAGTGGTGTAAAATATTTAAGGTGTTGAAAGAAAAAAAAAACACCACTAATCTGGAATTCTATATTCACTGAAATTATCCTTTAGCAGTAAAGCAGAAATAAATACTTTCTCAGATAAACAGAAACTGAATACATCGCCAGGTGACTTTCTCTCCAAAAAATATTAGAAGAAATTCTTCAGGGAGAAGAAAAGTATAAGTCAGAAAACAAAACGTATTTGAAAGAGATATTAAAATAAATTTTTTTTCTCTCTATTTTCTAAAGATCTAGAAGTCTAAGTACAAAATAACAGAGGTCAGTTTATAGTGAATCTTATTTGGAGATGTTAGAAAACTTCTGTAGGTATTGCAAGAAAAAAAATTTTAAAGAATGTTATGGTCTTTAGCTCATACGCTCTCTTAAAAATATAAAAGAAAGAAAGCTAAAGACTGATAGTGATGGGCTTCATTAAGATTAGTTGGAGAGGTTAGTGTGTGTCTCCTAAAGTGAGAAACAGTGGGAGCTACTGCTTGATTCATGTATCACAGAAAAGAATGGCAGTGTCTGTTTTGCTTCTCTGATGGTAGAGAAAGGAGAGCCTACATTAGAATTAGTCTACACCAGAACTTGTTGGGATTTTTTTAAAAGCATATGCATTTTCTTTGGGTTAGAAATGAGCCAAGAGGGAATGAGTCATTCAGGAGTTATCTTGAAGGTACTTTGCCCACACGGCTTTCTAATTGATCGGAGATCTCTACAGAGCATGCGAGTGGACCACCAAAAATCAGACACTGGGAGTATATCAAAAGAGGCCAAGCAGATGACACTTTGTCCATATTAAAGAAGGCAGATGAGAAATACCTAGGAATAGAGTGTCTCTAACAAACTAACAGATCACCATAAAATATTTTTGAACACATTCCAAATCAAGAGAGCACCAATGGCATATCAGGGTAGTAAGAAGCACGTAAAGTCATTCTTCAGCACGATACTTTTTCTGTCTATTCCTTTTCTGAGCCAGAACTTCTACAAACCACCGCTGGAAACTTACAAGGAAAGGTAATGAGAACTAATGAAATAAAGAAGAGGCATTTTTTTTTTTTCCATTTCTTACTTCAGGCTTCCATCTAGATATAAGCCAGAAATGAGGAAGGGAGCTTACAATGACTATCAGAATTTTTATCATTCTGTGTAGAACTTCATTATTATTTACTGAAATAAAACATTTGTAACTACAAAAAATAGAAACCTTTGCATATTACGAGTGTGCATTGAAAATTTTTGACTTAGAGAACTAGTCCCAGACAGTAAATTTTTTGAAAAATTGGTTACAAATAGATGGACTGCCTGGCAATGTGAAAGATCCAGTTGAAGTTAAAGATGTTGAAATGCTATATCTACAGTTAGTATGGGTGTGTGATTTTTTTTTTTTTCCTCAATAGGAGTTGGTAGCTTGTAGCAGTTAAAAGTACAGACAATTGACCCAGACTGACTGGATTTTAATCCTAGTTGTACCACTTAATAGTCAACTGATCTTTATTAAATTATTTAAGCTCTTTTTACCTTCACTTTACACCTGTTTTAAATGGGTTGGTTGTAGTTCATGCTTTGTATGATTGTTAGAATTATAAAATTAGCATATGTTAGCACTTAGCATTGGTGCTAAAATTAACATGTTAGCAACGGTATAGGGTAAACATTCTACTAATGCTATCTATTATTATTATGTTCCTCAGCAGCTTTTAGTTGCATATGTATAGAGAGAGGACATGATAACATATACAATTATGCAAAGTTAAGATGTTATGTGATGGAAAGACATGGGTGAGTTTAGAAAATTAAGTACTCATTAGTTAAAGCAAAGGATTGGAGAACGTGTGCTGGATAAATAGAATGTAAGAGCAGGATAGGTCTGATAGATACAAGATGATGACTTGTATTGTGGAGCAAATGAAAGTATTATTAAATAATCACATATTTTACATGTCAGTCTGTTCAGGCCATAAACCAGTGGCTTATAAATAAGGGAAATTTATTTATTGCAGTCCTGGAGGCTTGTGAAGTCCAAAATCAAGGCACAAGCAGATTTGGTGTCTGGTGAGGGTCTGCTTTCTGGTTAATAAACTGCCCCCGTCTCACTGTAACTTCACATGGCAGAAAGGGCAACAGATCTTCCTGGGGTCTCTTTTATAATGACACTAATGTCATTCATGAGGGTTCCACTCTTATCACCTAAGCAACTCTCAAAGATCCCACCTCCAAATACCATCACATTAGAAATCAATATATGAATTTTGAATGTATAAAAACATTCAGCCTATGGTATCATACTCCTGTTCCCCCAAAATTTATGTCCTTCTTACAGGCAAAATACATTCATTCCATCTCAACAGCCCCACGTCTTAACTCATTTTAACATTAACTGAAAAGTAGAAAGTCCAAAATCTCATCTAAATATTATCTAAATTAGATGTTGATGACACTTAATGTATGATTCATCCTGAAGTAATTCCTTTACAGTCTTGAACCTGTGAAATCAAATGCATTATTTGCTTCCAAAATATAATAGTGGGGCAGGCATAGGATAGACATTACTTTTCCAAAAGAGAGAAAAGAAAAAGGAGTGACAGCTCTTAAGTAAGTTTGAAACTGAATGGGGCAAATTTCATTAGACCTTAACACATTATCCTTTCTAGCTCAATGTTCTGCCCTGCAGGACCACTGGGGTGAAGATCACACACTGGCTCTGGGGGACTTAAGTCTCATCCTTTGAAATCTAAGTGGAGGCAACTCTGCTCCCGGGGCTTTTATTATCTGTGAGCTTGTGGAGTTGGCAACATGCAGATACCACCAAAGTTTTCTGTCTGTGCCTTTCAGAGAGGTGGCCAATGCAGCCTGTGCTACATGAGGGCCCACCTAAACTTTACCTGGGGCAGCTGTGTGTAATGCCAGAGAGCAAGGCATTGAGGCAAACTGAGGTCCCACAGACTCTGACAGTCTCTCCTTTGAAACCACTCTTCCCTGAAGGCCCTTACGCTTTGAGCCTGTGATAAGAGAGTTAGTCCTAATAATCCTTAAATTGCTTTCAGGGTAATTATTCCATTGTCCTGGATAATAGCTCCTGGCTTCTGTTTAGATGGTTGATCCACACTAATCTCCTTATTAAACAGTCACTTGCCCACACCCTTAGTGTTCTTTCCCAAAGAGGCTTTCTCGTTCATTATAATATGAATATACTGAGAGTTTTCAGTTTTCCCAGTCTTTACATTCTGCTTCCATTTTGATTAAAATCATTGTCCTTATGTCATTTCTGTCTTCTTGCATTTTATTATAAGCAATCAGGAAGAATCATGCTGCTCTTTCAACACTTGAGTGAGAACTTTCCTCAGCCAGATATCCAATTTCATCACTCACAAGTTCTACTTTCCACAAAAAATATGAAACAAAACCAATTCTGCCAAGTTATTTGCTACATTATAATAACGATGATCTTTCTTCAGTTTCCAAAAACATTCCTTTGCATTCTGAGTTCTCATCAGAATGCCCTTTACTATCCATATTTATATGAACATCTGTTCAAGATTACTTAGGTATTCTCTTAAAATATTGAGGCATTCTCTGTAATTTCTCCTTTTCTTTTTGAGTTCTCTTGAGAAGTATCTTAAAGTTTCATTCATGGCCATGTAGACACTTTCAGCATGTAAGTCAAAACTCTTCCAGGCTGTGCCCGTCACCTGGCGCCTGATCTTGGTTTATCTGAGTGACTATAACCACATGCCATAAACTAGGTGGCTTATAGACAATAGTAAATTATTTCTTACCATTCTGGAGTCTAGAAAGGTCAAGGCACCAGCAGATTTTGTGTCAGGTGAGGTCCCACTTCCTGGTTGATAGACTGTCATCTTCTTCTTGTGTCATCACACGATATAAGGAGCTAGGCAGCTATTTGGGGTCTCTTTTATAAATGCAATAATCTCACTGATATGATCTCCACCCTCATTACCCAATCACTTCACAAAGGCCCCACATCCAAATACCATCACATTGAGGATTAGGTTTCAACAAGTGAATGTTGTGGGGACATAAACATTCAGTCTATAGCAGATAGGAACTAGCCCAGAAAACACATAATTTAGGTGTGTATATATTTTTGTCTGGTTTTAAAGCTCACTCTGAATAATGAATAGGCTCATAGAAGACATTAATACTTCAAGGAATGATGGTGAATAAGCAAAGTTTAGTAAATGTAAATAAAGAGAGAAAATGGGATGTGGTATATATGTGTTTCATGAACTATAATGTGTATACAATTCTGATCATAATGCTTAGTACTTATAATTTGTTGCATAGGTATGACTTCAATAAATGCATGCACCATAAAGGATCTGGGCTTTTCTTATTATTGAAGAAAAAAATGGTCTGGAAGACACAATGTGAAATAAGGAAGATCCCATCTCATATATGACCTTATGACAGACTCTGATGAGGATGATACATAAGTATAATGGGAAGTTTTGTGGGTTATGCAAGTGAAAGCACCTTCCATTTGAAAAAGTTTGGGTAGCAATGGCAACAAAAGCCACAATTGACAAATGGGATCTAATTAAACTAAAGAGCTTCTGCACAGCGAAAGAAACTACCATCAGAGTGAACAGGCAACCCACAAAATGGGAGAAAATTTTCGCAACCTACTCATCTGACAAAGGGCTAATATCCAGAATCTACAATGAACTCAAACAAATTTACAAGAAAAAAACAAACAAACCCATCAAAAAGTGGGCAAAGGACATGAACAGACACTCCTCAAAAGAAGACATTTATGCAGCCAAAAAACACATGCAAAAATGCTCACCATCACTGGCCATCAGAGAAATGCAAATCAAAACCACAGTGAGATACCATCTCACACCAGTTAGAATGGCAATCATTAAAAAGTCAGGAAACAGCAGGTGCTGGAGAGGATGTGGAGAAATAGGAACACTTTTACACTGTTGGTGGGGCTGTAAACTAGTTCAACCATTGTGGAAGTTGGTGTGGCGATTCCTCAGGGATCTAGAACTAGAAATACCATTTGACCCAGCCATCCCATTACTGGGTATATACCCAAAGGACTATAAATCATGCTGCTATAAAGACACATGCACACATATGTTTATTGCAGCACTATTCACAATAGCAAAGACTTGGAACCAACCCAAATGTCCAACAATGATAGACTGGATTAAGAAAATGTGGCACATATATACCATGGAATACTATGCAGCCATACAAAATGATGAGTTCATGTCCTTTGTAGGGACATGGGTGAAATTGGAAATCATCATTCTCAGTAAACTATCGCAAGGACAAAAAACCAAACACCACATGCTTTCACTCATAGGTGGGAATTGAACAATGAGAACACATGGACACAGGAAGGGGAACAACACACTCTGGGGACTGTTGTGGGGGAGGAGGGGGGAGGGATAGCATTAGGAGATATACCTAATGCTAAATGACGAGTTAATGTGTGCAGCACACCAGCATGGCACATGTTTACATATGTAACTAACCTGCACATTGTGCACATGTACCCTAAAACTTAAAGTATAATAATAATAAAAAAAAAGGAAAAAGAAAAAGCTTTGGGTAAAACTGTGTGATTGAATGAAGGCCAGGCATTATTTAGGATAAAATTATGGAAAGAGTAAGAAGTTAAAAGTTAAATTATATATATAGTTCCCCACAGAATAAGGCATTGTAGAATGATTTTGGAAGTAAGAGAGCATCATATTTGTCTTTTATATTGATGGTGTCACACTGATATATCTGTAGATAAAAAAGTGAACCAGAAGACTTGGTAAAATACATGATTGGCATAAGGTGAAAGCTTCATTCATTCACTCTAGTATGCCTATTGTGGGTTAGACATTCTAGGCATTTTAACATAACTAAAAATTAAGGGGCAAACAAGGTTGGCTGAAAGTCAACAGATAATAGACACAAACGATGTAAGTTATATAGAAAGTTAACAATGTCTTATACTAAAAGATAGAGCAAAATAAGCAGTTTTGTCAGAGGTGGATTGCAAAGTAAATTTTTTTTTAGATGGAGCCTTGCTCCATCACCCAGGCCGGAGTGCAATGATGCAATCTCGGCTCACTGCAACCTCTGCCTCCCAGGTTCAAGCAATTCTCCTTCCTCAGCCTCCTGACTAGCTGGGATTACAGGCATGTGCCACCATGCCCAGCTAATTTTTGTATTTTTAGTAGACATGGGGTTTTACCATGTTGGCCAGGCTGGTCTCGAACTCCTGACCTCTAGTGAACCACCTGCCTCAGCCTCCCAAAGTGCTGGGATTACAGGCATGGGCCACTGTGCCCAGCTGCAAAGTAAAATTTTTGATGTTGAGAGCTAAACATTTGAGCAAAGCCTTGAAGAAATTCAATGAGCTATTTGTTAGCATATGTGGGAGGACATTCCAGGATTGCAGTGCATGGCCAGCTCAGAGCCCTAAGGGATGCTCTATAACACATTAACCCATGTGAGAAATGATAGTTGGAGCCAGGATGATAGCATTTGAGGTTATAACAATTGGGAAGGATTGGAATATTTTGATAAATTAAACAAGATAGGGCCTGCAAATAGACATATGAAAAAAAGTGCCAACCTGAGAACCATAATTATTTCAATTATCTGAGTCTGACATTCATTAAATATGCAAAGGCAAACAGATATTGAATACCCTTATAGATGAAGTTATTTGCATCTTTGTATAACTGATTGGTTACCTTATTTTATCTTTATTTTGAAAAGTATGCTAAAAAAATGAATTTCTACTTTTTTCCTATATTGATTATCGAAAACTTCCAGATTAAATCAGCAAATCCTAAAAACTACATAGAGATCAGAAATGGATAAGAGGTGACAATCAAATAGTAAATTTTTGGTTTTCCATTTATCTAAAGTTCATGGTCATTTAATTTCACTTTTAAGAAATGAATCTTTTAGTAGGCATGACAATGTTTCTTGAAAATTAGTTGAACTTTAAAAAATTGTATTAACTCATATAATTTAGGAATATTGTGATGTTTATGCAATGAATAAAGAACATTTATAAATCCAAGTTTTTTTCAAAAAATATCAATATTTTACTGAGGAAAACACCGGTCTTGTATTTAATATATTAATAATGTTTGCATCTGTTTCTACACTCAAATCTCATGTTGAATTATAATCCCTAATGTTGAAGATGGGGACTGGTGGGAGGTAATTGGGTCATGGGGGCAGATTTCTCATGAATGATTTCGTACCATCCCCTTGGCAGTGTCCTTGCAATAGTGAGTGAGTTCTCATAAGATCTGACCATTTAAAAGTGTTTGAGACCTTCCCCGTCTTTTTCTTGCTTCTGCTTTAGCCATGTGATGGATGCTCCTGCTGCCCCTTCGCATTCCGCCATGATTGTAAGTTTCCTGAAGCTTTCCCAGAAGCCGAGCACATGCCAGCATCATGCTTGCTATACAGCCTGCAAAACTGTGAGCCAATTAAACCTTTCTATATAAATTACTCAGTCTCAGCTATTTCTTTATAGCAATGTGAGAACTGCTTAATAGACATGGGAAACTCCTTGCGTAACTTAAAAATGAACTGAGAACAGCAAAATATAAGATTAGAGGAACAAAAGTATAAGAAACAATAGACAAGGAAACTTGTCAAAGAGTTGTTTGTACATTTTTATATATCAATCAATTTATACGAATAGTACCATCATAGAACATTTTTATATAAAAACCAATGAAAATCAAAGATGAACTAACAATACAAGTAAGATATAGACGAACATACTGAAGTTTTACTAAACTCTTTGTAAGCATAATTTGTAAGTTTAGTAACCTCTTTATGCTAGTTTATGTTTGAAAAAAAAGAAAAAAAGACACTAGTTTAATTATATTTCTCCCTCTAAGAATCTATAGCTTGAAATGAAGATATTTCATTTCTAATTTGCATTATTTAATAACAAGTATAAAGCAAACTACTTACACACTAAGAAATGTAATTGCTAATTACACCTAAAGAATTTTTTCTGCTATTTTGATTGTAGCAGAAAATCAATGAACTAAATTTTCCAGTTTTACTCTCAGAATTAAAATTATTAAAATACTTTTTCAATGAAAAGGAAGGGTGGGAATTGGATTAAATTATGTCACTTCATCCTGATAGACTATTGATGAAAAGCAAGTATTTTTAAAAGGAACTTTCTAGTTCAGAAATTACTACAACTACCAAAACATGAATAATAAGGGATTATTAATGAGATGATAAAATAAAATTAATTTGTATTTCCAAAAGAGAATAATTCTGTTCCAAGAGGAAAGTCATTATTCAAGTTTTTGAGTTATATGAACAGTTTTTAAACATGATGCTTTAATGAAACCAAGACATGAAATAAATAGAAATTTAGGTGGTAGGGAGGGTTATGAACTACTAATGATTGTGGAAGTGTCACTTTTCTCCTGAAACACACTCAGTAATTCAATACGAAATTGTCTAAGAACAAGTGAGCTAGAACTTATTGATGGACATGTCTGATATTAAAGAAATTTAATCTAGTGGACAGCTTCACTGATATAGATATGACAAAAAGAAGTGGTTAAAATTTAGGGTAAGTAGGGTCTATATGCTATGAAAATTAGGCCACTGGGGCCAAGATCCATTGTCAGGTGGAAATCCAATTAAAAAATTATATGCTAGCATAGAAGTTGTCTCAGACAGATTGTTCGCCTCACACAGTGAGAGTGTCATATGGAAAATGTGCTTTCACAGTCTTGCAGAGGATATTCAACACAAACAGAATGAGAAGAGAAGCCCCAAATAACATCAGGACTAGTTGTCATTGACCTTCTAGCAAGGATAGGCTGAATTCTATCCTAGCCATATAGGACAAGCTATCCTATCAATGATGAAAAATGGGTGAGTCTGAGACAGGAATAATCAAATTCCGGTGGCTCACAACATTCAAGGGTTTGGCTCATCAAGGGTAAATCCACATAAAGAGCAATTGTGTTACCTAAACTACCACTAGATTTCCCAATGAGAAATAAAGAAGCAAGAGCCGAGCCTTTAAGTGATTCAATATTGCTAATGTGTTGACTGAAAGGAGCAATTTAGTAGAAAAAGAATTTATTTGGAAGTTTAAATTTCTTAATAGGCTTTCTATGTTTCAAAGGATGTAACCTTGAAATATTCAGGGAATTTTCATTAAACATGTAGCATAAAAATAATTATGAACTACATAAAATAGTGATAGGTAATTTCCAAGTTTACTAAAGTTAAGCAAAAACAATTAGTATTTATGAAAAATAAGTCAATTATTTTATTTGAGGTGTTCCTTATAATGTACAAAGTAAGTAACTATGTCTCTTGGTGGTATAACTTGATCGATTTATGAGACTTTATCGTGTAGGAGATTAGATTTAGAAATCTGATTTTATGATTTTGTGAAACAGTGATATATATAAGAACACTTCAAATATGAAAGGTAGAACATAAAAAACATGAAAAAGAGTAGATTATAAAACTCTTTCACCTACAGCCTAATTCAATGGAGAATTTTTTTTAGCATTGTTTACTTAAAATATAATTCAATAAATAAAATGAGACTCCCAGAGAGCTTTTGTGGAACACATATTTCATATAACAGTTTTCTACATAATAAAGATCTTTTCTGAATGAGATGAAAAGTGGTCCAAGGTAAAGTTGGTGGCCTATTATGTATTTCAAAAAGCTAAAATTGATTGATATTGGGCACATATAATTTGTAACCTAATACCTCTCTGAGGCTAAACACAGGTTATTCAAGTGTTTCCACACTGTATTTGGATTGCAAATGTAGTTAATGGGGGAAGTAAAAACACTTTAGTATCAATGAGGAGTTTAGTTAAAGGTTACGGAGGTTTGTGTTACAAGTGGGGAACTGGTACAATAGGCATATTCTTTGTGCATGTGTGAGAAAAAAATATTAGGTTGAAGGGCTTCTACATTTAGCTATTCTCTGAGGAATTAAGGTAGTATTTATTTAATTTTCAAGTATTTGGCATTCTCATTCATTTTAGAAATTTGTGATGTTACTTCTTATTTCTAGAAAGGTTTATAGTCTCAAAAATTCGATTCTAACCTTTTTTCTTATTAGACTTCTTCCTTTTTAGTAGTTCAAATGTTCTTTCTATTCTTTCAAAGACAGCGTTTTCTTTCCTGAGACCTTTTAGACCTTTTTATCTTTATTGGCTGATAAAGCTTGACAAAATATATCATCATCTCCCGCAAATTGGCTTATTCTTCAAAAGTCATTACCAAGAGCCATGTTTGACCCCTCCCTCTCAATGGTCACCCTAATTAGTTAACAAATTAGTTAACAAAACATTCTGTCCAAACAATGCCCCATAAGGCTAATCTGTATAAAACCACCTATTCCTAATAATCTTAAAATGACATAATTGGATTAACTCCTAAACCCATTTGTAATCTTTCCCTATGATAACTCTGCCTACACGTAGCAGTCATATTTAGGCTGGAGATAAAATTAACAATTAAAATGACTACTAGTCAAATGGTAATATAAACCTATGCTTCTCTTAGTGTTTACTGCTTCAACTTGGAATGTTTCATCTTAAATTTTGACTGCAATTTCTTTCTTTTTTTTTTTTTTTCTGAGACGGAGTTTCGCTCTTGTTGCCCAGGCTGGAGTGCAATGGTGCAATCTCAGCTCATGGCAACTTCTGCCTCCTGGGTTCAAGTGATTCTCCTGCCTCAGCTTCCTAAGTAGCTGGGATTACAGGCATGTGCCACCACACCTGTCTAATTTTGTATTTTTAGTAGAGACGGGGTTTCTCCATATTGGTCAGGCTGGTTTTGAACTCCCGACATCAGGTGATCCACCCACCTCAGCCTCCCAAATTAATGGGATTACAGCCATGAGCCACTGCACCCAGCTGACTCTAATTTCTTTACTTACATCTGTTGAAGCAGAATTTCTGCAGGAAGAAACTGTAATCTGAATTGTCTATGACTTCAGGTGATCCTAATAAATCATGGCATTTGAGAACTAAGATTAGAGTTCCGAACTCTGTTCATTGGAATCACCAGGCAAGCTCATTAGACAGCACATTATCACATTTCAGTCTAGGCAACTCTAACTCAATATGTTTCAGGACAAACCAATGAGTGTGCAACTCAGTGCATTGTCTATCCATCTTAGATATGCACCCACTACTCTGATTTAATCGAATACTCCCCATTGTTCTCCATAGTTCAAAATGTTCTTAGCAATTTTCACATTTCTATTGTACCAGGTATAATGTATAATTTGGGGAACTTTTGTAATAATTTCACAATAATTTATTGAGAAATATTTAAATACTATCTAAAAGAATCAGCTGTTTTGTAAATGTGTGTTTTACATTGTTTTTTCTTCTTGAAGTTTCTTAATGTAAAAAAATTATAGTAATTTATACCCTAGTTTTTAAGATCCTTACACTATTGAGTTAAAGAGAGAGAATTCTGGCTTACTTGACAATGGTATATTATTTTTTCAGTTCATACCTGTATTTATCTACTACTGTTTTGCTAAATATTTGGCATCTTTCAACATGAATGAGTCTAGGTTTTCTTGTATGTTCTGTAAGTTTTAATAATGGGTGTTGTTTGACTCATAAAATAATTTAATACATTTTCTTGTTAAACAGTATAGAATCTCTTTTGTTTTTTTTTTTTTTTTTTTTTTTTTTTTTTGAGACAGAGTTTCCCTCTTATTGCCCAGGCTGGAGAGCAATGGCATGATCTCGGTTCACCACAACCTCCACCTCCCGGGTTCAAGCAATTCTCCTGCCTCAGCCTCCCAAGTAGCTGGGATTACAGGCTTGCACCACCACACCCGACTAATTTTGTATTTTTAGTAGAGACGGGGTTTCACCATGTCGGTCAGGCTGGTCTTGAGCTACTAACCTCAGGTGATCCTCCTGCCTTGGCCTCCCAGAGTGCTGGGATTACAGACATGAGCCATCGCACCCGGCCAAACTGTATAGAATTATAAGATTCTATTTTTAATTTAAATATAGCCTATAACCTATAAAATCATATATACTTGAGGACTTTTTATTAGCAAATATTTTAAAAACCCTTAATTTTCTTTTTTTATTTTTTGGTTGTCTGGTCAAATGTATATTAGATTTTAAGTCAATTTTGAAGATTTAGATTTTCTTAAAACACAATTTTAAAAGTTCATGGGACACATAAATTTTTTTTATTTTATTAGAGTCTTCTGAGGGATAAGAGAGTATCCATAAAATAATAATTGACAGCTTTGCAAAATTTACAAAATTCATAATAGATGGATTTAGCAACAAAATAAATAGAATATGTGATGAAATGTTTGACCTGGAACATCAACTGATAAAGTTGCTGAGAATACATTTTAAAATGTCAAATATATATAATGTGACAAAGAAAAGTTAAAAGATCTAGTGAGTGAAATAAAAAATGTTAACATCTATCCATTTTTATTTCTAAATGGAGATAAATGAAAGATTGAGAAAATGTGAGACAAATGAAATAATAAAGATAACTTACTACAGCTGAAGGAAAACCTTAGCATTCACATTTAAAGAGTCCAACAAATGTGAATAGGATTAATACAAAAGTATTTTTATTTTGAACTGTCTTTTGAAATATAAAAATTACGGAGAGATGGAGAAAATTCTAAGAGCTTCCAGCATAAAAAGACAGATTAATTACCTAGAAAGAGAATCTTACATGCATTATACTTTACAATAAAACCACCTTTAAGCCTATACTTTTAAAAGTGATTAAATAAAATTTAATTACAGAGCAAAATATTGGAGTTTTATGTTTCTGCTTTTGGTTTGTTTTGCTTAGTATTTACAAGCAATAGGTTATGAATAGAATTTTTAAAAAATAATTGACAGAGGGAAATTCCTAAATATTTAAACAATGTTGATTGGAAAAAAACAGGAAAGTACAGTATAGCAAAACAAAAATATAGTGTAAATTAATTTTGAATATACATGTAAACATTCTACATAAAACATTTTCAAATTACATTTATTGATATTCCTTTTTTTTTTCCTTTTGAAACGAAGTCTCATTCTGTCACCTAGGCTAGAGTACAGTGGTGCAATCTCAGCTCACTGCAACCTTGGTCTCGTGGGATCAAGCGATTCTTCTGCCTCAGCCTCCCAAGTAGCTGGGGTTACAGGTGTGCGCCACCACACTCAGCTAATTTTTGTATTTTTAGTAGAGACAGGATTTCGCAATGCTGGCCAGGCTGGTTTCCAATTCCTGACCTCAGGTGATCTGTCCACCTCAGCCTCCCAAAGTGCTGGGATTATAGGCATAAGCCACCGTACCTGGCCACAAATTACATTTATTGATATTTTAAAAGAATGCTATAACTTAATCAGGAATTCAATATGCAAGATTACGTCTACATCTGAAAATATATTCAAGTGAGAAACACGGCAATCATTCATTACACAAGTTTGCAAGCTAAGAATAGAACACAAGTTATTGTAGTAATATCAAGTATTTTCTAAATAGTAATATAAATGTTAAACTCGATGCCAAAATGCTATAAACATTCTTATCAAATTTGAAAACAACACAAAGATTCAGACTTCTACCTCACATTGACTGGGCAGTTTCTGCATTCCATATTCTAGATGGAACCATTAGATTAAGTTTGATAACTAATTGTATTAGTTATCGAATAGTCTTTGTGAATTTTCGATTAGGTAATTGGAGAAAAAAATTATAAAAACTATGTATATATAAATAATATAAAATTATATCAACACATAAATAACATTAATACAAGTCATAATCTAAAATTTAAATAAAACAGAGTATCATATAGTATACTGAGTTAAGCAGCAGACTGGAAAAGATGCAAGGGATATGAAAAAAATAAAATATGTAATTCTTTTTTTTAATTTCAAATTTTATTTTAGATACAGATAATACATGTGCAGGTTTGTTACATGTATTGCATGAGGCTGATGTTTGGGGTATGGATCCCATCACCCACCTAGTGAGCATAGTAACCAATAAGCAGTTTTTCAAACCACACCCCTCTCCCTACCTCCCTGCTCTCATAGTTCTGTGTCTATTGTTTCCATATTTATGTCCATGTGTGCTCAATGTTTAGCTTTCACTTATAAGCAACAACATATGTGGTGTTTGGTTTCCTGTTCCTGCATTAATTCACTTAGGATTATGGCCTCCAACTGAATTCATGTTGCTGCAAAGAACATGATTTTAATATTTTTTTTTTATGGCAGTGTGGTATTTCATGGTATATATGTATCACATTTTCTTTAATCTATCATTGATGGGCACCTGAGTTGATTCCATGTATTTGCTATTGTGAATAGTGCTGTGATGAACATGTAAATGCATGTGTCTTTTTGTTAACATGATTCATTTTCTTTTGAGTATATACCCAGTATTGGAATCACTGGGTTGAATGGTAGTTCTAAGTTCTTTGAGAAATTTTCAGACTGCTTTCCACAGTGGCTGCACTAATTTACATTCTCCCTAATAGAGTATAAGCATTTCTTTTTCTCTGCAGCCTTGCTAGCATCTGTCATTTTTTGATGTTTTAATAGTAGCCATTCTTATTGGTGTGAAATAGTACCTCGTTGCAGCTTTTTTTTTTTTTTTTCGAGACAGTCTCATTCTGTTGCCCAGGCTGGAGTGCAATGGCACAATCTCAGCTCACTGCAACTTCCGCCTCCTGGGTTCAAGTAATTCCCCTGTCTTAGCCTCCCAAGTAGTTAGGATTACAGGTGCACACCACCACACCCAGCTAATTTTTGTGTATTTAATAGAGGCGAGGTTTCACCATGTTGGCCAGGCTAGTCTCAAACTCTTGACCTCAAGTGATCCACCTGTCTCAGCCTCCCAAAGTTCTGGGATTACAGGCATGAGCCACCATGCCTAGCCCTCATTGTAGCTTTGATTGACATTCCTCTGATGATTAGAGATGATGAGCATTTTTTCATGTTTGTTGACTGCATTTATGTTTTCTTTTGAGAAGTGTCTGTTCATGTTATTTGCCCATTTTTAATGGGGTTATTTGTGTTTTGGTTGTTGATTTGTTTAAATTTCCTATAGATTCTTGATATTTGGCCTTTGTTAGAGTTTGTGACTATATCTCCCATTCTGTAGATTGTCTGTTTACTCTGTTGATAATTTCTTTGCTGTGCAGATTATCTTTAGTTTAATTAGGTGTCACTTGCCTATTTTGGTTTTTATTGCAATTGCTTTTGGAGACTTAGCCAAAAACTCTTTGCCAAGGCTGATGTCAAGAAGTGCACTTCCTAGGTTATCTTCTAGCATTTTTATTTGTTGATGTCTTACATTTAAGCCTTTGATCTTTTTGGATGAATTATTGTATATGGTGAGGTGTAGGGGTCCAGCTTCATTCTTTGCCATATGGCTAGCCAGTTATGCCAGCATTATTTTTTGAATAGGGTGTTCTTTATCCACTGCTTTTTTTTTTTTCCCAGCCTTGTTGAAGGTCAGATGGTAGTAGGTATGTGGTTTTATTTCTGATTTTTCTATTCTCTTCCATTGGTCTATGAGTCTGTTTTTGTACCAGTACCATGCTGTTTTGGTTCCTGTAGGTTTACAATATAGTCAGATAACATGATTCCTCTGGCTTTGTTGTTTTTGCTTAGGATTACTTTGGCTATTTGCAGTGTTTTTTGGTTCCATGTGAATTTTACAATAGTTTATTTTTATTTTTATAATTTTGTGAAGAATGACATTGGCAGTTTGCTTGGAATAGTATTAAATCTGTAAGTTGCTTTGGACAGTATGGCCACTTTTATGTATTGATTCTTTCAATCTATGACCTTGGAATATTTTTTCCGTTTATTTTTGTTATCTCTGATTTCCTTCATCATTGTTTTGTCATTCTCCTTGTAGAGATCTTTCACCTCTGGGTGAGATGTATTCCTAGAAATTTTTTTTTTTTTTGACATAGAGTCTTGCTCTGTTGCCCAGACTGGACTGTAATGGTGCAATCTCCTGCTCACTACAACCTCCGCCTTCCAGGTTCAAGCAATTCTTCTGCCTCAGCCTCCTGAGTAGCTGGGATTACAGGCATGTGCCACCTTGCCCAGCTAATGTTTTTATTTTCAGTAGAGATGGGGGTTTCACTATGTTGACCAGGCTGGTCTCAAACTCCTGACCTCAGGTAATCTGCCTGGGTATTGTAAGTAAAATTGTGGTGTTTATTTTACTGTCAACCTGTATGTCACTGGTGTATAGGATTGCTACTGAGTTTTGTGCTTTGATTTTGTATCCTGTAACTTTGCTAAAGTGGTTTATGGGTTCTACGAGCTTTTTGGCAGAGTCTTTAGGATTGTCTAGGTATAGAATCATATTGTCAGTGAAGAAAGATAGTTTGTGGATTAGCCTGTTCTCACGCTGCTAATAAAGACATACCTGAGCCTGGGTAATTTATAAAGGAAAGAGGTTTAATTGACTCACAGTTCCACATGGCTGGGGAGGCCTCCCAAACATGGCAGAAGGCAAAGGATGAGCAAAATCATGCCTTACATGGTGGCAGGCAAGAGGGCATGTGCAGGGGAACTCCCTTTTATAAAACCATCAGATCTTGTGACACTCATTCAATATGAGAACAGCACAGGAAAGACTTGCTCCCATGATTCAATTACCTCCCACAGGGTCCCTCCCAGGACACATGGGAATTACGGTAGCTACAATTCAAGATAAAATTTGGGTCCAGACATAGATAGCTAGACCACAACAGTTTGAATTATTTTCCTATTTGGATGCCTTTTATTTCTTTCTCATACCTGATTTGTTGATTTGTGTATGCTGAACGAGCCTTGCATCCCAGGAATAAAGCCTTCTAGATTGTGGTGTATTAACTTGTTGATGTGTTCCTGGATTTGATTTACTATTATTTTATTGAGGACTTTTTGGTCTATATTAATCAGGGATATTTGTCAAAGATTTTCTTTTTTTCATTGTGTCTCTGCCAGTTTTTGGTATTAGGCTGATGATGCTGGCTTCATAGAGTGAGTCAGGGAGGAGCCCTTATTCCTTGATTTTTTGAAATAATTTTAGTAGGATTGTATCAGTTTTTCTTTGTACATCTTATAGAATTTAGCTGTGAATCCATATAGTCAAGGGCTTTATTTTGTGGGTAGGTTATTATGGATTTAATTTCAGAAGTTGATATCGGTTTATTCAGGGTTTTAATCTCTTCCTGATTCAATCTTGGGAGATATTGTGCTTCCAGGAATTTATCCATTTCCTCTAGGTTTTCTAATTTGTGTGCATAGAGTTGTTAACAGTAGACCCTGAGGATCTATTGTATTTCTGTGGGATCAGTTGTAATATTGCCTTTGTTATTACTGATTGTGCTTATTTGGATCTTCTTTTTCATTTTCTGTGTTAATCTAGCCAATGATCTATCAATCTTATTTATTTTTTGAAGAGCCAACTCTTGTTTTATTGATCTTTTATATGGATTTTTGCATCTCAATCTTATTATATACGCCAATTTTAGTTATTTCTTTTCTTCTGCTAGCTATGGTTTTGGTTTGTCCTTTTTTCATAGCTCCTTTAGATGCAGAGTTGGACTGTTGATTTAAGATCTAACTTCTTGAAGAAGGCGTTTAGGGCTATACACTTTCCTTTTTTTATTATTATACTTTAAGTTTTAGGGTACATGTGCACAACGTGCAGGTTAGTTACATATGTATACATGTGCCATGTTGGTGTGCTGCACCAATTAAATTGTCATCTAACATTAGGTATATCTCCTAATGCTATCCCTCCCCCCTCCTTCCACCCCACAACAGGCCCCAGTGTGTGATGTTCCCCTTCCTGTGCCCATGTATTCTCATTGTTCAATTCCCACCTATGAGTGAGAACATGCGGTGTTTGGTTTTTGGTCCTTGCGATAGTTTGCTGAGAATGATGGTTTCCAGCTTCATCCATGTCCCTACAAAGGACATGAACTCATCATTTTTTATGGCTGCATAGTATTCCATGGTGTATATGTGCCACATTTTCTTAATCCAGTCTATCATTGTTGGACATTTGGGTTGGTTCCAAGTCTTTGCTATTGTGAATAGTGCCGCAATAAACGTATGTGTCTTTATAGCAGCATGTTTCATAATCCTTTGGGTATATACCCAGTAATGGGATGGCTGGGTCAAATGGTATTTCTAGTTCTAGGTCCCTGAGGAATCGCCACACTGATACCCACAATGGTTGAACTAGTTTACAGTCCCACCAACAGTGTAAAAGTGTTCCTATTTCTCCACATCCTCTCCAGCACCTATTGTTTCCTGACTTTTTAATAATGATCACCGTTCTAACTGGTGTGAGATGGTATCTCGTTGTTTTGATGGGCATTTCTCTGATGGCCAGTGATGATGAGCATTTTTTCATGTGTCTTTTGGCTGCATAAATGTCTTCTTTTGAGAAGTGTCTGTTCATATCCTTCACCTACTTTTTGATGGGGTTGTTTTTTTCTTGTAAATTTGTTGGAGTTCATTTTAGATTCTGGATATTAGCCCTTTGTCAGATGAGTAGATTGCAAAAATTTTCTCCCATCCTGTAGGTTGCCTGCTCATTCTGATGGTAGTTTCTTATGCTGTGCAGAAGCTCTTTAGTTTAATTAGATCCCATTTGTCAATTTTGGCTTTTGTTGCCATTGCTTTTGGTGTTTTAGACATGAAGTCCTTGCCCATGCCTATGTCCTGAATGATATTGCCTAGGCTTTCTTCTAGGGTTTTTATGGTTTTAGGTCTAACGTTTAAGTCTTTAATCCATGTTGAGTTAATTTTTGTATAAGGTGTAAGGAAGGGATCCAGTTTTAGCTTTCTACATATGGCTAGCCAGTTTTCCCAGCACCATTTATTAAATAGGGAATCATTTCCCCATTTCTTGTTTTTGTCAGGTTTGTCAAAGATCAGTAGTTGTATATATGCGGCACTATTTCTGAGGGCTCTGTTCTGTTCCATTGGTCTATGTCTCTGTTTTGGTAGCAGTACCATGCTGTTTTGGTTACTGTAGCCTTGTAGTATAGTTTGAAGTCAGGTAGCATGATGCCTCCAGCTTTGTTCTTTTGGCTTAGGATTGTCTTGGCAATGTGGGCTCTTTTTTGATTCCATATGAACTTTAAAGTCGTTTTTTCCAATTCTGTGAAGAAAGTCATTGGTAGTTTGATGGGGATGGCATTGAATCTATAAATTACCTTGGGCAGTATGGCCATTTTCACGATATTGATTCTTCCTACCCATGAGCATGGAATGTTCTTCCATTTGTTTGTATCCTCTTTTATTTCATTGAGCAGTGGTTTGTAGTTCTCCTTGAAGAGGGCCTTCACGTCCCTTGTAAGCTGGATTCCTAGGTATTTTATTCTCTTTGAAGCAATTGTGAATGGGAGTTCACTCATGATTTGGCTCTCTGTTTGTCTGTTATTGGTGTATAAGAATGCTTGTGATTTTTGAACATTGATTTTTGTATCCTGAGACTTTGCTGAAGTTGCCTATCAGATTAAGGAGATTTTGGGCTGAGACGATGGGGTTTTCTAGATATACAATCATGTCATCTGCAAGTAGGGACAATTTGACTTCCTCTTTTCCTAACTGAATACCCTTTATTTCCTTCTTCTGCCTGATTACCCTGGCCAGAACTTCCAACACTATGTTGAATAAGAGTGGTGAGAGAGGGCATCCCTGTCTTGTGCCAGTTTTCAAAGGGAATTCCTTTTAACACAGATTTGGCTGCATCTCAGATATTTTGGTAAGTTGTGTCCATATTTTTGTAACTTGAAGAATTTTTTCAATTTATTCCTTACTTTTGATATTTACTTATTCAGGAGAATGTTGTTTAATTTTCATGTATTTGTGTAGTTTTGAGAGATCTTCTTGATATTGATTTGTATTTTCATTGCACTGTGGTCTGACAGTGTGCTTGGTATATTAGTCTTTTTGTATTTATAGAGACTTTCTTTATGACCAAGCATGTGATCATTTTTAGAATTTATTCTGAGTGCACATTAAAATACTCTGTATTCTGCAGTTGTTGTGTGAAATCTTCTATAGGTATCTACTATGTCAAAATGATCAAGTGTAGAGTTTATATCTACATTTTCTTTGTTCATTTTCTGCCTCAGTGATCTGTGTAATGATGTCAGTGGGGTGTCGAAGTCTACCACTATTATTGTCTTGTTGTCTAAGTCTTTTCATAAGCAAAGAAGAATTTGTTTTATGAATCTGGGTACTCCAAGATTGGGTGAACATATATTAAGGGTAGTTAAAGTTTCTTGTTGGATTGTACCCTTTATCACTACGTAAAACCCTTCAATATCCTTCTTCATTTTTATTGGCTTAAAGTCTGTTTTACCTGATAAAAGAATAGTGAATCCTGCTCTTTGTTTTCTGTTTGCCTGGCAAACCTTTCTCCATCCTTTTACTTTGAGTCTGTGGGTATCATTACATGTGAAATGGGTCTCAGAAAGAGAATAGATGGTTGAATGTTGACTTTTTATCCAATCTACCACACTGTGTCTTTTAAGTGGGACATTTAGCCCACTTACAATCAAGTTTAGTACTAATACGTGTGATTTTGAACCTGTCATTATATATGTTAGCTGGTTGTTATGTAGACTTGATTGTATAGTTGATTTATAGTGCCTGTGGGCTATGTGTTTAAGTGTGTTTTTGTGGTAACATGTATCTTTTTTTTATTCCATATATAGCACTCCCTGAAGGATGTCTTATAAGGCCAATTTAGTGAAAACATATTCCCTCAGAGTTTGCATGTCTGAGAAAGTATTTCTCCTTCACTTATGAAGCTTAGTATGGCAGGATATAAAATTATTGGTTGGAATTTCACTTATTTAAGGTGCTGAAAATAGGGGTCCAATCACTTCTGGCTTGTAAAATTTATGCTGATATGTCTGCTGCCAGTCTGATGGGGTTCCCTCTGTAGTTAACCTGCCCCTTCTTCCTAGCTGCCTTATGATTTTTATTTTGCACTGACCTTGTTGAATCTAATGACTATGTGCCTGGGGGATGGTTGTCTTTCATAGTATCTAGCTAGACTTCTCTGTATTTCTTGGATTTGCATGTCAACCTCTCTAGCAAGACTAGGAAAATTTTCATGGACTATATCCGCAAATATATTTTCCAGGTTGCTTATTCTCTCTCATTTTATTTCAGGAATACCAAAGAGTCATACATTTGGTCTCTTTACATAATCCCATATTTCTCAGAGGTTTTGTTCATTTTTCTTAATTATTTTTTCTTTATTTTTGTCTGACTGAGTTGATTCAAAGAACCAGTCTTTGGGCTCTGAGATACTTTTCTCAGCTGGATCTATTCTGCTGTTAATACTTCTGATTGTATTAAGAAACTCTTTTTTCATGAATTTTTTAGTTCAATAAGTTCAGTTTGGGTCTTTCTTAAAATGGCAGTTTCACCTTTCAGACCTTGAGTCATTTCAGACTGGTTAAGAACCATTGCTAGGGAGCTAGTGGGCTCATTTAGAGGGGATACTTTGGTTTTTTGAATTGACAGAGTTCTTGCGCTAATTAGTTCTTATCTGGGATGGTTGGTGTCCTTTTAACTATGATGTAAATTGAGTATAGTCAGTTGGCTTCATTTCTGAAAGTTTTCAGAGGGCTAAGCCTCTGTACAGTGTCTTTGTGTCTTTGTTGAATTCTTGCCCTGGGTTTCACAGTGGGGAGAATTAACAAAGTGCTTTTTGGTGTTGTAGTATAGGCCACAAACCAGTAGATGGAGCTTGAGGGCAATGGGTGGGAAATAAACTCTCAGCTGCTCAGCTCCTTTGTATATCGTTATGTTTACAGCTATGCTTTGCAGTGCAAGGGGGAGAGAAGTGACCCTGTCACCAGTCTATTCATGGGCTTTGTAGGAGCCAACTTTGATCACTGGCATTGGGCTCATTATTTCTTGTTGTTGTTGTTGTTAGGTGTTTCAGGCCGTGGAACTCTCCTGGGCAGAGGCCTGTTAAGGACCAGCCCAATGGAGAAGCATGCCTAGGTCCAACACCAGCCCACGAACCCCTGTTACTCACCCTCTGAGTTTTTTGAGAGTGTGGCCTCCTCTCCCGCTTGAGTGCCAGGCAGATACCAGCTCAGCACTCCCTAGCCATGGACCACTGCCTTGGGGCACCAGGACCTGCTCAGGGCACCCTCCTCAGGACCACTGAGGTTGGGTTCCTGTTGCACTGTGAGATCCAAAGGGTGCCCAGTCAGCCAAAACACACTCAAGTGAAGCAAAGCACACAGGCTGTGCAGCAGAAGCCGCACTGTGTACACACTCCAGTGGGATAGCAAGTCAGTAGCCCTGGGAGGGGATGACAGGCAGGTAGGACTGGAAGACAGCCATGCCCCAGTCCCACAGGGAAGCTGACCCTACTTTAATAATTTTATATCAACTAATAACTAATAAAATGTAAATAAGTTATTTAAATAATCATAAAATAGAGAGGGAGAGAAAAAATATGTAAATGCAAAGTAATACTATTTTTCTACTCACTAGAAAGCACAAATATCCTCAAAATTTGCTTGAGTTGGCTGTCAGATGACCATACCTAGGTTGTGTATCAATTATAGTATCTCCTTTTAAATTTCTGTTCTTATTTGAGTCTTTTTTATTTTTTTTAGTCTAGTTAAAGGCTTATCAATTGTGTTCATCTTTTCAGAAAATAAATTCTGTTTTGCTGATTTTTTCTATTGTTTTTCTGTTAGTTATTTCACTTATTTCTATTCTAATTTTTATTATTTTCTTCCTTCTGCTACTTTTAGGCTTAGTTTGTTCTTAATTTTCTAGTTCTAGTTCTTGTTCTTCATTTCTTTAATATAAAGTTAGATTGTTTATCTGCACTCTTATTTTTTTATGTGAGCATTAATAACTATACACTTCCCTCTTAGCCTGCTTTTGCTGTGTTTCATAAGCTTTGGTATATTGTGTTTTCATTTTAATTTGTGTGGAGATATTTTCTAATTCCCCTCTTCTGTTTCTCCTTGATGCAATGAAATCAAAAATTTCCAATACTTGAGAATTTCTTAGTTGTTCTTCTCCTACTGATTTCTAGTTTCATTGTGTTCAGAAAAGACACTTGGTGTGATTAATTTTTCTCAGGTTTGTTAAGGTGTGTTTTGTGACCTAACATGTGATCTATTCTCTTTTTTTTAACCTACCTTTCATCTTTATCTCCCCTTCATTTTTGAAGGACAGTGTCTCTATGTATTACGTTCTTGGTGGGTAGCTTTCTTCTTTCAGCACTTGGACTGTGTCCTGTCATTATCTTCTAGCCTGCAAGATTTCTGCTTAGAAATGCACTGATAGTCTTAAGGAATTATCCAGTACATGGCAAATCATTTATTTTTGCTACTTTGAAAATTATCATTGTCTTTGACTTTTGACAATTCACTTATGTGCCTCAGTGTGGATTTCTTTGTCTTCACCTTATTTGGGTCTATTGGAATTGTGGATTTAAATGCTCATTTTCTTCCCCAGATTTGGGAAGTTTTGGTCATTATTTCTTTGAATAAAATATCTTCCTTTTCTTTCTCTTCTTCTGAGAATTCCATCATGGAATTCCATGTGATGGAGTCCTTTAAGTCTCTTAAGTTTTCATTATTCTTTTTTCTTTTTGCTATTCTGACTGGATAATTTCTGATGACCAGTGTTTATCAATCTTTTCTCTATTTGATCCAGTCTGCTCTTGAACTGTTCTAGTAGATTTTTCAGTTCAGTTGTTGTATTCTTCAGCTTCAAGATTTCTGTTTTATATTTTCTATCAGTTGAAATTCTTACTTTGTCCATTTTTCTCCTGACCTCACTATATATGTTTTTGATGGTTATTTTAAATTCTTTGTCATGTAAATTAAATATCTACATTTTATTATGGTCAGCTTCAGGAGATTCATTTTTTTTCCCTTTGTTTGGGACATTTTTCTCTGTCCTCTATTTGTACTCTTTGGCTCTTTGTATTAGTATGTACATTAGAAAAAAAAAAAAGCCACCTCTCTCAGTCTTCATAAGCTGGCCTTTACAGAAGAAAATCCTCATCAATCAGCCCAGCCAGAGGCTCTGAACTCTCTAAACTTCATGCTAGTTGAAATTGCCTTCTTAGTTTTCAGTGACTCTAAAGCATCTAGAGTATGTCAAGTACCACCAGCAATTTCAGAAATTAAGATATACTCTCTCCCTCAGGCAGAAAGACTTGGAATATTAGATAAATGGTACAACTCTCTTCTTCTTCAGGGAAAAGATGTAATATGTGATTTTTCACCCACTCATGCCACATTGAGCAAGGAAGATGGACTAAAATGAGTGCTTGTATGTTAGTAAAAAATACCATCTTTCTTCTGTGGCTCCCAGGCATCTACAGTATGCTAGATACCGTCAGTACTCTGACACAGGCAAGACAAAAGCCAGAGCCTTGGAAACCCTTGAAAAATTTGAAAATTGAAAATGCAGTCCAACTTTTTCCAACCCCACAGAAAAGCTGGGAATCAGGGCTTTCTTCCTGATTGCATGGCGCTGTGTCCCCACCAGCTTCAGTGTGACTGGCTTCATGCTGTCCCATTTCCAATAGCCTCTCAACAAGTTTCCGAATTGTTTATAGAGGGATGTTTTTTTTTTTTTTTCTGTGTATTGTTGTTGAACTGGTGTGTTCATGGCGGGGGGGAAGAGTTCAAAATTTCCTATTGTGCCATCTTATAAACATCACCCCTTCAGAACAACATTTCTTCTGACTCACCTTGCAGATATATGAGTATTAAGAAAACACTGAATTTATAGTATTCTGAAAAGGAGAAATAATTATTTTTTCTGTGGATTAATACTTTGATTAATCTCTACCAACCTAACTTTGTTTTATAAGTTAACCTATTATCAATTATTAATGAAACTGGCCTGAAAACCATCCTGAAATACAAAAGACTAGTTCTAACCTCAGAAATTTCCAGGAAAGATTACAGTGTCCTTCAATAACCCATACTAACATTGAATAACTTTTTCTTTTCTTTTATCCACCCTCCTTGGTCTCCCAAAGTGCTGGAATTACAGGTATAAGCCACTGCGCTGGGCCTATTTTTGTCAATTTTTAAATTGGGTTGTTTGTCTTCTTATTGAGTCATGACATTTTTTTGTGTGCGTATTCTGGATACAAATCTTTTACCAGATAAGTGCTTTGCAAATGTTTTCTCCCAGTCTGCTGCTTGTCCTCAGAAATTACTTTAAACTTTCCTACAATACCCAAATCTTCAATCTTATCACCCACCTCATTTTCCCCTCATGTTTAGGAAAATTAATTTATATTTTCCAGAGAATCTACTTACCATCAAACTAATATTATTCACTTATCTTAATTCTTTTGCACAGACACACATAATTGTATCTTTACCAATGATTTGCAAGTCATTTGTGTTAGCAAGTTTAGTTTTCTATTTATGCCCTGGATCTTATACCCTCCTGTTCTCTCTGTTACATAACTCTATCAGTCACCCCTTGTCTATTGTTGCTTGTAGTTTTCTGACACACTTAGTTTCTTCATTAATAATTAAGTCTCAATTAAGTCTTATTTAATTCTTAATGAATTAAAATATGCTCAATTCTGTTTACAGTTTAATTTTTTGGAAACACTAACCTGAACTCCCTCAGTTCCATAACTTCCTGCAAATAAAACTGTCTCAATTTTCCTTCACAATAAAAGACCTTTCATGACTTTTTTTACACCCTCATCTTCAGTCACTTACCTTTCATTCATTCTTCAAGTTCTCATGTTGCTAGTTCTGCCATAACACTAAAATGTCTCTCAACACAGTCACTAAGGAAACATTTTTGTTAATTAAAAAATTGCAATTTTTTGTTTCCATTATATTTGACTTTTCCCAATATGTGATAACATTTTCTCTCACTTTCTATGACATTACATGCTTTTAATTTTTCTATTCCTTCTGCCTCTTCTACATGAACTTCTTTCCAAAGCCATTAAGTTGGTATTCTTTATAATATTGTACTTTTAAAAAATCACTTTACACACTAATCATTTAGATTATTTATATTTTATGTACTCTGAACTTTCACAAATTTATATTTACAGTACAAAACTCTTTACCAAGCTCTAATATACTGTATAATCAACTACCCATCCATCTACCCATGTCATATAAATGACATCCATGGGTACCCACAAATGTATCATTTGTCCAAAACAAAACTCATCATCTTCGCTCAAGAATGTCCTCCACGTCTACCTTATATCAATGGAAAACATCATAATTTATAGTTTGCCTTCAATAAAATCTTGGTCATCAGAGCCGTCTAAAAGCTTAATTACTCCAACATAAATGAATAAAACTGTGAGGAGACATTTCACTAAAAAATAATGCACATTGTCAATATGCACATAAAAATATATCCAACTTCACTAGCAACCAAAATACTAATTAAAACAATACTAAGATGCTACTTTTTGTTACTTGACTGACAAAATTAAAAAAAATATATACAAAATCCATTCTGTTACTGCTTAGAAATATTTATTTTCTTATGATGTTAGTGGTAGTACAAATGATAAGCTTTCCTAGAAGACAATTTTGCACTGTCCCTTTTAACATCTAACATCTGTTGATCCATGACATCTATATTTGTACCTAAAGTTTAAACTATAAGTGTTAATAAAATATTTAATTGATAATGACTCTACTCATCAAAAAAGTTAACTTTGATTAACTGTACCCTAAGTTAGCAGGCAAATGTGTAATGAGTATTTACTGAAGGTCGGTTACTCATGTGCTTATAAGTCAGTATACTAAAAATCCAGCATTCTTACTTTTCTGATAATGTTGGATATTTGAATTATGATATTGTCCAATATAAAAATACTATACTAAATTCAAGAAAAATGTAACAGTTCAAGTTCTGGACAGAAGCAGTTTGCCATCCTCAAATGTAGTAATTAAAGGGCGTTGAATAAAATGATATTTACAAAGGTCTGAGCATGGTGAAGGAAAACCAGCAAGGAATGATGAACCCTCCATGCTAGGCCTAACGGGTTGAAGAGTATCATCACCTCTCATCTTCAAGGAGTGAGGAAGATGGAGAGATTCCCACAACCTGAAGGGAATGCTGTAGTCTCAGATGGCCACCTGACAGGAACTACAACTTCAGTTGCGAATTAGCCATAGCTAGTCTGCAACCAGACAAAAAATGAGCCAGGAATATACTTCACCCTTACTGTCAGCCTGCCCCCTAATTTTCTCTTCAGACGGCCTAAATCCAGTGAGAAGTTCAAGGGTCAGAGAGCCTATTGACTCAGTCCATGAAGTTCAGCCTCCTCAGGCACAGAATACGATGTAGAAAATGATTCTGGAAAGATTCTGGACAATATGAATGATATAAATATGTTGAAAACGCCAAAAGCAAGTGAATGTTATTAAAATGCTTCAAGTACTGCAATTTTTAAAAAACAGGGTCAATGACAAATGCTACTAGATGGATAAAATGCATTAACTTTGTTTTATGCAAGCATAATTTTCCCACGTGGAAGTTTATTTTTTGGTAATTACTATACAAAAAGTTTTAATGGTAATGTATCTGCCATATAGAAGCAGACATTATAATTCTTCAATAACGCCTTATTGTTTGATAATTGATCATGGTATATTTTTGTCGTTTACCACATTTTCATGGAAATGTACTTATTCTCACAGACTTTTTTTAAATAGTCTTAATGCAGGAAATTGATGATTAGTAAGCCCAAATAAGTGATAATACGAGGTCTTTGTTATATTTGCTTTTTTTTCTTCCATTTTCCCTTACCATGCCTTCAGAGTTCAACCATATATCATGTCTATGACAGAAGTAAAACAATATCAGGATGCAACCTGAAAAAGTCTGTCAATCATTTGGGTATGTTTATGTTATTGCATATTTGTTATGGATACCCTTGATAAGCAAATAATTGTGGTGCTTTATTTTTATAATGCAAATATTAGATATGTAAATCTAGAAATCTCTTTTATAGCTATGTGATAAGAAATCTCAGTTCAGCTGTGACAAGAAAACAAATCTCAATACCATAAAATTACCATAAAGTATTTAATCTACTATCTTTCATCTATTTCAATGATAGCTATAATATGTTATAGTCAAACTGGTTACAGTAGCCTTTTTAAATTAAATTGTGTATCTTTTATTGACATATTAAATTATAAGTGTTATCTTTTGCTGGATCCTAGGATTCAAATGCTTTACTAGAAAAAGGAGATGATAAAGTGTCTAGGAATACTGGCTAAATAGTGTACAAATTTATTGCTGAATAGCTTATCAAACATGGAAAGATTTAGCACAATTATACATTTGACCTAAAACAATTTCCATTTCATTTAAATTAGAAAAGTCTCCCATCCATCAAAAACTATGAAAAAAATTAAAAAGAAGTAAAATTATGTCTGTGAAGAAAAATAAAATTGGTTCAATCTTCAATGAATTTGTATTAAGTGCCTGATTTCTGAAATAAAGTAGGCATTGTAGAAAAACTGTTAAAAAAAAAACCATAAAGTACTTTTGACAAATGACTGAAAGTGTACAAAAATATACAATTATGGTGCTGTATGGAATTAATTAAAATAATGTACTGAGAAATTATGCAGTGCAGATGGGAACTATTTAATATTCTTCATTCTTTTTCACCTCTCCATATCCCTCCTAATATTTATCCAGTCTTTTTTTCCTATTCACAGGCACCAGATTTATGTTCACAATCAAATTATACTATGCTTCACCTATTCTCAAAATTGTGAATAAAATACAGTTGACAAGGGATGAAACCAGATTCAATTGGTCATTACAGATTTACCTCACCAATGTCTCTAAAATCAATTATCTAGTTCAGCCATGTTAGTCTGTTACATGCGTATATTTCATAACATTTACCTATGATTTCTTTTCCTTGGTAATCTATGAAGAGGTGGTTGGCCATAGGTGTGGGCAGTGTTGACATATTAAAGGGTTAGACATCTTTGATACAGTTGCATGGTACTACAGTGTACCATGATGTTTGCAACTTAGTTTATTCATTTGAATTAATATTGCTGCAAATGTTAAATGTTATAAAAATGTGAAATGAATTAATCAATACAAAAGAAATACTGGGGACCAGGAGTGGTGATTCATGCTTGCTATCCTAGCATTATGGGAAGCCAAAGCGGGGGGATTGCTTGAGGCTAGGTGTTTGAGACCAGCCTGAGTCATATAAGGAGACACATACCCCTCTGTATCTTAAAAAAAAACAAAAAACAAAAAACAAACAAAAAAAAACCACAGGTGCGGTGGTGTGCACACTAGGTGTCATCCTAGCTACTCAGGAGGCTGAGGTGGGATGATAGCCCAAGCGTTGGAGGCTGCAGGGAGGAATGATTCTGCCACTGTACTTCAGTCTGGGTGACAGAGTGAGACCCCATCTCTAAAAAGTAAAATAAAATAAATAAAAATTAAAAAAAATAAAATCATCATTAGTAATGTCAGTGCTCAAGAGCCAAAGACCATCAGGAACATCTTCAGCCAAAGTTGATATTCATTTTACCAAAAAAGACTGTAGTTCATCAGAAAAATGTGATGTCCAAGAGGGGCTTGTTACAGCAGTTTGTCTTATGGTAATTCTTTTTGTGGAGAGTTTGGCATGTTGCTCTTGCTTTCTTTGTTCATGTGAAGCTTCATTTTACATTATCTCATGACAAATAATATATGTTATATTTTTTGTTCTCAAGAAAGCCTAATTTAGTACCATATTAAGCAATCAACAGATGTTTGCTGATTTCAATATTAATTTCTGATTTTAATATTTCATGACTTTATTTTGATAAAAGGCATGTTTCAGGTTATGGCAAGTAAAATTTAAGCCAGCATGTGAGAATCATACTATAGTAAAGTTCACAGAAAAAAATAAAAATAAAAATTTTACTTGTAGATATTTAGTTTAACCAACATAGCCACTATTATAAAATACTGGCAATGGAAAAATTTAAAAATTGAAAGTACTATTTTCTGAAGTTATTATTCTTTAAAATATATTTTCTATTCATAGGCTTTCAGGGAATTATTTATAGAATAATATATTTTATTAAAATACAATTAGTCAAGAAAGCTTTCAGAATTTATATGCTAGTTATATAAGTTAGAATTGCTTTTTGATGGACGAAACAGAAAATTGTAATGCTGTGGCTTAAACAATAATAGATTTATTCATTTCAACAATGAGGACCTCAGAGGGAGGCAGGCCAGGGTAGATATATTATTCTAGTATCATTATGTGACCTCAGCTCTTTCTCAGATCTTGCCCTTCCATTTTTGGTGTATGGTTTTTGCAAGATGGCTATTTTGCCTCTAAGCTTTATGTCTATGTTTCAGGAAAGATAAAAATGAAAGGACCCAAACCATCTTTTCATTAAATCTTGATGAAAAAAGATAACTCTCTGAAGTACTTCTGCTTGTATCACATTGGCCAGAACTATGATATCTGGCCACCCTTAAATGACAGGCAATGTACAAAGATGAATATCTTTTCTATCTCTATAATAAAGAAAGTTAAGTGAATCAGTAGGCTACAACTGGCTTTTAGGAAGCATTCCACAGTGACCACAATACTTAAAATAAGCACATGCACACGCACATACACACAGTTTAAGTATATATATGTTACCTTATAAATGCAAACATTTTTCTGATGATTTCTATTTTAATAAAATATACCATACTTAAAAATGTCTTCCTAAAACCATATATTTATATATATATATTTTAAAAATATTAATTTGTATAAATTATATATATTAGTATATAGGCATATATAAGCAAATAAAATCCATGTCTTGAAATAAATTATTTAAAAATGAAAAATATATCTGTAAAAATTGGGCTGGGTGCGGTGGCTAACACCTATAATCCCAGCACTTTGGGAGGCTGAGGTGGGTGGATCACCTGAGGTCAGGAGTTCAAGACCAGCCATGGCCAACATGGTGAAAACCTGTCTCTCTTAAAAATACAAAAATTAGCCAGGCTTGCTGGCTCATGCCTATAATCCTAGCTACTTGGGAGGCTGAGGCAGGAGAATTGCTTGAACCCAGAGGTGGAGGTTGCAGTGACAGCTGAGATCTCACCACTGCACTCTAGCCTGCGCCACAGAGGAAGACTCGGTCTAAAGAGACAAAAAAAAAAAAGATGATTACATTATTGTTTATATATAAATATAAAGAAATAAAAATGCAACTATATTATTCCTGAGCAATGTTTCATGAATCGATATGTGTAAATTTAGGGAATATTATTTTTTTATTATTATTATTATTTTGAGACAGTTTCACTCCTGTTGCCCAGGCTGGAGTGCAATGGCATGATCTTGGATCACAGCAATCTCTGCCTCCTGGGTTCAAGCCATTCTCCTGCCTCAGCCTCCAGAGTAGCTGGGATTACAGGGATGTACCACCACGCCCAGCTAATTTTGTATTTTAGTAGAGACAGGGTTTCTCCATGTTGGTCAGGCTGGTCTCGAACTCCGGACCTCGGTGATCCTCCTGCCTCAGCCTCCGAAAGTACTGGGATTACAGGCGTGAACCACCGCGTCCGGCCAGGGAATATTATTTTAAAACAAAGTAATGCATATACATAAATGAATAAATGTTAAAGTCACATTGAAATTAAAAACCTGAGAAAATAATTACAAAATTGGATTTGTCAAAGAAAATTAAATGCAGTTCTGTTTGTTCTTCAGTATATCTCTCTAGGGTGTGTTTTTGTTACATTTTGATAACTCATTATAGCAATAGGAAAGATTAATCTGGATTCCTTATTGGTAAAAATAGCAGATGAGTGTTTTGACTGTCTATTTGTCTATTATACACTACACTGGTAGCTAAATACCCTTCTCTGGTGCCATCTCAGGCTTTATCTGCATAGCCCCTTGTCTAAAATGACCTGCCAAGAATTTACTTATTGTGTTCTGATATGTCTGCCTCACATTCATTAACCTGTTCTTATTTTCTGCTTAGTTCCTATGTAGTTTATATCTCTGCATGGATTTGAAGATATGACTTTGCTGTGTGAGGAAAATGAAATTTCAGTGTCTGTTTCCCCCTCATCCCCAAAATCATTCACATAGAAGTCGGCTGGTACCCATATTCTAATTGGTATAAAGTTGAAGTCTTATAAAGATTGGAATGTTTTAATCTAGCTTCATCTGCTTCACATTTATTGGGGATTCCTCCTGTATTCTATCTTATATTGTCTGTCTCACTTGAAATTTGTTGGTGTTAAACATCTTTCTTTTCTCCAATTCCATTGTTTTGTTTTGAATTACGGATTAAGAGAGGCTGGTTTGAATATGAAAGTCCTTATCAATACATTAAAAAATAAAGTGATGATAGCTAGTTTTGGAGAAAATACATTTAAAACAATATGAAAGAAGAGAGGAAGCTAAACATAAATTAAATTCAGACTGAGAACATTTTGAAACAACAATTAATGGTGATTAAATGCATGTATATCAAATAAGAAAATCAACCTACATGCATTCAAAATAGGAAAATATGAGGCTAGAATAAAATTTTATAAGTTTTCAGTCTTATAACTAATAGATTTGGCATGGGCATTTTTAAGTAATTCCCAGTAAATTGGTTTTGCAAATCGTTCATGTTAAAGGGTCCAATCTTTGGATTTACTAGCCTTCTCTGACTGGAAGAGGCTGAATATTGATTTTCCAGTCACCATGAAAGATGACAAGTCAGGCTTCTTTTTCTTTTTTTTTTTTTTACTTAATTGCTTTAACACCTCAAAAGGCAAGAAGACAGAACAAGAGAAAGAAGGAAGTTAGAGGGGCAGGGTGGGGAAAAAATGTTACTAAAGGGCCATTTATTTAGTCTAATTACAATACATAAAGAAATAATGGATTCCCTATAAATTCCTAGGCTACCTTGTGTTTCTTTTCTTTGAAAGCGCTAAAAATTCATCCACACATTATTTGGCAAATGTCTCTCAAATTGGCACTACTAACAAATGTCTAAAGCAGAGACAACTTTTAGGGAAAGTGTAGTGGTACACAAAGAAAAGTTCCAGTCAAATTCAAGGCTTCATTGATTAAAAAGGTTTTAGAATGTCTTTGTCTTGCAATAAATGATGCATACAATACACACACACACATACACACTCATATCCACATTGATTGGAATGTAGACTACGACGTGTTTCAAATTGGCAAAACTTCTAAACTTAAGCCACTAGATGAGACAAGATGAAATAAAATGTTCATCCCTCTGTAAAACTTCAAAAGAAAGGGCTGATGAGATAAAACAAAAATAACAGATGAGACTCCTTTGCCAGCTTCAGTTATGCACTTTGGGTACTCTTTCCATGTCATTTTTGGTGATGATAGAGAATGCTAATAAGGAAAAAAAGTAAGACAACACCAATTATTCTGAGGGCATGCAGTTGGGTACATAGCAACTAACCTGAAGCTTTGTGGATTCCAGATGGGACAAGTAATCAGATTACTTGTGAGTGTTCTAATAGTACCCAGAGGGTATAATAAAATCACTCACCATATGTTTAATATCCATACAGCTCTGTTTCTTTGAACTGCTACTTTAATCTTCCTTTTTATTTACATTTTATTGCTATACACTTAAATTGATGTCTTATCTACAGATAAACTTACAGACAATATGTGAACACTCACACACATCTCTTATCTCTCATTTTGTTGTATTTCCTACTTATTTCTTTGATACTTTAGTTGTCTGCACAATAATGTGGCCACCTTTCAACCTTTATGACTAAAGATTTTCATTCCCATGTCTCTTGGCTAAACTTGCCGTTTATTCTAGGTTTCATGGTTAAGAGTATGAAGGACAGAAACAAAATTGTCATGGGTTACAAAAAATATAGAAGGTATAAAAATATGAAAAGTGAGTATAGATTGCATGCAAATCTGTCAGAAAACTTTAAGTGGTTCTAAAGTTGCGTTTATGGTCTGAAGCAATATGTTACCTGAAATTATTATTGTTCTACCCTGTAATATCAGTGATACTTAGTCATAAGGTTAGTGTAGGGAAGAAATGAGTTATTATAAAAGGCAAAACTTGATACAGGTCCTTATTGCCTCTGAGGGAAAGTGGAGAACATAAGAGTGAATAGGGAGAAGCTAGAGATTTTATCTCTGTTATTCCCAACTCTTGTAGGTATACATGAAAGTGTGTAGTCTTTAGGAACACTCCATTATTTGGGCGTGGCTTTTGAAGCTCTAGGTGGTATCAAGTATCTCCAGTTTCACTATTAAAAGCCTGCCTGCCTTTAGAAAATGCCCACTAAACCATTTATTGCTCAGAGTACAAAATGGTAGCATAGTAAGTAGATAAATGAAACTGAGTTGGTGATCATCACCTCCCATAGCTGATCCAGCATCCCAGAAATTCTTAGATGTGATGGTAAAAGAATGCCAAAGATAACAACTGATATTTATTGAGTCAATGAAGTCCAGACACCAGGAATTCACTACATATGGTGACTTCTATGACAAAATGACAAGAAGTTTCAGCTCTAAGAATAGATTTGGACACTTCTTGCCCAAAATGCATATGAGACCAGTCTTAACTTTTAAAACTAATTAGTACAAGTAACAGACAAGACCATTTACCACCTCATTGAGATATATAGTATATTAGTCAGAAATCTTCAGAGAAACAGACAAATAGGATATATGTATATATGAAGGGAAGTTAATTAGAGAGAATTGGCTTACATTATATAAGGTGAGATCCCATGATAGGTCATCTGTAAGTTGGGGAAGAAAGAAGCTGGTAGTGGCTCAGTCCAAATCCAAAAGCCTCAAAACCAGGGAAACCAACAGTGCAGGCTTCAGTCTGTTGCCAAAGGCCCTAGAACCCCTGCAAGCCACTGGTGCAAGTCCCAGAGTCCAAAGCCTGAAGAACCGAGAGTGTGATGTCCAAGGGCAAGAGGAGTGGAAGCAAGTGTCCATCACAAGAAGAAATCCAGGAGACTCAGCAAGCAAGGTTATCCCATCTTCTTCTGCCTGCTGTGTTCTAGCCAGCTGGCAGCCGATTGGGTGGTGCCCACCCACATTGAGAGTGGGTCTTCCTCTCCTTTTCCAACTCAAATGTCAATCTCCTCTGGCAACACCCTCACAGACAACACCCAGAAATGATACTTTACCCAGCCATTTAGGCATCACTTAATCCAATCAAGTTGACACCTAATATTAACCATCATGTATAGGGTAATGTAGAGGACACTGTGTAGCTCCAAGGATTCTTCCACTCATTCCTAAGATGCTGCATTAACCTAAGCACTCACATCTTTCCAGCCATCTTTGATTTCGTTGTAGGAGTGAGAGGTAATTTAAGAGGCAGAGCATTTCATATAACCATACTGAGTACATGTATAAAATGGATGTTTACATTATAACAATGTAATAAATCTAAAGGATTGGAGTAAAATATAGTGAGTTTTATTTTTCTGCTACTCAGATGCTTTTGGCTCGTGAGGAAGAGTTATAAAGAAACAAAGAAGCTATATATATTTTTCCCACATCTGAATGAAGGAAGGATATTTGTGTCCTTGTTACATGTACTCTTAGTTGAGTTGACACCTAATATGTGAACCAGTTATCAATTAATTGCCTCTCATCTCTAAATCTACCTTCATTTGCCCTGATTGGTGATACTGGGGCTGGGCCCTGTTACCATATTTCCTTTGCCATCCAGCAAAATGGTAACCTTGTCAGTAGAGGGCACTACAAGCAGAAGGGAATTCTGATTCTTGTTCTCACAGCATGGCTGCCAACAGTGACTCCCTGGCGCTGGCAACTTCTTTGTCAGCAAATGAGTTTCTTACCAGTGGTGTGCCAGAGACTCAGTGGCACACCAGCAAGTTTTGCTAGTATCTCATTAAGTACATTTCTGGCAGTTTTGCTAGCATCTTTGTAGACAGATTAATAAATAAATTTCACCAGAATCCCAATGGGAAATTTCCTAGTTAGTTTCACAGACATACCAGCAGCTTCCTTACAAGTACCAATGGCACTCATTGAGTGAAGTCCTGCTCACTAAACTTAGCCTCAGAGATCTTCTCTGCCATCTAATGGGCCACAACAGCTTCTGCCCTAATAGGATCTGAATCTCCACCTTGAGGGAGAGCAGGTTATTCCAAGTTTATTCTTTCTTTGGATAGTTTCCTTTATTTCTAAAGGTTATGGCTAATACTTACATCAACTGTCCCAGTAATCATTAGAGTTTTTTTTTCTCATTTTTGTACATCATGCCCTTTAAATAGTTAATATTTTTTTAATAGTAAATTTCTTCCATTGAAAAGACTAGAGTAGGCTCTATCTCCTGCCTAAATCCTCAATGATATAATATATATGGATTTGTTTATTCTACCTAGAGTTCTCTGGATTCTAGGTGCTCTTTCCTGAGAGATGTCTGGCTAGTCCACTCCTCAGACTTAAGGACATGAAAGCACAACTTCATTTTTTGGCAACAATGGGTGAAATTGGGTGAGGAGCGTAAGGAAAATCTCTGCACTGTCATTGCAACTTTCTATACATCTAAAATTATTTTAAAATATAAAGTTTATTTTAAAAATAATCTGTTTCACAAATGTGTATGGAAAACCAAATGAGACTTCTTTTGTTTGTTACAGAGCATGAAACCAGAACAATTCACGTTAAATAATTTTGAGAACTATTTACTACTTGTAATAGTTTGAGCCCTGCCTCTCCACCAAAGGTGTAAAATTTGAAAAACGCTCTCTCTTAACCAAAAAATGTTGAAAAATACTATGAATTTCCCTTCATTTTTAAATTGTGGTTAAAGAAACTGAACATGACAGGTACCCTCTTACAAATTTTAAGTGTGAAATAAAGTATTTCCAACTATAGGCAAAATGTTGTACAGCAAATCTCTGTAACTGAAATTGATACCTGTAAAACAGCGGCTCCCTATTTCTTCCCTCCTGCTCCTGGAAACCACCATACTTCTCACTGTTTTTATTAATTCAACTATTTTAGATATATAAATATAATCAGGAAGCAGTTTTCGTCTTCTTCTGAGGCCTCACCAGAATTACCCTTAATCAATTGTTTATGGCAATGTACACTGTTTCTAACATCTAACTCAAAACTCTTCCAGCCTGTTACCCAAATTGATGAATAACACCTGACTTTCATAGAAATGGTTAATCCATACTAAGCTTGTTTAATCATCACTTGGCATTATCTTTGGTATTCTCTCCTGAATACTGTTTCTCATTCTTTTCAATATGTACAGGATGAGAATTTTCTAGATCTTTAGGTTTTGCTTTTCTTTTGATTAAAAATTGTCTTAGTATAATTTCTCTCCTTGCATTTTACAATAAGCATTTAAGAGAAACCATGATGCAACTTCAACACTATACTTAGAAATTACCTTAGCCAAGTACTAAGTTTTATTACTTACAACTTCTACCTAATACAAAACACTAAGACACAAAACCAAAACCAATTCACCCTAGTTCTTTGCCACTTTGTAACAAGGGTAACCTTAATTCCTGTTTCTGATGACATGTTAATTTTTCCTTAAGACCTCATCAAAATGGTCTTTATCATTCATATATCTACCAACATTCAATTCATAACCACCTAGATATTATCTAAAAAAACTGAGGCTTTCTATAAAGTGACTTATTAGGTATTTGTTATAACAACATCCCAATCCCAGTACCAATTTCTGTCTTAGTCTGTTTGGGTTGCAATAACAAAAAGACTTTAGGTGACTTATTAAAAAAAACAAATTATTTTTCACGGTTCTGGAGTCTGGGAAGATAAGAAAAGTCACTGGTGGACTTGGTGTCTGTTGAGGGCCTGTTCCTTATAGACAGTGCTTTCTAGCTGTGTTTGCATATATTGGAAGCGGGCAGGTAGCCCTCTGGAAACAGTTTTATAAGGACACTAATTATCTAAAAATACTCCACCTCTTAATACTATTATTTTGGGACTTAAAATTTTAACACACAAATTTTGAAGGGACACAAATATTCACATCATAAGTCATATTCACTTCATTGCTTTATCTAAAATCTGACTTTCCCCTTGGACTCTGCTTCTTCTTCATTTCTCTTAACTGTTAGTATTTTTTCTCCCATTATCCTTTATACTTCTGGGATGGATGATGTAATAGATTTCTCTCTTTATTCTCATTATTTATGCCAGGTCATTTTCCCTCCCTTCACTACTCCTACTTCACACCAAGGAGCTTAGGATATGCGACTACACAAATAATTATGTCCCTTACTACAGAAACTACTTTTCCTTGTTTACTCCCCATGATTTCTATTATTTCTTGTAACTTTGGCTTTACTGTTCTTGAAAGTGGCTCTTCCAATATGTTGTCTTTTATTTACTCTTTTCTTCAAGGGTTCTTCAATGCTCTTATCTATCACCCTATCTTAGCCATGTACTCATTTTCATTTTTCAAAAACTCCCTTGTATTTAAAAAAATAAGTTTAAAACATGTATGCTTAAATTTAAATCAAAGTATTTTTCAACTAAAGTTGGAGTGGAAGAAAATGGACAAAATCAGGAGAGGCAAAGGAAGGAGAATGTGTTAGTCTTGCTAACCTCTTTGGTAGAGGTAAAATATTTGTAGATTTTCTTGTAGTATGTACAGTGTTTCTACTTCTTAAGAGGGTGGTTGGAAGAGAATAGAAAGGAGGAATTCGACTTTGTGTTTGTGTGTGTGTGTGTGTGTGTGTGTACATGTATATACACATATGTATGTATTTTGCTTAGCAAGTTTATGATATGATCCTGAATGTCAGAATAGAATATAAAGACAGAATATAGTTTGGATATTGTTAAAATTTTTGAATAATAGTTGAAGGCAAGTTAAAGGAAGCAATGAAGTAAGAATACAGGTTTAGAATATGAGTACAGATAAAGGACAAATAAGAAACTGTGGACTATAACATTTAAAAATGATTTTTTTCTGTTGAATTTTTAAATAATATTGTCAAAAATATAATCTTTGGTTTTTATTAGACATTATTTAAACCTATATACTAATTTGGGGAAATTAGCATTTTCATAGTATTTAATTTTACTATTTAATCATATGGTATAACTTCATTTTCTTTAAGCTTTATTATATAACTTTTATATTTTAATAGGCCTTCTTTAATGAATGTTTCTTGGTAAATTTACTCAGAATCTTTTCCCCCAAAATATAATTGAATTTATCATTAATTCAACAAATATATGTTCAGTATTTACTATAAGCTGGGTGCATTTAGGCATTTGGGATATATTAAGCTACAAAACCAATGAGAATTTATATCTTGTCGAACTTATAATTGAAAAAATTAAAAAAATGGATAAAGACACATAAATAAATTGTATACAATATGTGATGGTTAATTTTATGTACCAAATTGACTGGGCTAAGGGATGCCCAAATATCTTATAAAACATTATTTCTGTGTCTCTGTAAGAATGTTTCCAGAAGACAGTAGAATTTGCATTGGTAGACTGAGCAAAGATGGCCTTTATCAATGCAGCTGGGCATTATGCAATCTGCGGAGCACTTCAAGAAGACAAAAGGGCAGACAAAAAGTAGATGTTCTTTCTGCTCGAGGTGGTACATCCAGTTTTCCGTGACATCAGACATCAGCAATCTTGGTTCTTGGGTCTGTGGACTCAGATCAGGACTTACACCACTGGCTCCTGGTATAGTAGGGATGTTTGACCCCTCTAAACTTTATGTTGAAATTTGATCTCCATTAAGATCAAATCTGACAGGTGAGCCTAATGCTCCCATTAGGGAGCATTAGGTATCTGGGTGTTGGAGGCAGATTCCTTATGAATAGATTAATACCCTCCCTGAGGCAGGAATGAGTGAATTCTTACTCTGTTAATTCCAAAAAGACCTGATTGTTAAAAATAGTCTGGCACCTCCCCTCTCTCTTTCATTTCCTCACTTGCCATAGGCTCTCAGCGCACACCAGTTCCCCTTTGCTTTCTCCCATGAGTGGAAGCAGCCTGAAGACCTCACCAGAAACCAGCAGATGTTGTCACCATGCTTCTTGTACAGACTGTAGAACCATAAGCCAAATAAGCCTCTTTTTCCTTATAAATTACTCTGACTCAAGTATTCCTGTATAGTTACTAAACAGACAAAGACAGCTCTCCTGGTTCTCAGGATGTCAGGTTTGGAATGAAAATACGCCACTGGCTTTCCTGTGCTAATAAGTTATAAACAGAAGATTGTGGGACTTCCCAACCTCCATAACTGTAGCAGCCAATCCCTCACAATAAATCTCTTTTTATCTATGTGTCCATCTATCTATAGCCTATTGAACCTCTTTCTCTGGAGAAACCTAACTAATATACTATATGTGTTGGGAGATCTTTAAGACCACTTCCAGATTTGATGATTTATGGACCTCTAATATTGGGAGGTCTCATAGGACTCAGAATATCATTGGACTTGTAGCTATAATTTATGACAGTGAAAGGATACAAAGTAAACAAGAAAAGCAAAAAGATGCAGGAAAAAAATCTGGAGGAAACCAGATGCAAACTTCCAGAGTCTTCTCCCAATGGAGTCCTTCACTTAATTCCCCCAGGAACAAATTATGGCAATGTGTAAAACGTTGCCAACAAGGGGAGCTCATTAGAGACGACACCCAGCTTTTATTGGAGGCTGATCACATAGGCATCCTCTGCCTGGCATATACCCAAATCTCAGACTCTTAGGGAAAAAAACAGATGCTCAACATAAACCATATTGTTTACACAGTTTAGGCACAATAAGTCACTCTTAGCTGTTAGTTAAGTTTTAGAAACTCTCCAAAAACCAAGTTCCCAGATACCAGCCAAGGAACAAACCTATAAGCAGGCCTTTCAAAGAACAGCAGTTAGTCCTGCTATGTTAACTCTTTTCTGCACAGTATATTTAAAAAGTGATAAATTCAACAAAAATAAAGCAAAGTGGGGATTTTGGAGGGTTGGGAGAAGGGATAGTTTGCAATTTTAAATAAAGTCATCAGGGTATAGCTCATTAAGAAGATGACATTTGGGCTTAGATGGTAGTAAGTTAGATAGTCATGCAGATATTTTGGAGAAGACATTTGCAGAGGGAATAGCCAATACAAGGGATGCCAAAGAGGCCAAGCGTGTGTGCCTAGAATTTAGATTTCAGAGATGTGGAGAAAAGCCAGGGCATCGCATCAGTAAAATTATGGAATAGGACTTTCCAGTGCTCATTCCCTGCAAAAACATCAATTTGAACAACTATCCATGCACAAAAATACCTTCATCAGAGCTAGAGAAACGAGGTGAGACATAACAGCACCTGGGTGAAGCACAAATAAGGAAAGATTCATTGAAGACAGTGAGAAGGATGGTTTTACATTACTCTCATTGCTCTTTTTCTAAATCCAGGCAGCACAGAATGGAGAAAGATACAATCCATTTGGAGAAAAGAGAGAGAAATGAGCACTAGACGTTGTTTCAGTCCCCAATACTAGGCCCACTATAGTAAAACACAGTTTTGGGCAGGCCTGTATAGCTCCAGACTTTGGACCTGACCCAGCACTCACCCTGCCCCAGTACCAGGCCAACCCCAACAGACTTATTCACAAGTCTTGCCTCAGGGCAAGGCTACCTGACAGCCCTGACCTCCATTTTACCTTCAGCACTAGACTGATACCTAAGGCACCAGGCTTCAGGACTGCCCTAGTGCCATGCCATGCACTCCAAGCCTAGTCATCAGGCCAGCATCTTCAGATTCAGCCTCCTGGCTGGTCCCTGTAGATACAAGTATCAGACCTACTCACTGCCAGACAAGACCTTGTGATTCCAGCTTCCAAGCCAGCCCTAGATTTCCAACCAGCCCTAAGCCAGGTCAACCCACACAGCTCCCCAATTCAGGCTCACCCTGGCATGAAGTCAGCACCCCTGCCTTCAGGCATCAACCTGGCACCTGTAGGCATAGGACCCAGGCTTGTCCAGTGCCAGGCTATTACTCCCTGAGGCCCCACTCCCCAGACTGGCCCTTATAGCACCATGTTACAGCAGACCTAGGATCCAAGCTTATTCTAGTAGACCCAGGTTCCAGGACTGTCCCACTATATCCTAGCACTGGACTGTAAGCCATGGACCAAGGCTCCAAAACCACCATTGTGTACATGGGTTACAAGCTGGTCCTCATGGCCCCAGGATCTAGGCCAGTCCTTGCAGATCTATCCTCTAGGCCAGCCACCATGGCTCCATGCATTAGAAAAGTAACCAAAATCCTAGGCTCCAGAATAGCCCCCACAGGCCCAGCCTTTACTTTGCCCCAGTACCAGACTGGTCCCAGGTCTGGGTCAGTTCCTGCAACCTCAGACTTCAGTGGACCCAGAGTCCAGGCTGGCTGTAGCAGATCTAGAATCCAGGTCCATTCCACTGGACTCTTGTGCCAGGCCAGCCCTCACAGTCCAAGGCTCCAGGTCTACCCCTATAGATCTAGTCCCCAGCCCCAGGCCTGCCCATATGGACTTAGGCTCCAAGCCTATCTTAGTGGACTAAGATGCCTAGCTTATCCCAGTGCCTGGTATGACCATGAAGATTCAGATTCAAGGCTAATTCTAACACTGGGTCAGCTTCTTTGGACCTAGCCTTCATGGCTTTAGGCCAGCCCTTATGGACCCAGGCTCCAGGCCTAACCACAAAGGCTCAATCAAGAGGTCTATCCCATTGGCTCCAGGACTCAGGTCCAGTCCTGCAGATCTAGGCACCAGCCCCACCCACATGTTAACTCAGGCACTAGGAAACCCTGCCCTAAAATTCCAGCATCAAGCCAAGTGGCCTGCCCAGAATCTTGTTGAGCTGACTGTTGAAGGATATTCCCAGTCAAAGCCAATCAAAGATTAAAGTAAGTTCACAAGTCTTCAAACATGTGGACAGCAACACACAGCCATGAGATAAAGAACAATCAGGAAAACATGACACCACCAAAAGAACAAAATAAAGAATCAGTAACAAACTCTAAAGAAATGGAGATACATGAACTACACAATAAATAATTCAAAGTAATTATATTAAGGAAACTCAGTGAACTTCAAAAAATACAGAGAAAAAATTCAATGAAATTAGGAAAACAATAAATGATCTAAACAAAAAAATTCAACAAAAAGATTAAAATTATTTTTAAAAATCAAACAGAAATTCTGGAGTAAAATATAATAAATAGAAAAAAATTGCAATAAAGAACATCAACAGAAGAATTGATTAAGCAGTAGAATTTGTGAACTCAAAGACAAATTATTTAAAAATATGTGATCATAGGAATTAGAAGAAATAAGGAAAACAATAATGAAAATGAGTGAAGAACACTTATGGGATTTATGGAGCAGCATTAAAACAGCAACTGTTTACAGAAGTGCGAGAGTTACAGAAGTGCAAGAAGGATAAGAGAGAGATAAGGAAGTTAGAGCTTAGTTAAAGAAATAGCAGAAAACTTTCCAAATCTGGGGAAAGATATAAATATTCAGGTAAAAGAAGATCAAAGGCCTTCAACTGGACTCAATCTAAACAAGACTATACCAAAACATGTTATAATCAAACTTTACAAATCAAAGTCAAAGAGATAATCTTGAACACAGTAAGAAAAAAGAAACAAATCACATCCACATAGAGAGTTCCAATAAGAAATACCAACAGAAATCTCAATAGAAACCTTATGGGTTGGGAGAGTGTAGGATGACATGTTCGAAATACTGAAGGAAAAAAAAAAAAAAACAAAAAAACCTACCATCCAAGAATATTGTAGCTGGCAAAACTGTTCCTTAGAAATGAAAGAGGGATAAATAATTAAAACAAAAGGTGAAACACCAGATCTATTTTACAAGAGAAGCTAAAGGGAATTCTTCAAGCTGAAAGAAAAGGGTGATATTTCATAGTACAGAAACTTATGAAAGTGTAAGACTCACTGGTAAAAGTAAGTACGAGTCAAATTCAGAATATTCTAACCTTGTAATGGTGGTGTGTAAATTACTATATCTTTAGTATGCAGGTTAAAAGACAGAAATATTAAAGATAATAATGTCTAGGATAATTTGTTAAGGAATACATAATATAATCAGATGCAGATTGTGACATCAAAAACATAAAATGTGTGGGAGGATGGCATAGTAAAAGTGCAATGTGATTTTATGCAATAAAAGCTCATTGCTATCAGTGTAAATTACTGTCTATCACTATAAGATGTCTTATGTAAGCCTCATGGTACCACAAAGCAAACCCTACAGTAGGCACACAAAATATGAAAAGTAAGAAATCAAAGCATTCTCTAAAGAAAACTATCCAATCACAAAGGAAGATAACAAGACAGAAATAAAGGTGCAAAGTGTCTACAAAAAAAAGAAACAGAAAACAGTTAACGAAATGGCAGGATTATGTCCTTATCTATTAGTCACTATCTTGAATGCAAATAAATACATTCTCTTACTAAAAGACAGACTTGCTAAATAGGTAAACACAAACAAACAAAAAACTAAAATCCAACAATATGCTCGGGAAAAGATATAAATATCCACCTACAAGAAAGCCAAATGCCTTCAATCAGGTTAAATACAAACAAGACTATACAAATACAACTTCAAACTTCAAAAACTACAGTCAAGGAGCGAATCTTGAACATAGTAAGAAAAAAGAAGCAAATCACAAATAATGGAGTTCCAATAAGAAATAACAGACTTCTCAGTAGAAACTAAGACTCACTTAACCTTTAAAGATCCAAATAGATTGAAAGTGAAATAATGAAAAAAAAAAATTTGGTGCAAGTGTAAAAGACAGCAAGATATCTACACAGATAACATGGACTTTGTGTCAAAAACTGTAAATGGAGACAAATATAGTCATTATATAATAACAAATAAATCAATTCATCAAGAAGATATAACAATTGTTAATATATAGGCACCCAACAACAGAGAATTTAAATATAAAAAACAAATATTAATAGATCTGAAAGGACACACAGATCACAATATAATAATTGTAGAAGACTTAATCCCATTCATTCTACAATGGACAGATCATTCAGACAGAAAATCAATAAGAAAACATTAGACTTGAACTATGCTTTAGACCAAATGGATCTAACAGACAAATAAAAACATTCCATCCAACAGCAACAGAATACACATTCTTATCAAGTGCAAGTGAATCATTTTCTTTTTTTTTTTTTTTTTTTTTTTTGAGATGGAGTCTCACTCCGTCCCCCAGGCTGGAGTGCAGTGGCACGATCTCGGCTCACTGCAACCTCCGTCTCCCAGGTTCAAGTGATTCTCCTGCCTCAGCCTCCCCAGCAGCTAGGATTACAGGCACATGCCACTGTGCCCGGCTAATTTTTTGTATTTTTAGTAGAGACAAGATTTCACCATGTTGACCAGACTGGTCTTGAACTCCTGACCTCAAGTGATCCACCCGCCTAGGCCACCCAAAGTGCGGGGATTACAGGCATAAGCCACCGCGCCTGGCCCATCATTTTCTATGATAGATCTTATGTTAGGCCACAAAACAAGTCTTGGAACAAATTTAAGAAAATTGAAATCATATTAAATATATTTTTATCACAATGTTATGAAACTAGAAATCAATAGGAAGAATATTGACAATTTTACAAATACATGAAAATTAATTAACATGCTCTTCCACAACTGATGAGTCAATGAAGAAATTAAGAGGCAAATTTAAAAATATCGTGAGATAAAAAAATGAAAACATAATATACCAAAATTATAGGATGCAGCAAAAAGCAGTTCTAAGAAGGAAGTTTATAGCAATAAATGCCTACATAGAACATAAGAAAGATCCCAAATAAACAATCTAATGTTACACCTCAGGGAACTGGATAAAACAGTACAAATTAAGCCCAAAGTTAATAAAAGAAAGAAAATGATAAAGATTAGAGTAGGAATAAATGAAATAAAGACTGGAGAAAACAATACAAAAGGCTAACAACACTGAATTGATTTTTTTGAAACTATGAAAGAAAACAAAGTTTTACCTGGACAGTATAGGAAAAAAAGAGAAGACAAATAAATATAATCAGAAAGGAAAGAGTAATTCTATTGCCAGAGAAATGCAAAGGATCAGAAGACTTCTGTGAACAGTTATACATCAACAAATAGGACAGCCTAGAAAAAACTGATACATTCTTAAACATGTACAGTCCATCAACTTTAAACTACAAAGAAATAGAAAGCTTGAACAGACCAATTATGAGCAAGAATCAATCAGTAAAAAATATTCTTCCATCAAAAAAAGCCCAGGACCCAATATCTTTACTGTTGAATTCTACTAAAAATTTAAAGATGTAATAAGAAGCATACTAAAACACTTTCAACAAATTGAAGAGGCGGAAACACTTTCAGACTTAACACTACCCAAAGTTCATACAAGGACACTACAAGAAAAGAAAATTATAGGCAAGCATATCTGATCTTCATAGATGCAAAAATACACAACAAATTACTAGCAAACTAAATTGAAGAACACATTAAAATAATCATTTACCATGATCAAGCGGGATTTGTTCCTTGAATGTAAGGATTGTTTAACACATAAGAATCAATAAATGTGATACACCATATTAACAAAATGAAAAATAAAACTCATATGATCACCTCAATAGCTGCAGAAAAAGTCAATTGACAAAATTCAATCCCTTTTATGATAAAAACTCTCAACAGATTAGGTACAGAAGGCATGTACCTCAACACAATAAAGGTCATATATAACAAGATTGTAACCAACACAATTTTTTTTATACCAACACCATTTTAAAGAGTGAACAGTTTAAATCTTTTCGTCTAAGATCAAGGCCAAGAAAAGTATACTCACTCTCACCATTTATTTTCAATGTAATACTAGAAGTCATGGCCATAACAATTAGACTAGAGAATGAAATAAATGGCATCCTAATAGGGAAGGAAGGAAATAAAAATTGTTTACAAATTACATGATCTTATATATAGAAAATTCCAAAGGTTCCACCAAAGGACCTGTTAGAAGTGATAAATGAGTTTAGTTAAATTTCAGTACAAAATCAATGTACAGAAATGAGTAGTTTCTATATATAATAATATAATAGAGTAGAATGAGTAGTTTCTATATATAATAATATAATAGAGTAGAAGAATATAGAATACAATAAAGAATAAAATAGATTGTTAGAAAATTGAATTAATAAAATAATAACTTTTCAATATTATTAAAAATTCAATATTTGGTTTGTAAAATTAACTAAGGAGGTAAAAGACTTTTACACTGAAAACTATCAAACACTGATGAAAGAAATGAAAGAAAACACAAATAAATGGAAGTATATTTCATATGGATTGATTGGAAGAATTAATATTATTAAAATGTTCATACTACCCAAAATAATCTACAGATTCTGTGCAACTTCTATCAAATTTCAATGACTTTTTAAGTTTTTTTTTGAAAGTTATTGGGGTACAGGTGGTATTTGGTTACATAAGTAATTTCTTTAGTGATGATTTGTGAGATTTTGGTTCACTCATCACCTGAGCAGGATATACTGCACCATATTTGTAGTCTTCTCTCCCTCGCCCCCCTCTCACTCTTCCCCGCAAGTCCCCAAAGTCCATTGCATTATTCTTATGCCTGTGTCCTCATAGCTTAGCTCCCACATATCAGTGAGGACATACAATACTTGGTTTTCCATTTCTGAGTTACTTCATTTAGAATACTTCACTTAGAATAATAGTCTCCAATGTCATCCAGATCACTCCAAATGCTGTTAATTCATTCCTTTTTATGGCTGGATAGTATTCCATATATATATATCTCTCTCACAGTTTTTTAATCCACTCATTGATTGATGGGCATTTGGGTTTGTCCCATGATTTTGCAATTGTGCTGCTATAAACATGCGTGTGCAAGTATCTATTTTGAATAACGACTTCTTTTCCTCTGGGTAGATACCCAGTAGTGGGATTGCTGGATCAAATGGTAATTCTACTTTTAGTTCTTTAAGGAATCTCCACACTGTTTTCCATAGTGGCTGTACTAGTTTACATTCCCACCAGCAATGTAGAGGTATTCCCTGTTCACTGCATCCATGCCAGCATCTACTTTTTTTTTTTGATTTTTTGATTGTGGACATTCTTGCAGGAGTAAGGTGGTATTGCATTGTGGTTTTGATTTGAATTTCCCTGATCATTAGTGATGTTGTGCATTTTTTCATATGTTTATTGGTCATTTGTATTCTTTTGGGAATTGCCTATTCATGTCCTTAGCCCACTTTTGATAGGAATGTTTGTTTTTTTTTTACTGATTTGTTTGAGCTTGTTGTAGATTTTGGATATTAGTCCTTTGTCAGATGTATAGATTGAGAAGATTTTCTCTCACCTGTGGATTGTTTGATTACTCTGCTAACTGTTCCTTTTGCCTTGCAAAAGCTCGTTAGTTTAATTAGGTCACAGCTATTTGTCTTTGTTTTTATTGAATTTGCTTTTGGATTCTTGGTCATGAAATCCTTGCCTAAGCCAATGTCTGGAAGGATTTTTTCAATGTTATCTTCTAGAAATTTTATAGTTTCAGGTCTTAGGTTTAAGTCCTTAATCCATCTTGAGTTGATTTTTGTATAAGGTGACAGATGAGCAACTAGTTTCATTCTATATGTGGCTAGCCAATTATCCCAGCACCATTTGTTGAAAAGGGAGTCCTTTCCCCACTTTATGTTTTTGTTTGCTCTGTCAAAGATCAATTGGCTATAAATATTTGGGTTTATTTATGGGTTGTCTATTCTGTTCCATTGGTCTATGTGCCTATTTTTGTGCCAGTACCATGCTGTTTTGGTGACTATAGCCTTGTAGTATAGTTTGAAATCAAATAGTGTGGTGCCTTCAGATTTGTTCTTTTTGCTTAGTCTTGCTTTGGCCATGCAGGTTCTTTTTTTGGTTCCATATAAATTTTAGAATTGTTTTTCCTCATTCTGTGAAGAATGATGGTGGCATTTTGATGGGGATTGCATTGAATTTGTAGATTGCTTTTGGCAGTATGGTCATTTTCACAATATTGATTCTACCCATCCATGAACATTTCATGCAAATGGACACCAAAAGCGAGCAGAGATATAAGAATAGCTATTCTTATATCAGACAAAACAAACTTTAAAGCAACAGCAGTTAAAAGGGACAAAGAGGGACATTATTTACTGGTAAAATACCTTGTCCAACAGGAAGATATCACAATTCTGAACATACATGCACCTAACACTAGAGTTCCCAAATTTATAAAACAATTACTAATAGACCTAAGAAATGAGATAAACAGCAACACAATAATAGTGTTGTCCATCGATAACACTAGCCAGATCATCAAGACAGAAAGTCAACAAAGAAACAATGGATGTAAACTATACTTTGGAACAAACGGACTTAACAGATATATACAGAACATTTCATCCAACAACCTCAGAATACACATTCTATTCAACAGCGCATGGAACTTTCTCCAAGACAGACCATATGATAGGCCACAAAACAAGCCTCAATAAATATAAGAAAATTGATATTATATCAAGCACTCTCTCAGACCACAGTGGAATAAAACTAGAAATCAACTCCAAAAGGAACCTTCAAAACCATGCAAATACATGGAAATTAAATAACCTGCTCCTGAATGAGCACTGGGGCAAAAACAAAATCAAACGAGAAATTTAAAAAAATTATTCAAACTGAATGACAATAATGACACAATCTATCAAAACCTCTGGGATATAGCAAAGGTGGTGCTAAGAAGAAAGTTCATAGCCCTAAACACCTACATCAAAAAGACTGAAAGAGCACAAACTAACACTCTAAGATCATACCTCAAGTAACTAGAGAAACAAGAACAAACCAAGCCCAAACCCAGCAGAAGAAAGGAAATAACCAAGATCAGAGCAGGACTAAATGAAATTGAAACAAAAAAAAAAATACAAAAGGTAAGTGAAACAAAAAGCTGGCTTTTTGAAAAGATAAATAAAATTGATAGAGCATTGTCAAGATCAACCAAGGAAAGAAGAGAGAAAATCCAAATAAACTCACTAAGAAATGAAGCAGGAGATGTTACAACTGACAGCACTGAAATACAAAAGATCATTCAAGCCACCTGTGAACACCTTTATGCACATAAACTAGAAAATCTAGAAGAGATGGATACATTCCTGAAAAAAATGCAATTCCCTTAGCTTACATCAGGAATAATTAGATACTCTGAACAGACCAATAACAAGCAATGAGATTGAAATGGTAATTAAAAAATTACCAACAAAAAAAAGTCCAGGACCAGATGGATTCACCGCAGAATTCTACGAGACATTCAAAGAAGAATTGGTACCAATCCTTTTGACACTATTCTACAAGATATAGAAAGAAGGAACCCTCCCTAATTCATTCAGTGAAGTCAGCATCACCCTAATACCAAAACCAGGAAAGGACACAACTAAAAAAGAAAACTACAGACCGATATCCTTGATGAACATAGATGTCAAAATCCCTAACAAAATACTTGCTAGCTGAATCCAAAAACATACCAATAACATAATCCACCATGATCAAGTGGGTTTCATACCAGGGATGCAGGAATGGTTTAACACATGCAAGTCAATAAATGTGATACACCATGTAAACAGAATTGAAAACAAAAATTGTATGTTCATTTCAGTAGATGCAAAAAAGCATTTGACAAAATCCATCATCCCTTAATGATTAAAACTCTCAGCAAAGTAGGCATACAAGTGACATCCCTTAATGTAATAAAACCCATCTATGACACACCCACAACCAACACAATACTGGATGGTGGAAAGTTGAAAGCATTCCCTCTGAGAACTGGAACAAACAAGGATGCCAACTCTCACCACTCCTCTTCAACATAGTACAGGAAGTCCTAGCCAGAGCAATCAGACAAGAGAAAGAAATCAAGGGCATCCAAATTGGTAAAGAGGAACTCAAACTGAAACTTTTTGCTGATGATATGATTGTTTACTTTCAATGATATTTTTAACAGAAATAGAAAAACTATCCTAAAATTCTTATGTAGCCATAAAGGACCTTGATTAGACAAAGTAATGCTGAGAAAAACAAACAAACAAACAAAAAAGCTAGATGTATCCCATAACCTAATTTGAAAATCTATACAAAGTTATAATAATAAAAACAACATGATACTGGCATAAAAAAGACACACAGGTTAATGGAACAAAACAGAGAGCCTAGAAATAAATCCACATATTTATGGTCAATTTATTTTTCAACCAAGATGGCAAGAATGTACACAGTGAAAAGGGTATTCTCTTTAATAAATGGTATTGGACAACTGGATATTCTCATGCAGAAGAATAAAATAAAACCAACATCTTACACCATCTACAAAAATTAACCAACATGAATTAAAGACTTAAACCTAAGATCTGAAATTAAAACTACTCGAAGAAATCACAGGAAAAAGCTCCATGACATTGGTCTAAAGAAAGATTTTTTGTGTGATACCAAAGCACAAGAAAAAAACACATACATACACACACACACACACACACACAAATAGACAAATGGAATTACATCAAATTGAAAAGCTTCTGCACAGCCAAGGAAATAATCAACAGGGTGAAGAGACAACCTACCAGATGGGAGAATATATTTTCAAACAATACATCTGATAATGGCTTAATATCCAAAATATACAAGGAACTAAACCACTCAATAGTAAGAGAAAAATCCAATTAAATAATGGGCAGAAAACCTAAATAGACATTTTTCAACAAAAAAAATACAAATGACCAATGGGTATATGAAAAAAAAAATGCCCAACATCATTAGTCATCAGGAAAATGTAAAATAAAAACACAAGGGGTTGCCTATCACCATATACAAACATTAACTCAAGATGGATTAATGGCTTAAATATAAGACCTCAAACTATAAAAAATCATAGAATGAAACCTAGGAAATATTCTTCTCAACACTGGCCTTGGCAAAAGATTTGTTACTGCGTCCTCAAAAGAAATTGCAATGAAAATAAAAATTGACAAGTGGGACCTAATTAAACTAAAGAGCTTCTGTGCAGCAAAAGAAAACATCAATAGAGTGAACAGACAACCTACAGAATGGGAGAAAATATTCACAAACTGTGCATTTGACAAAGGTCTAATATTCAGAATCTATAAGGAACTTAAACAAATCAAGAAAGAAAAACAAATTACCCCATTGAAAAGTGGACAAAGGACACAGACACTTCTCAAAAGAAGATATATAAACAGCCAACAACCATATGAAAAAATGCCCATCATCACTAATCAGAGGAATGCAAATCAAAACCATGAGATACAATCTCACACCAGTCAGAATGACTATTACTAAAAAGTTAAAGAAAAAAAAAAACAGCTGATATCAGAGCTTCAGTGAAAAGGGAATGCATAAACACTGTTGGTGGGAATGTACATTAGTTCAGCCACTGTGGAAAGCAGTTTGGAGATTTCTCAAAGAACTAAAAATAGAACTACCATTCCACCCTGCAATCCCATTTCTGGGTATATTCCCAAAGGAAAATATTTCATTCTATCCAAAAGACACATGCACTCATATGTCATTGCAGGACTATTCACAATAGCAGAGACATGGGATCAACCTAGGTGCCCATCAATGGTGAATTAGATAAAGAAAATGTGGTACAAATACAACATAAATTATAAGAAGCCATAAAAGGAATAAAATCATGTCCTTTGCAGCAACATAGATATGCAGCTACAGGACATTATCCTAGGCAAACTAACAAAGAAACAGAATGCCAAAAACCACATTCTCATTTATAGGTGAGAACTAAACATTGGGTACAGATGGACTTAATGATGGGAACAATAGACACAGAACCACAAGAGGGAGTAGTGAGGAAGGGGACAAAGATTGAAAAACTAACTATTGGGTACTATGCTCACTACCTGGATGATGGGTTCAATTATATCCCAAACATCAGCATCACACAATATAGTCTTGTAACAAACCTGCACATGTGCCCCCGAATCTAAAATAAAATTTGAAAAATAAAATAAAACCTCAAACCTGTTGGAATGACTATTATCAAAATGACAAAAGATAACAAGTGTAGGACACAATGTGGAGAAAAAGAAACTCTGTATACTGTTGGAAGGAGTTTAAATTGGTGCAGCCGTTATGGAAAACACTATGGAGGTTACTCAAAATATTAAAAGTAGAACTTCCATATGAACCAGGAATCTCACGTCTGGGTATATATCCTAAGGAAACAAAATCAGTATGATCAAGAGATATCTGCACTCCCGTGTTCATGATAGCTTTGTTCATGATAGCTAAGATATGGAACCAACTTGTGTCCATCAACAGATGAATGGATAGAGAAAATGTGGTATATATACACTGTGGTATATACACTGTGGAGCACTATTTAGCCATAAAAAAGAATGAGATGCTGTTGTTTGCTACAACATAGAAAAACTTAGAAGACATTATGTTAAGTGAAAAAAGCCAGGCAAAGAAAAACAAGTACTGCATGACCTCACTTATATGTTGAGTATAAAACCATCGAACTGATAGAAACAGATTAAAATTGTGGTTATCAGCAGCTCTTGATTAGGAGAATTGGGGGGGTGTTAGACAAAATACACAAAATTTTAGTTACACAGGAGAAATAATTTCAAAATATCTATTGTACCTCAGGGTGATTACAGTAAATAATGATTTTATTTGTATTTAAAAATGTTAAAAGAGTAGATTTGAAGTGTTTTCGCCACAAAACAATAAGTATGCCAGGTAATGAATATGATAAATAGCTTGATGTAGCCATTCCACTATGTATACCTATATCAAAACATCATGTTGTATACCATAAATATATATAATTTTTGCTTGTCAATTAAAGTAAAGAAAGAGAGTTGAAAAAAGAGCAGATTTTATGGAATATTGAAAGCTAAAATCATTGGCTTATAAAAGTATAAGATTATCAAGAGAGTAAGTTTGGACAAAGAAGATAAATGAACCAAGAATAGAAAGAAACTAAGAGCATATGGTGTTTTCGAAAAAAATGCTATTTTATAGGTCAAGTCAAATGAAAATGGAGAAGAGACTATTGGATTTAGCAATTTGGAGGTCATTGAAAATCTTGATTAGATCAATTTGAATGGATACTAGGGAGAAGAAACCTGCTTGGAGTGTGCTTATGAGAAAATGTAAAGATTGGAATTGGAGGGTATTTTTTTGCAAAAAACAGAGCAGATAATTTGGTGAAGGAAGAGAAAATTGTATCAGGAGAAGCATTTTTGTTGTTTGTATTAGATTTTTTATGTTTAATTAAATTTTTTTAGAATGAGGCAATATGCTAATATGTCCATATGCTAACAATAATGAACAAATATATAGATATAAATTGATGGAGTGGATGAAAGGGGATGGTATCTAGTGACGTTCTGGAGGTATTGGCTTGAGACAAGAGCATTGATAATTATCTTATGTTAACAGACAGAAAGTTTGAGTATTTGGGCACAGATGCTGATATGTGTCTAAGTGTGGTGATGGGAGTCTGTTAAAATGTTTAGAATTTAAATTTTTTATGTAAAGTAAGAGGAAAGGCTCTTATATAAGAATGAGAAAGAAAAACACAGGTTTTTGAAGGGATTGGAGAAAGTATGAAATACTGCTTAAGGACTGTGGGAGAGTGAATAGACTCAAGATATGTAGTATAATTTCTAGACAACATCAAGACCCCTTGAGTTTCATTGTCATGATTGTTAAAGGGAAGCCAATTAGTGTGATGCTTTTCTTCTATCAGATTTATTTGTCTAGATGCAGATTCAAGGTAGGCAGATCATTGTATTTAAGCATAAACAGATTTATGAATTTTCCATGCAGATAAGGCAAAATGAGAGAGGGACTGAGGAGTTGAGGATATATGAGAGAAAGTGAATATAAGGATTTACTATACAATTTAACCTGGAAAATAAGGGAAGAGAGGTCATCAATATGATCAAGAGACAGCAGTAATTGGTAATGACAAGGTCTAGGATTATCATGATGGAAAGAAATGACCTAGGGAGAATGGAAGGTAAAATTATTTGAAGGAAATGAAGAGTAAGGATAGAATTAAATTCAAGTATTGTATTTTAAAAGAAGAGGGATGGGAAAGTGTTTGCAAGAGTCAGTAATGATAAGGAAGGACAATGCAGTGATATAAAGGAAATGAGAGAAAGAATTGTCACTGCCTTAGAAAGCTGCAGCCCTCTAAGGGCTTGCACACTGCCCTTACCCATGTATGATTTTATTTGTACACAGTTTTGGATGTTCAATGCCACATTTAACAAGCAAAACAGCAAATGAATCAAAGTCCCTTTCCAATAATCACCATGGTAAAGCGGGTACAAAAGCTTTCCTCTGAGCCTCTTTTCTTCCAGGCATCAGATATATTTCTATTTGCTGTGTCCTGTCCTGAGAAGCTGTGTGCTCAGGACAGGCCAAGGTTTCTAATAGAGTAAGAAGGTCATGATAATCTGAAGAAGTGTTTGAGAATATAGACAATGATGCTAATTATAAATTGGGAAATTAGGGGTACTATGGTTGCTTTTCATGGGTTAGGGAGGAGTGGAAGATGGAGATAAGATAGAGAATGTGCAAAGACTTATGAAGATTTGGATGGGAGAGATGAAGGTAGCTTGAGCTTTCATGGTATCAATACCTAGACAGAGATAAAAGATACAATGGGATTAGTTTAGATGGCCTAAAGACATTCAGTAATGATGAGAAAAGGAAAAGAGGATGACTAGAATATCCAGTTGATGTACTTTCGGATATCTGTGGAATCTAGGTCATACTCTGAACTTTTGTGTCTCTCCTCTTTACCTCTGTCAATGGTTTGAGGGTTGAACATAATCAAAAGGAAGAAAAAACAGCTTGTATTGGAAGGAGACATGATGCACTCTTTAAATACTTAATATTTGGAATACATTGAAATCTTCACATACCATCAAACAAAAAAAAATGTGATTGGACAAAAAAAAAAAAATCTGGTCAGGTGTTGTGGCTCATGTCTCTAATCCTAGTGCTTTGGGAGGCCGAGGTTGGGTGATCACTTGAGACCAGGAGATTGAGACTAGCCTGGAAAGCATGGTAAAACCGTGTGTCTACAAAAAATAAGAAAATTAGCTAGGTGTGGTGGCACATGCCTATAGTCCCAGCTACTCGGGAGGCTGTGGTGGGAAGATCGACTGAGCCTGAGAGGTAGAGGCAGAGGCTGCAGTGAGCCGTGATTGTGCTACTGCACTCCAACCTGGGCATCAAAGACTCTGTCTCAAAAAAAAAAAAAAAAAAAAAATTAAGCTAAAGTAAAATTTGGAACTGGTATATGAAGAATTAAAATTGAATTGGAAACCAACAGTATTTAATAGTGGAGTGAGAATAATATATACTAGATGCACACAAACTTCTTTACATATTGTGTAATTTTTACCTTAATATCTTAATAGAGTTTATTAAATGTTTGATAAGGTATATTAAATTAGTTAAATATATTTTGGTATATTGCCTTAAAGTCATTAAATTTCAGCTCAAATGAACATATTATTTAAATTATTACCTTGGATAAATTGCCTTCTAAAGGTAAGTATATTTATGGCAACAAGTACAATCTATAATGTTACTTAGACATAATATTACTTCCGTTGCATTCATTGGTTACTTTTGATGTCATTTTATGGAGGTCCGGTTTTCTTGCCTGACAGATATGACTTGGTAACAGAACTGCTTTGCAATGGTGAAAGTCACTTTTTGTCTCTGAGACATGTTTAAGGTCATGGTGTGAAAATGTTTATTCCCTGAAGATCTCAAACATAACTTGCCCGTGGGGATTCATTATTTCTCTCCCTGTTGAAATTCATATTTTATCTCTAGACTTGCATGTGTAAGGAGTTTTCATGGAAGAGAAATACTGTCTGGTGCAAAATAAAGTGTACAAAAAGGCAAAATAAATTTTATTGTCATTCCAGACATTAATTTTTGTATTGATGGATGGCACTAAAACTTTTTTAAATTAAATAATTTTTGACTTGTAGTTTACATTTACAAAAAGATAAATAAATACCAATTGCCATCAATACAAAAGTGAATATCCACCAGTCATCAGGGCAACAGGAAATAAATTTTAGAGGGGTTTATTCTGTAATTAAATGCTCTTCTTTCGAAGCTGTACAATTTTTCTCTTCTGGCTACTCCATATCCTAATCGCTCCTAAGAAAGCCAGAAATGCAATCCTATCCATATCAGTAAGAGCAATAAGTGTTTGGTGAACAGCCTGAATGCCCACTCTATTGGTTCCATTTTTCAGTAAATCTTCTTCTTAAGAATATAAAAAATACTAAAACGTAGGACATCTTAGAAAGCTGATACAGTCACATTAGAATATTTCTATAGGTTATACCTCAAAGACAAATCAAATGAGATACACCATTAGTGGGGATTTAGAAAACACAGATATTGAGGATGTATTTTTTTTTCCAAAAAAGTCTCAGGATAATTCATCTTGTTAATAAACAAGGGGAATGTTTAAGTTTTGATTAGGTCTATATTAAGCCCACATATTAATATAGACATGACACTATTAACATCGTTTAGAAATTGAACAATGTATTATAAGATAGCTTACATTAAAAATATAAAGTTTGTTTATGATTTTGGTTTTATTTCTATTTTGATTTTGTCATTGCTTGCAAGTGAATAAATGTTAGGATTTTTCATCTTGAATTTTGTAGGACTCTGGAAGTAAACTTTCATTCTGAAAAAGCACATAATAAATTAATTTGCTAAAAAAAGGTATAAAAAGCACTTAATTTTTTGTTAAAGTGCAAATAGAGGAAACAATGAGGAATTCAAATTAATGCCTGTAATATAATTAATTTGAGTCAACTCTTAAGTTGACTCTTAAGATGAGTAAGTTGGAAATGGTCATATCAAGAAATTCTTATATTAATCTAAAAGTAAACATTGGTTTTGACCACCTACCAAAGGAAAGCTGTAATTCAAATATGAATATATTTATCTATACTAATGTGTTCATGATGTGCTGGTATTTTGGAATAATTGGGTATCACACATTCTTTTTCCTCTAAGATATCAAAAAATGTTTAAAAAATTTAAAAAGTATTCTAAGTATAACAAATGCAGATTTTTTAAGCAATGTAGGCTTTTGAATATTTGTTTTTATGTAAACATTTCACATTAGGAAGAAGAATTTTAAATTTTAATTATTTAACATTTTGTAAAACTGTGATAATTAATCTGTACTCTACTCTGTAACTCGTCGTACCCACAGGTTGCATTTGTGAGAGGATTGGCTGAATGCATAGACTATGGTTGTAGAATGGAGTCTTTCCTTTGAAATAAAAAGAACGATGTATTTGTTAAACAATATCTAGTCTCCAGTAATATCATGCTGTTCCCATTTGTGTACAGAAAACTAAGAACAGGAACAAGTAATTACCTTCCTCTTATCTACAACAGACTGAATGAAAAACAGGGGACCAAGAAATATGAGTATTATCTCTCTTAGGTGCTTTCCTAAATATAACAGAAAGGAGCTTATAGTAATTATCTCTTCTGTTTATTTAGCTTGACAAGTCATGAGAATTAAGAGTCAAGACAAGCCATGGAAATTAGGAGTCAAGACAAATGATGAGAATCAGGAGTCTAAAGGTCAAACTTGCATCACAACAAAAACAAGTCTAATTTTTCTTTATTTCATTTTTCAATACTTGTTTTTTTTTTCCATTTGAATTGCTCAATACCCGTAATGATTTCCCATTTCTTTAAGAACAATCCAGTATCCTTAACATCGAATGTGAAGTAGTAAATTATCTGACCCCTGATTATATCTATGGTCTTACTTACATCAAGACTCCAAATCCATGTACTTCTGGATGTTCCTTCCCTTTGCTCCAACTTCCCATTCTTCAACCTCCACGCTAAACAATCTTTGCCTGAGAAACACCTGTTTACCTTTTATGGTCTTGTATTCAACACCACTCCCTCTTGCAGGACTTCTCTAAACCTCCAGGCCATGTTAGATGCCCTCATATAGCAACACATCATTCTGTACCATGAACTATCCAATAATGTCAACAGTCAAGTTCAAACAGTTTGAACCATGTAGTAAAATAGAATAGACAGACTGTACTATTGTGACATTCATAAAATTATCAATTAATGCCATGATATTCTGGAAATAAACCCAATTACTAGATTGCATAGTATCCTATCTTAGCACAGGGATTTTTCTTTTATTTTTTCTTTTCCTTCTTGTCCAGGAAACTCCAAGTTGTTTTAGCCCAAACACCTTGTTTAGCCAGTCTCTTCATTTCTAACCAAACCAAGTAAAACAGACTCTTGAGATATAGAATCTACTTATGTTCCTATTTATTTATTTCTTCAGAGGTCTTGCTACATTGCCTAGACTGGAGTGCAATGGGTGTTCATAGCCAATATCATGGCATACTATGGCCTTGAACTCCTGGCCTCAAAGAATCCTCAATCTTCAGCTTCTTGAGTAGCTGAGATTACTTCTTTTCCTATGCCGAGCATTTTAAATTATCAAATGAAAGAATAAACAGCTAAGTCTTTACATTTATTTAACCTCACCAAGTCTAAAGTTAAATAAGAAAAGTGAGTAAGCAAAACATTCAGGTCTGAATGATTATGAAGGCTCACTAAAATAATTCTTCCTGAACACGAAGGGTCTAGCCACAGGACAGATTTCTGCACCTAGTTCTCTAAAGCCACAGGAAGCAAATTCCTGCTTTCAGGCTCTAAAAGCTTAAAAATATTGATAAATGCTTTCAGAGAATATTGCTATATACATCAAATAAAATAACTAACAGAAATTAGAAATATTGGTCCAACCTATCCCCAACCTATCATCATTTTATTATATAGCCCCTTCCAACATTTTACTATATAAAAAGTCAAATTGGCAAGCTATTTTGTTAGACAACAGCTCTTTTATCACTTCTTTTGCAGGAGAAATTGCATTTATGATTATGTATTCATGTCTAGATTCTCCACTACGATGTAAGTTCCAGGAAGCTGTACTCTGTGTATGTTTTCAATATAGCTCTCTTCCATAACATACCAGAGAATGGTGATATAAGTGCTCAACGAGTATCTGTGACTGAATGAGTGAGATATATTAGAAAATATGTGCATAGAGTGAAAACATGTTTACGATACTATAATGCTACAAGTTGTTTTCCCTAATGTCTTCATGTGATGACATTCCTTTTCTTGTATTACAGATATTCTCTTACAAGGAAACTCTTCATTTTGAAAATATTTTCCAGTTGACACTTCTTTTGCAAGCATGAGTTACACCTCAAAAGAAATATGAATTCATCAATGAAAGAAACTCTACGTTACCAAACTTTTTTTCCATTTCTTAACTAGAGTCTGGCATAAATTATGCCCTCAATAAATATTTGCTAAATATTTATTTGTATAAAATCTTAAAATAAGTTAAATAAAAGCATATTCAGAGGATGTGTTGTTTCTGGTTATGAATTGAGAAATAATTTTTGTCTATTTATGTATTATTACTCTGCAATAATCAAGCATAAAAAAGGATATTGCGTTTCACTTTTTAGTACTTTATGTATATAAACTAATTTATACTCTCATTGTTTAATAAGTACTTGCAATTTTCTAAATGTATTACTTATGTGCTTTAAATAACATTAATTTCAATGTAGAGGGAATTTGCTTGCCTATAATGCATTTTTCCCAATATAGAATGAAATGTATTTTGTCACAAGGAAAATATGTGGTTTGAGGCTGACAATCATACAGAGTGCAAATGTATTTGTGGTGGATCATGAAATATAAGCTTCACACACTGGTTATTTCAGAAAAATCGGGAGTCAGCCAAATACTTTAGACCATAACTTTATGAAGAAGCAAATATTATATGACTTTTGTTTGCCTTTGAACTGAAATAATCACCTGTAATACTTTCTACCAAAGAGATATGAAGTGGAAAACTAATTGATAAAGTAGATTAAAGACAATTTCTGAGGCCATTTTATGTGTTTTGATTAGCAGGTTAGCAATTTCAGTTAAAATAAAATACCTATATAGGAACAGAGAAGTAAATTCAGAATAAAATAATTCCCAGCATAGCCTTTCTTTTGGGTGATTTTTCTCTCTCTAATATGCCTTTATAGTAAAATCCCATTAGATTATTTTATTAAATATAATATCATTTTAGTGGATGCCTGTGCAAGTACAATGTAGTTATTACTACCTGATAATATAAATTAAAAGCATAAACCTTTTCACAATTCATGTTAACTAATGATGTTACACAGTACACTTAATTTTACTGCAAAGTAAAAATGGGATTTTCTTATACAAAGAAACATTGCTGCCTTTCCTGCAAGAGAACATGTGGTGGAAAATAATTAATCCTTTGGACTGAATATCTCCATGTATTTAGTAATAGAAGATTTGGGTCTTGAAACAATATAAATAAAGCATCAATACTCATGGGCTTAGTCCCCACTTGCCAGGCAATTTCTTTCTACACTGAGTAAAACTTAGCCCATATTTATTAATGCAACCTTGGAAAAATTTGGATCAGATTAAGACAACATGCAAACTTAGAAGGAAATGATCATGTTAGATCATGACTTTCTGTTGTGATCTGGGGAAAGTGGAGAGGTGACATTTAACCTGAGATGGTGACTAAGCTACTCAAATGAATGATCAATGAAGGGAAATGTGGACAACATCTGAGGTACTTCTTTAAGAAATTAAAATCAATAAAAAATATTGGAATTGAATGTTGTAATGCCTATGGTATTTGCTCTTGAGTTAGAAACATAACAAAAATGTTTACATGCTTTATATTTCTCAGTTAAATTATATGTTGATAGTGTAAAGAAAATATATTTACCTATTTACTAGAAACTACAATACTAGTTTTTGACAAAGTTGAATTTAAGACAATTTTCACTAAATGCACTTAAAAGGTAACCATCCTTCCTTCTTTCCTCCCTCCCTCCCTCCCTTCCTTCCTTCCTCCCTCCCTCCCTCCCTCCCTTCCTCCCTCCCTCCCTCCCTTCCTCCCTTCCTTCCTTCCTCCCTCCCTCCCTTCCTCCCTCCCTCCCTCCCTCCCTCCCTTCCTCCCTCCCTTCCTTCCTCCCTCCCTCCCTCCCTTCCTCCCTCCCTCCCTCCCTCCCTCCCTTCCTCCCTCCCTCCCTCCCTCCCTCCCTCCCTTCCTCCCTCCCTCCCTCCCTTCCTTCCTCCCTCCCTCCCTCCCTTCCTTCCTTCCTTCCTTCTTTCCTCCCTCCCTCCCTCCCTCCCTCCCTCCCTCCCTCCCTTCCTTCCTTCCTTCCTCCCTCCCTCCCTCCCTCCCTTCCTTCCTTCCTTCCTTCCTTCCTTCCTTCCTTCTTCCCTTCCTTTTTTCCTCCCTTCCTTCCTTGCAGTGAATCCATATGTATCTGCAGCAAACTCAATTCTTGTCTCCTCAGAAGAAATAATTTGACTAAGGGCAATAAGGCACAAGGAGAGACTGAGGCAAGTTTTAAAGCAGGAGTGAAAGTTTATTACAAGTTTTTAAAGAAGAAACAAAAGGCAGGAAAGTACACATGGAACAGGCCCAAGTGGGCAACTTGAGAGACAAGTGCATGATTTGACCTTTCGACTTGGGATTTTATATGTTGACTTACTTCCGGGGTCTTGTGTCCCTTCACCCCTGATTTTTCTCTTGGGGTGGCCTGTCCACATGCACAGTTACCTGCTAGCCCTTGGGAGGTGAGCATGTGCTGTGTATTTACTGGAGTTGTATGAATGCTCACTTGAGGCATTCTTCCCTTACCAGTAGTATGTCCCAAGAAGGTCATATACTGGTTAAACTCTGCCATTTTGCCTCTTAAAGCACATTTGTGAGCCCACTTGCCCAAATCCTGAGATCTTATCAGGAAGTCACTGATCACCAGCTTCAGGTGTTTCTGTTTATTGGGAAACTGCCTTTCCCTGCAACTGGCTGCAGCCAATTACTATTTTAGAGAGACAGTTAACTGCTTGAACATCACCTGATGGTGTCCTGACGTTCCTGGTGCATGTGTATGGAGGCGGGGGGCGGGGTGCATGTAGGGGGAGCCTTCTCCTGCCCTGCTCATGTCTGACTAGCTACCTATGGTAACACTTCCTTCCTTCCTTTTTTTCAGCAAACACTTACTACACATTAAGCAGGGTCTTCTTTGCTGAGGATAAATCTATGGGTAAGTCATCTCAGAGGCTATTTGTCATGCTGTGCACAGCCCAGCTCATGAATCCCAATCCTTTCTTATGCACAGGGAATTCTGAGTCATTCTATTTAAGATGAGGCGTGGTATGAAACAGGTGTAACTACCACCAAGGAACCTGGAAAAATCAACTACTTGCACTTCCAGATTATTCCATGCTCACATAAACAGCAACTTGAGGGATAAGTTAGCTGCAAAATCCTGGATTTGAATCGGAGCCAGGGAAAGAAAGGCTCCAGGAACTTCATACTCAGTGTTGTCAGCAATTCCCTGTTTTCTGGTTTAGGGGTGGATGTGGTATCCTTCAGTGTTCTGTGTTTCAAATGAATAGCAGAGGTGTCTAACTGGACTGCTTCTGTGGTGTAAGTTTGCTGTACTTCCGGATGTTCTCCCTTTCCTCCTCTCCCCTCCCCTCTTTTGTCCTCCCCTTCCTATTCTTCTTTCTTCCCTCCTCTTGCTTTTAAGGACCACTGATTCTTAAGATTTTGTAACAGTTCTTGGAGATATTCAGTATGCTTTGAATAAAATAACTTCCTGTTTTAATTTTCTTTTGCTTGCAACTAAATCTGCCAGCAGTACAGTTCTGGCCCTTTTAGAAGTCACTATATAGAAGGCTAAGTTAGCCAGAAGCCTTGAGAAACTAATGCAATTATTACAAATGTCCTATTTTCAATGTAAACAACAATAAGGATGAAATCTAATGTGTGGGCTATATAGGCTAAATGTGTGGCTTGAGTTGGTTATTGTGTACTGGTACTTGGCCAAAAGCAATACACTCTATGTACCAGAGTAATCAAGACAAGAGTGGCACTTTAACTATGGTTTGAAATATACATAGAATTTTGCTCTGTGGAATCTGAAAGTATATAACCAAGAAACTTCTAGGATAACTCTAGTATTGTCGGGGAAAGGGCACACGGATTCTTTATGAGGAGCAGAACATAGGAAAACACCCTATTTATGAGGAGAAAACATAGGAAAACAAGAGAAAAGAAAAGAAAAAGTACTAGAGAAATTTGAATATTCTGGTAACTCTAGACACAACAAACTTTAAACAAAGCCAAAATTCTAGCTATGTTAACATAAATTCTCACATTAAAGACTCATTTATCTCAGCTTCCATTACCTGATGCAACATGTCTGGCTTCCAGCAAAATATTGTAAGACATTCTTAAGGGCAAGACATAACAAAGCATCAGAGTTAGACTAAGACACGACACAGATATTGAAATTATCTGACAGAAATTATAAAATAATTATATATGTTAAGAATTTTAACAATAAAGGTAAAGAATATACAAGAACAGATGGTAATATTAGTAGAGAAATGGAAATGCTAAGAAAAAAATAAAAAATAAAATACTAAAAATCAAAAACACTGTAACCAAAAGAAATGTCTTTAATGAGTTCATTGGCAGACCGTACACAGCAGGCTATATGAAATATCAGTGGTCTTGAATATAGGTGAATAGAAACTTTGCCAACTGAAGTTGTTTAGAGAAAAAAATCATCTAATATTTGTGAGATAATATCAGAATATATAATATATGTGTATGTGTAATACTAAAAAGAAGTAGAACAAAGTAGAAGAAATACTTGAAGTAATAATGCCAGAGAATTTTCCAAAATTAATGACAGACACCAAACCATCCATCTGGGAAGCTCAGAGAACACCAGCAGGATAAATACCAAAAAGCACACCTAGACATGTCATATTCAAACTGCAGGAAATCAAAGAAAAAGAAAATACTGAAGAAAGCCAAAGTGGAGATGAATATAAATAACTTAATTATAGTAAATGAGGATAACAATTACAGTAGACTTTTCATATAAACCACCAAAGCAAGAAGAGATTGGAGAGACATCTTTGAAGTGTTGGTGGAAAAATATTACCAACCAAGAACTCTACATTTGGTAAATTATCCTTCAAAATGAAGGGAAAGTAAATAATCTCATGGACAAAAATGGAGGGAATTAACAATTAACTTCCAGCAGATATATTCTGCAACAAATGTTATAGATTATTCAGACAGAAAAAATAAAAGATTTGGGCAAGAAACCCTACTTCTTAAGTGTTAGCAGCACATAGTGACTCTCTCCCTCAGAAGAGTAAAGTATGAAACAGGAAAAAATAGTTACTTTACAATAAAGAACCCTGACAATCACTGCCACTGTCAAATAATCAAGGTTTTCATCCACACTGATCAATTTGGTAGTAGGTACTTTTGATATAACGTGATGAGAATGGCACTGTATCTCTGCTATACCTACCTCCCATTGACTAACTCACCCAATCTAAGCATTAGAAAAATGTAAATAAACCCCAACTGGCAATATTCTATAAAATACCTAAATGTATCTCAAAATTGTCAAGGTCATCAAAACAAGGAAATTCTGATAAGCTGTCACAGTTTAGAACTTTCTAGATAAACATGTTGACAAAGGATATACAACTACTAAATGAAATGTAGTATTTCATTCATACCACATTCCATGGGTGGAATTCTTAGAACATAAAAATATTAGTATGTATCATTCTAATATAAAATATTCACATTATGGGAAAGTTGGTATAGGATATTTGGGATTTCTGCATCATCTTTGGTATTTTTCTGTAAATCTAAAGCAATTCTCAAAATAAAACATTTATTTAAACAAAGTAAAGCAAAAGCAAACAAACACACACAAAAAAGCAATTCCAGTGGCTTTGCAAGTATTATGCTGTGAAAATTTATACCATTATTTTTGGATTTGGAGCTGCTTCATATTCCTCACTCTAGATAGGATAAAGTTACTATTTTCTTGAATATTATTTGAAGGAGAGTGGCAAGATGGCCAAACAGGAATAGCTCCCGTCTGCAGCTCCCAGCAAGACCAATGCAGATGGTGGGTGATTTCTGCATTTCCAACTGAGGTACCTGGCTCATCTCATTGGGACTGATTAGACAGTGGGTGCAGCCCACGGAGGGCCAGCAGAAGCAGAGCGAGGTGTTGCTTCACCCAGGAAGTGCAAGGGGTCTGGGAACTCCCTGCCCTAGCCTAGGGAAGCCATCAGGGACTGTGCTGTGAGGGATGGTGCTATCCAGCCCAGATACTATACTTTTCCGATGGTTTTTGCAACCCACAGACCAGGAGATTCTTCCGGGTGCCCACACCACCAGGGCCCTGAGTTTCAAGCTGGCAGACAGTTTGAGGAAAACTGGTCAGCCATTTGGGCAGACACCAAGCTAGATGCAGAAGTTTTTTTTTTCTTACCCCAGTGGCACCTGAAATGCCAGCAAGACAGAACTGTTCACTGCCCTGGAAAGGGGGCTGAAGTCAGGGAGCCAAGTGGTGTTCCTCAGCGGATCCCACCCCTATGTAACCCAGCAAGAAAAGATCCACTGGCTTGAAATTCTCGCTGCCAGCATAGCAGTTTGAAGTCAATCTGGGATGCTCCTGATTGGAGGGGGGAGGGGCATCAACCATTACTGAGGCTAGAGTGGGCGGTTTTCCCCTCACAGTGTAAACAAAGCTGCTGGGAAGTTTGAACTAGGTGGAACCCACAACAACACTGCAAAGCCACTGTAGTCACACTGCCTCTCCAGATTCCTCCTCTCTGGTCAGGGCATCTCTGATAAAAAGGCAGCAGCCCCAGTCAGGGGCTTATAGATAAAACTCCCATCTCCCTGGGACAGAGCACCTGGGGGAAGAGGTGGCTGTTGACAAAGCTTCAGCAGGCTTAAATGTTCCTTCCTGATGGCTCTGAAGAAAGCAGCAGATCTCCCAGCACAGTACTCGAGCTTTGCTAAGGGAGAGACTGCCTTCTGAAGTGGGTCCCTGAACCCCATGCCTTCTGACTGGGAGACACCTGCCAGCAGGGTTGACAGACAACTCATACAAGAGAGATCCAACTGGCCTCTGGCAGGTGCCCCTCTGGGCTTCCAGAAGAAAGAGCAGGCAGCAGTCTTTGCTATTCTGCAGCCTCCACTGGTGATACACAGGAAAACAGGGTATGGAGTGTACCTCAAGCAAACTCCAACAGACCTGCAAAGAGGGGCTTGACTGTTAGAAGGAGAACTAACAAACAGAAAGGAATAACCTCAACATCAACAAAAAGGATGCCCATGCAAAAACCCCATCCAAAGGTCATCAGAATCAAAGATCAAAAACAGATAAATCTACGAAGATGAGAAAAAACAATGCAAAAATGCCAGAAATTCCAAAAAACAGAATGCCTCTTCTTCTCCAGAGGATCACGACTCCTTGCCAGCAAGGGAACAAAACTGAACAGAGAATGAATTTTATGAATTGACAGAAGTAGGCTTCAGAAGGTGAGTAATAACAAACTCCTCCAAGTTAAGGAGTATGTTCTAACCCAATGCAAGGAAGCTAAGAACCTTGATAAAAGGTTACAGGAACTGCTAACTAGAATAACCAGTTTAGACAAAAACATGAATGACCTGATGGATCTGAAAAACACAGCACAAGAACTTCATGAAACATATACAAGCACAATAGCTGAATCGATCAAGCAGAAGAAAGGATATCAGAGATTGAAGATCAACTTATTGAATAAACTGTGAAGACAAGATTAGAGGGGAAAAAAAGGAATAAACAAAGCCTCCAAAAAATATGGGACTATGTGAAAAGACGAAATCTATGATTGATTGGTGTACCTGAAAGTGACGGGAAGATTGGAACAAAGTTGGAAAACACACTCCAGGATATTATCCAGGAGAACATCCCCAACCTAGCAAGACAGGGCAACATTAAAATTCAAGTAGTACAGAGAACACCACTAAGGTACTTCTTGAGAAGAGCAGCCCCAGGACACATAATCCTCATATTCACCAAGGTTTAAATGAAGAAAATAATTTGAAGGGCAACAAGAGAGAAAGGTCAGGTTATCAACAAAGGGAAGCCAATCAGAATAACAGCAGATCTCTCTGCAGAAACCCTACAAGTCAGTAGAGAGTAGGGACCAATATTCAACATTCTTAAAGAAAATTATTTTCAAACCAGAATTTCATATTTAGCCAAACTAAGCGTCATATGCAAAGGAGAAATAAAATCCTTTACAGACAGGCAAATGTTGAGGGATTTTGTCACCACCAGGCCTGCCTTACAAGCACTCCTGAAGGAAACAATAAAGATGGAAAGGAAAAATCTATACCAGCCACTGCAAAAAAATCCCAACATGTAAAGACCATCAACACTATGAAGAAACTGCATCAACTAATTGTGCAAAATAACCAGCTAGCATCATAATGGCAGGATAAAATTCACACATACAATATTAATATTAAACGTAAATGGGCTAATTGCCCCAATTAAAAGACACAGATTGAGAAATTGGATAAAGAGTCAAAACCCATCAGTGCGTTGTATTCACGAGACCCACGTCACGTGCAAAGACACACCTAGGCTCAAAATAAAGGGATGGAGGAATATTTACCAAGCAAACGGAAAGAAAAAAAAAAGAGTTGCAATCCTAGTATCTGATAAAACAGACTCAAAAAAGACAAAGAAGGGCATTACATAATGGTAAAGGGATCAATGCAACAAGAAGACCTAACTATCCTAAATATATATGCATCCAATAGAGGAGCACCCAGATTCATAAAGCAAGTTCTTAGAGACCTACAAAGAGACTTAGACTCCCACACAATAATAGTGGGAGACTTTAACACCCCACTGTCAACATTAGACAGATCAAGAAGACAGAAAATTAACAAGGATATTCAGGACTTGAACTCAACTCTGGACCAAGCAGACCTAATAGACATCTACAGAACTCTCCACCCCAAATCAACAGAATAGACATACTTCTCAGCACCACATATAACTTATTCTAAAATTGACCACATAATTGGAAGTAAAACACTCCTCAGCAAATGCAAAAGAATGGAAATCATAACGGACAGTCTCTTAGACCACAGTGCAATCAAATTAAAACTCAGGATTAAGGAACTCACTCAAAACTACACAACTACATGGAAACTGAACAACCTGCTCCTAAATGACTCCTGGGTAAATAACGAAATGAAGGCAGAAATAACTAAGTTCTTTGAAACCAATAAGAACAAAGACACAATGTACCAGAATCTCTGGGAGACAGCTAAAGCAGTGTTAAAGGGAAATTTATAGCACTAAATACCCACATGAGAAAGTGGGAAAGATCTAAAATCAACACACTCACATCACAATGAAAAGAACTAGAGAAGCAAGAGCAAATAAATTCAAAAGCTAGCAGAAGACAAGAAATAATTAAGGTCAGAACAGAACTGAAGGAGATAGAGACACGAAAAACCCTTCAAAAAAAATCAGTGAATCCAGGAGATGGTTTTTTAAAAAGATTATCAAAATAGACAGACAGCTTAGCGAGACTAATAAGGAAGAAAAGAGAGAAAAATCAAATAGACACAATAAAAAATGATAAAGGAAATATCACCACTGTTCCCACAGAAATACAAACTACCCTCAGAGAATACTATAAACACGTCTATACAAATAAACTAGAAAATCTAGAATAAATGAATAAATTCCTGGACACATACACCCTCCCAAGACTAAACCAGGAAGAAGTTGAATCCCTGAATAGACCAATAACAAGTTCTGAAATTGAGGCAGTAATTAAAAGCCTACCTACCAAAAAATGCCCAGGACCAGACAGATTCACAGCTGAATTCTAACAGAGGTACAAAGAGGAACTGGTACCATTCCTTCTGAAACTATTGCAAACAATAGAAAAAGAGGGACTCCTCCCTAACTCATTTTATGAGGCCAGCATCATCCTGATAGCAAAACCTGGCAGAGACACAACAAAAAAAGGAAATTTCAGGTCAATATCTCTGATGAACATTGATGCGAAAATCCTCAATCAAATACTGGCAAACCGAATCCAGCAGCACATCAAATGGCTTATCCACCACAATCAAGTAGGCTTCATCCCTGGGATGCAAGGCTGGTTCAACATAAGCAAATCAACAAACGTAATCCATCACATAAACAGAACCAATGACAAAAACCATATGATTAGCTCAATAGATGTATAAAAGGCCTTCAATAAAATTCAGCACCCCTTCATGCTAAAAAAACACTCAATAAATGAGGGATAGATGGAACTTATCTCAAAGTAATAAGAGCTATTTATGAGAAACCCACAGCCAATATCATACTGAATGGGAAAAAGCTGGAAGAATTCCCTTTGAAAACCAGCATAAGACAAGGATGCCCTGTCTCACCACTTGTATTCAATATAGTATTGGAAGTTCTGGCCAGGGAAACTAGGCAAGAGAAAGAAATAAAGGGTATTCAAATAAGAAGAGAGGAAGTAAAATTGTCTCTGTTTGCAGATGACATAATTGTATATTTAGAAAACCCCATCGTCTCAGCCCAAAAGCTCCTTAAGCTTATAAGCACCTTCAGCAAAGTCTCAGGATACAAAATCAATGTGCAAAAATAATAAACATTCCTATACACAATAATAGACAGAGAGCCAAATCATGAGTGATCTCTTGTTCAGAATTGCTACAAAGAGAATAAAATACCTAGGGATAAAACTTACAAGAGATGTGAAGGACTTCTTCAAGGAGAACTACAAAACACTGCTCAAGGAAATAAGAGAGGACACAAACAAATGGAAAAACATTCCATGCTCATGGATTGGCAGAATCAATATCATGAAAATGGCCATACTGCCCAAAGTAATTTATATATTCAATGCTATTTCCATCAAGCTACCAATGACTTTCTTCACAGAATTATTAAAAAAAACTACTTTAAATTTGATATGGAACCAAAATGAGCCCATATAGCTAAGACAATCCTAAGCAAAAAGAACAAAGCTGGAAGGATCACATTACCTGACTTCAAACTATACTACAAGTCTACAGTAACCAAAACAGCATGGTACTGGTACCAAAACAGATATATAGACCAATGGAACAGAACCAAGACCTCAGAAATAACACCACACATCTACAACCCTCTGATCTTCAACAAACCTGACAAAAACAAGTAATTGGAAAAGGATTCCCTATTTAATAAATGGTGTTGGGAAAACTGGCTAGCCATATGCAGAAAACTGAAACTGGACCACTTCCTTACATTTTATACAAAAATTAACTCAAGATGTATTAAAGACTTTAATGTAAGGCATAAAACCATAAAAACCCTAGAAGTAAACCTAGGCAATATCATTCAGGACATAGGCATGGGCAAGGACTTCATGACTAAAACACCAAAACCAATGGCAAAAAAGTCAAAATTGACAAATGGGATCTAATTAAACTAAAGAGCTTCTGCACAGCAAAAGAAACTATCATCAGAGTGAACAGGAAACCCACAGAATGAGACAAAATTTTTGCAATCTATCCATCTGACAAAGGGCTAATATCCAGAATCTACAAGAAACTTAAAGAAGTTTATAGGAAAAAAAAAAAAACATCAAAAAGTGGGTGAAGGATATGAACAGAAACTTCTCAAAAGGAGAAATTTATGCATCCAAGAAACATAAAAAAAAAGTTCATCAGTACTGGTCATTAGAGAAATGCAAATCAAAACCAAAATGAGATGCCATCTCATGCCAGTTAGAATGGCAATCATTAAAAAGTCAGGAAACAACTGATGCTGGAGAAAATGTGGAGAAATGGGAATGCTTTTACACTGTTGGTGGGAGTGTAAATTAGTTCAGCCATTGTGGAAGACAGTGTGGCGATTCCTCAAGGATCTAGAACCAGAAATACCGTTTGACCCAGCAATCTCATTAATGTCTATGTACCCAAAGGATTATAAATCATTCTACTATAAAGACTCATGCACATGTATGCTTATTGCAGTACTATTTCCAATAGTAAGCACTTGGAACCAATCCAAATGCTCATCAGTGATAAACTGGATAAAGAATATGTGCCACATACACACCATGGAATACTATGCAGCCATATAAAAGAATGAGTTCACATCCTTTGTAGGGATATGGATGAAACTGGAATCCATCATTCTCAGCAAACTATACTGGAACTGAAAACCAAACGTCGCATGTTCTCACTCATAAGTTGGGTTGAAAAATGAGAACACATGGACAAAGGGAGGGGACTATCACACACTGGGGCCTGTTGTGAGGTGGAGGGCAATGGGAGGAATAGCTCTAGGAGAAATATCTAATATAGATTGTAAGTTGATGGGTGCAGTAAACCACCATGGCACATGTATACCTATGTAACAAACCCGCACGTTCTGCACATGTATCCCAGAACTTAAAATATAATGAAAGAAAGAAAATAATGAAATCTTTACTTTTTTAAGCATAATTCAGTATCTCAATTTTAATCTAGTATTATAGACACAGAATTGAAAATAAAAGTAACGTTGAGTTTTTTTAATACAAAATAATGGAAATAATTATAGGAGACAGTGACATTATCTTATTGGAAATAATGTAAAATAATTCATGCACTAACAATCTTTGCTTTTAAGTTTTTTAGAAAAGTTGACAGCAGTTGTTCTTCTATGAATCTTAAAAAATGGATAAGCTTGTTTAGCATCTTTCTGAAGGATTTACACATGTTTTAATTTGTATGAGTTAGTTTTAATTTAGAGAGTTCTACACAATTGCTGAAATACCAGAACCAGATTTTAAGATGAGGAGATAAAGTATCTTGCTTATGTTCATCTGGAGGGCTTTTTTCCTGAGCAAGATAGGGGGCTAATTTGTTCCCTTGATTAGAAAACCTGTCTTAGGTTTCATTCATATGTCAGCCAGCTGACTTTGCTACATAAACTGAGCAAAGGCTACTCTTGTGATATTCATCGACAGGATATTTTTAAGACTGGACTCCCAAGGTCTTGCTGTTAATCCTTCCAACTTTTCAGGGAGTACTACAATTTACAGATGAAGAGACATTGAAAGACTAGGTGATGTGCCAGAGGATGCAATGCAGTCTGAATTAGGGGTAGGATAGGTTTGTATTGAAGCTCAGTTCTTTATCTTCATGTATATTCCCTCCCCACATCTTAGAACCTGGTCCAGTGTGTGCGTTTCTTATGCAATGTACTGGAAGTAACATTGTTATGGGATAGGTCATATCTCCCTCTACCCCAAAGATGAATCGAAGTCCTAACCCTCAGTACCTTAGAATGTGACCTTTTATAAAAATACTGTTCTTAAAGGTGTAATCAATTTAAAATGAGGTCTTTAGAGTAGGCCCTAAACCCAATAATGACAGTTTCCTTTTAAAAATCGAAAATTTGGACACAGACACAGATATACACAGGAGGAAGATGATAAGGGCTGCAGGGAGAATGTCATGTGCAGATGGAGGCAGAGATGGGAGTTATGCTGCTATAAGCTGAGAAACACTAAGGATCCATGGCCACCACCAGAAGCTCAGAAGAGGCAAAGGAGGATCTTCTCTACAGGCTTCAGAAGGAGCATGGCCCTGCCAACACCTAGATTTCAGACTTTAGCTTCGTAGAACTGAGAGACAATAAATTTATGTTATATTAAGCCTCTCAGTTTTGGGTATTTTTTTATAGTAGCATGACAAAATTTTTACAAAAAACAAAACAAAATTTGGGTTACACTAAATATTCCCATACTGTTTTACGATAATTTCACCTTTCTATTTCACTTGCTATATTTTGCTACAGAATGAATGCAAGAATTTTATCAAATTTTCCTCCAACTCATCCAGGTTCTATTCACAGATTTTTTTCATGCTATCATTCTTCTACAAATTGATTACTTCTCCAGACAATTGTAAGGAGCATTCATCTTTTCCTATTATTTCAGATGTTTCCAAGCCTTAAAGAGAACAGCACTTGTCTTTTTTTTAGAAATCGAACTCTCACTTGATTCCTCCATATTAGTAATTTTTTAAAAAATAATTTATTGTCCCATCATTGTAGATCCTGCTTCAAATTCCTCACATATTTCTATACCCTGCCATATATTGGCAAGGCTTGAGTTAAAGAATTGAATAGAAGTACCTATGAATTCACAGAACAAAGTGGATGTTATTTTACTTCTTCACCATGTGGGTGTGCATGCACGCACCTGAGTACATGTGCATGTTTTTGTTTCCATGTGAGTGTATATGCACAAATATGTATCCTTCTGATTCTCTTTTAATTCAATTTATTAATAACATTAAATTGAATTATCTAAGCATACACAACTAGGGAAAGTAGCACAAAGGTATGTTGAGGGCCCGAAATCAGCCTGGCTCTGCATATTTGCTGTGGAAAATTTACATACAAATATTTCAAAGTTAAGCCTGATAAATTTCTTTCTTTATTACACTAAATGATAGGTCAGTTGACATAAACATTTAATGCGCTTTTAAAAATGAACTATTCTTGCTGTCTTCCAAAAGAAGCAGGAGGAATGCAAAAGAAAGTACTTTACCTCCAAAATTTAATCAGACAATATAATACAATAGCTTACTTCATAATTTGTTATAATAAATATAAGAAGTGCATTATAAGATTTATGATTTATGTAACAAAATTAATTGTTCATTTCACTGGCATACATATTCCTGACTTTAAATCCTATTTTACATTTTATGTAAATATCTTCTGCTATAACATTTTCTAAAAGTCATATCATTTGTATTTAAGTTCACATAATTCCTTAAGATCCTAACTGACAGTGGCTAAAGGAATTGCTAAATATAAGTCACTTCTACAGCTTCTTCAGTTAAGGCCATTTAAAAAGAAAATATATCATCATAGCAAAAGCATTCTATTATGTTCTATCAAAGCCAGTTGATGTAATTTTCATTTTAACAACACAAAATACACTTACATGTGAATCTTTTATCCTCTAATAAACATAATTTGGTACTTGTGCTGTGCTTCCCTCTAATTGCAACCTTATCTTTTATGCTAAAGACAACCTCAAACTATGGGTAAGAAGAGGAATTTTTTTTCTTTCATGAAAAGGCTTAATTATATAGTCTCACAATTGTCCTTGTTGCTTAGTATTTGCCTTCCTTTCAAAACACAATACGCCAATTCATCAAGTAATCATTCTACCTGCTTTTTTATCTCTAATTTCTCATATTCATCTGAAAGCTTTAAAAATAATTATTTTATAATGCATCTACATTTGTCTTACTTTCAATTAAGATGGTTCATTTCTAAATGCTTTCAGTCCTAACCTCTACCATTAGCAAATATGCAACTTCCAAAAGACATGAAAGCTTTTATAAGATCAAAATATGGAAATCCTTAGATCAGAGGATTAGGAATGAAATCTATACCCTTTATCTGACAGTTACTGGTTTGAATTGGACCAACTATTTCCAGATTTGTATATATGGATTACACAGTCTATGAATACCAAACTTTTTTTCTTTTTATCTTTTTCCTTTATCTGACTTTTTAGTGAAAGTCAGATAAAGGAGATACAATATATGATAGCTCATCTTTTAAAACCATTACAAACAAATTAAACCTCTTTTATTATAATTGCTAGCATTTGATACTGCAGCATTTGCAATAATTCTGAATTCTTGTGTCTGAGTTTTTCCACCAAGGAGAATGGGCTTTGAATTATAAAATATTTTCCTGGAGAATCATCTTGCAAGCCAACCATTACCTAAGAAACATGATATGCACAGTGGAAATTTTGTCTCTCAAATTTTCTAACATTTTCTACAATTATATTTAACTAAGAGATGTTTATTCTTGATCCATTATAGGACTTCTTTTTTTTATTTTAAAGACGTGATTATTACAATTTTTATTTAAAAAATAAATGTTACACTGTTATCCATAATTCTCAAATGTGTTTTACCAAGAAATGAAAAATCATTTTTAAAATAACATAAGCAGGTTTAAGTCTTACCAGCTAAGCAGCTTTTGCTAAGACATAAATTCTGTGAATCATAATTTTCTCATCAGTCCAATGAATATTACAATAATACATAGCTCAGAATGATAATTCAGTCAAGAAACAAATTTTCAATACCCACTGTCTTTTATAAGCTCTTTTGAGTGCTGAGGATACCATTTTTAAATACAACTAGGAAATCCCTGATTTCCTGGAGCTTACACTCTTGGAGGCAGCAAAGTAAGTGAAAATAAATAACAAATAAGTATACAGTAGACCCCCTATCCAAAGGGCATCTGTTCCAAATTCCTCAGTAGATGTCGGAAACTGCAGACCATACTGAAACCTACATATGTTATGTATTTTCCTATACATACACACCTATAATAAAGTTCAATTTATAAGTTAGGCACAGTAAGAGTTAGGCCATTCTTGCATTGCTGTAAAGAAACATCTGAGACTTGGTAATTTATAAACAAAATTAGCTCATGTTTCTGCAGGCTGTACAAGCATGGAGCCAGCATCTGCTCAGTGTCTGAGGAGGCCTCAGTTAGCTGTTACTCATGGCAGAAGGTGGAAGATAAAGTGAAGAGTAGGCACGTCACATGGCCAGAGCAGGAGCAAGAGACAGAGTGGGTGGGGAGGTGCCATACACTTTTAAACAACCAGATCTTGCAAAACTCACTTGCTGTGGCAAGGACTGCACCTAACTATGAGGGATCCAAACCCATGACCCAGACATCTCTCACCTGGCCCCACCTCCAACATTGGGGATTACATTTCAGCGTGAGATTTGGGTGGGGACAAATATTCAATCTATACCAAAGAGATAAACAGACACTAAGAATAAAATAGAACATTAATAGCAATATAGCAATATACTATAATAAAAGTAATGTGAATGTGGTCTCTCTCCCTCTCTCTCTCTCAGAATATCTTATTATACTGTACTTACCTACATTTGGACCCCCAGTTGACCGACGGTAACTGAAACCATGGAAAGGAAATGTGTGGATAAGATGAGACTACTAGATATAATACTGGGAGTTTATAAGTTCAATGCAGAAGAATGAACAGGGCAAGCAACTTGAGAATAAGTTGGAAGGATGCTATTTAAATTAAGGATTATTTGTAAAAATCTCTTTGCTAAAGTGACATTTGAGCAGGGACCAAAATTAAGTGAGCCATTTATGAAAGCATTTGAGGAAGGAGGAAGAAGTAAGTGTAATGGTCCTGAACGGAGCATGTGTGGTGTTTTCAAATAGCAGCAAACAGGCCATTATGGCTGCAGCTGAATGAAAAATGATGAGAATGGAAGTAGTTGGGATCCAAAAGGCTGGCATGAAGAAGCAGAGAATGGAGAAATGAACAGATCATGTAGAACACAGTACACATGATACATTTGAGCCTGAGTGAGGCCAGAAGTCATTGCAAAGTCATGAGCAGAGAAGTGACAAGGTGTGATCTATGTTTTGGGGAGATCAGTTGGGCTGTTCATAAAAAATAGACTGGCAGTAAGCAGAGTAGAAGCTGGGAGTTCATTTAGCGGGTATATCCAGATTTGTTCCTGCTTTGGGGGTTTCTGCAGGCTACCTCTACTCAGGATGCTATCTCCCCATTCTTTAAGTCTGACTTCTCAGTCATTAAATTTTGACTCAAATGTTATCTTGTTAGAAATGTCCAACAATGATAGACTGAATTAAGAAAATGTGGCACATATACACCATGGAATACTATGCGGCCATAAAAAAGGATAAATTCATGTCCTTTGTAGGGGCATGGATGAAGCTGGAAACCATCATTCTCAGCAAACTATCACAAGGACAAAAAACCAAACACCACATGTTCTCACTCATAGGTGGGAATTGAACAATGAGAACACATGGACACAGGAAGGGGAACATCACACACTGGGGCCTGTTGTGGGGTGGGGGAAGGGGGGAGGGATAGCACTAGGAGATACACCTAATGTTAAATGACCAGTTAATGGGTGCAGCACACCAACATGGCACATGTATACATATGTAACAAACCTGCACGTTGTGCACATGTACCCTAAAACTTAAATTATAATATAAAAAAAAAAGAAAATCCTTCCCAGACCACCCTTTCTAAACTTTTTCTTTCATGAATACATTTTCTTCATAAGCTGATTATTATTTAAAATTATTAATTTTTTGCTTCTTTGTTAATTGAATGTTTTCTCTACTAGACCAAGAAAACTATCTGTCATTTTTCAGCCATTGGATTCCACTTTTCCTAAAAGTATAACTAGAACATGATAGGTGCTCAAGTTATATTTCATGATAAAAGAATAAATACCATGCATAATAAAATTACTTGAAAACGAAAGTTTAACAATTCCATAATATATTAATGAAAAAGAATCCATGTCTAAAGCTTAGTCAGGTTCTTTTGAGTCTTCTTTTTGACTAGGTCTCAACCTTGGCCCTCATCCCTGCTGGGCTCATAGCCCAGTCTTAGCGAGAATCCTGCTAAGTTAGTTTAGAAAGAATCTTCTACCCTTGATCACTCTCAAAATCTAATTGAATTTCTTATTTCCCACTCTTGACATCTGATCACACTCACCTGCCTAAAGCAAAAATTATTCAAGTTGTTTTGGCAAGAATTCTCATACCTTGATGTTTCTTCTTGTTAATTTTCTATCTACCAACCCCTTCCCAACTCTGGCTTCTTGGCTATAAATCATCACTTACCCTTGTTGTATTTGGAGTCAAGCCTTATCTTTTAATACAATACTCAGTTGCAATAGTCTTAAATAGTCTTTCTGCTAGAATAATATTTTCTTTTACACTTATACAATCAAATACCTAAGTTGAAAATTGTTACTATTTATGCATGTTTGCATTGCTCCAATTATTTCACTATTATTCATAACTTCAGTATAAAGACATTTCTGCTGATATCATTAAAAGTTGTTATTTTGTTATTCAATATACATAATGGATTCTGAAGTGTCGTTAGGGCAAGCTCATCTATTCAAACCAATCATTCCGTTAAAAACAAATAGAATGTCAGTTTAAATATTAAAACAAAAACCACAAGAAACAAAACTTCATATAAACATCAAAATTCTGATAACTTAATAAAGAGTTAGTTACAAGGCCAAAATCAAAGAGAAAAATGAGAACTCAGAAGGTTAAGGTGAGCTTTAATAGCTGCTTTTGTCACGCTTTAGCCTAAACAGGATACAAACTTGAAAGATGCTTAAAAAAAAAGAAAACTGCCCCATTCTACATTTACATTGAAAAATGTAACGACAGATCAATGAGTCAATTAGAAAATAATAAAAAAATTGTCAGACTTTATTTAATATATAAAACAACAAACAAAGCATACAAAATCTTTACTATATATATATATACACACACACACACAGGCTCAACTTCAAATACAACAAGGGTAAGTGATGATTTATAGCCAAGAAGCCAGAGTGGGGAAGGAGTTGATAGATAGTGGTTGAAAAGTCTCCTCTTATAGTTTACCCTTGAACAATGAGAGGGTTAGGGATGCTGACTCATGCAATTGAAAATCCATGTATAACTTTTGACTCCCCAAAACCTTTACTACAAATAGCCTACTGTTGACCGGAAGCCTTACTGAGTAACATAAACAATTAACACATATTTTGTATGCTAGATGCATAATACATTGTATTCTTATAATCAAGTAAGGTAGATAAAAGAAAATGTTATTAAGGAAATCATAAGGAAGAGAAAATATGTTTACTGTTCATTTTCATTCCTCAGAGTCTCTATTACACTTATAGAAATTGAATTGATATATCAAATCAAATAAGTGGATTTGAATTCCCAGGACCTAGAACAGTGATTTGTACATGGTAGATACTCAATAAATAATTTGTTAATTGAATTTTATGAATCACATTGTGGCATAAGAAATTATGAAGTTATGTATAATAAAATATGTATGTATTTGTGTGTGTATATATATACATATATAGATATACATTTAATTAATTAATTAATTTATTTATTTATTGAGACTGGGTCTCAGTCTGTCACCTGGGATAAAGTGGTGTGTTGTGATCATGGCTTTCTACAACCTCTAACTCCAGTGCTCAAGTGATCCTCCCACCTCAGCCTCCCAAGTAGCTGAAAATATAGGCATGCACCACCATGCCGAGGTAATTTTTTTTTTTTTTCTGTAGAGAGTGGGTCTCACTACGTCATGCAGGCTGGCCTTGTGCTGGTCTCCAGTGATCCTCCTGTTTCCCAAAGTGCTGGGATTACAGGCATGAGCCACTGTGCCCAGCCCATAAGAAGTATTTATTTTCCTCACAAAATCTGATTGTATTACATCTGCCATTTGCACATGCCATGTCACTGTGCATACTGATGACAGAATTACCATGTTCTAGAACTTCAGTCATAGGCAAGATACTTTTTGAGATTGCCTTATAATAACATTGTATACATTTTCGTTTTTAAACAATCAATGTAGCAGGCTAATTAGCTTACTCATTTTTTTTTTAAGGAAAGGATTTTTAAAAGGTTATTTTTGTACAGACTTTTATAAGACACTGAAATAACAGAGACGAATGCCAAATAACAGGAAGAGAAACCAATTCTATGATAAATCTCAGAAAACAATATGGATGATACCAGACAAATATCCATATTAACCATGCTTTTTTAAAAAACATTATGTGTAGTAAGAGAACAAGATAAAAAAATTAAACCAAGAGAAAAGAAGGAAAGAAAGGAAAAAATTTGTATATCAGCAATTCTTCCAGGCATTTTCAGCATATTAGTTTGTGTTATTTTTCAAGTTCTGTACATATTAAGTATCATGATGATCCAATGAAGACATTGATACATGGAAAGCTTAAGCTTAAAGAAATATTTTCTCTCTCTCTCTTTTTTTTTTTTTTTTTTTTTTGAGGCAGAGTCTCACTCTGTCGCCCAGGCTGCAGTGCAGTGGCATGATCTTGGCTCACTGAACCCTCCGCCTCCTGGGTTCAAATGATTCTCCCTCCTCAGCCTGAGTAACTGGGATTACAGGCACCTGATGCCACACCTGGCTAACTTTTGCATTTTTTGGTAGAGAGGGGTTTCTCCATGTTGGTCAGGCTGGTCTCAAACTCCTGACGTCATGATCCGCCCGCCTTGGACTCCCTAACTGCTGGGATTACAGGCGTGAGCCACTGCGCCCGGCCTAAAGAAAAATTTTCAAGGACCTATCCTAGTATGAAGCACTTGCAAAGGTCTTTAAATAGTTATCTTTAATTCAAATGTATGTATTAATGTATATCTTTCTCTTTATATCTGTGTGCAATTACATTGTGTTATGATATTGATGGGAATGCTGAGGCCGGGCTTGTGGGCTTGTTACCCGTGGTAGTGCTTACATGGCTTAGCTGAACCCCTACCCCACTTTGGTTGCTCAATACAATGCCTACATGATTTAACTGGATCCATATAATGCCTAAGTGACTTAGCTGGACGCCTACCCTGCCTATGTTGCCCAAGGCAGTGTCTAATGGACAGCCAAATTTCTACTCAGCTTTAACTCTGTTTCATTCTGATAATTAGCATGTCTGAGACTGTTAAGTTTCTTCCTAGGACTAAATCAACTGAAGTTGGCAGAATCCACAATGGCATCTTGACCTCTGAAGAACCTCTAGCTTCATTTCACTTTCCATGATAAATGACAATGACAGTTGACAATTACCATGACAATGACTAGAAGAGACCCAAAAAGGACAGAAAAGAGGTGGTTCCTTAATTCTAAGAAAATCTCTCTCTTTTCAAGTAAAACATGAATATTTCTCCCCTGCCTCTTAATGCCTAGCCCCATCATTATAAATATACCCTATATTTGTAAATTCCCTCTTCTCAAGAGCTGAGAAGTTGATTTGTGAGCTACACTCCCACTTCTCCCATTCTATGACCATTGAATAATATTTGCACTGCTTGACACTCACTTTGTGTTTTGCATATTGGCTTTGTGACACTGGATGGAAAAGAGCTCCCTTTTTGGAGTAACCAGGACCCCCAGTAAGAGATTCACTTGAACCAAGACATGTTAAGTCTGCAAACTGTATGTACTAATTTTTATGCTTCCTATTATAAGTGGTATTATGATGCTCATAAAGCTATTTCAGTGTATATCTTTTTTTTCCAATAGTAAAAGCTAAAGGGCAATTTTCCATTTCAAGCAAATATTAAATACTATCATTCTGTCACATGTTTTTGTCATCATATCATCATCATCATTATAATCATTATCATTATTTTAATGATCATTGCTATTATTATTTTATTCCACTTCTAGATGTAAACTAGTAAAAGTAGTTCTTTAACTTTTTGTGATTTTGTCATTACAGATATAAATTGAATATGTGAAAACAATCCTTTAATAAGCAAGTAGTATCAGTCTTAACTTTCTATGAATCTTTGACTTTATTTCTAAATGAATGTGTTTGTTGAATAGCAGTTTTTAAAGATGCTACTTTTTGCTCAGATATAAAATGTTTCCAATATAATAAATGAGAAATTCCACAATCTACATTTCTCAAATTAGTAAGGATAATTTCTTCTTGAATTCTGGTAGATTTAGGACGTTTTTTAAATTATTGAATTTATCTTGGTCTCACACTGAATTTTTTCTTTTTTTCTCTCTCTTTCTTTTTTTTTAGAGTCTGAGTCTCATGCTGTTTCCCAGAATGGAGTATTGTGGCGCGATCGTGGCTCACGGCAGCCTCCACCTCTTGGTCTCAAGCCATCTTCTTGTCTGAATCTTCTGAGTAACTGGGACTACAGGCATGTGCCACTTCATCCTGTTAACTTTAAACATTTTTTGTAGAGATGAGGCCTCGCAGTTTTTCCCACGTGGCCTCAGACTCCTGGCCTCAAGTGAACCTCCTGCCTTGGCCTCCCAAAGTGCTGGGATTATAGAGGTAAAGCATTGGCCTTGAATGTTTTCTTAATAAGGAACATTGTTAAAGACACATTTAAATGTTATGTAATTTTTAACTCATCAAAAGTTTGATTTTATATTCTAACATATATTATTTTCTCTCATTTGTTTTATGCTAAACAACACTTATTTTAGTATAGGCAATTTTCAAGGTGTGTAATCAATTTCGTTTTGGCCATGGTAAATAGCTGAGATCTCAGTTCACCTCAACAAAATTTTCATTGCAATTTGCCCTTAAGCTGAATACTACTAACAACTAAACACAACACTCTGTCTCTGGGAGAAGCAATAAAAATTTTGTTAATGTATTTAAGAATGTGATTTCAGCCCTCACTGCTCCAGGTTGTTAATGAAACACAATTCCTACATATAGCAAATTGCCTTTCTCTAATGATCTTACCTTGAAGGTGAAATAATAAATAATTTCACTATACCATCATTGTCTATTCTTTTTCTTTTTTTTTTTTTTTTTTCTTATTTTTGAGATGGAGTCTCGTGCTGTCGCCCAGCCTGGAGTGCAGTGGCGCGATCTCGGCTCACTGCAACTTCCGCCTCCCGGGTTCACGCCATTCTCCTGCCTCAGCCTCCTGATTATCTGGGACTACAGACGCCCGCCACAACGCCCGGCTAATTTTTTTGTATTTTGAGTAGAGACGAAGTTTCACCATGTTAGCCAGGATGGTCTCGATCTCCTGACCTCGTGATCCACCCACCTCGGCCTCCCAAAGTGCTGGGTTACAGGCGTGAGCCACCACCCCCAGCCCATCATTGTCTATTCTTTATCCACATTTTAATTTCAAAATTAGACTCTAATCTTTGAATTATTTTCTCTGCTGTGGACAGAAAAAGTGCAGGTACTTTTTAATACATTGATATTCATGCATTAGTACTGAATACTACTTGTATGGAAGTAAATGAACAAGATGTCTTTTCTTTGGTACACTAAGGAATACATATTTTCTTAGAATTTTCAAAATGTTTTTGTTGTTATTCATATTGTAGGTTTCACATACTGGTGGTTAAGGGTAAACTTGTCAATAATGAATCCTAGAATGATAAATAGAATGTGCTTTATTATTTCTTGTAAGGCGTTTTGCAATTATTCCATCACGATCTCCACAATACCATCTTTAAAAATCTAAGGTCTAATTTTTCACTATTTTTCATGGGACAGTAAGGTATTTTACCCTTCAACAAGTGTTTATTGAAATTTCTTTGTGCAAATACACATATAGAAGAACATTTATGAAATTACATGATATACAAAATTAAGAAGCATTTCTGCAGAATGTGACTTTTTTTTGCCATAGCCAAAGCTTCTCCACATAAGCACACATATACACAAATAATTGAATCAAAAATTCAGAATATACTAAATACTATATTTACCTTTGAAAATCCAGAGGTATATTGTACATTTAAAACTTATTTACTGCATCCAAATTTTTCCACATTGCTTGACATTGGTCATATTTACTCTAGTTCATATAAACATCAATGCAAAATGCTGTTCTAGATAATAGAGAATCACTAAATTTCTGGAATCTGTAAGGACAAGGGCCATGTCTATGTGTATCCCAGTATCTAGTGCATTGTCTTGCATATTAAAATTGGTCTATATATTTGTTGAACAAATGTGTGAAAGGAGTAATCAAACATCAGCTTTGCTTCAGAAAAATTAATCTTCTAACAATGTGTATATCTGAGTGAAGTAGGGAAAATTTGAAGTAGAGAACTTAGGCAAGAAGCTATTACAACTGTTAAGATAGATGCTATGAAATCACCATAAGCATTCTGCATATTTTTAATGTAATGCTGACTCTGTTTAGCTGCATAAGTATCGTAAGTCCATAATAATGCAGATTCAATTTATGTTTTGAGTTTTAGTCTTTGTGCTAATACTTTAATAAACACGTTTGAAATGTTGTTCTGATACTTCAGGTGCAGTTTGTTGGATTCATATATTATGCAGTTGTTTTCAACTTCTCCATTAATACCACCAGTGAGCCATACCTAATGCTACAGACAAAACAAGATGACCAAAGAGCGTTTACTCAATCAGTGTCAGCCATTCTCACTGGAATTCTGTTATGCTTCAATAAACAGGTGAGACAACCCTAAGTAAATACTAAATGACAAGTTAATGTGGGAAAATTGGAGGCAAAGTGGAGTGAAAAAAAATCACCAAAGTGCAAATACAAAATTAAGCCAAACTACTTATTATGTTGCAAAATTTTTCTGCTTTAAACAACCTTTTATGTTTGCCTAGTGAGATCACATTCTTCCTGTAAACTTAAGCTTGAGTCCTGCCTCTTTCAAGATTTCTTTTCAAATATCTGCTACTGGAGTGTGCCTTTTTCCAATTAACTCACCCAAAAACTTTTTATTAAGCACCTACTATATGCCAGATATTATTCTACATGCTGAGGATACAGCAGTGAATAAAACAGAGCAAGAATCTGATATGGTGGAACTTATATTCTAGCATGAAAGGCAGACAATAAACAGCAATAAGGTTTGCCAAGTAGTGGTAAGAACAATGGAGAAAAGTGGATAAACCATATCACAAAAATTATGACTGTTGGTGTGATAAGCATTTGTATTTATGTCATCCCTTTAGTGGATTAATTGTAATAAAAATTCTGATTCAATATTTTGATCTTTGACCTCAGACAACTTTAAGTCTCAAGCTCCTTTCTCTCCTCTGCTCCACATCTGGAAAAGATGATACGAAAACACAGGTGTTCTTTTGGCCCCAGTGGGAGTTTCAAATCATGAAAGAAATTTGGCTGAAAGGTGTCCTTTACAGGTAGGTTAATAGGTATTGATTCACCAGGATATATTTGAGCTCACTTTTTTTTTTAAATAGCACTGATAAGCATGAACATATGTCAGTTTATTTTAACTACAAAAGTGTGTTAGTAAATAATCAAATTTTTTCAAGCATCTAGGGTTTTGATTTATTTATTTGATGGAGGGTTGACAATTTTATCTAAAATATAGTCTTCTTAGCATCTAAGTTATTTGGTTTCCTACACAGAGATTCATTCCTATGAATAAATCTTAATATTTTCATGTGAAGATGTTTCACTAATATTTTCATGTGGAGATATTTCCCTCATTCTGATGAAAGAATTGAAGGATAGACAAGATCCACTTTATTTTACCATGAAAATTTGCAGTGAATAATATGTTAATTACTGAAACTTGCTTTTTAATAAGTACGCTTTTGCTCCAGGAACAGTATGAGGAACTTAGCACAAGGGATCTCTTTAAGTCCTTAGAACAGTCTATGAGGAATTGCTCTCATTTTCTTGAGAAGGAAATTGAGGCTTTTAAAATTAAATCATTTATCTGTTTCTTCAGATCATGTGCTGGAACTGAGATTTGCACCAAATTCAGTCAGGATAAGCAATCATTTATGTTCATTATTTAAATATTGACTTTCTTAATTTTAAATGACCCTGTTTTAGGTGCTAACCCTGAGACAAGGATTTGAGGGCTAGCAGTATATTTGGGCAATGTGGTGCGGTATGACACTAGGACCCTGAAAGCAGGGCCTTTGTCCCAGGATAGTATCTCTGGGTACCCTGTGTTTTGGATGGCTATTCTCAATTTTTGTAAGTCATCTTTCAGTGGCTGAGACCAGCCAGGGCCAACAGTGCCATCTTGTCAGAGCTCCATATGCTCACTGCTCAGGGACCAAAAATGTCTTCCTTGAAGCTTTAAATCTTGTTGGCACTGGCATTACTATCACAACAGTGTGTCCTGAACTTCCACTGTGAATCTTACAAGTTATGGTTCCTATTTTTTTTTTTTTTCTTTTGGAGAGCTTTGCCACCACTAACTCCCTGTGTGGCATTTACCAGATGTCCTGAGATGATCTGAAACTCCCTCATGTGGCTGTCTCAGGCCCCTGGTTTCAGAACAGTCTGGTGACCAGACTGACTTTGCTGGCCAACATTATGTTCCTTTCCCACTATAGCATGAGACTGAATAACTAGACCGGTGTTGAAATGCTGGTCTTGGGCTACTGTTACTCATATGGAAGAAAAGTTACATTCAGGGCCAAATTTTGTGCTTCAGCTCTGTTTGGGTCCATTTGTCAGCTGTTACCTGTGACTGCTCTGAACATGATGCCACCTCCAACTACAACATTTGAGGTCAGTTGGTGTGGTAACAAGTATGATTTTTTCCTGGGATCCCCTTACCATGGGTACCCAGTACAGTCACACCACCCCCTCTGCAAGTTTTTACCTTATGTAAGGGAGGCCTCCAAGATTACTGCACTCAATCCAATGGGCATTTTCAATCAATCTCTCCTCTTGACTCTGGTCAATGTGGTGATAGCATGTTCTTCCTGGAAAGTCTTACAGTATCCCGAATTAGGAATGGATATTCTTTGCATAAATGGGACAACACTTCTTGCTCCATTGATGGGATCCTTGTCTACGCTCCTCTGTAATGCCAGTGCATAGCAGGCAGAGGACTGAGCAACTATAAGATCTAGGAGAAGAGAGACTTTTTCCGCCCAGTTTCATACAGTCCTGTTTTATCAACATTCAGAAAAGTACCTGACACATAGTAGTGGTTTAATAAATGTTCATTGAACACAAGAGTTAATGAATTTTACTCAACTTGTGTTCAGTTCACATTAATTGTGCTTCATGAAATATTTTCTGTCTTGTCTGCTATTATGTTTACCTTTCTGTGTGCTCTTCTTTGTACCCCTTAAATATTCTTTTTATTTATTTATTTATTTTTTAAACGGAGTGTCACTCTGTCACCAGGCTGGAGTGCAGTGGCATGATCTCAGCTTACTGAAACCTCCGCCTCCCGGGTTCAAGCAATCCTTCTGCCTTAACCTCTCAAGTAACTGGGACTACAAGTGCACACCACCACGCCCAGCTAATTTTTGTATTCTTAGTAGAGACAGGGTTTCACCATGTTGGCCAGGATGGTCTTGATTTCCTGACTTCGTGATCCACCTGTCGCTGGCTCCCAAAGTGCTGGGATAACAGGTGTGAGCCACTGCGCCTGGCCTGTAACCCTTAAATATTCTTTTGTCCCAGTTGCATTTTCCATTTCTTAGTCTAGATGTTCACCTTGAATGGGCTCTTGTACTGATCTGTGTACAACTACTTAACATCTACAACATGATAACTCTGAAATGTGATTTCCAACACAAAGCTTTCTTTTAAACTGCAGACTGTATGTGAGAGATACCTCCACCCAGATATCCCATGATGCCTCATTCCAATACATTCAAAACTTAACTCCTTCTCTTCCTACCCCCAACTTCTAATTTTCCTGTTCTCCCTTTGTGAAATAGCTACTCACCAAGTTTTTGCCTATAAACAAAGAGAGAACAATGGAGCGTATCTCTCTAATAAACTATATATCGAATAAAAGAATATACTTAAGATGTAGGAAAAAACTCTAATATGGTGAAAATAAAGTCTTCTGAATACTGTGAGGAAATTAGTGGACTTGTGTGATACAGGCCTTTCCTCTTGTACTTTGGCTTAAAATTCGAGCTGAGACCATAAAAATGATAAGAAATTGTAAGATTTAAGGTGAAATGTCCAGTGAAAGGCAAACCAATTAATTCAGGGCTATTTAGCACACATTTCATTGTGTGATACAATTTGCTCTTTTCTCCGTTCATCAAAATTATATTTTACAGTCCAGGAAAATCTTAAAATATTAAATTGAATTTGATTTAATTCAATTAAACAAATAGTTATCTTCCTGTTATCTTCTAGGTACTTTCCTATTACATGTGAATAATATAGTAATCAAGACAGACATAGCCCTTATACTTATTGAAAATGCTAGTGTTAGAGATGATTTAGCATTACTATTTCTGTGAGTTCAAACAATGTAATCAAGAATCTTCCGTTTCCCTCTTTTATCTATGCTTTCCTTTTGATGACTATGCATGAAACAGTCAGTGTGGCTGGGAAGAACGTGCTCTTACTGGCCAGGTTCAGATCATTGTCTCATGCCTGGAACCTGGAGTTGGCATCAATCCCACACAAACACATGGACAGAGAATAGGCAAGAGATAATTTCTAAAGAAAAAAAAAAAGAGTGTCTATTAGTAGGAGTAGGAACCCTCTTTTGGTAAAAGCATAATATATTAGCTATATTCCACCATTCCTATGGATACCCAAAGCCTTTCTTCCTACACATAACATTTAAAATATGTTCTCCTCTAACATAATGCAACTATCTATACACAATTGGAAACCTCACTCATCCTGTTCCCAGAGGAAGACAACACACTGTCTTGCCCGGATCCACATCCAGGATGATTAGCATTCCTTTCATTCAAGTCCAGATGGAGCTCATCACAGTCCAGTAATCTGTGGAGAAATGATAAATTTTACAAACTTTCACACATTCAAAACACAATGGCGCAGAAGAACAGCAATAAAAGCTTCCATTTAGACTAGGGTACAGGAAGAAAGAATCACAGTGGTCTTTCTGGGCAAGGATAGCAAAGATTCTTGTCCTGGAAGATTTGACGGTTCTGAAGCAGCCATTCAGTTTGACTGACTAGAACTCTGTTCTCAGTAGGTGTCCTTTGATCTACTATCTCCATGTAAAAACAAACAAACAAACAAACAAACAAAAACAACTTGGGACATTTTCCTTCAGGAGCTGCATCTCTCTCTCTCTTTTTTTTTTAAATATTCGGGGGACTAGAAACTTTCACTGATGATGAATCAAGCTTGTGAGAGATTTGTCAGTTGTCTTGAAATATAAGTTTATGATTAATGTTAGATTGAATCCAAGGACCAGTAGCTGAAGAATGAGAATTACCTTTCCATAGAATACATAATCTATGATTCCAGGGATTTTTGTCGTATTCACTGTTGCAGCACCAAGCCCAGTAATATTGCAATAATTCAATAAATATGTATTAATTGAATGAATTCTTTTTTTTTTTTTTGAGACAGAGTCTCATTCTGTCGCCCAGGCTGGAGTTCAGTGACGTGATCTCGGCTCACTGCAACCTCCGCCTCCCGGGTTCAAGCGATTCTTCTGCCTCAGATGCCTCAGACTCCTGAGTAGCTGGGACTACAGGCGTGTGCCACCACGCCTGGCTAATTTTTTGTATTTTTAGTAGAGACGGGGTTTCACCGTGTTAGCAAAGATGGTCACGATCTCCTGACCATGTGATCCGCCCGCCCCAGCCTCTCAAAGCGCTGGGATTACAGGCGTGAGCCACTGTGCCCAGCCTGAATGAATTAGTTTTTCCTTTATCTTGTTTGTCCTCCAAGTTCTATCATTTCTGCCCACTAAATTCCCGTTAAACTTGCTCAGTTCTCTCCATTTTTTTTTTTTTTTTTTTTTTTTTGCTTCTACTGTACTCCAAATCACCATCACCTACTATCAAAAATACTGGATCAACCTACTAAATGGTCCCTTTTCCTCAACTCCATTTTATTTTACACTTAGCTCTAAAGTTTTATTTTTAAAACACAAATCAGATCATGTGAATCCTGTCCTTAAAAATTTCTGGTTGTTTTGCACATCATGAAGGATTTGGACAAGACTTAAGCCTTGGTAATAAACCCTTAAAACAATTTAATAACATGCTTCTCTCTTATAACTGGTTGCTGCATGTCTGTATAGGGGACATCTGTTGTGTTTGTCCACACGGAAACATTTCTGGTACGGAATCTTCTTTTCTGATTGGGAGTCATTCTTTCTAGACATTTTCGTTGCTAGTTGTTCATATCAAATGTCCTGCACTCTGCTACAGGAAAAGGCAGATGTTTCAGATTTCTCCTTGGAACACAGCTTTGACCCCTCCTTCTTAGCTTAATGGCAGAGGTGGGCCTCTCCATCATTCTCTCAATAGGGCTAATTTGACTCTTCTCTCTACACTGCTTCCCAAGATGATTTTAGAAAAAAGACTATTTTTGTTTCAGGGGTTTTGGGGAGAAAACTGGAAGATCAATCATTTCCTGGGCTTCTAAAGAAAGGAATAGTGTGATCCTAACAGAAATTTGAATCATCCAATTTTTAAGACTGAAACAGTGCCTTAATTCTTTAATTAACCCCTCTTTTTAGCTTCTACTTGACAAACATATAGACAATAATTACAATCCAGTCTCCTTGAAGCATCCTTTTGGATTTAAACTTCTAGTATATAAAATAGTGTTGAACAAATAATAATTATTTAGTACATATTTTTAAGTTTAAATAAAAGGGAACAGGCTGGGTGCGGTGGCTCACATCTACAATCCCAGCACATTGGGAGGTTGAGGAGGGTGGATTGCTTGGACTTAGGAGCCTGAGATCAGCTTGGGCAACATGGCAAAACCCTGTCTCTACTAAAAACACAAAAAGTAGTCAGGCAGGTGTGGTGGTACATGCCTGTGGTCCCAGCTAACCCGGAGGTTGAGGAGGGACAATCACTAGCGCCCAGGAGGCAGGGGCTGCAGTGAGCCAAGACCTTGCCACTGCACTCCAGCATGGGTGAAAGAGTGAGACTCTGTCTCAAAAAAAACAAAAAAACAAAAAAGAAGAATGAACAACTTACTGGTTTTTCCTTTAAATAGTTTCTTATAACCAGAGCAAGAAAACTCATTGTAGAGATTAGTTTTCCACTCAGACCTCATGAGAATATTTTAGTTAAGATTATAGGAAATATATCCACCATAGGGAAAGATTAGGGTTTTTGAGATATAAAAAGTATCTATTAAAGTCTTCTTATTACTATCTTTATTTTCCAGGATAGGACATATTAATGATAGATTTTGTAAAATGAATTTTAGGAGCTAGGTGGTTTTAGAGACATGGTTAATTTCAGTTTCTCATTTATTCAATATGCCTATATCTCATTCTCTATATTCTGTTATAAAACTTAATTCACGTAATGAGCTGGCTATATTTTAAAATTTGGTTTTAGTATATAATTCATCCATGTAAACAAGAACCATTTGTACCCCTAAAGCTATTGTAATAAAACAAAACAAAACAGCAAAAGAAGGCAGGTGGGGTTGATATCTCTAGTCTTTCCACACATGTCCAAACTTTATATATAAATTTGACTATGCCCTTCTCTGACTGCTTCTAGTTGCTGCATCTTCAACATTTCTTCTCTCATCTCTGCCAAAATCAAGTTCCTGTTTTACAGGAAAATAACAATAAAAATTGCTACTGTTGTAGATATCTGTATTATTTATTTGAATATTGGGTTGCATAGTGTATTAGTCTGTTTTTACGCTGCTGAAAAAGACATACCTGAGACTGGGCAATTTACAAAAGCAATAGGTTTAATGAACATACAATTCTACATGGCTGGGGAGGCCACACAATCATGGTGGAAGGCAAGGAGGAGCGAGTCACATCTTACGTGGATGGTGGCGGGCAAAGAGAGAGAGCTTGTGCAGGGAAACTCCCATTTTTAAAACCATCAGATCTCATGAGACTTATTCACTGTCACAAGCACAGCATGGGAAAGACCTGCCCCCCATGATTAAATTACCTCTCACCAGGTTCCTCCCACAACACATGGGTATTGTAGGTGTTACAATTCAAGATGAGATTTGGGAGGGGACACAGCCAAACCATATCACACAGTTTATTTATTTATTGAGACTGAGTCTTGCTTTGTTGCCCAGGCTGGAATGCAGTGGTGCAATCTTGGTTCACTGCAACATCTGCCTCCTGGGCTTAAGCAATTCTCGTGCCTCAGCCTCTAGAGTAGCTGGGACTGCTACACCACCACTCCCGGCTAATTTTTTTGTATTTTTAGTAGAGATAGCATTACACCATGTTGACTAGGCTGGTCTCGAACTCTTGTCCTCAAGTAATCCACCCACCTCAGCCTCCCAAAGTGCTAAGATTACAGTCATGAGCCACCACCTGCAGCTGAGTTACATAGTACATTCAAAATGTACAGAACACAGGCCAAACAGATAGCTTTTTAAACTCTTTTAGAACACTGGCACCTACATTTCCAAGAATCCTTTGCCAGGAGAATTATGGTTTAGAATACACTAGTTGAGAGTAATAAGGGTGAAAGTTTGAAAGTAGAAAGGAAGAAGAGGTATTACCCTTCTATGGCAGTAGCAGATAGAGCAAAGAGAAGACCTCACAATTGGGATGTAAAGCAATTTATAGTTGTGATCTTGTCACTCTGCTTTGGTGCTCATTCAACAGAAATGTGGTATCTACCTACTAAGATTCTTGTGCTCCTGACTTCACCAGGGCCAAAAGTGACTCCATGTCTTTTATCCCTCCTGTGCTGCTAAGGGTTCTGCAAGCACATAATTCCCTGTATTGAATATCTTTTTGTTAAAATATCTGAAATTATTTTTCTTTTTATAGACAAAGATGAAGTATGTGTGTGTGTTTAAATACCTGTTCATAAGTATACATATATCACAATGACATATATATGTATGCATATGATCAAAGATGTTATTTAATAATACAGCTGCAGTATAGGTAAGTTAGAAATATTTTAAAGGATCTTACCCTGAATTGTTTACTGTGATTCATTGAGTAGGAAAAAAAAGTCAGTTTGTAAGAAAAGCTAATCACCCAATTGTTAGTTTAGCTCACTCAAAAATAAGTACTTGCTACCTGCTCAGGATATAAACTGCCTCAATGTTGTAACTGAATAAAACATAATTTGTGAACAATTGACAAACTGTTTAAAAATATTCTTTAAAAAAAACCCATATTCTGGCCGAGTGTGGTGGCTCACGCCTGTAATCCCAGCACTTTGGGAGGCCGAGACGGCTGGATCATGAGGTCAAGAGATTGAGATCATCCTGGACAACATGGTGAAACCCCGTCTCTACTAAAAATACAAAAATTAGCTGGAGGTGGTGGCATGCGCCTGTAGTCCCAGCTACTTGGGATGCTGAGGCAGGAGAGTCACTTGAACCCAGGACACGGAGGTTGCAGTGAGCTGAGATCCTGCAACTGCACTCCAGCCTGGTGACAGAGCGAGACTCTGTCTCAAAAAAAATGAAATAACAACAACAACAAAACATATACTTATAGACTATGCATATAAATTCCCTGATATAAACAAAGTGACCTTGATCCAACAGAATGTAAGATGCGCCTGTGATACCTGGGGTCATAAGTAATATAAAAAGCCCTCTATGTTATTGAACATTTGAGAACCACACATTGCTCTCACTGCCTCTCCTGAGAATATGTTGAGAATTTTCACAAACTACAGTGAAGACATTGGAGAATAAGCAACTCTGACTCTTTCGACAGAGCAGGTTGAGGGTATCAGTAAACAGAGGCCACTATTCACCAGCCGAATGTGAACAGTTCTCCAAAGGGAATAAAGAGAAATGGACTCAATCCCAATAAAATAGTATGTGCCATACACACCCCCTCCCATGTCTCCTCTTTAATCATGAAATTAACATCATTGCTTAATAGTTTTAATTGCTCAAAAACCTTGTTGAAAAAGAATAAATGTATATCTATGAATGGGTTATAGTCTATTTGGTTGCCTCTCCCAATATCTTTTCAACATTCCTCAGTTCACTATCTTTGCAATAACTGTAGCCAAAGATTTCATTTTTAATGTGAGCACTTAAATATACCAATTTCAACTTAACTCAAATACAGTATATGAAAAAACAACACCAATAAGGGAAACCTGATGAAAAAACAATTTATAAAATTGTCAATGCAGTATGATCATGTAAAATAAAATACTCTTGATCTAAACAAAGATTCCAATATAATATTGTCTTTGTGGTGAGAACCTGAAGTTAATTTTTTCTCTTTCTAATATTCTATATTATTCAAAAATTAATTTTAACTTGTATTTCAGCTTAAATAATTATAAATTTGTGTACATGTGTGCCAATTTATGTTCAATTGCATACACTTTCACAATTTAGGTATATTTAATAAATAGGAATGTAACACAGTAATGAGACTCCACAATGATAACTTAGACTACAGTGGAAAATATACCATACTCAATCTTCTAATGAATAGAGAGAAGACTTGAAGTTACTGGGTTCTTCTTAATGATACAGTGTTAGGTTTGTGTTAAGAAAATTTAAGTAGCCAAAGAAAATGTTAAGTGAATTGTAAACACTGACAAATACAATACATAGAATCTGCAGTGAAAACATATTAAGGTTCAGTATGTGAATATCATACTACAATATTAAATGCATGACATACTGTGGATCTGTGTCCCCACCCAGATCTCATGTGGAATTGTAATCCTCTATGTTGGAGGTGGGGCCTGGTGGGAGGTGATTAATTTATCACGGTGGTTTCTCATAAATTGTTTAACATCATCCCACTTGGTACAGTCATTGTGATAGTGAGTGAGTTCTCCTGAGATCTGGTTGTTTAAAAGTGGGTAACAACTACCCCATCTCTCTCTTGCTCCTTCTCTGGCCTTGTAAGGGGCTGCTCCCCTTTTGCCTTCCAGCATGATTGTAAGTTTCCTGAGGCCTCCCCAGAAGCCAAGCAGATGTCAGCATCATGCTTCCTTTACAGCCTGTGGAACTGTGAGCCAATTAAACCTCTTTTCTTTATAAATTACTCAATCTCAGGTTTTCTTTTTAGCAATGTGAGAACAGACTAATACAATGCATATATTAAAACAGAGCCACAGAAAAAATAGGTTAATACCTACTTCATGGAGTAATTTCAAATATCAGTTCATCAATTAAGTTTTTGATGCCTCTCAATAAAAATTATTGCTTTAATAAGAAATATGAGGTTCTACTCATATTGGTCATTAAGTGAGAACAAAATTTTTACAAAATCTTTAAAATTAGTTCATCAATTCCATGACAAACCTAAATTTGGTTACTATTTCACCTATGGATACCCATGATCAAGATGAGAGAGGAAATAGGCCTGGAGGCAGGGAACATAAGGCCGACCCACGCTGACTTCCTAGAACTAAATAAAATGAAAGCACTTTAGCAATGACAAGAATGTGAATGGCTTTGTAACTTCATTTTATCCTCTCCATTTACGCCATTTACACTCTGTAATTTCACATTCATCCTCTCCATTTACATAGACCACACAAGCCAAGTAACATCCTCTCCATTTACATAGGGCGCATTCCTAGTAAATGACTCCATAACTTCACTTCATTCTCCTCATTTACATAGAGCATACAGTAAGTAACCAATGGGAAACCTCTAGAGTATTGAAACCCCAGAAAATTTGTTTGTAACCAGGGCTCTTAAGCCCCCATGCTTGGGCATGTTCCCACACTGTGGAGTGTACTTTGTTTTTCAATAAATACTTGCTTTTGTTTTCCTTGGTTTGTTTTGTGCATTTTGTCCAATTCTTTGTTCAAGATGCCAGGAACCTGGAAACATTCTACTGGTAACAAAGGCATGTCAGCTACTCTAAATTTAGAGATTATAATTTTTAAATGAGAAACGAATTATAAAGCATTACAATTTGTAACTAGGAAGGCTGTTCTTTGTGATAAATATCCTTAGCACCTATGTGATTTCTGTTTGCTTATGACAACCTTTATACATCTAGTAATTTTTAAGCCAAGCTCTTAATAACATGAAATCAGCTTTTCAGGCAGTTTTAAACAATGTGTAGTTTCTAAAGAATAAAGTATAGTGTATTCGTTTGCTATGGCTACCATAAGAAAATACCACAGACAGGGTAGTTTAAAGCAGAAATTTTTTTCTCATAGTTTTGGAGGCTGGAAGTCCAAAAGTAAGGTGTTGGCAGGTTTTGTTTCTTCTGAGCCCTCTCTCCTTGGCTTGTGGAGGACTGACATTTCCTTGTGTCCTCACATGGTCTTTCTTTTGTGCAAGAGCTTATCTGCTGTCTCTTCATGTATCCCAATATCTTCTTATAAGACACCAGTTAGAATGGAGTAGAGCACTCAGGGGGCTCATTTTAATTTAATTTTTATCTCTTTGGAAGCCCTATCTCCAAAACAGTCACATTCTGAGGTAGTGGGGGTTAAAGCTTCAACATATAAATTTTGAGAACACAATGTAACCTATAACAAGAGGGTGCCCTGAATGGTCAAATTCGCCTGCCTAGATTCAATTCTACTCTTTGTATGTTTACTAGGCCTTCAGTATAAACTGGGGAAAAAAAAAAACAAAATAACCTTATGTATCCATGTTTGAATATATGCCAAAATGTTAGCCTTGATATTTAGAGTTCATTATATATGTTTTATACAAGCGTGGTTCTTATTTTACCATCAATATTTTATTAATAAATGTTAACAATGAAGGGCTCAATGAAGTTCAGAATCTTAGTTTCTCTGGTTCTTAATCATTTGGAAAAATATTCCATTATCTTTATCTTTTATAATATAAATATAAAAATATATTATTTAATTTATAATATAAATTCAGATTTATATTATCTTTTATAAATCTGAATTATTAATATCTAGAGCTTTATATTTTGGAGGGTGGGTTTTGTGGTTCTGACTCCTATCTTTGTTTAATCATTATAATACAAGGCTATTTCTATTTTAATTAGCAATACATGCTGCAATAGCTGATGTTACTCCTATTAATAGTCTTTTTGCAACTGCATAATCATGGGAATAATAAAGCTGTTGTATATGTGATTCTCTCCTTCTTTCTGTCAAAGATAGGGTTAACATTGATCTAGTTGTGGGGGAAAGCCCTGTGCTTTGGGGAAAATACTGGCTTTGAAGTACACTAATTTGTAAACTGTCCTCACCATTTAAAAAGATTTTTTTAAAACCCTCTATTTTTCTTAATATTACTTATTCATTATGTATTCATATTGTCTCAATTGCTGCTATGTAGCCAGTCAAAAAGTAAGGTCTACCACCTAGTAGAAAATTTCTCCTTCTCTTCGCATTTGACATATAACATGCATGATACTGTGCATTATTATATACTATAATTGGTATTTAATATTTGAATTATTTCCTCTGTAATCATGGCCTCCAGGTCTCTTGTGATAATAAAATGAAGATGGAAAACAAGTCAGCTGCAAGAAGTTTAGAAGAGTTCATTGGGTTTATGGGGGTAACCAACATAGTACCATAAAAGACATGGTATTGAATCTAGGGTGCTTTCTGGAAGAAATGTGTGTTGTTTCTTCTGGGGGTTTTGGTAGGGTAATGTTTTTCAATTTTTCTGGTTTTCATTAGAGGGGATTTCCTTTGGTCTTTTGCCAACCTGTCTTACTCCTCTGATTTGAGGTGAAGTGTGTTAATTCATTTACAAATGCTAGCCATTGGCTTGGATTTCTCAAGTGGGTAGAGAAAATTTCACCATTATAGAAAAAAAATCCCTGTTTATATCCACTTTCACTTAACAGTTGAATTAGTGTGAGTTGGACATCTGGATAGATGCATCTTTTCTGAAGAGTCCAACACTTCCTCTGAAGAACTGGTCAAGTTCTACACCTATGGGCTTCCACGTGGAGCCTCTCACATTGAGGTATGTATGTTCTCCAGTAGCTCTATCAGGAATGAAGGTGACTTTTCTTTTTTCTTCAATTGATGCCATCGTTTTTTTATTTGGTGCAGAATTTAAGAAGGATGCGGGCTGGGCACGGTGGCTCACACCTGTAATCTGAGCACACTGGGAGGCTAAGGTGGGTAGATCATTTGAGGTCAGGAGTTAGAGACCAGTCTGGCCAACATGATGAAACCTTACCTCTACCAAAAATACAAAAATGAATCGCTTGAACCTGGGAGGCTGAGGTTGCAGTGAGCCAAGATCACACTACTGCATTCCAGCCTGGGTGACAGTGTGAGGCTCTGTCAGAAAGAAAGAAAAAGAAAGAAAGAAAGAGAGAGAAAGAAGGAAGGAAGGAAGGAGGGAAGGAAGGAAGGAAAGAAAGAAGGAAAGAAAGAAAGAAAGAAAGAGAGAAAAGAAAATTAAGAAGGGTTGTTCTATGCTGTTCACAATAGCAAAGACTTGGAACCAACCCAAATGCCCATCAATGATAGACTGGATAAAGAAAATGTGGCACATATACACCATGGAATACTATGCAGCCATAAAAAAGGATGAGTTCATGTCCTTTGCAGGGACATGGGTGAAGCTGGAAACCAGCAATCTCAGCAAACTATCAAAAGAGCAGAAAACCAAACACCACATGTTCTCACTCATAAGTGGGAGTTGAAAAATGAGAACACATGGACATAGGGAGGGGAACATCACACACTGGGGCCTGTCGGGGGGTGGGGGGCTAGGGGAGGGGTAACATTAGGAGAAATACCTAATGTAGATGGTGGGTTGATGGGTGCAGCAAACCAGCCTGGCACCTTTATACCTATGTAACAAAACTGCACATTCTGCAAATGTACACCCAAACTTAATGTATAATAAAAATAATAATAATAATAAAAACAAAGCAAAGCAAAACAAAACAAAATAAAACAAGGGTGCAATGTATGCAATCCTTCAAATCCCAATGCTTTTGAAACTTTCTTCCCATTGGAAATATTTTTATTAGTATTTTCCATCAATATGATAGCTCAAACCATATACATGAAAAGTGCTAGGTGCGGTGGCTTAGGGGGAAGGATTATCTAAAGAAAGAGGGGAATTGGCAGCAATTAGTCATATAAAGCAAATGAGTGTAATTATGGAATATTGTTTCTGGAATTTCCAACCAATCAACTCAATAATTTGTTTGCTCTTGGTTTCTGGTGAGCTACAGACTGCCAGAAATCACTGGAGAAGTTTGTGATGGAGATGGACGTTCTCAAAATCTTGACAAAAATGCATGACTTTGGCAGGTGTACCCTACATTAGGTGATTAGAAAAAAATGCATAATTTTCTTATATTATGTAAAACAAAAAAAAGGTTAAAATAAACATTCTGTGGCCAGACACTGTGGCTCAGACAGAAGGCTCATCTCAGCACTTTGGGAGGCTGAGGTGGGCAGATTACCTGAGCTCAGGGGTTGGAGATCAGCCTGGGCAACATGATGAAACCCCGTCTCTATGTCTGGTAGAGAATATAAAAATTAACCTGGTTTGGTGGCATGTGATTGTAGTTCCAGCTAGTCTGGAGGCTGAGGCAGGAGAATCACTTGAGCCTGGGAGGCAGAGGTTGCAGTGAGCCTAGACTGCACCCCTGCATTCCAGCCATGGCAACAGGGTGAGACTCTGTCTCAAAAAAAACAAAAGCAAAAACAAACAAACAAATAAGAAAAAGGAAACATATTGTGAAAGAAAAAGACTATGAAATTATGACCAAATCCATCTATCCTTAGATTAAAAAAAAAGACATGCCAATAGTGAACCTGGAACACTATTTAATATGGAGGCTACAGTGGCCAGGATAGCATGAGTGTTAATCCATTAAGCTGGAGGAGTATAATCATCTTACTTCTACTTGAATACATCTTCTAAAAAATCTACTTTAATAGTGTCAATTTCCTACACTTAATTATAAGTTGTATTCTGCCTTGAAACCCTTCACTTAGCATGGGTATAGTATATAGAAAATACTCATGAAATGCTCAAATAAATTAAGGAAAGGAAGAAGGAGGAAGGGAAGAGAGAGAGAGGGAGGAAAGTAGAAGCAACATATTTTAATACCTTTTTTAACATCTGGGTTACATAACACAAATATTAGTTGAAACACTATATAAAAAATGAGGTGGAAATAACAAATAAACATCAAGGAGAGTTTGAAATCTCCTGAAATACATACAATCATACTTTTTTCTTTCGCTCTCTCTCTGAAATCTATTCAGCACAACTTGTTAGTCGTTACAGTTTATGTTTGTGAGGTCTGGTACTTATTAGAGCTGAAGAGCATGTGAAAAATATTTTAATATTAATTTGCAATATATGTTTCTTTCTTCATACTTTAACATGCCATAACATCTTAGTTTCATCTTTTTAAATATTTAAGAAAACAGTGAGTTTTCATTTTGGCTGTCAATATAATACATATTTCAGCAACACATTAGGAGATTTTTTTCTCTGTGAATTATCCATAGAGATTAAAAATAAAAATACGGTGGCGTAGAAAAGCTGCCAAAGCACATTATATGACTGTTCCTGGCTCCCACTCTATTTTTTTCTCTATCCAAATGAAGCATTTTTCTGCCAAAAACATACAGGTGTGGAAGCAGATCTTTCAGTCTGTGAACTCTTGGGTTTACATCTGAAGGCTGTATCTTATTTTAGAATATGTATTGATGGTTTATATAAAAAAAGAGAAGTGGGATGTTCTTATGAAAATGAATAAGAAGGGAAGCAGATGTCACCCTTTTTGCATTGTAGAAAATGTCAGTGGGATATATCTGGAACATAGCTACTGAGTTGTGCTTCAATATTTGTGATGCAATATTGGGTGCAGTGATCCAGATGCACATATTGAGTGTTTGAAAAATAGATCTTAAATACAATCTGTAAAACCTGCACAATATTATACTAGTTCATAGTGATGTTTGGGAAAAAAATTAATACTTATAAGTGACTTATGTTTTATGTTTGCCAAGTGTAATTAATGTGATGCTGTGGTATTTTTGATGAATAGCCTGAAAACATTTTATTCTAGTGAAAAGAAGGGGTGATTACAATAGATTCTGATAGAAGGAATGAGAGAATATTCATATAAGAATCTCAAACTCATTTTTGGTTTATTTAGAAATGTTTTCTTATTGTTGGAGAAATATAGCAATTAAATTGTTCAGTAATAAATATTCAGATTCATTAAATTTTTAAATAATTGATTCACTAGCCCTTTCCAGTGAATTGCTTTGTAAACAATGTTTTTCCATATGTTAAATCTAGCATCCTGGTTTTGAATGACAACTATGGGCCAACTATTATGGGGAGCAACATGTGTAGTACAAAATGGTCCACCATATGAAATGGTCTTCTTTCCTAATCTTTAGTTTAAAAATACTGTGATAGTTCAAAATAAAGACAAATTTGTTTACTGAATTGAAGTTATGTGCTTCAGCTTCACACTTGAGTGCCAACACTTATCCCAATTTACACTTTCGTCTTAATTCTCTACCCATTCTCATTTGAGTACATGGAATTCATTTCATCTTTCTGATCTCCTTCACATCTTCAGTGTGAAGATTAAGTCAGGTACACACTTATTAAGTGTACAAATAAATAAAAGATCAGTGCATGTAAATATTACAACATAAGAACTATACGAACAAATAATAGAAAAAAATTACTCGACTGAGATGATCAGAAGGTATACTTAGTGGAAATAATATTGAATTGGTGGTTGAAGAAAGATTTTACTTTGAGTATCAAAGAAGTCAGCAAAATATATTTCAGACAGAAGAAAGAAGATAAGTAAAGATGGAAAAGTGAAAATCATATTATATGTTGAATAAATGTCTCTCTTACTTTTAGGTGGTGGGGTAGAAGATTACATTGAAAATGCAAGATCTGGGTAGTGGAAGGAGTGAGTCAGATGCCAAGATAAACAGGTTGTCTCTGCAAATTGTAGGGAGAAAAAAAAAAATCACTGTATTTTCTTGTAAAGTAAGGTAGCTCAGTAAACTACAGAAGTACTTGTAAAAGCTGTTGAGTATTCATAAAGATAGGCACATTTGTACACTATTTCTGGCAACAGTCCATTTAAAAGACAATAAATATGTTTATTAGAGTTACATTTTAACACTAGTCACTTGTCCAACTAATCTGCTGTCTTTTATTAAACTCTAATGCAAAGAAAGTTCATTGCAAGTAAAAACTAACATAAGCACTTTTCATAAATGTCAGCATATTCAATTAGATAGCATTTAGAAATGGTACTATCATAAGAAGAGTTACATCACATAGAAGAACAAAACTAATAGGAAAATAGAGTTCTTGTTGAACTTCTTCCATTATATAGCTAATTATCTTCATTATTTTAAAATATGTCATCTATAAAGTAATTCAGTTTTTTTTGACTATGCATATTTAAGTAAAGATTCTTTCAGAAACAAAGTACATTTTTTGTTTTTTCACAGTGAAAATAAATCAACATCAAAGTACAATGCTCACTAAAAATTTATTATGTAGCAATGTATATGTCATTGATATTTTCAATTTTATTAAAATGAAGCCAGATTAGTAAATTTTCATCATTTTTGACGGTTCTATCTTCAAGATATGAGCTTATGCAATTTATTTCATTTACTTTTAGTAAAATTATGTCCAAACTAACAAGCACTGATAGTTTTTAAAGCCCTGGTATAACCTGCTATACATTTACTTGGATACTTTACTGAAATATCATTTTTGCAATATGTAATTTATTACAATAATTTATAATATGTTATTATTCTTATTCCTAAATACATGCTATATTTTTCTTCTCTATATGAGGAAGATTTCTGATCTGACTGGGGGCTCTTTGACCTAAGGAGACTTATTTTTTTAAATGGCATGGTATTGTGGCACTGAAATAGAGAATGCTTAAGGCACTGAAGAACAGCCACCTAAACACGTTTCTGTTTGGGTAATTGTATTAGTCCCAAGTGGAAAGAGATGACAAACACATTAGGATAATTTAGGGATGGTTTATTACCAGCCTAATTTTAAAGGTGTGAACAGAATGCAGGGAGACCTCAAGGGACAGTGAACTAAACATGTCTACATTAGTCGTTCTCAAACTCTCAGCCTTGTTCAGTTTTTACTGTCAACATCTACAATTTTCTTACCCTTCATGTTTCAAAATAAATACAAGAACACTTTACCTTGCATAGTGTTTCTCATTGATCCTATCCTCAATAAGTGGTTATTTGAGTTGAACTAGATTAATAAGACATATAAATCAAGAAGGATTGATTAAAAAGTAACTCATTTGAGCCTCTACTTAATATGTTACTTTTTTAAATAGTTACAAAGATTTTTTAAAAGTTACTACTTTATCCTGATGAGGTACAAAGCAAAGTATTGCCTTAGATAATGTTTAAAGTGTGTTTGCACATTTGGCAGTTGAAACAATCATTGAAATATAAAAATAGTCACTGATATTGCCAGATACATATACATATATGTAAAAGGAATATATAATATACCTTTTAGGGGACAGTAAAATTTCAGTTTTAATACTCTAAGATTGCTCCTAAATATGATCCTGTGTAGGAAAATTTTCGAGTGCAACTCAGAGTTCTGGCTCTAGAACCCTGTAAACGATTTGGCAAATTGTCTACTGTCAAGAGACAATAAATACATATAACTTATTTATTATTAAAATGTTATATTTTCTGTCTGGATATAATACTCTTTTTGTTTCAAATAGTATGTCTTCTAAATTTACCTTAGCTCTCATCAGACTTCTACTGTTTATTTTGTTGTCCATTTGGTAAAGTAGATCACTCAGTACTCTAGTCATTTGGTGCTAAACTCATTTACCATCTTTCTAACAATTTATTCTACCTTTATGACTCACCAGCTTCCCCTGAGATTGATTTTACTATGTCTTTCTCTAAACTTATAACTGACAATGCTATTGATATAATTCTGAATGTTTATTTGTATCAATTGATGTTTAGTAAGAACAATCTATTAACTTTCAGTTAATTAATGTTGGGTAAATACACGCGTTAATCACAGATTTATATTTATTTTATCACATAAAACTAAATTATTTTAAGTGGATTTTTGTAGTAACCTGATGATTTGATATACATTTTTGCTAAATAAAAGCTTAATGTAATGAGAAATTTAACATGGAACTTGATAAATCATTTTAATTTGAGGACATTTGGAATAATGCTATTCAGTTGTCCCTTATAAGTGCCTATGTACATATTCTGAAACAGTTCACGTATCCTAGGCATTGGAAGAATACTAAAATATGCTTTAGGTCAACTCAAGTAAAAAAAAAAAATTCCAAGTATAGCCAAAGAGGAGCACTCTATCAATAAATCAATCATTGGGTATAATTCCTTTGATATTTTATTTAAATTATATTTAAGGAGTGCTTTTGGCAGTGGAGTCAGTGTCCAGGGTGTTGAGGCATAAAACAACACTGGGTAAGCAAAAAAAATAAAAAAAAAAAAAAGCCATCACAAATGGAAGAGCATATCATTTTCTTACTGTTCTCAAATTTCTTCTTTCAAATTAAGATTTCCTTTCTATGAAACATCTCATTTATATCCCCCCTCTTCTTCAGGTTCACGTTGCTGAGTGTCTTTGTGTTTTCTAGTTCTTCTCAAATTTTAAATCCTTTTCTTAGGAAATGATCTCATATCAGCCATTTATTCATTCTCTTACAAAAGGCTTTGCCCAATTAGAGGAATTACGGGCATGGGAAGAGATTGTTGGAGAAGCAACAAGATCTTTTCACACTCTTTAAAAATCACAATGTGTGGACAGGTGCTTGCTGCACTAATAAGGAAAAAGTGGCCTTGTTCCTGATGTGTGAGAAGCTCTAAGGACAAGATCAGCATACGTGCAGCAATTATCTTCATTCCCCCATATGTGTGGTTAGAGGAATGGAGGCTTTTGAAATCAGCAATTTCAATATCAGATATTGAGGTATTACTTCTGACCATAGTGAGTGCAATGAAAATGTAACACTTTAAAAAGAGCGTTGACACATTTATTACCTATATCAGAAATGACTGATCATTTGGGATGTTGAAGAAGGGTACCTGCGAAAGAGAGCACTTGTGAAATACTAAAGTACCTGCAGCTTTAAGCTTTCATCAGGTAAAGACAGAAATCAGTATTTATTCCAAGGCAGCAGATGGTTAACAGAGGCTGGTCAGACAGAAGTGGGAGCCAAAGAATCACAATGTGTGAAGTGAGCAAATGATTGACATGAGGGTCAGAGGACTGCAGAAACAAGAAATAGGAAGCCAAAGACAGTCAAGGTGAGAGAATGATGCAAAGAGGAATCGATAATGAGACCGTGTATACTCACAAATCTCAGAAAACGTTCTCTGCTATTTCAGCTCACTTTTACCCAACTTTGTTGTACTCATGAGAGCGTTAGGCTCCTTCCCACTATCTCCAGTAGTTTAATTGCTCTAGAACCAAACATATGTAAGATAATTATGGCCTATATAAATATCATTCCAAGAGCAGCATCTTGCAGAGCTGATAAGATTAATTATGTGGCAAGGTCTCAAAGATATTTGTGGATGTTTAAGGGAATGGGGTGGAAGCCATAACAATTTCTAGACTCCTCTAAGAAGGAGATTATCTAAGTTACATTCTTCTGCCACTGAAATATTCCTCAGTGTATCACTCTTAGGACTGTGCACTTGTAGTCACAATTGAACTTTACTAAGGGGGTGATGTTATGGCCTTCCAGTTGTCTAAATAAGAAAATAGAGAACAGTTTACTTACAGTTAATAATGAGAAAAGTATGCTGTACATAGACTAATACTTTATACACATTCAGTCTTTGGTAGATACTTAATGAATCCATTTGAATTGGATTGGAGACAGAGCATATTAATGTGCACATACTCATAAATTCCCAAAAGGGATTTTTTTTTAAGAAGCCTGGACATTTATCACTAGAATGTAATATATAGAATTTAGGCTTAGGCGAAAAGCAACTAGATTATACTGGAAACTACTTCGCTATTTTCCCTTGCCTTCTACCATTCCCACCTTTGATTGAAATAGATGGAGAAACAGAAATCATGAAAATTATTCATTATCTCTAAATCATGACAAATTTTCTAAATGTCTTACAGTTATTTACAGTTAAAGACATGGTCTCTTCATTCCAAGCTATTTCCATTTTCCATTTTACCACACTAACTCAATCAACGTGTAAGAAAGAACATAATTAAATTTGGTTATTATTTATTACCATATTTTTCAAAATGGTCGGAAAATTGATGAAACAATAGCCTTTTGCTCTTTTAAACATAGAATCATATATACTTTAGTTGTTTGCATTTAAGGTATGTTCGAGACCGTCCTAGCTGACACAGTGAAACCCCGTCTCTACTAAAAATACCAAAAGTTAGCCTGGCGTGGTGGCGGGTGCCTGTAGTCCCAGCTACTTGGGAGGCTGAGGCAGGAGAATAGTGTGAACCCGGGAGGCAGAGCTGGCAGTGAGCCGAGATCGTGCCACTGCACTCCAGCTGGGGTGACACAGCGAGACTCCAACTCAAAAAAAAGAACAACAACAAAAAAGAACCATTAATTATGTTTGTAAATGAACACTGCCAGAATTAAAATAAGTAACATTTCTAAAATAAGTAACATTTCTAATCTATTTGGAAGTGTTTGGTGACAACTGCAGTTTCAGTTTGTGGCATTGTAACTCCAAGAATCTTAGACATAAAGTTATTGACTATCCAGCATTATTTTGTTTTGTGGGGGAGTAATATGGGGGAGAGGAATAGTGAGAGATAAGTTTAATGGTGTTTCACAAGAAATTCTATAATTCTATGCAAAGACTACATCTATTTCCAAAATGTACTCCAATTAAGAGGTTATTCTTTCTACCAAAGGAGTTATGAGCTTTTTCCCAGAGCCACAGCTCATAGAAGGGGCCTGTGACACAGAAAATATGTTCTCTGTAGACACATAGAACAGAAAGTGCTGCAATGACAGTCACAGAGACAGGATGTGCTTTTCTTTTTCTTCTTCTTCTTTTTTTTTTTTTTTTTTTAAGTACAATGCAATGGTTCTTAGAGTTAACAAGTAAAGATCCGGAACAAACAACTATGGTCAACAATAAAGACCATAAAACAAAGGGCTGCAGTGTGGTTGGATGACAATATAATGAGGCACACAGAATGGCAAGAATCTGTGACAGTGCTGTTGCCATAATCAGGAGATGAACCTGTTTCTAAATTTCCAGAGAGATTTAGGATATTACCATTTTGGCCACTTAATGACTTTTAATGTGTTTTCTTGGTTTAGAATATATTCAATAATTCTAAAAATACTTGGTGGAATTTCAGGAAATCACGTTTTTAAAATTTATGAATGTTAATAGTTATCACCAGTTTCTCAGTAAAGGGTAACTGGAGGCAATCAAGATATACAAAAAATCCTTTTTTTTTTTTTTTACTTGTGGCACTTCTCTCTGTGGTGTATATCTGTATGAAGTATATGAGGGTATGCCATAGTCTTTTGTTAAATATGGAATATCCAAATACCTAGCACAAGATCTGACTTCTGCGACACTTTTAACATAATAAATTAATGAATGATGAATGAATTATCTGATAACGGCTAATTTTTCTTAATGAAATCTTGAGTTAGAAAATTTTTAATGTATTATTAAATATAGATAATGTATCTTGTGAATTCTGTTAGGGTTGCTAAATTTACAATAAAAATATGGGATGTTCAATTAAATCTGGACTTCAGATTTAAAAAGACAAATATGCTTTTAGTATACGTATACACCAAATATGGCATAGGACATACTTGTACTAAAATATCTTGTTTGTCTTAAATTCAAAATTAACTGGACTTCTCATATTATCTGGCAATCATAACCCAAGCTGATTATTTGATTAACAGTTATGTTTGTAGTGTTAAAATCAGGTAAATAAACTCTTTTGTTGAATGCTGCCTTTAAAAAGACCTGTTTCTGCCTGTTTGTTAAACATGTTAGAGCCCATCATTCAGGCATTGAAATACTTCTATACATACTTCTATTCTAGACTTTGGAGTTTCTTTTACATTATTATGAATACTTATTTTTCCCACTCATTTATGTTCTGGTGCTTAATATGCTATTAATTCTCATTTTATTTTAGAAAAAAATCATTCTTCGTTGGAACAAGATGGTGCCTACCTGTGGTCCCAGCTACTTGGGAGGCTGAGGTAGGAGGGTCGCTTGAGTTCAGGAGGCAGAGATTGCAGTGAGCCAAGATCACACCCCTCCTATCTAGCTTGAGGGACACAGCAAGATTCTGTCTCAGAAAAAAGAAAATAAAAGGGGATCCCAGGGATTAAAAGCTTCAGTGTGCTTATGTTTCAAATGAATACATTCAGTTGCAAAGAAGTGAAGAGATTTACAGTAGGTTACAAGTCTAGTTAGTGAAAAAGGCACCAGAACAATGGCTGTCCAACTCACTAATAAGCAAAACAACAAACAAACAAATAACTAGGGTGAAATCAAAGATTGGAATAAGGGGTTTAATTAGTCCAGTAAGATGATTAACAAATTTAAGGAGAAAAAAAAGAAAATAAATTTATTGAGCTTATGCTATATTCCATAATATGTTTTTCCTTATTTAAGCCTCTTAAAAATCTTATGAAATAATTATTATTACTATTTTATAACTTTCTCAAGTGATTAAGTGTCATTTAAGATGTTTGAGAAATTATTTTCAAAATACATCGTACAATATGGGTCTATCTTTACTTCAAAATTGTCTCTTCTGTCAGAATTTGACATTCTAACACATCGTCAGGTAAGACAATATTAGGTTATCTGAGGGAGTATACTGATCTAAGATTACAGGTATTTGTCTAAATAGTTTTAGATGATGAAAATACATATAATTTGGCAGGAAAGACACCAGGTGAAATTGTTGCCTGAAGTAGATCTTATGAAATATAGACATAAGAATAAACACTTTCCTGAGTGTCTGTGTTGCCAGTGTCACTGGCATTAGTTTTGGAAGCAGCTTCTACAACAATTTAATTTTCTTCTCATGGGTCCAAAGGATTGTTCTACACATTACTTCTTTTAAGTCACTATTTCTTCTTTTCATTGAAGGTTTTTGGGTAAGTAAAGAGCAAATCAGGGCCGGGTGCGTTGGCTTACGACTGTAATCCCAGCACTTTGGGAGGCCGAGGCGGGTGGATCACGAGGTCAGGGGTTCGAGACCAGCTTGACCAACATGGTGAAACCCCGTCTGTACTAAAAATACAAACATTAGCCATGCGTGGTGGCGGGTGCCTGTAATCCCAGCTACTCAGGAGGCTGAGGCAGGAGAATTGCTTGAACCTGGGAGGTGGAGGTTGCAGTGAGCTGAGATTGCACCACTGTACCCCAGGCTGGGCGACGGAGGGAGACTCCGTCTCAAAAAAAAAAAAAAAAAAAAAAGCAAATCAGATCATGTCACTTTCCTGCTTAAAATCTTGTAAGATTTCTCAAGTTTTAATGAGAAAATAACTCTTTATGAGTCAATCCTAACCACTTCCCACAGCCCAGACATAAAGACTCCACAATTACTAAACTCTATTGATAATTATGACAGTTGCAGCATTTATCAAACCAATCTGGATCTCACAATAAGATCCTTGAGGGCGGGAACTTTGTCTTATTAATCGTTCTATTTTTAGCATCTTGTGCATCCTAGTGGAGAGTAAGTGCTCAAATTAATCTGTTGAATAAATATTACAAATGTATTACATAAATTTTTATGCATAAATGGAGATATGCTTTTCTTAAATTTTTTAATAAAATTATTCATTTTCTTTTTTTCTGTTCTATCTTTCAACTAATGGAGATAGTTCTGTTTATTTATTTTATTTCATTTATTTATTTATTTTTTGAGATGGAGTTTGGCTCTTGTTGCCCAGGCTGGAGTGCAATGGCACGACCTTGGCTCGCTGCAACCTCTGCATCTTGGGTTCAGGCGATTCTCCTGCCTCATTCTCCTGAGTAGCTGGGATTACAGGCATCTGCCACCATGCCCAGCTAATTTTTGCGTTTATAGTAGAAACGGGGTTTCCCCATGTTGGCCAGGCTCATCTCGAACCCCTGACCTCAGGTGATCCTCCCCGCTCAACCTCCCATAGTGCTGGGATTACAGGCATGAGCCACCATGCCTGGCCTATTTATTTTTCCTTAAATGTGCTTTTTATTTTTATAGAGTTAGGGGGTACAGTGCAGATTTCTTACATGCATATATCATGTAGTGGTGAAGCGTGAGCTTTCAGTATACCCTTCACCTGAAGAGTGAACATTCTACCCCATAGGTAATTTTTCAACCCTCAACTCGATACCATCCTCCCATCTTTTGTAGTCTCCAATGTCTATTATTCCACTCTATATACTCTCTATATATCCATGTGTACCCTTTGTTTAGCTCTTGTTTATAAGTAAAAATATGCAGTATTTGACTTTCTGTTTCTGAGTCATTTTACTTAGGATAATGGCCTCCAGTTCCATCCATGTTTCTGCAAAAGACATGATTTCATTCTTTTATTGATTGTTGAGCAATATTCCATGGTATATGATTTGTGTATACACACATCACATTTTCTTTATCCAGTTATCCAGTTCTCCATTGATGGACATTATGCTAATTCCATATGTTTGCTGTTGTAACTAGTGCTGCTGTAAATATGCAAGTGCAGGTAACTGTTATCTTTTCTCTTCTAGTTTCTACACATACCTGAATAGAAAAGGGCTATTAATTAGGTATCATAGGTATTAAACCCTCAAGTAAAAGTCATTTTACATTCCCTGGGTATCTCTAGACTAGCTATTTAATACTCAGCAAAATCATCTCGAGTAATTTTATTACATATTCACATGAGTCATCAGTTTGAGATTTTCTTTACATACTTTTATTATTTAGAAACAATCTTAGGATATGAGCTTTTTTTAAATGATAAAATAAGACATTAGGATTTTGATAGGGACTGTATTCAATACGTATTAATAGATTGCTTTGGATAACATTTACCTCCTAAAAACATTAAGTCTTCCAGTCCATGAATATGAGATGCGTTTCCATTTATCTATATCTTCTTTAATTTATTTCAGCAATGTTTTATAGTTTTTATTTTACATGTCTCTTATCTCCTTGGCTATGTTAATTCTTAAGCATTTTATTCTTTCTGATGCTATTGTAAAAGAAATTGTTTATATAATTTTCTTTCAGATTATTCATTGTTAGTGTATATAGATGCAATTGATTTTTGTGTATTGATTTTATTCTGCCATGTTGCTAAATTCAATGATCAATTTTAATAGTTTTTTTAGTAGAATCTTCAGGATTTTCTATATACAATGTTACATAATCTGTGAATAGGGATAATTTCACTTCTTTCTAATTTGGAAGTTTTTGTTAATTATATCAATACTACACAAAGTGATCTACAGATTCAATGCAATCCCTATTAAACTCTAATGACTGTTTTGTGGAAATACAAAACCTCTTCCTAGAATTCCTATGGAATCTCAAGGACCCCAAATAGCCAAAAAATATTGGAAAAGAAGAATAAAGCTGTAGGACTTACACTTTCTAATTTCAAAACTTACTGCAAAGCTACAGTAATCAAAACAGTGTGATACTGTCATAAAGACAGATATACAGAAAAATGCAATACAATAGAAAGCCTAGAAAAAATACCCTCATGTATAAGGTCAAATGATTTTTGGCAAGGGTGGCAAAACCATTCAATGAAGAAAGAACAATTTTTTCAACAAATGATAGTGGGAAAATTTAATATTCACATGAAAAAGAGTAAATTTGAACTCTTACCTAATATTGTATATATACAAAACTTAGCTCAAAATGGATTAAAGACCTAAATGTAAGTCCTAAAACTGTAAAACTTTTAGAAGAAAACATATGGAAGAAGCTTCATGAAATTGGATTTGCCAGTTACTTCATTGAAATGACACTAAAGGCACACTCAACAAAAGGAAAAATTGACAAATGTGACTCCATGAAAAGTTTTTTTAAAAGTGTGTGAAAAAGGACTTTATCAATAGATTAAAAAGGCAATCCAAAGAATGAGAGGAAATATCTGTAAATAACATATCTGTTTAATATCCAGAAAATGTAGAGAAGTCCTCAAGAGGACAACAAAATAAACGAAACAACCCAATTCAAAAATGACCCAAAGACTTTAACATTTCTCCAAAGAAGATATACATATACCTCATAAACTCATGAAAAGATGCTCAATTTCACTAATCACTAGGAAAATGCAAATCATAACTACTGCCTCACATCTAGTAGGAGTGTATGAAAACAATAAAAATAAAACTTCAAAAATAATAAGTGTTGGCAAAGATATGAGCAACTAGAACACTCATGCACTGTTGGTGGGAAAATGTTAAGATGATACAGCTGCTGCTGTGGATAACAACGGTATGGAGTTCCTCAAGAAATTAAAAGCTGGATTATCATATAATTCAGCAATCCCACTTTTGTGTATGTACGTAAAATAATTAAAAGCAGGATCTTGGAGAGATAGTTGTATACCCATGTTCACAGAAGTAGCAAAGGCTAAAATGTGGAAGCAATTCAATTGTCCACAGAGAGTGGATAAACAAAATAGGAAAGATACATATAATGGGCTACTATTCAACCTTTCAAAGAAGAAAATTATGATGCATGCTATTATGTGAATGAAACTTCAGGACATTAAGTGACATAAGTCAATCAGAAAAAGACAAATACTGTATAATTCTGCTTATATGAAGTAGATAGATTAGGCTAAATCATAGAGACAGAATGTAGAATAGTATTTGTCAGAGGCTGCAGGGAAAGAAGAAAGAGAAGTTATTATTTAGTGTGAACAGAGTTTCAGATTTACGGGATGAAAAGAATTATGGGAATGGACGATGGTGGTGGTTGCACAACATGATGAATATATTTATTATCACTGCACTACATTAAAATGGTTAAGGTGTAAACTTTGTATATTTTACCACAATAGAAGTAATATGTTTTTAAAAAATAATGCTGCATTGAGTAACTTTGTTCAGACACATGTCCATATGTGACTATATCTAGAAGATAATTTCCTAGACATGGAATTGCTGGACCACATGAATGTGCATTTATAATTGTGATGAACATTGATAAATTTTCTTACAGTAATGTACCAGTTTTTAAAACACAAGTATATTGTACGTATAAAATAAAGTGAAAGTTTTGAATAACAATTTTAATTATTCTTCTCTTTATTTTATGTCTGTACAAAAATACCTGATGAATTCATCTTCTTTTTATGCAACATGTAACATCTTCTTTTTATGCAACATGTAACATCTTCTTTTTACGCAACATGTAGCATCTTCTTTTTATGCAACATGTAACAACTGATGTTGTAGATAATGGCATTTATCTTTGTTTATGGTTTGGTATTTAAAGGAATGAGACTAAAGATATTAAACTATATACAGCATTTTAAAGAATTATAATAACATCACAGAATAGTGCATCTCAAAAGACAATGTCGCTATTTACAATCAGAGCCTAATATTGAATATGATGTGCCATATAATATATATACAAGTCTTAGTAGATAAATCTGCAATCGTTTCAGGTACTAAATTTCCACTCTGAAAAATTAGTGGCTGTTAAGAGAACTGGTTCTCTTCCAGGAGTGGGAGTTTTCAATTATTAAAAGATAGATCAAATCCTGTGATAATTTAGCATCAGCACATTTCTGATTGAAGGGTCTCTCCCATAAAGCATCTGACAAGGTCAAGAGGTTTCATTCCGTGCTGTTTACTCACAATTGATTTCTTTCCTCACTTTGCATTTTCAAGCAATTAATATTTTTCCTGTACTAAATGCACTCTACTTTTTGTTCCCTCTAACATGTTCTCTATTTCAGAAGTGAAGAAGAGAGAAAAAAAGAAAATAAATATGTTGAAGTGGAGATGTGAGGATCCTGTTAATGGAAAGATACTTTAATTTCATATATCTAAATTAGTCAGATAATGTTATTAAATTACTTATGTAATTTCCTCAGTTCTACTAGTTAATTCAGGTATATTTTCTCATTTTTAATTACTTAAATAGTTTGTGAGTTATAACTTTGAAGCGACCTTGAATCTTCTTGTCTCTGTGCATTATTATTTTAAAAATCTTTTCAGGATCATGCACTTTTGGACTCCAGCAAGCATTAACATCTGGAGGTGAAAGATCTAGAGGATAAAACACCTATGAGAAAAATTTCAAGGACAGGTAATTATTTAAAAAATTAATGAGCGCTGGTGGTTTTTACTGTGTCTGTCATGCAGATAGAGCATGAACATGAAAGACGAGAGAGAGAGAGGCAGAGACAGAGACAGAGATAAATATACATTTAATTCTATCCACTGATCAAACAATATAAAAATTTTGATCAGAAAGGAAGTTACATGTAACCTGTTCATCTATATTTCAATAAAAAACAGATTTTCTTTTAGTAGGACAACAAATTTGAGGATACCAAATCTTTTGCCAATGACACAAAGCAAGTAGGTGATTTTGTTCTAGTATAATCCACTATTAAGAGAGAGTATTAGAAACAAAGCCAGCACTATCTCTGTTTATTGTGATGTTTTCTATGAAAAGCCCTGGATTGATTGGCAACAAAGCAACTTATGAAAAGTTATGAAAAATGTTTTGTAGAATGAAACTGATTTCCATGATTAATAAAAAACACAAATGCTTATATTTTTCTTCTTGAATTAATGTTTTCTTTCGAATATTCAATGCTATTATTTAGTACATGTGTATTAGTTTGTTTTCATACTGCTTATAAAGACATACTCAAGACTAAACAATTTACAAAAGAAAGAGGTCTATTGGACTTACAGTTCCACATGGCTGGGGAGGCCTCACAATCATGGCAGAAGGTGAAAGGCACGTCTCACATGATGGCAGACAAGAGAAGAGAGCTTGTGCAGGGAAACTCCCCTTTTTTAAAAACCATCAGATCTCGTGAGACTCATTCACTATCACAAGAACAGTGCAGGAAACACCTGCTCCCATAATTCAATCACCTCTTACTGGGTTCCTTCCATTACACATGGGAACTGTGAGAATTAAAATTCAAGATGAGGTTTGGGTGGGAACAAAGCCAAGCCATATAATTCTGCCCCTGGCCCCTCCCAAACCTCATGTTCTCACATTTCTAAATTAATCATGCCTTCCCAACAGTCCCCAAAAGTCTTAACTCATTTCAGCAGTAACTCAAAAGTCCACATTCCAATGTCTTATCTGAGACAAGGCAAGTCCCTCTGCCTATGAGCCTGTAAAATCAAAAGCAAGTTAGTTATTTCCTAGATACGATGGGGGTACAGGGATTGGGTAAATATAGCCATTCTAAATGTGAGAAATTGGCCAATACAAAGGGGTTACAGGCCCCATGAAAGTCTGAAATCCAGAGGGGGAATCAAATCTTAAAGCTCCAAAAAGATCTCTTTTGACTCCATGTCTCATATCCAGGTAATGCTGATGCAAGAGGTAGGTTCACATGGTCTTGGGCATCTCTGCCCCTGTGGCTTTGCAGAGTACAGCCTCCCTCCTGGCTGCTTTCATGGGCTGGTGTTGAGTGTCTGTGGCTTTTCCAGTGCAAGGTTCAAGCTGTTGGTGGATCTACCATTCTGGGGTCTGGAGAATTGTGGCCCTCTTCTCACAGCTCCACTAGGCAGTGTCCCAGTAGGGACTCTGTGTGGAGACTCCGCCTCCACGTTTCCCTTCTGCACTTCCCTAGCAGAGGTTCTCCATGACAGCCCTGCCCCTGCAGCAAACTTTTGCCTGAGCATCCAGGCATTTCCATACATCCTCTGAAATCTAGGCAGAGGTTCCCAAACCTCAATTCTTGACTTCTGTGGCTTGCAGGCTCAACACCATGTGGAAGCTGCCAAAGCTTGAAAGCTCGCACTGTCTGAAGCCATGGCCTGAGCTCTATGTTGGCCCCTTTCAGCCATGGCTGGAGTGGCTGGGATGCAGGGCACCAATTCCCTAAGCTGCACACAGCAGGGGCATTCTGGGTCCAGTCCAAAACATGACTTTTTCCTCCTTGGTCTCCTGGTCTGTGATGGGAGGGGCTGCCATAAAGACCTCTGACATGCCCTAGAGACATTTCCCCCATTGTCTTGGGGATTAACATTGTCTCCTCATTGCATGTGAAAATTTGTACAGCCAACTTGAATTTCTCCTTAGAAAAGGGGATTTTCTTTTCTATTACATTGTCAGACTGTAAACTTTCCAAACATTTATGCTCTATTTCCTTTTTAAAACTGAATACTTTTAACAGCTCCCAAGTCACCTCTTGAATGCTTTGCTGCTTAGAAATTTCTTCTGCCAGATACCCTAAATTATCTCTCTCAAGTTCAAAGTTCCACAAATCTCTAGGGCAGGGTCAAAATGCCACCAGCCTCTTTGCTAAAACATAACAAGAGTCACCTTTGCTGCAGTTCCCAACAAGTTCCTCATCTCCATCTGAGACCACCTCAGCCTGGATTTCATTGTCTATATCATTATCAGTATTTGGTCAAAACCATTCAACAAGTCTTTAGGGAGTTCCAAACTTTCCCACATTTTCCTGTCTTTTCTGAGCCCTCCAAACTTTTCCAACATCTGCTTGTTACCCAGTTCCAAAGTTGCTTCCACATTTTCTTTTTTCTTTTCTCTCTCTTTTTTTTAATTGAGATGGAGTCTCGCCCTGTCACCAGGATGGAGGGCAGTGCTGTGATCTCGGCTCACTGCAACCTCCACCTCCCGAGTTCAAGTGATTCTCCTGCTTCAGACTTCCGAGGAGCTGGGACTACAGGTGTGTGCCACCACGCTCAGGTAATTTTTTTGTATTTTTAGTAGAGACAGAGTTTCACCATGTTAGCAAGGATGGTCTCCACCTTCTGACCTTGTGATCTGCCCACCTTGGCCTCCCAAAGTTTTCAGGTATCTTTTCAGCAGCACCTCACTCTACTGGTACCAATTTACTGTATTAGTCCATTTTCACACTGCCGATAATAATGTACCTGAGACTGGGCAATTCACAATAGAAAGAGGTTTAATGGATTTACAGTTTCACGTGGCTGGGGAGGCCTCACAATCATAGCAGAAGGTGAAAGGCACATCTCACATGATGGCAGATGCTTGTGCAGGGAAACTCCACTTTTTTAAAACCATAAGATCTCGTGAGACTCATTTACTATCATGAGAACAGTGCAGGAAAGACTCGCCCTCATAATTCAATCATCTCCCACTTGGTTCCTCCCAGGACATGTGGGAATTGTGAGAGTTACAATTCAGGATGAGATTTGGGTGAGGACACAGCTAAATCATATCAACATGCATGTGGAATGTTTATAAAAATTTGCTTTTGAATATGAACATGTTTTTTGTTAAAATAATTATATTTTATTCAGATGTTGACCCACTTGAATAGCCAGTTATTTTTATTTTTAACAGATAAAGTGCATTTAAAAAAGTTTATAGTAGATTATTTTTCATATTTTAACATAATAGGGTTGGCTCACTTTTCTCTTTTTCAACCTGTGGAGACAATTGTTACTAGCCACAGAAGAATTAGAGGGAATTGATACATTAAGGAAACATTTCTGAGCACTTTTTTTGTATGTTTTATTGTATTTGCTTTGTATCTTAGGTGTCAGTGTGTCTCCTAGTGAGCCTCTGACTTAATACCCTCTATCACTTTCCTGGAACTCCTGAAGGCTTATTTATCATCTCACAGGGTAAAGTATTGAGACACACAGTAATCATTCTTTATATTTTTACAGGAATTGGGATGTAAAACTTCTCAGTGGAATCTATAGAGGTCACCTAAGTCCTCTGCTCTCATATTCCCAGATTCATCCAGATTAAATACTCGTTTTTTCTTTTCTGAGAATGACAACTATTATTATCTTCACTGACTTCAATGCTCACTATTGCTTATAAAATATATATATTTTTATCATGGAAGTAGGGTTGAAAAATTTTTATTTGAATGTAATCACCATTACAATAAAAAATAAAGTAAACCATCCAAAGAAAACACACATACAAACACCAACGCAAGTGTGCAACCACAAAAGCACACACTAGTATTCTCCTTGATCTTAACTAGCAACTAGAAGAACTTATGCTCCTAGGACATCCACTATTCTGTGAAGTCGGTAGGATTGCCATGCTTTAATTAACTTCTTAGGACTGAGTCAGGTATGAAAACAGCCCACAGATTCTAATGCTTTTCATGTGCCTGCAGCTTTAACTGCTTTAATACTGTCTTTTGCTGAAAATCGCCTCCCACTTCTTTTTCTCAGTATTTACCTTGTAAAAGAGAGAACACAAAGCATTGCTATAGAACAGAGTGGGTGTTAGAGAGAAGAAGTAAGTGATGCATAGAAGGTGGAAAATACTTAGGCAAGCAAATGATTGGATCAGTGCCTGGGACTGCGAGGGCCCTGCTGGAGGTTAATATGAATAAGGTGTTATGCTTCATTGACTAAGTTTACCTAATTTTTTTATACATCAATATTGCTTTTTTATGATGCTGTTGCCTAACTTTGTTGCAATTTGCTATCTAATCTATAATGTCATTATTGCCTCAACAGTCATTGGGAAAGCCACAGGAGAGTGCTCTGATTAAACCTTAATTATTACATTGCTTTGTTATATGTACAGTGAGAATGTATACTGTCTACCACCACTATTGCTATAGTATCTTACATCAAAGCAGTAAAGACACCACATCTGTTTAAAACCAAATCTGCTATGTAGTTCTCATAATTAACTTCAAAAATCATAGAGATGTGTTTATCCTCTCTTATGTTAGCATCAAGGGAAGCACTTGGTTAACCTCATATATTACATATTGCCATAGACAATAGAAACTTCATAAATGAAAAATGTTCTGGTTTGTTTTAGGATATAGCTAAATGCTTGATTTTCTATAGTTAAAAGCTGCATTAATGTGGCTGAAATACTTTGAAGTAAGTAGAGATAAAACAAATCAGCAGGTATTTAAACTGAGGGCTATGAGGTGGAAAAATCACCACTTTCCCTTCAGGTAGAGGCCGGAAGATATATCTTTGTTAATGAGGTTTCATGCTGTCTTACTGTATCCTTAATCATTTAAAATGCAAATCCCAAAGAATGAAGAAAGAGCTATCAAATATATGAGAAAGTGGCTGATTTTTTAATAAATGATTATGCCATCTGCTTCCCTCATCATTCTCCCGGCTGTGAAATTCCACGTATGAAATTTCATGAAGTTGTGAAACTTCTCTTCTTACCCTTTTTATGTATTATAAACAACACACATCAGAAGTCAGCAAATGAAACACCATTTCTGTTTCTTTGCAATCTCTTCTCAATTCAGTTTGTTCATATGCTCATGCACACAGGAAGGTAAAAATTACCTTTCATGAACAGTTGGCATCCTTCTACTTATGAGTTATATTATTTTTATCATAGTGTTTCTGAATGAACAAGAACATTTATAAAGAATTATTTCAAAGTGACCTACTTTAGATAGCTGTAATACCCATAGAGACAAGCCGTGCCTGCAAAATTTTTCAGGTAATTTCATGTGAAATCAAGAATGCAGGAAGAGGGCTTTGTTTTTGTTTTCAGAAAATATATATATTTTTTTCTCAAGGAGAACTCAGGGTTGACTTACGCTCCACTTTCAATGTCGACTTTCTCCACAATATTTAAGAAATTTCTTTTTCCTCCTCCTCCTCCTCCTCTGCCGCCGCCTCCTCCTCCTCCTTCTTCTTCTTTCTTCCCCCACCTTTTTTTTTTTTTCAAATTTGCTCTTGGTTCAATCCATGCTGCAGCCTCCTTCTGCCTTTTCACTTTGCACTTAACCAGATACTTTTAGGTCTGTTTTGAGGCACCAATTGCCTCCCTGCTGTCCTTACCTTGAACTATAAACTGCTCTCCTTTCTGTCCCCATTCTGACCCCTGCAAGGGCTGAGAAGGCTGCCTTTACTGTCAATGCCAAATCCTTAATTCCTCTCAATTTCACTAACACATTCAACAACAAAGGCAAAGCAGTATGAAGCAAACAAACAACATAAAACCATTTCTGAAGTTGAAAACGAGAAGTTAAACCCTGAGTTTATACATGTGGTGGCTTTTTATATGACTGCAAAGTCCAACTTTTCCTTCTTTGGAGACTGAGTTTTTTTATGAACTGTTTCTTGGTCTTGAAATCTTAAAGACTTACTTGTGCCTGACCTTTCATATTTTCACAATATATACTTATAAAAGTCATTGAATTTGTGTTTAAATTTTACTATGCTTTGTCCCACTACACAACATTGAGGGTTTTTTTTCCATATGTCATTTGTTAATGTGTTAATGAACTCTTTAAGAGAAAGATCACTTATAACCAACTAATTGTTTTTGACCAATGGTGTGATTCTAAGTTTTCAGAGAACAGAAAGTCTCGAATAGCTATTTCGGATCAGGTGGAATACATAGTTTTTGAACTGCTCAAAGAAAATCAAAGATGGGATGATAAAGATGAGGCTGGATAAAGTATGTAAGACTGAGATCATTAAGTCATGTACAGGATGAACTTGGAATTTATTTTTATAAATACAGACATTTATTAAAACATTTAAAATAAGGAAATGTCTATCATATACGCAATAGGGAATAATCTGTTAAATGCAATGTAGAAGAGAGAATTGACAACGATGAGGCTGGAGGTAGATTAAAAAGCTCTTTAGGTCAGAGGGGTGAGAATGATGACTGTCTATGTTAAAACTGTGGCAATGGCTGGGATGGAGAATTTCTTAAGGAAGCAAAAGTAGAGAAGAGAGTTTGATTTAAAATATTCAGGATGTAAATAATATTATTCTTAAATTTTCAAATTAAAAAAACTGAAAAAATTCCCATTTGCAGTGCTGCCCTGCATATAATGTTGGGCTTCTAAGTCTCAGCCTAATGCCTAAATAAGTATTCGAGGCAACTTACAGTGTTTTCTTTTCCCTGGTGTTTAAATTACATTATATTTGTGTTCAACATTATTCTATGCAAACTGGCTTCTAACATTCTGGATAAATGACAATAAAATAAATCTGACTTTCCCCAACTTATATTAGTAGCTTTATATTATTTTAAATATTTAAATTATTTTATATAATCTTCAAAAAACTAAAATTACACATATAGTTTATTATGTATAATTTTACATTAGTTTTTAAAATATAATGTTTCAAGTAATATGTGTAAAGTAATAGACATGTGGGCATTGGGAGTCTATTTGACTTTTTATCAGTGCTCCTGAATTAAAATAAGAAAACCTGTCGATGAATGTTTTTTATTTACTTGTTTGTTTATTTATTTATTTTCAGCTTTCACAAGAAGTACATTTTTGTGTCTTAAAAATTAATTTGATAAATAGCTTTTAAATACTAAAATAGCAACTGATTTAAACATTTCTAAGAAGTAGATAAAGTTAATTATCGCAAACAAACAACTGTGTAGTTTATAAATTGCTGTTTTAAATCTGGTTGTTCATTGATTTTGTCATGTAACCCCAATACAATTTTTCTTCTGAATTTGAAAACTTTGAACTCTGATTTGTAATCAAAGCTCAGAATTCTACAAAGTAAGTTATGGGAAGTAATAAGAAAAAACCTACGTATGACTTATTTCTTAGTTAGAAAATTGCAAAATGGCTTTAAGCTACTCTGTAGGATGCCAGAAAAAGAAAAAAAAAGACTGAAATTTCAGTGGTTTTCACGTTTTTAATAAGCAGATAAAAGTTTTTTCTCCAGACTAATTTATGAATATGTATATTCAATCAATAGCAAGTTAGTGCCACAGAATATGGCATTATACTGGGCACTATGGAGGGCTTGCAGTGTAGTAAGGGACACAAAATAACTACTAAACAAATAGACTGGCATATGCCATAAGAAGCTCCAAAATATGTCTGTAAAATTCCAGAGGAAAAATAAACCCCAAGGATGATTGGAAAAGAAATCTAGCAGAGTGACACTAGAGCCAATTTATGAAGGATGAACTCATGCCAGTAGGAGGAGTTGGAGAAGAAAAGACACTCTAGGTAGACAGCAACATGAGAAAATGTGGGGAAGTGGAAATACATTGGATATGATGCGGTGGCTATGAAATACATTTTATAAATTCTATATTAAATAAGTAGGATAATGGAAACAAAGTTGATATTAAGTAATAAACTAAGAAATTTTAACTGAATTAGTCCAAGAAATTGAACAGAAAAGGAAGATACACATGTGGAGCCATTGAAAATAGTGAAAAGTTGACACAGAAGTGAAAGATTTCGAGCTGTATTTTAAGATGAATTTGCGAGCATAGAGATGGAAATTAGAGAGGTTGTAAAACAAGTCAGAAATGTATAATGTTATCTACATAAGAGGTATTGAGGAGCTAAACAGTGATGGTGACGATGTCAATTTGTAATGAGAAAATACCATCTTTTCCGGGGGGGAATTACATTGGTACATGGAAAGAATCTAATTGAAGAAAGTGTTGGTCTGCATTTTCTTTGATGGAGAAATAGAAGTGTGAATGGAAAGTCCCTTAAGGGTCCATATCTTATTGTGCATTAGGAGCTATTAATCCACATAAAGTTTTGCTAGTAGATTATCCATATGCAAACAGGCACCTACGAAATGTACTTCTATCAAAATACCATTCTTTCTGAGTGTAAAGACTTAGGCAAATGTGAGGAAGATGCAATATTTATTCAATATTTTCAAATCATTCACTTTATTTAGCACATTTCATATGAGATTTGGGATATGTATTCAATTATTAAAATCACCAACTTTAAAAAGCAGTGTTTTGTATTTAGCTAATGGATTGCACGTATTATATTTAAATTCACACAGACTCAGTTATTTTCTGAGCCCTGTATTGTTATGGAATGCCAAAATAAAGTTTGTGGAATAGAAATTGCTTGATATTATATGTCATCCACATCTGTCATCCCATCTCACTTCCTAAAGTTCATAGATATTAATGGAGAATCAACTAACTATTTAACAGAAATATGCATATTTACAGTGCCATATGTAGGCAACTCATGGGACACTTACTTTATTTTGCTAAACATAAAATTTGAAAATATATATATGACCTTATGTGTTAAAATATTATGATTGGGTCTCTCAATCTATATTTTACTTATCCTTCATTTGGAAATTTTACAATGCTTAAAACCAAAATTTCCAAATTCCCTTGCAGCTAAGGTTCTAAATGTGAATTAGATTTCACCTATTAAATGTTGTCCATCAGCCCTGAAAATTATAGCCAAGTGAGACCCTCTTCCTTCACTCTGGCTGTACCTACTCTTCAGAAATATCATGGTTATTGGGCAACAGGGCTGAGGGTTTATTCTTTGGCTTTCTAGAAGAAGTAGTAGCTCTTTGAACTCACTGCTCCCTCCATGTGTTATAGTTTTGTGTGTCAGTTTCAGTTTTGGTATCCAATCCTTCTCTGGTAGGAGAGGAGGCCTTATGGCCCACCTTGGATAGCCTTGCTTCAGAAGTGGACTACTTCAGATATTCTTAGAATCACTCTGGAGTCCCAGACTAGAACTGGCTTTTTTAGCCCTTCCAACAATTTTATAAGCACCTAATTTTAACAGCAATTTCTTTTTCCTTAGAGTAGCTTCTGTTTTCACTCCGGAGAGTAAATGACATAGCCTATAATATATTGAAATTATGTCAGTATCACTATCTGTAAGTAAATCTCAACGTTTTCTAAATATGTATGAGAACAACTTTCATGTTAACACTATTCACCTCAGAATACAGGTAACCACAGAGGAGGAGAAATGTGCTTTATATGAGTACTTTGACTGAAGCGTAGTAAAAAGCTAAGAAAGGCACAGTTAGTTTTATTGGACATGTAGTTTTGTGTGAGTGGCCATCCTTGAGAGTTCTTCAGTTTTAGACTTAAGGTTTTTCTGTTTTTTTTTTTTTTTTTTTTTTTCTCACTATTTCCCTGAGCTCTTCCATGAAGCAATCTTTTCTCATCTTCTCCCCTCCTCCTTGCTTTATTATTGTGTTTTCTCACATTTCTGTTATTTTTCAGTCATTTTCAACCCTATCATAACTCTGCCCCACTCTGCTATTAGATTAGTGCAGAAGTAATTGTGGTTTTTGATACTGAAATTATTGCTTTCTTTGAGGATTCTTTTCCTCTCAAAGAATGAAATTCTGAGATCGTGTTTGTTTTTTCTGGTGTGTAAAAAGGGAGTTGATATGTACATAGACAAAGTTTGCTAAAATGATTGCTTTAAAGAACAATGCCATCTAGAAGTAGCTATCCAGACATAACTGAATGTCAGAAGCCTCATGAAAGATTAAAGATGACTATTGAAATGGTCTTGCTTGTGGAGGTACTTTGCTGATTAGTTTCAGAAGAGGGGTCAAGAACCTTTGGCTATTTTCTTACATTGCTACATAAGACCTGTTGTGATTCAAAGGAAAAGGATAATTAGGTCAGTGGGGAAGCCTAACATAACTTGTCAGATAAAAGAAAGTGCCTTGGACTTTTATAATGTTTTCTAGACGTACACTCAGTCCACAGAGTTTGAATATTTATTATGTAAATTCAAGGTCTACAGAGAAAATCTTCCATATAAATGTTGGCAAGATAATGTACAAATCCATAGTCTTATCCTGCTATTTGTTTGGCTGAAATATTTTTATTACCATTAGTATAACTGTGTATTGTATCAAAATTATAAAATAAAAATATATGAGAACAATTAGGTAGCATATGATGTATCTCTTAATGATAAATATTCTTAAAAAGCAGCTAAAATTTTTTCTGATCTACTTAGTTGCGCGTAACTTGGTTATTATCACTGATGTGATCAAGGTAGCATTTGAGATACATTCACGATAATTTAAATCCTCAATACCTTTTTAATCCACATAATAACTGTTATTCTAATTGCTAGTTACGAATTACATGATTCCTAATAGGAGAATATTATTTTATGCTTTAAATAAATATTTTAATTTAAAATGGCATATGATATTGAGAGAAATAAAGGGCATCATATATATTCTGGGTGGAACAACATCTGGCAAACACATGATTGTAATATTCCTTTAGCTCTGAACATCACATGCAGATTTAAACCTTCAGCATAAATTCTCTGGAGTGAGAACACAGAAGAAAAAGTTAATGAGATTATTATATCTAACTGGACATTTTCCTTATCCGTCATTCTTTTCTCTAGTTGCCCATTATTAAACATTGGTGTTTATGACAGTCCTTAAAACAACATGGTTAGAAGTCCCCAGAGCTGATTGAGCCATTTGCTCGTGGGACACAATGAACCTCTGCACCTCCAGCTGGAACCTTTTATGTTAATGATGAATGTACTAATTAAAAAGGCCCATAGCTTTTTGTTGTTTTCTTTCCTTCAACTTTTTATTGACTTTGTGATGTCTCTTGATAAATAGAGTTTCTTAAATTTAAGAGCCTTTTTGTCAGGCAATAAAGTGCTCATATTTAAAATGTAAAGTTTGATAATTTTTGACATATGCATACATGAAAAACTATCAACAAAATCAACATAATTATCATGTCCATTACCCTAAATTTTCTTTATGCCCTTGTAATACCTCTTGCTTGTTGTTCTCTGCTCATGATATCCCTAAGCAATTGCTGATCTGCTTTCTCTCACTAGAGATTAGATTTCATATTTTAGAAATATATTTAAAGTGACTTGCAGAATGTGTACTTTTCTGTTTTTTTTTTTTTTGGCCTAGTTTCTTTAATCAGTAGAATTATTTTAAAATTCATCTATGTCATAGCATGTGTAAAGAGGTCATTCTCTTCTACTTCTGCGTAGTTTCCTATTGCATGGATATACCACAGTTTTGTTATCCATTCACCTGTTGGTGGATAATCAGATTGTTTTCACTTTTGGCTAATACAAACAGATCTGCCAGCATTTTGTATAATTGGTATTTTTTAGCTTAGCCACTCTAATACATGGATAGTGGTATGTAACTGTGGTTTTAATTTATAGTTCTCTAATAACTAATGAATGATTATAAGTATTTTAATATATCTTCTTTGGTAAAGAATCTGCTCAAAACTTCTGTCAACTTTTCTTTTTTCTTTTCCTTTCTTTTTTTTTTTTTTTTGGACATAGAGTCTCTCTCTGTCACCCGGCCTGGAGTGCAGTGGTGTGATCTTGGCTCACTGCAACCTCCATCTCCCAGGTTCAAGTGATTCTTCTGCCTCAGCCTTCCGAGTAGCTGGGATTACAGGCGCATGCCACCATACCTGACTACTTTTTGTATTTTTAGTAGACATAGGGTTTCACCATGTTGACCAGGCTGGTCTCAAACTCCTGACCTAAGTGATCCACCTGCCTCAGCCTCCCAAAGTGCTGGGATTACAGGCGTAAGCCACCACACCTGGCTACTTTTGTTGATTTTCATATTGTTGTTTTTTAAAATTTACTTTTGAAATTCTTTTATGTATTATGGTGACTCAATCAATTACATGCGTAACAAATAGTTTCTCCCAGTCTATGGCTTGTCTTTCATGATTTTAACCATCATTTCAGAAAAGCAGACATTTAAAATTTTTAGGAGGGCAAATTAATCTATATATTACAATTCTTGTGTTAAATCACAGAATTCTTTCTCTAACTCAAAGTCACAAAAGGTTTCTCCTACAGTTTTTCTAAAATAATTATAGTTTTAGATTTTACAATTGTGTCAATTATCATATTGTTAATTTTTCATATGAAATGCAGCATGGATTGCAGTTAATTTTGAAGTGATATTGCTTTTCCACAATAGCAAAATTTGTGGAAAAGAATCAAATACGGATTTTTCCAAATGGATTTTTCTGTATTAAATTGATGATTTTTTTTATTAATGTGTTAACATGGTTAATTGCATTGGTAGATTTTTAAATTTTAAACCAACCTTGCATTATTGTAGACTTCATTGGGTCCGTTTGCTAAGTTTCTCTATGAAAGAAAGAAAGAAAAGGAAAGAGAGAGAGAGAAAGAAGGAAGGAAGGAAGGAAAGAAAGAGAGAGAGAAGAAAAAAAGAAAGAGAAAGAAAAGAAAAAGAAGAAAGAAAGAAAGAAGAAAGAAAAGAAAAGAAAAGAAAAAATAAAAGAAAATTAGCTGAGTGTGTTGGTGTGCACCTGTAGTACCAGCTACTCAGGAGGCTGAGGTGGGAGGATTGTTTGAGTCTGGGAGGTCCAGTGAGCTGTGATTGTACCACTGTGCTTGAGCCTGGGCGACACAGCAAGACCCTGCCTTATAAAAACAAAAACAAAAACCACAAAACAAAAACAAAACAAAATTAAAAGGTAAAATAAAATCAACATTTTCTTATTTTAATAAGATACTCCTGCTTTCTTTAGACTCATATTAATATGATATATCTTCTTTCATTTTCTTACATTTAACCTATTTGTACCTTTATATTTAAAGTTTCTTCATTTTAGTAGGATGTAATTTGGTTTTGTTTTTTTGCATCCAGTCTAAACATTTCTGCCTTTTGGTTTGGACCACTTATGTTTTACTTTATTTATTTATTTATTTATTTTATTATACTTTAAGTTCTAGGGTACATGTGCACAACATGCAGGTTTGTTACATATGTATACATGTGCCATGTTGGTGTGCTGCACCTATTAACTTGTCATTTACATTAGGTATATCTCCTAATGCTATCCCGCCCTGCACCCTACAACAGGCCCCGGTGTGTGATGTTCCCCATCCTGTGTCCAAGTATTCTCATTGTTCAATTCCTAGCTATGAGTGAGAACATGCGGTGTTTGGTTTTCTGTCCTTGAAATAGTTTGCTCAGAATGATGGTTTCCAGCTTCTTCCATGTCCCTGCAAAGGACATGAACTCATCCTATTTTATGGCTGCATAGTGTTCCATGGTGTATATGAGCCACATTTTCTTAATCCAGTCTATCATTGATGGACATTTGGGTTGGCTCCAGGTCTTTGCTATTGTGAATAGTGCCACAATAAACATACATGTGCCTGTGTCTTTGTAGCAGCATGATTTATAATCCTTTGGGTATATACCCAGTAATGGGATGGCTGGGTCAAATGGCATTTCTAGTTCTAGATCCTTGAGGAATAGCCACACTGTCTTCCACAATGGTTGAACTAGTTTATAGTCCCACCAACAGTGTAAAAGTGTTCCTATTTCTCCATATCATCTCCAGCACCTGTTGTTTCCTGATTTTTTGATTTGCATTTCTCTGATAGCTAGTGATGATGAGCATTTTTTCATGTGTCTGTTCACTGCATAGATGTCTTCTTTTGAGAAGTGTCTGTTCATATCCTTAGCTCACTTTTTGATGGAGTTGTTTGATTTTTTCTTGTAAATTTGTTTAAGTTCTTTGTAGATTCTGGATATTAGCCCTTTGTCAGATGGGTAGAGTGTAAAAATTTTCTCCCATTCTGTAGTTTGCCTGTTCATTCTGATGGTAGTTTCTTTTGCTGTGCAGAAGCTCTTGAGTTTAATTAGATCCCATTTGTCAATTTTGGCTTCTGTTGCCATTGCTTTTGGTGTTTTAGTCATGAAGTCCTTGCCCATGCCTATGTCCTGAATGGTATTGCCTAGGTTTTCTTCTAAGGTTTTTATGGTTTTAGGTCTAACATTTAAGTCTTTAATCCATCTTGAATTAATTTTTGTATAAGGTGTAAGGAAGGAATCCAGTTTCAGCTTTCTACATATGGCTAGCCAGTTTTCCCAGCACCATTTATTAAATAGGGAATCCTTTCCCCATTGCTTGTTTTTGTCAGGTTTGTCAAAGATCAAGTGGTTGTAGATGTGTGATATTATTTCTGAGGGCTCTGTTCTGTTGCATTGGTCTATATCTCTGTTTTGGTAGCAGTACCATGCTGTTTTGGTTACTGTAGCCTTGTAGTATAGTTTGAAGTCAGGTAGTGTGATGCCTCCATCTTTGTTCTTTTGGCTTAGGATTGTCTTGGCAATGTGGGCTCTTTTTTGGTTCCATATGAACTTTAAAGCTTTAAAGTAGTTTTTTCTCCAATTGTGTGAAGAAAGTCATTGGTAGCTTGATGGGGATGGCATTGAATCTGTAAATTACCTTGGGCAGTATGGCCGTTTTCATGATATTGATTCTTCCTATCCATGAGCATGGAATGTTCTTCCATTTGTTGTTGTTCTCTTTTATTTCATTGTGCAATGGTTTGTAGTTCTTGATGAGGTCCTTCATATCCCTTGTAAGTTGGATTCCTAGGTATTTTATTCTCTTTGAAGCAATTGTGAATGGCAGTTCCCTCATGATTTGGCTCTCTGTTTGTCTGCTATTGTTGTATAGGAATGCTTGTGATTTTTTCACATTGATTTTGTATCCTGAGACTTCACTTAAGTTGTTCATCAGCTTAAAGAGATTTTAGGCTGAGACGATGGGGTTTTCTGAATATACAATCATGTCATCTGCAAACAGGGACAATTTGACTTCCACTTTTCCTAATTGAATACTCTTTATTTCTTTCTCCTGCCTGATTGCCCTGGCCAGAACTTCCAACACTATGTTGAATAGGAGTGGTGAGAGAGGGCATCCCTCTTTTGTGCCGGTTTTCAAAGGGAATGCTTCCAGTTTTTGCCCATTCAGTCTGATATTGGCTGTGGGTTTGTCATAGATAGCTCTTATTATTTTGAGATACAGCCCATCAATACCTAGTTTATTGAGAGTTTTTAGCATGAAGGGCCACTGAATTTTGTCGAAGGCCTTTTCTGCATCTATTGAGATAATCACGTGGTGCTTGTTATCTATATTTCATTTTAAATGCACCATCTACGTTTCACTTCTTACTTATCCAATCTGTTGTTTTCTTTTTCTACGTTGTCCTCATATTTTAAATTAAAATAAAATTGAATAAAATCTTTTAAATTTTATTTTTCTCGTGTTGGTTTATTAGATATCACTTTTTGTTATGTTATTTTAGAGTTTGCTTTCGAGGAGATATGTCACTTAAAGATATAATGTATTATCTTGCTTTTTTCCCATCCATAGAGCATGACAACATCGATTCTCATTGAGGAGAAACCCTGGGCAGCTCCTGCCACGCCTTGTAGGAAAAGGCCACACCCGAGGTTCCGGCATCAACGGCCACTGTGTGTGGCTGCTCTGAGTGAGGAAAAAATTTAAAAGAAAAACTGGTTCCATGTACTGTGAACTTGAAAACATGCAGACTCAGGGGGGTCCCTGATGCAGTGCTTCAGATGAAGAATGTGGACTTGAAAATACAGACTGGGCTAGTCCGGTGTCTATATTTAAACTTATTATTTTATTTTAATAAAGTTTAGGTAACATCTCCTGAAAAGCTTGTAGCACAAAGGCTCAGCTGGGGATACTGTTTGACTTTGGAGGAAAAAAGTTGCTATTGCCCGTTAAAGGCACTGGAGTTAGTGTTTTATCCCTAAATAATTTCAATTTTTAAAAGCATGCAGCTTCCCTCTCCCCTTTTTATTTTTGAAAGAATACCTTTGGTCATAAAGTGAAACCCATATTAGCAAGTACTTGGCAATGCTCATTCCAATCAGATGCAGCTTTCTCCCCTGTCTGGTCTCCTGTTTGCAATTGCTTCCTTCGTCTCAGTAGGAAAAAATTTGAGTGGGAGTACTGAGATGTGTGGATTTTTGCTATTGGACAAAGAATGAGGTTAGAAGACTGCAACTGGAAGTCTCTCTAGGTTTTCAACTATTTCTTCACAATTTGAACACTTGACGGTTGTCCCTTTTAATCTATTTGAAGTGCTATTTTTTTAAATAAAGGTTCATCTGTCCATGCAGTCCTCTTGGATTCTCTGAATGTAGTAACTATGAAGCTATGCCAAAGGTAGACAGAAAATGGGCTTGGGAGCCAGACATTCCGGGGATCAGTAGTTCCTACCCACAGTCTTTGTGTGCTTGCTAAATGGCGTACATTTCTTGTTAACCATGTTATTAAAACTTGATCAGCACATAAGCTTTCTTCTGTTAGATCTTTTGGCAGCAAACAACATTCCCCCCCAAGCCTCTGAATTTTGTGGGTGTGCGGTGCTGTGTGTCTGTGTATGCATGTACACACACACTTTGTCTAGCTCACTTTAAAAGATTCATCGAATGGGATTTTAAAAATAATCTCAAAAGAAATAGATATTTCAGGCTGGGCGTGGTGGCTCACGCCTATAATCCCAGCACTTTGGGAGGCCCAGGTGGATGGATCATGAGGTCAGTAGTTCGAGACCAATCTGGTCAACATGGTGAAACCCCATCTCTACTAAAAATACAAAAATTAGCCCGGCATGGTGGCATGCACCTTTAGTCCCAGCTACCCGGGAGGCTGAGGCAGGAGAATTTCTGGAACCCAGGAGGTGGAGGTTGCAGTGAGCCGAGATGGCACCACTGCACTCCAGACTGGGTGACAGAGTGAGACTCTGTCTCAGAAAAAAAGAAAAAAAGAGAAATAGTTGTTTCAAATATGAACATTCTTTTGGCACCTATTTTCTTTTTTAATTTGGTCATTTCCGAGATGTATGATCAACTGAAGATGGAGCTGAAATGGGAGACAGGTGGCCCCACTGTGCCCTTGAAACAGCGGAGCACTCCTCAGTAGAGAGGGAGGAAGCCAGAGCCTGAACAAGTGGTCGTCAGCTTGGAATGTTACTGACATATGTGACGAGAGGGCTTAGCCAGAAATATTTAAAGATGTAGTATTCCGGCCTGCGAGTTGTCTGGGCAGGGAAGTGGAGTCAGAAAGGGTAGAGAACTCTCAAATAACCCATGACTTTCACATGTGAACAATGTCACTGGTGACACATTTTCTAGGACCTTCATTTGTTTTGTGGACCTGCCTCAGTCTCCTCAGTATCAGGCAATCTTAAGGGAAGATGGAGTGTTTCAAATTGGAGAGAAGTTCATGGGTAGGTATCGTCCTGTGGAATTCTGAATGCAAGGAAGTCAGCCCCAAAGGCCTTGGTGCCCCCAGCTTTCTAAAACTACATTATTACAATTTATATGTATATACACATGCACATATAAACATGTGCACATTTATGTATGTGTGTATATAGTACCTTTTCTAAAAAAACATTTCCTTCAAGCTGCTAAGTAAAGGTTCTCAGAGGTTGAGCAGTGCTGAGAGGATGGTGTCTGCATAATGAAGACATGGATGAAGCCGAGACTATGTTCAAACTCACTGAAAACAATGAAGTTCTATTCCTTTTTTCTTCCCCTCCAATGATCTTGCAGTTGATTTCTGTTTGTTTTTTAATTTTTTAACAGTTTGTTTTAAACGTTGAAAAAAATGCTGCATCTTTCTTTAAGCCTTCCCAGCTACTTCTTGCCTTCTTTTTCCCTGTGGGCTTTTAAGTGAAGCTGCAGGATTTTATCTGTTAATCTGCCCTTTCTGCCCTTATCCTATTGAAAGGATGCCCTCTTCCCTAGCTTTTGGTCTAGGGCCTGGTTGGAGCTAACTAGGCTTGGCTGAGTCTGGGCAAGACCTTCTTCCGTTGCATGGACAAACCCCAGAGAACATGCAGAACATTGACTCTTCCATTGACTGTCTTTCAAGCAGCCAGTGAAATCACTAAGTGGGGTTTTTCCATGACATATTTTGTTAATATGGGTTTCACTTTTTCCAAGAATAGTCCCTTGTTGCCCCAATGTTGATTTGCTTTACACAATGACAGTAGGTATTAATTTGTAATTAAACCCATCCAGATTGTTTTAGGCTTTTCCCAATGGGGTGGGGGAAGGAAGAAGGATATTAAAATAAGTTTTAAGAAGAAAAAAAAATTGCATACCTATTACATTTTATAAATGAAATTAAGATTATATAATGTATAATTTTATATATGCATATAATATGTGTAACATTAACATCTTACATTTGATGGTTGTGATATATTTTTTATATTGTATAAGTATTGTATAATACTATACTTTTATTTCTTCCCTCCTTTGTAATATGTTCAGACATTTTAATTTTACATATGATATAACCCCCAAATACATTAATTTTTGTTTGAAAAGACAATTATCTTTTAAACAGGTTTAAATAATTTTAAAAAATGTTGCTTAATACTTCTTTTAAGAAGCATATAGTTAGGTCATGCTAGTGAAAATTATTGCATCTTTGGCATGATTGGAAAAAAATTTTTTCATCCACAATATTTTAGGGAATTTTTCATCAATATACCCCTCTTAGTGGACATATTTTCCTTCAGTTCTTTAAAGATCCTGCTAAGTTGATATCTTGCATTGTTTTTGACTACAGATTTTCAGTCATCCATATATTTTCCCTATGTGATCTGATTGATTTTGAGATTTTTTTTCACTATCACTAACTTAGATCAATTTGATTATGATATTTCATGGTGTATTATTTATATGTTCCTTGGGCCCAGCATCTACTGAGCTCCTTGGACATATAGATTTATATATTTTTAAATTTCAAAATTTTCAGCGAATTTTTATTCATATATATATTTCCATTTCTACTTCTTCCTGTTCTTTCAAGTCTCCCATTATGTACATATTAGAGCACTTGAAGATGTACCACAGTTACTGATCTCTATTTTTATTTTAAATTTCTTTCTAATTTCTGTTTTATTTTTAAAATTTTATTGTGATGTCTTTAAGTTTACTAATCATATCTTCTATAATGTCTAATAGGTAATTAATTAATCTCTCCCAGAGAATTTTTCCTCTTGCACATTCTAATTTCATCACTGGAATTTTTATTTATTTATTTGTTTAATATCTTCTATGTCTCTGCTTAACTTTTTGAGCTGTGAATAGAGTTATGATAACTGCTTTAATGTCATTATCTGCTAATTTGAAAATCTTTATCATTTCTGGGTAATTTTTAATTGATCATTTTTTATTATTATGAGTTGCATTTTCTCATTTATTTGTATTCTTTGTAAGTCTTTCTTGTATACTAGACTTTGTGATTTTTTTTGCCTTGTTCAGTGCTGGGTAACTTAAAATCATTATACAAATTTAGAGCTTTGTTTTGGGATGTTGTTTCTTGGAAACAGTTTTATTCTTTCGGGTCCTGCTGTGTAATACCACCTGCCACTGTATTATGAAGTTTTCCAGTCTAACCGATGGAAAAAGGCATTATTCCCAGCCCAGAATGCTTACTGATTACTTTTACCCCAAATGTGTTTGTGCGCTTCTTTCCTTAGGCTTAATTCCTTACCCTTACAGACTTACTAATAGACAGCTGAACGCTCGAGGGGTACTCTCTCTAGATTTCTGAAATTTTCTCCTTATCCTCTTTTCTCATTTCTGTATTCTTTCCTCCAAAGTTTACCTACCTTGGTCTCTGTACTTTCAGGTCTGCCTCTTCAACTCAGGATGCCCATTTGACTCTGCCTAGGTTCACTTTCCCTGGACCACATCTGGAAACCCTATAAAGCCTATAAGCTTGAATACTGACAAAACTTATTTTGTTTGTTTCTCACTTCTCAGGGATCACTAATCTTGGCTGAAGTCCAGTGACTTGAAAGCCATTGCTTCTCATTACCTGACATTTTTAATTTTTTTCAGAAGGGAGGTAAATCTGATCCCTATAACTACATCTTGATCATCAAAATCTTGAAGTAGAACTACTATCCACAGCTTTTTGACCTTTGCAATTTCCAGAATCAGAAAATATTGAAAACAATAACATTTTCCTCACCTCCTCAACATTCAACTGTTTCATGTTCTAACACATTTTGAATCATAAGTTACATTTCTGAAAGACGTTTAGTCTTGATAGGATGAATAAAACTGATTGCTCAGCCTTTAACTTTTCCAAATACATTGTTATCATTTTTAATTATTATTGATGCTGTTGAAATGGCACCACTATCCATCTCCTTATGCTTGTCAAAAAACTGGGAGCCATTGACATTCCTGTCCTTCATCATCCTTATTCATTTATTACCACGTTTAGTCAATTTATGTCATAAATTTTTCTGAAATATTTTGACTCCTCTCATTTTTCACAACCACATTCGGCCATCATCTTCATGCTAGAATATTGTAATTGTTTGATATTTAGCCTCACCTAATCTATTCTTGTCTTCCCAACAACTGCTGCTCAGACTGTGATTACAGGTAATTTTGAAACAAACAACTGATCCTATTATCACCTTTTTTAAAACATGTTATTAACTTCTTATGCTCTTAGGAAAATATTAAAATACTAGAGACCTATTTTAGCAATATGCCTATTTTAAAAATTAATTTAATTTTATTACCTTTAGTATAAAAACTCCTGATATATTTCTTTCTTATCACTAATTGCAACCGTAATTTTACATTGACTAATATGATTATTTGCCTAATGCATGTCTCTCCCGTCAGCTTATAAACAATATGTTCATTTATCTTCTAATCCCTAAAGTTTCCACAGTGCTTGACATATTTTAGAAATAAAAACGTGATTGTTTGGTGCTATGGTGTGTGCCTGTAATACCTGCTACTCAGCGGGATGAGGCAGTGGGTTGGCTTGAGCTCAAGAGTTCCAGGCTAGAGTGCTCTATGATTGTGTCTATGAATAGCTACTAAACTCCAGCATGGGCAACATAGTGTGTTGCCATCTCTAAAATAAGTGATGATTGAATTATACAACTTAGTTGTCACCTTTGTGCAATTACACATATATATATAACATAAAACTCTTATTGAATACTTCACAATGCACAGTGATCAATATTTTACATAGAGCTTCTCTTTACACTGAAATTAATTCAGTGAGCTCTTATTTAAACTATATGTACAAGAGAAAAAATTCAGAAATATTAAGAAATTTTCTGAGTCAAACACCCAGTAGAAAGCAGAGTGGAATTTAAATGAAGGTTTGTCTGACTCAAAAGATACTTAGTCTCAGTCAATATATTTCTCCTGTACAAAATTTGAATAATTAAACAACCAACTTTTGCAAATAAAACCACACATTTTTTACCATATACTTTAAGTTCATTGCTGGGCAAATTCTTATGTGCACATACATATTTTGCTATCATCCTGTATGTAATAATTCACCTCATTGAGAGATGTTTAGTGTCATTTAATGTGGTATTTCTGACAATTTTCCCAAGTGCACAACAAATTACAGTATAATGAGAAAATTATAAGAATGGGATGCCTGGTTAACAATTCAAGGCTTGTGTCCAGCTATAAATGTAGCAGACCTCTAGCATTTTAAATATTGGGAGTAAAAAGCAACTTGAAATTTTTCAGGGTCAATATGGCATAAGGCAAAAGGAAACTATATTGTGAGGTTCTTCTAGCTATGCCTCTTGTTGAATGAATGACTTTTTATTAGCGGGGTGATACTGCCTCTCCTCATTCATTCCCAAAGTTGGGTGAAACAAATGGCCAATAAAATAATTTTTAGGACAAATGTCCTTTTGTCACTGTTGTATTATAAGTTTTATTTCAATACTCTAAGGAATATAAATATCTAAACTATGAATGCAGAATAAGGTCATTAAAAACTCTCTAAGTGCTCACATTCTAGTTTAGTAGGAAAACTTCTAGTAATCTTCGTGAATTCCTTCTCCCAATTTCTCTGACAAACTCATGGATTTCTTAAATCTATCTACCATGGACTCTTCCTGCAGGATGACCTGAATCTTGGTGTACTCTTGATGCAGAGTTTTGCAAACAGAAAATCCTAATTCAAGACATGTTTTGCCTGCTATGTTTGTCTTACGGATTTTTGATGAGCTTATGTGTTGCTAACACAGCCTGCTAAAACTTTGGCAATTGAGTTGATACTCTGCTTGCTCCTGCTCTCTCTAGAAGAAAAATCTTTACATCACTGCCATTCAGATATCAGAGTATTATCTCTCTATAATAAATTTGAGGTGTTCCTTAATTCTCCTCTACTTCAGTGTTCTTCCAATACAGGATATGCACTCAAAGAAAATAGCTAAATGGGAAAACTTTGTTGTATTAATAAATATGTAATGCCCAGTAAAAGAAGGACTAATAGAAGGAAAAAAAAATGTGTTAAGTTTGGATTCCCCGGTACAAAGGTATAGCATAATCAAAGCTAGTTTGGAAAACATGGCTTTTACTTGGTATTAAAATGCCATCTCCCCAATTTTTACTTTAAAATGAAAATTTAGATTCATCTGCTCAGGTCCCCCTATATACTGTGAGATAAGACTAATCCTATTGGGCATACTCCAAGGCTAGTGAGCTGCCCGGGTGGCTACATCACTTACCTTACTTCGGAAAAAAAAAGAAAGTACTTGGCCCATCCAAAACTGGCAAAACAAGCCATGGCGGGTGTGTTTTGTCCCATGAAAGCGAGAAATTAAAGACAGTAAAATGATACACTATATGTAAGCCTCACTGTCATTTTACCTGTTGATAGGGTTCTTGTCTATTAGTGAAATCAGGCCCAGTAAAGGCTTTCACCACTAATATTAACAAAGTCACCCAATGGGGAAGGATGAACAGAAGGCAGAAAGAGAGCTCCCCGCAAGTCTTGGGTATGACAATAAACTCATTCCTGGGCCAGAATTGCAGTGTGAGGATATTGAAAAGGGTACAAATACTTCTCCCTATACCATTACAGAGCTGATTCCTGGAGGATTAAAAGAGGAAGCTTCTTTTCTCTAACTACATTTAATCAGGGGTACTTCATAAAACTTCCTGGGAGATGTCAAAATGTATAGCACTAGGGAAATAAATCCTCGAGTTCACACAGAGAACCATTCCTCTCTAGCTCCCCTGGAGAATGAAAGTAGTTGGGCTGCATTTGGTTCTAAAGCTAGGTATATGCTCTTCCAGGATTACTTTATTTATTTGACAATTCGGGACTCTGTAGTAAATTGATAAAAATACAGTGTCTAGACTATCAACCTCCTAAATGAATGTATCTAGTAGTGTACATTTATCTTTAAGTGGTCCATGAATCTATTCTTATAATCTGTCTGGGGGCAGGTGTGTAGGCACAGTGTGAAGTGGTATGATCATTATCAGAGTCTTATGCATTTGTCCTCAGGAGGAACCTCTATTCCTACTAGAGTTGAATGATGAGATATATTGAAATGCTATTAGCAGCTAATGTAGTAAACACTTTGAATTTTGCTCAACATTATGCAAATGTGTTGACATTATGCAAATGTACTGGCATACATTATCTCATCTAATCTTCACAACAAACTTAAGAAGATTTCAAATATAATCCTTCTTTCATGAATAGGAAAACTAAAGCCTGGAGAAAAGAAACAATTTAACCAAGATAATATAACTAATATGTGAGGCACCCAGAACTAAAACTCTAGATCCAAGGGCAATAGGCACTATTTAGCTTCATTAGAGAAAATCAGAGACATTTCTGCCTTAACTAGACATGAATGAAAACCAGTTCTACCTGCCAACAGTTTCTAATTGTAAAGTTTTTACTAAAATAAAAAAGTACCATATAGTTATAAAATTATAAAATAATTTAATATGTATTAGCAACATGAACTAATTGTAAGTGCACATATATCATTTTGGACACTAAGTGCTTGTAGCTGACAAGAAACATGCCTTTTCTTTTTTCTCATTCAAAAACTTTATGTTTGGTTTTCCAGCAATGGAAGGAGATTGTACATGCTTTTCTTACCTTAGACCTGAAGTTACTTTCAAGGTTTTGACAACTAAAGCTCACAGCTTGAAATATGCTGTCTGGCATTGGATATAAAGATTTTGAGGAGGATTTATTGCTCAAGAGAACTGTAATACTTGGGCTATTGTAAAATAAGTAGAAATATTAAGAGCAGCAGTAACTCCTCTTATCAAAAAAGAAGAACTTGTGGAATGTTAGGATGTTATGGGTGTTATTTTTATTTTAAATATTTTATTAGGAATTTGAGATATATCATAATCCCTAGTGCAAAATCAGAGTACTTTCCCCTATATTAAGTGTAGGAACATTCAGGGGTGAGCTTAGGTATCACATCACAAAGCAATATGTGAAACTATCCTGCAAGGGTAAGGTTCAAGTGCTAGAAATCTGCAGAGAGAACTGTTGCAATATGTAAAACAGAGGAGAGGGCCCATTCTGAATTAGAAAGCTGTTTGTGTATATATACATGGCACTCCCAAAACTCAGGAGATGTTTATACCGATGTTTACACTATGTAACTTTGATAAATGGCTAACTTATACAAGGCTGGGGGTTGGCATAGAATTAAAAAGTTGAAAGATTTAATGATGATGTTTCACTTACATATTTTATGAAGTGCCAGTTACTACTCAAAGCACGATCTACCTTAATGCAAACTCTAGAAGTAAAAATTCTGCATATTTGTGCCGAAAATGTGACTACTTTGATAATGCCTGTCTTACATATGAAAATCTCTTTGTCAGTAGTGAACAAAGGGATATGGCTATTTGCCAGGCTTAGGGAGCCAAGTGAGGGTTCCAAGTTAATATTCAACAAAGAAAATATCAATGTCAAAGTAAGAGTTTTGAGAAAAACTGGATCATAGACCTTAGTCTTTGTTTTTCTTTGCCTACATTTCAGTAGATGCTCAGCTTCTCAGATCCAGTGACTTATTAAATATTATAGAGTAAGTTTTCTACTAGACTTCTTGCCTGGATAGTGTGTCTAACCACTGTTGGAAGCCCCATCAATTAGAGAATCTTAGACATCTCAATCCCAGCTGGAGGAAAGACTAGAACTAGGATGAATGCAATTATTCTCATGATGAATTACAGATATTATTTCAAGAAATTGAACAGAAGACAAGACTGATGTGGCTTGGGACAGAGAGACTTATAAATGATCCTGTAGGGATCATGAATTAAAAGCTCTCAGAAATGATATTTCCACTAAAGAATGATCATTAAGGCAGTCTGAGATAAGAATTGGCAATGGCAGGTTAACAATTGGATTCTTTAAAATTTAAAATTACCATTTTTCCCCTATAAAATCTATGAGTGTATAACTTCTTTTTTGTCACTGTAAAGAATGTTATCCAAGAGGAAAAATGCTAGAGCAGTCGTTCTTAACTAGGGCCATTTTTTTTTTTTCCTCAGGGGAAATTAGGCAATGTCTGGAGACATTTTTGGTTGTCACCAAAATGTGGGACAGTGGGTGCTACTAACATCCAGTGATGCTGTTAAGCATCCCACAGTACAGAGCAGAGTTTCCAACAACAACATTATTCAGCCCCACCCACATGCTAATACGATCAAGCTTGAGAAACTGCACAAAGCAAAGTTTATAATATTTATATGAGTCACTACTGCTATGATCCAGCTTATTTTTAAGTATCTATTGGCACACTTGAAGTTAATAAATAGCTAACTTGGTAAACAAAACTGCTATTGTAAACCTTTTGGAAATGTCTCCTGTCAATTTATAAATCTGTCTCTGTGTGTGTATACATGTATACATTGAAATTAATGTTTGAATATGGATTTCACTTTCTATGAAGCCAATTAGACTAAAGGTCTTAAAGATTGAATTATGTCTTGCTTATATTTCCAAGTCCTAACAAAAGTCCTTTTTATTTTTCCTCTGGTCTAAGACAACGTATGTGCAAATAAGTGAAGAAGGTTTGTGTCTTGTTTATGTTGTGTTCTGATGAAAATAAACTGACAGGAAAATAACAAAATAAGCAATATAGTATGACAGTTGGTATCATGCTTGAGACTTTGTTTAATTTTATATTCTCTACTTTACCAGCAGTGTGACATTGGCCTCAGTGTAAGTAATGCCTCAATGCACTGATTTGCTTACATATAACATGAGGATAATAATATTGTACAAGGTTGTTATAAGAATTACATGAGTATATATATTTAAAAAAATAAAAATAAATAAAAAATAAAAAACTCTGCTGGGCACAGTAGTTCATGCCTGTAATCCCAGCACTTTGGGAGGCCTAGGCGGGCAGATTTCTTGAGTTCAAGAGTTCGAGAACAGTGTAGGAAACATGGTGAAACCTCTTCTCTACAAAAAAGTACAAAACTTAGCTCAGTGTGCTAGTATGCACCTGTAGTCCCAGCTACTCAAAAGGCTGAGGTTAGAGAATTCTATGAGCCCAGAAGGTTAAGACGCTGTGAGCCCTGATCAGGCCACTACACTCTAGCCTGGGCAACAGAGTGAGACCCTATCTCAAAAAAACAAAACAAAACAAAGAAAAAATCTTTATAGAAATGCCTGGACATATAGTAAATTTTATTTACTGCCATATGTATCCTTTCTTCTTCCCAAAGTCTTTGATAGGTGATAAAATTTGGCAGAGCCTAGAACATTTATTTGACCTCAGGGTTTCTCCCAATATCTTTATGAGAAAGAACAGACATGGTACTTCATTTTTCTCTATATGGAGTGAAAGAGTAGGGTCTACAGCAGATGAGAAATTGTGTTTTTCTTCTAGACTCAAGGAAAATAATGAGGATCTCAAGATTGCCTGAAAGGCTCTTCAGGAAACCAGTAAATTCCATCAGAGATGGACTACGTGTATTGGTTGAGTGTTATCTTGTGAGGGTCTATAATATCTTGCTGTCTTCAGTGAACTCCTAGGTAACTGCTCTTGTGAGCTGATTGCCTATAGTCTCACTGCTTGGAGGAGAACTTTTGACATGCACAAGGAAAGCTTGGGAAGGGAGATTCCTGCTGTGCATCAGCAATACAGTAAATATCCACCAGCTTTTTCTCTACCTTCTTCCTAGAGAAGAACCTACCATTTCTTTTATTTGTCATTCACTTTGCCACTGAGAAAGGAATCCTAACAGAAAGCATCAGGGCTTACCGAACTCAAAGTATAATTAAGAAAAGAAAATAATTACAACTCAATTAAGGAAACATGTTAACAAGCAATGAAGATGTATGTTCAAGGTGGACATTCAAAACGAAAGCCTCTCTTTAAAGTTTATTAAATGAAAGAGAGAGAATTTCATTGGGAAAAAACTAACAGCAACAACAAAAAGTAATGAGAAAGCTCACACATATGAAAAAAATGTTTACTGAACCAAAAGCATCCCATAATTTAAAAATTTTAAAGTCAGTAGATCAACTGAAAAATAATAGTTACTATTCAGAAAAAATATTATTGAGAAAGATCAAGTCAATATATATAAATGGTGTTTTTCTTTCTGCTTTCAATATATATGGAAATTGAATTCATAAGAAAAATATAATGCATACAGAGAACAGAAGAAGAAAATTGTGAATGCAAATTATGGGAATAATATAACAGAAAACATTTGCAGAGACCATAATTGAACATAAAAGAAATTCCTTAAGCTAAAATAAATCTGAATTAAAGAAACTCAATAATTTAAGAAGAATTTATTTTTAAAGAGTTGCTCTTAGACATAGCAATGATATTTTTGAATTTCCAGGATAACCAGATATCTTAGCAACCTTCATAGCAGAAGAAAACTTTACTGACAAACATTTTATCTGCTGTACTGGATACTAATGACAATGAAAGGACATCTGCAAACTATTGAGAGATAATGATAGCAATTCAAGAAATCTCGATCCAGCCAGTATATCTTTTCTCTGTCAACATAAAAATGCTACAGTTAGACGTGCATGCAAGAATTCAGAAAATATTTACTCACATGCACTCTCACCCAAGTATCAGTTGCATCAGTATGGATATTTCAAGATATGAAAGTTACAATAAGCAAACAGTGGTTAGCAAGAAGTCTTACACTACTTATGACTAACTTCAGATAAATGATAATATTGTAACTGTAGTTAAAAATATAAATAATTAAATAATTGTTACTGAAGTAGAAGATAAAATGTATGGAAAAATATATACTGACCCAGAACTAAGAGGATAAAGACAGAGCTAATCAGGAGAGTAAAGTAATTCTAATTGAAGATTTCATGTTGGAGGAGAATGAAACAGAAAAGTAAATTACTCAAAGCAATTTTTTTTTTTTTCTAGAGACAGGGTCTTGCCCTGTTGCCCAGGCTGTTGTACTTTGGCATAACCATGGCTTACTGCAACCTCCTGGTCCAAGTGATACTCCTGCCTCAACCTCTCAACCTCTGGGGTAGTCAGAACATTTCATTTCATTTTGATGTAAAAGCTGTTAGTGAATAAATCATCTGGATAACTAAATTTGAAATCATAAAGAAGTACAACTTGGATTTGGCAAAAGTAAAATGCAGAACAGAATTTTGAAACTAGGAAGGATAAAGGATGGATGAACAAAATTGTAACAAAGTAACAGATATAAATAAGAAGAATCAAATTGAATGCCAGTTAGTTATTATATTAAACGTGGATTCATTTAATCCCTTATTAAAATTCGGACATTATCAGATTGGGTGTATTGGTTAAAGTCCCCTTGTGGACTGTAAGCAAACTGTGAAAGAACCACTGTGATAGAGATAGAGCCAGACAGAATGTGAACAGGCCTTCCCACAGGAGTTCCTAAGTTTTTGTAAGCCCCATAAACAGACCTGATCATGTTGGCCAGCTGGTTGTTCTCTAAATGTTTTGAGTCCTAAAGGCTTAAAATGACCTGGCTATTGGAACTTGAATATATTATAATTTTATCAGCCTGACTTTAGTCTTCAATGCCCTTTTTGAACTGTGAGGAAAAAGATAATTCACTTAGGAATCTCTGAGATTAAATAAACTCTCAGCATGTGTTTTAACAGCCTGAGGGATGGCAGTATCTTACTCTACTTCATCTTTGGCTATTGAACTTCCCTTCCACTGGCACTCAGCACAGTGAAGGATGGATTGCTCATGTTTGGCCTGTATATTATGAGGTAGATTCTCTGTAGAAAGAAAAGAAACAATTTCAGTCCCAACTCTAGAATTATAAAACTAGCCCACAGTAAGGTTAGTATATAGAAAAAAAGGCAGTCAGCTAGATATTGTTCACAAGAAACAAACTAAAAAAATAAAAATAAATAAAACACTAAAAAGAGAAAATTCAGGGTCAAACAAATATAGGCTAAGCAAATACAAATAAAGAAATCATAGTTACTATAAATGTTAGACAAATTGAAGTTGAGGGCCCAAAAGCATTATATAGGAGAAAGAGTGCCATGTGTAATTATAAAATTTAAAATTGATGAACACAGTAAACATTTATGAACCAAAGACAAGAAGTGAAATATATGAATGAAAACCACTTAAAAATACAAGAACAACTCATAAAACAAGAGTAATGGGTGATTTAATATACTCTTTTCAGACTGTAACAAGACAAATATACAGAAAACTAAATATATAGCTATAACAGAAGATTTAAACATATATAATCAAAAAGCTTAAATATTTATGTGTTTACAAACATTACATATATATAATTTTGTTGTCTAAAGAGAATACACACTTTTTAAAATATACATACCTCACTTACAAAAATGTATCCTATAATGTATAAGGTATAAATATACTTTTATTTATTTCCAAAAGGGTAAATATTTTATAAGATATAATTAAATGAAGCCTATAAATCAAGAGTAGAAATATGGTCTAAAAAGTTTTGGATTTAAAAATTAAGAATTATTCTCTAAAATAACCATAGAATATTACAAGATATCTAAAACAGAAACCAACTGAAAATAAACCAGAAAATAATAAAACGCAAAGCAATTCAGTAAACCTAGGGAAATCAAGTAAGAATGGATTTAGATAAATAGTTGTCACTGTAAACGTATTCATTAAAAGAGTCAAGTTAAAAGTATATAAATTAAAAATTTACATTGAGAAACTGAACAAAAGACCACAAGGCAAATCAAAGTAATTGAGAAATTAAACTATTACAAAGGAAATACGAAAAAACAGAAAGAAACAATAAAATCAAATTATTTTTAAAAGGCCAACAAATCTTTGCCTGCTTGACTGACATCAAAAGAAAGAGGCAAAATTTACGATGGTTTTTGTTATTGTTTAAGCATTGTTATTATCTACAGTCATTCTATTTTTTTTAAGTAATAAAACTTTGGTTTTGTTTACTGTCCTTTGAGTGATGATGGTCTTCAGGAGAGCCATAGGTGGTGAATCTTGATGCACAGTTTAAGCGAATAGAAATAAACTCAATCATCTTGCAAAGACCTTGGTTTAGTTACAGACGTGGCAAAATTCTTGGACATAAGAATTGAGGGAAAGGCAACTACATGGATTTTGAAAAAAGAAATTCCTTCAAAATGGGAAAATAGATAAGATTATTACATTTTCTGCCTAAAGATGCTGTAATATATCCAAAAACTCTGAAAAATTTTCAGTTGTTTTTAGGTAATGAGAGGAGTCAGTCTGAGATTGCTTCTTCAAATTGTGCTGTATCCCATAGTATCAACATCACCTGGAAACATGTTAGAAATACAAAATCTAGGGCCTACTCCAGCCCAGAACTACTAAGCAGAAACTCTGTCTTGTAACAAGTCTCTGATTTTGATGCAGGATAAAGTTTGAGAACCACTGCTTTAAGAGGAAAAGTGCTATGCTAAGAATGGTTGAGGGGAGGTGTTCGAGAAAACTGGCCATCAGTGATGTTGTTGAGCTGTTGATTTAACCAGACTTAGGTCTGTCTTATATCCAGATTCCTTTTTAATTTTTGTTGACTTGTTGTCCGATGCATCTTGACTTATAACTCAGAAATACAAAAAAAAAGAAAAAGCTAGCAATGGAAAATTAAAATTATAAGAAAAAATTACATGCAATACAATGGCTATACATTAGAGAAATCTAGAGTAAATTGATTATTTTCTAAGAAAATATAATCTAACAAATAAATACAAGAGGATTTAAAAATAGAATATCAGTGAAGTGATCAGAAAGGCAATAAAAGCTTCACCTTTCAAAGGGAGACACTGAACCTTAACGGATTAACAGTGGATTCTATTACATAAAGGTAACTTCTTTATATTTTCAACTATAATAATAGTTAGAATGCAGAGGTGGGCGGATCATGAGGTCAGGAGTTCGAGACCATCCTGGCCATTATGCTGAAACCCCATCTCTACTAAAAATACAAAAATTAGCTGGGCGTGGTGGCACATGCCTGTAGTCCCAGCTACTCGGGAGGCTGAGGCAGAATAATCACTTGAACCTGGGAAGCAGAGGTTGCAGTGAGCTGAGATCGCACCACTGCACTCCAGCCTGGGCGACAGAGCAAGACTCTGCCTCAAGAAAAAAAAAAAAAAACTTAGAATTCAGCTTAAACTTAATGTTGTAACAAATAAAGATAATACAAATGTAGAGTCACATAAATACAAATAAAACATGCAAAATAAAATATTAGCATAGTGAAGCTAGCAATTCATAAAAACAGTATAATATAATTAGTTATTTTTTATTCCAAGAAATTCATTGCAAAGAAAAAATAATTTTTAAAAAGTGAATTTATTTAACAATAGATTCCAAAAAGCAAATTGATAAAATGCATCAGTAGTCCATAGTAAAATTCTAAGTAAAATATAAATAGAGGGAAACTAAACAGGATACAGTTAATTTTTACAAGCACAATAGAAAACATCAGACAACATGTTGAAGTACTAAAGCCTTTTCTGCATTAAATTCAGGAGGAAAAAATGAGTTATTTTTTCTTGCTATTCTTCATGGTTAGGGAAAGTTTCCATACATTTTGGAAAGCATTGCCAGATTATTTTATTTTATTTTTGGGGGGGAAGATAATTGGATTTCTAACTTAAGAAAAACTAAGGCCAGGCGTGCTGGCTCATGCCTGTAATCCCAGAACTTTGGGAGGCTGAGGAGGACGGATCACGAGGTCAGGAGATCGAGACCATCCTGGCTAGCACAGTGAAACCCCGTCTCTACTAAAAATACAAAAAAAAAAAAAAAAAAAAAAAATTAGCCGGCTGTGGTGGCAGGTGCCTGTAGTCCCAGCTACTCGGGAGGCTGAGGCAGGAGAATGGCGTGAACCCGGGAGGCGGAGCTTGCAGGGAGCCGAGATCGCACCACTGCACTCCAGCCTGAGCGACAGAGCGAGACTCTGTCTCAAAAAAAAAAAAAAAAAAAAAAAAAGAGAGAGAGAGAAGTAAAAAGAAAAAAAAGAAAAACTAAGAGTCTTTGGTTAAAAAAACTTGAATAAGTGAAAGATTTTCATAGTTTGATATAAGATAAATAAAAAAAAGTTCTCCAAATCAAGAAAAAGCTACATACAAATCGAAATAAAAACATACACATACACAGATGCATATATTTAAAAGAGTGGCCAAAGAAGTAAGAACGTGAGGAAAAAAATGTAATGAGAAATGTAGCCCTAAAATAAGAATTACAGGAAGGAAACAACCAATTTTTAAGGACATTAAAACTATAAGAAGAAATAGAGAGTTATGTTCTTACTGGGAAGATTTAATTTCAAAAAGAAATAATTCCCCCAAAATAATGTATAACTGTAAAGAAATTCCAGTTACTGTCCCCAAGGATAGTTTCCTAGATTCTAATATTAATTGGTCAAGGCCAAAATTCCGTAAATGAAAAAATATGAAAGGAAAACAAAGAATTATAAAGGACCCAGTTTACCAGATATTGAATTTGTTTATAAAACCATTGTAATTATAACATAATATTGTCTTAGGAATAGTGAATTAGATTAATGTAACACAATACATAGTCCATTAAAATTAACACAAAAATAAGTTTACATTTCAATTCAGTGGGGAAAGGGGAGGATTATTAATAATCTTACCTTTCTTTTTGTTTTTGTTTTTTTTTTTTTTTTGAGACAGAGTCTTGCTCTGTTGTCCAGGTTGGAGTGCAATGGCACAATCTCGGCTCACTGCGACCTTGGCCTCCCGGGTTCAAGTGATTCTTTCACCTCAGCCTCCGTAGTAGCTAGGATTACAGGTGCCTGCCACCACACCCAGCTAATTTTTGTATTTTTTGTAAAGACAAGGTTTTGCCATGTTTGCTAGGCAGGTCTCAAACTCCTGACCTCAGATGACCCACCTGCCTCAGCCTCCCGATGTTCTGAGATTACTGGCATGAGCCACCGTGCCCAGCTTTAATGATCTTAATTGATCATCCATCTGAAAGCAAGAATATATTTTCTGTGTTTTTATTTCTCTGCTGTGAAGGAATAACTCCTAACACATCAGTAATTTAAAGACAAATTATATCACACAGAAATAAGAAAAATATTAGAAAGAAAAAAATCCTTTAAAAAAACACAAGATATAGACCATCCTCTCTAGCCAGAAAGAAAGCCCATGACCAATAAATATATCTATATTTGGCAATATAAAAATGTTTAAAAATGGTGAAATTTACAATAAACACAGCCAAAGAACAAATGAAACATTGTTAAAAAATATTTGCAGGCTATATGAAAAAAATTATTAATGATTCTGATTTTTAAAATAGCCCAAGAAATAAATGAAAGAAATGCATTCTGGAGAAAAGTATGAAAGGAATATGAACAGAAAGGTCACCATGAAAGTTAATAATATCTTTAGAATTGATAAATAAAATGCAAATTAAAATAACATATGAGGTTGACAAAAGGAATGTCTTCTATGAATGATGAGAATATGGGCACTCTCATATGTTGCTGAATATTTCCGAATTGCTATGCCATATTTGAAGACTCATAATATTTATCAACATTAAAAATATGCATAACCTTTTCATTATATGAAAATTTGAGATTTCAGGCCATAAAAATAAAATTTCTCATGCAAATATATACATTTATATATTTATATATGTACATATAAGTGTATTGTACAGTGCAGTTTCTATTGGCAAAAATAGAACATATTTACTTCCTTGAACAGTAAATAATTATCTTGGTATTATTATGCTATATTTATAGGATTATTTCAATTTTGTTGCATAATATTTATAATTTTCAGGTAATTTATGAAACTTACCATTTCTCCATAGTATTATTACTTCTGTGCCACTCAGTTCACCAATAGCACAGAAATGATTACTGTGTTGATCATTGGATCCTCTCTGATTAATAAAATTAGGCATATCTTTCTTTTCAGAGCTAAAAATGGAATATACCCATATTCCATTCCGTCTTCTTCTAAAGATGGAATACACCTGTTCCTAAATTTGAAATTCCTCCCATAATGCTGATACACAGTTGTTTCTTGAGTGAATTACTGATTATTCTAATATGGGTATATCTCAACAACCAATTTACATTGAGGATATGTTTTAGCACACTCAAAACATATATATGTATATTTATATAGATTAATAAACTTATATATTGGAGGCAATGTAAATATTTTCTGATCTTCAAATTTAGGCCATATATTTTTATAAGTATATTATTATGGGTTTTCTATACAAATTAGTTTAATCGTATTCTATGAAGTATTCATCCAGATTGCCACAAAACTGATTGTCACACAACTGGCAACATCAAATACATATATTTTATTTTTCTTTATCCTGTTTTAACAGTCTGAAAAAAAAATCTCTGAATACAGGTGACTCATATAATCATAGCTGTTTCTTATCTGATTAGGTTAATAGACTTTCTGAAATTGCTTATATAGGAAAGCTATTGAGATAATCTCAATGTGCTTAAACTGCTAATGTATCCCTTTCATCTCTGCATTTCCAATTTAAACTATGTTCCCATAAATCTCTTAAAAATAACACAAACCAATAGATAAAAAAACACAAATGGAGCCGTTTCATGGTCTCCACATTTTGCAGCTGGAAAAGACATTAGAATGTATCTCTTTTGAACCTATCGCTTTATAAAATAAAATAATGAACTGTAATACCAAGCATACAATCCTTTCTAAGCTAATAGACACTCCTTTAAATTCTGCTAGGATTAATTAAATAAAACTTATGTAAGAAGTTATGTGAGTAACATGAAAGTTAAGACTCTAAATTATATATTTATATTCTAAAGTCCAACTTGTGCTCTGAAAATGTGCATGATCACAATAATTGCCTCATACATTTGTTAAAATGAATATTCTCAGATTCCTTTACTAAAGACATTGACTAATTCTGAATATCAATACACTTGTTTGTTATTATTATCAAGGAAATTTGGGAATTGCTGAACAACAGGATTCCTGTCAATATAATGGAAGGTTACCAAACCTTAAATTTTGATCTAGAGGATACACAAATCAATTGTATCTATCCCATAGTATTTTTCTCCTCCACTCATTCTTTTTTTGTGACCAACTGTATTAGTCTGTTCTCATGCTGCTATGAAGAAATACTGGGTAATTTATAAAGAAAAGGGGTTTAATTTACTCCCAGTTCTGCATAGCTGGGGAGGCCTCAGGAAACTTACAACCATGGTGGAAGGCATCTCTTCACAGAGTGGCAGGAGAGAGAATGAGTGCCAGCAGGGAAAATGCCAGAAGCTTATAAAATCATCAGATCTTATAAGACTCACTCATTGTCACAAGAACAGCATGGGGAAAACTGCCCCCATGATTCTACTACCTCACCTGGTTCTGACCTTGACACAAGCGGATTATGGGGATTGCAATTCAAGGTGATATTTGGGTTGGGACACAGAGCCAAAACATATCATTCTGCCCTGGTCCTTACCAAATCTCATTTTCTCACATTTCAAAACATAATCATGCCCTTCCAACAGTATTTCAATGTTTTAAATCATTCCAGTAATAACTCAAAGTCCAAGTCCAAAGTCTCATCTGAGACAAGGCAAGTCTCTTCCACCTATGACTCTATAAAATCAAAAGCAAATTAGTTACTTTCTAGATACAATGAGGATACAGGCATTGGGTAAATATACCCATTCCAAATAGGAGAAATTGGTCAAAGGAAAGGGGCTACAGTCCCTCTGCAAGTCCAAAATGCAATAGGGCAGTCATGAAACCTTAAAGCTCCAAAATGATCTCTTTTGATTCTATGTCTCACATTCAGGTCACACTGATGGAAGAGGTGGGCTCCTACAACCTTGGGCAGCTCCGACTCTGTGACTTTGAAGAGTACAGGACCACTCCTGGCTGCTTGGGTTGGCACTGAGTGTCTGCAGCTTTTCCAGGCACACAGCGCAAGATGCTAGTGGATCTACCCTTCTGGGGTCTGGAGGATGGTGGCCCTTTTCTCATAACTCCCATAAATAGTGTCCCAGTGAAGACTCTGTGTGAGGTCTCTGACCCCACATTTTCCTTCTGCACTACCCAAGCAGAATTTCTGCATGAGGGCTCCACCCCTGAATCAAACTTCTGCCTGGCCATCCAGGCATTTCCATACATCCTCTGAAATCTAGGCAGAGGTTTCTAAACCTCAGTTCTTGACTTCTGTGTACCAGCAGGCCCAATATAAAGTGAAAGCTGCCAAGGTTTGGGGCTTGCACCCTCTGAAGCAACATCCTGAACTATACGTTGGCCCCTTTTAGCCACTGCTGGAGCTGATGCAGATGGGATGCAGGGCACCAAGTCTCCAGATGGCACAAAGCAGCAAGGACCTGGGCCCAATTCAGGAAACTAATTTTCCCTCCTAGGCCTGAAGGCTTGTGATGGGAGGAACTTTCCTGAAGGTCTCTGACATGTCCTGGAGACATTTCCCCATTGTCTTGGTGACTAACTTTCAGCTACTTGTTATTTATGCAAAATTTCTGCATCAGGCTTGAATTTCTCCCCAGAAAATGGGTTTTTCTTTTCTTTCATATTGTCATCCTACAAATTTTCCAAACTTTAGTGCTCTGCTTCCTCTTGAACACTTAGCACCTTAGAAATTCCTCCTGCTAGTTACCCTAAATCATCTCTCTCAAGTTCAAAGTTCCACAGATCTCCAGGGCAAGAGCAAAATGTCATCAGTCTCTTTGCTAAAACATAGGAAGAGCCACCTTTATTTCACTTCCCAAGAAGTTCCTCATCTCCATTTGGGACTACCTCAACCTGGACTTCATTGTTCATATCACTATCAGCATTTTGGTCAAAGCCATTCAACACATCTCTAGGAAGTTCCAAAGTTTCCCACATCTTTCTGTGTTATGAGACCTCCAAGTCTCTAAGTTCCAAACTTTCTCACATTTTCCTGTCTTCTTCTGAGCCCTCCAAATTGTTCCAACGTTCACCTATTACCTAGTTCCAGAGTTGCTTCCACATTTTCAGGTATTCTTATAGCAACGTCCCACTCTCTCAGTACCAGTTTACTATATTATCCCAGTCTCACGTTGCCATAAGAAAATACTCGAGACTGGGTAATTTATAAAGGAAGGAGGCTTAATTGATTCACGATTCTGCATGGCAGGAGAGACCTCAGGAAACTTACAATCATGAAGGAAGACATCTCTTCACAGGGCAAGCAAAGAGAGAATGAGTGCAAGCAGGGGAAATGCCAGAAGCTTATAAAACCATCAGATCTCATGAGACTCACTCACTATTGCTAGAACATAATGGGGGAAACTGCTCCAAATGATTCAATTACCTCCATCTGGTCCCACCCTTGACACGTGGAGATTATAGGGATTACAATTCAAGTTGACATTTGGGTGGGAACACAGAGCCAAACCATATTACTAACATTAAACTCACAGTTACCTGCTCTTTTAAATCTTTTTTTTTTTTTTTTTAATGAGTCAGGACACTGAGCCATAAGATCTCCTTCCACTATGATACTTAAAGTTGTAATGAAATAAAACCCTCACTTCTGGGGTCTAATAATTTGGATATGCTTATTTTAACTAACAGGTACTTGTAAGTATTAATATTTTATTTTACATATAGAAATGTTTATTGACCCACAGATGTAACAAAACTTTGTCTATTAAAGGTATCAAACTTTGTAACCGATACTTTTAAAACAACCCAATAAGTATACATTCGATAAAATTGTATGTTATTTATCTTTTTTTACTGATGAGGATTTTTCTGACTTTCACTAGCACATTTAAGAGTACCCTGCGGTGTTATTGATATTTTTCTTTATTATTGTTTTTTAATGTGATACCAATGTAGGGTAAGTAAACAGTGCAGCCAGAATTGAATTCAAATTTTACAACTGGTAAGGTGCTTGAACTGAACAATCAGAACAGGCAACAACCAAATACAATCAAAATAACCAAATCTATATTGACTTTGGATGCATAAAGAATATTTATTGAGCATTTATATGAGTGGGATCCTCTGCTGGGTGCTTGAAGACAAACAGAGAATATAATCATTATATAGATTATTGCAATTTAGTGATAAATAGATATTAGCATTATGAACACCTGAAGTCAATCTTATTTTTTTACTCATTATTTATCAGACTTTTTAGTAAATAAAATTTATTTTATAAAATAAAATTAAGTAACTAACCTGCACATGGTGCACATGTACCCTAAAACGTAAAGTATAATAATAATAATAATAATAAAAACTTTTCAAAAAATAAAATAAAATAAAATTAAATTAAAAACATCTCTATAGGTTTCAAATGTCTTATCTTTAACAAAGGTAAAAAGACATTTGTTTTGAAGATTTATCATTAAAGTTAACAAAATTTCCAAGCTCAAGGCGCATAGTTGTAGATCAAGCTACAACTGCCTACAGACACATTTTCCTAGACATTCTCAAACTCAACATGCCCCAAACTATTGTACTTCTTATAAGATCTTTCCTTAATAAAGTATTGCTATAGTAATTATTACTAATAACCACAGTGATTATTTTAAATTATTGAAAATAATAAATTAGGCCACACTAAATTGGGAAGGCTTATTTGGTAGGGTTAAGAAAAGTTTCAAAAAAAGATACCAAGTTTATCCATGACAATGGATTATTACTTGTTAGAAGTTGAGTGAACTGTGATTCTGGTGGGATGACAACACAGTGGGCTAGAAGCTGTATCAATTAAGCTCTCTGTACCTTGTGTCTTAATCATTATTGTGTTTACAGATCTTCTAGCAGAGCTCAACAAATACTTTTGAGTGTGTTTATGTGTGTGTGTGTGTGTGTGTGTGTGAGAGAGAGAGAGCGAGAGAGAGAACTGGGAGAGAGAAAGGAATCTACTTAGCATAGCACTATCCCTTGGTGACTAGTCAACAAATGAATGCTACATTTTCCTCTTTCTCTTATTTCTCTTTTCACTTTTTTCATTTCTTGCTTAGTTTATTTCCACATTTTAGTATGCAGTAGCCCACTTTAACTCCTCAGTAGCTTTCCCATCATGCTATAAGGCACTTATGCAATCATCAAGTGAATGCCCTTGGAGTATCATGTTAGAGTGTAAATTATAACATCCTGTTTAGCCTCCGAGAGGAGCACACTGCTAAATGCCCAAGGATTTGTTTTGAACAAAGCATAGCAATTAGAGATAAATGAAAGGTATATATTGTAAAGTTATTTACTCATCTCCATCTTGGCTTGTAATAATAGCCAAACACATAATTGCATGTTATTCAGACAAGTATTTGATATTGTTTTCAACACATAGAGATTTTCCTTCAGTATACGAAGTCAACTCATATGTAGTATTTATTGCATTAGAATTTATTATTTCATAAGTTAGCAAGTACTTGGTTCCCTGAAATGCATAATATAAAGTAGAAATTTAATAAATATTTATTTACAACTGCATGGGATCAGTAGTGGCAATATTTTTATTTTCTTCAAACAAAACAAAACAATTTCTATTCTCTTCAGTTTCTTGAAACTGAAATGGATTTGTTTTTCCCACTATTATATAAACTTTTCACTTGTTTCTTGCTAAATTAAAGGTCTGATGGGAATCTAGAATCCTAAATGTGAAGAGAATAAAAATTTTGGATCAGCAATAAGAGGAGCTCTATTTTGAAGATGAGTTGAAGGCTAGTTGAGCTTACAGAACAAGAATTCAATAATGCCTCAGGTTTAGAGTGTCACTTCGAACTCAGAGGCTCCACATTTCCATGGCTGAGTGTATTGGTATATCCTCAACTACAGAAAAGAATAGATAATTCAAAATTGTGCATATCTATTGTTAAAAAGTAAATTGAGGAACAATGAAATTGTTTTTTTAACAATTGTTTATTTAAACTAGCAGTAATTCATGAGTCAGGAAGCACCAAACCAAAGGTGGTTTTAGGCTCTGCTGAGGGAATACAAAGATAAGGGTTTGACAGAGTCAACATGGAAGCCAGTCAAACTCGATTGGTTACAATTATGTAGGTGCTTTATTTGATTTATTCTACTGGGACTTCCCTAGTTGTATAAAGTAGTTGGAAGCTTCTGATTGGTTACGTTTAGGTTTTGTTTTCTTTAATATAGCCATTTATAAAAAATAGCCCAAGTTACTTTTGCTTATGTTTGCAAATCAAGCTGACAGCTGACAGCCCATGAATGCCTTAGGAAAGGTATCCCTCAATGCTGGATATTCCGTACATGATGGCTCTGCACTTACATTTGTTGAAGGTGCAATTGTAATCTTCCTTGAAGATCTTTAGTTTCTTTCTTAACAAAGGTGCTCTGTGACAGGGTGCATATTACATGGAAACATTTTCTAATATTAGGACACCTAACTTCTTTGGACCTCCCTTATAGTTATTACACATTTTATATTTATTTATTCATCCTATCTATATTTAATTATCCTCTCATGATAGAGAAATAATATTTAATATTGGTCTTTCCTAATATCTTACCTTCTTATGATTTTTTTCTCATTTGCAAAATGTGTCCCAGAGGTCAGTGTTACACAAATTTACCAGCGGGAAATTCATGATTGCTATTTAAATTAAACCTATTAAAAGAATTACAACAAAATAATGATTCCTTTCTTCCTCTTTCTGTCCCACCCTCCTTCCTCCCTTCCTCCCTCCATCCCTCCCTCGCTCGGTCCTTCCCTCCCTCCCTCCCTTCTTGCCTGCCTGCCTTCCTTCTTTCCTTCCTTCCTTCCTTCCCTAATTTCTTCTTTTTACTTTGTAAGAAAAGAAGCTTGTTTATCATTTTTTCCCTATAAGAAACTTCTTTTGCTTTTCATTTTCAGCTCAAAGACTCTTGCTCAAACCAACTTTAATGATAAATTTCTTGATTCCATCAAACTTTCTTCAACCATACAATTAGCTTTCTTATGGAAATATACTCAGATAATTATTTTAACCCTCAAAATAAAGTATTAGCTGTTGTATGTTTGGCAGAGCATGCCAATCTATAATTCAGTATAATAATTAGTGTCTTTCTTTTCAGTAAATATATTTGTGTATTAGTTTCCTCATTTACAACATGGGGATAAAATTTGGTGATACACTTAAAAATACCTAGGAAACTGGCACTACATAAATAGTGAATGAAAAGTAAGTGGAATGATTATTCTGCATTATACTGCAGCCTTAAGATAACAACAGCTTATTTACAGCTTTCTGTGATTTTTCTGACTGACTTGTAAAAAACAATTATCATTGAGGTGTGCTGATGGACTTGTGAGCAAAGCACTCAACAAGTTAGAAACAGCCATTTGTTATTCATTCCAGCTCTTCCTACTTATCTTTAACTCATAGAACACAGACATTTAATAAATCAATAAGTTGCAAGGATATTTTGCATTTTTATTTCTTAAGCATTTATATTTTCAAAAATAATAGACAAAATGAAGGTTTAAATATCTTTCTGAAACTTCAAATATATCTTTGGACTCTATTAATATGCTATATATTGGTAACTTATTGAAACAGATGACTCACTTGAAAAAGAAGAATAAATTTTTCAGGATCCTCAACAATGTTTCTCAGTACATAAGAGTATAGCAAGAAAGTGGCAAAGGTTTAGAAATAAATTTTGAAGGTAATTCTAATTTCCCTAACAATTACTTAGAAACAGCAAACTATTCTGATGTTGAATTTATCTTTTTATCATTATATAACTCATACCATTGACACTGTAATAATTAAATGTGCTCATATCCGACTTCACCTCTTATTTAGATAAGCCAATGTAATTATGGCATTATACTAAGAAAGACATGCTTTCTTTTCTTTACATTACTTTTTTCTTTTATGTAGCTAACAATTGATCCCATAAGCAGAGGTAGTGAACAAATCTTTTTTCATAGTTGAACTGCAAATATGGTTCCTTTTTGACACCAATGTCAGTAGTTCTCATTAATTACTGTTTGGAAAGACATTGACTCAGAAACCAATTATTTTACTGGAGAAAAAAAAATTACCAGCCAGAAAGTAATATCTTATTTGCTGAGAACTATTCTTCATGTCATACTCATTATCAAATAACTGATATTTCTTAAAAACACTGAGTTAATTTGGTTATGAAAAATTCTACTTTGTGTCAGAGTTGATGGATTTTTCTTCTCTCTTGTCAATTTTTTCACAAATAGTTTTGCATATATTTTTATTTTCTAGAGAATTGGCTCATATTTGTGGGTTTTCCTTGAATTAATGTTGTTCATGCAATAAAACATCCCTGGGCTGTGTCTTGCAGTGAATAAAATGGTTTCTTCATAATCAAAATAAACTTCATTTACTCTTACTGTTTAGCTTCTGTGGGAAGCGGGTTTCCTTTCCACTACTTAATTCTTGGCTGGTTGCTATGAAAATCATGTGGCTGCCAAGGTTTCTGTTTATACATATACTAGCAAAAAATTTGCAGTGGAGTTTCTAAGATTTGCAGCTTTCTGATTTTAATATATTATGCTTACTTTCTAAGCTATCCAGAGGTACACTAGATAGGCAGAAACTTAGCAATTATGAGTTTCTTATCATAAGTCATTAAAAATATAAATAGTTTAAAAGGCTGATAAGAAGAAAATTATTCAAGAATCCTGTGTCTGCTTTACTAAGAAAAGAATAATATCAAAACATCATGACAAGGTTGGCAGCAAGATTTTTTTCTTTAATATTTTTACTGAGTTCAAAATAAAAGTAGCTACAGATGACAGGATGATATGTGAGGTATAAGAAGACATTTCCATCCAAAATCAGTACCTTCTTGTGCAACATTATGCTAGCTGTAGCCATTCCGCTTTTCAGTTTTCATTTCCATGTCAATGACATTTCTCAAGAAGTGATACTTGATTTATTTTTGTCTTGTTTCCTGTTTTCCTCTTTATTCTTAATGGTCCTTTGTCGATTATTTTTGCTTCTTATTCTTTAAATCCCAACTAGTCTCCATACCAGTGACAATGATAAAAACATTTGAATGAGAAATTGATGAGATTTCTTATCAAAGAATGCTGGAAGGAAACTTACATATTTTCTTCTCTAGCCTTCTTTTATTAAGAAATAGGCCCAAATATTTAAATTGTCTTGCCCAGAGGTATGCAGGGGTTAGCAGCAGAGGCCGATCCAGAACATAAGGCTGTCCTCGTTCCATTAGAACATGCTACTCAATTTCCCATAATTATGAGAGCATGCTCCTCTCCTCTGCCAGACTTCTCTTTGGCATTGGGAGAGGTGCTTTGGCTGATTAGCTTTCAGTCAGCTGTCAGGGTTCAGCAGCCATCTCAAAATGTATCTGTCTCATCATTTTTGTGCTTGTCAGCAGCTACCTTTTCCATTTCACTCTGTCATAACTTTTCAGGTCCTTTACAGTATTATATGAAGCATGACGCAGAGAGACAGTTTCACAATATGAGAGAAGTCCTGAGACAAAAAGTTCATGGTTCAATATGTGACCCAAAGAGAGATTTGTCCCAAGCTGTCAAACAAACAGCCTTACTCGGATCTAAGGCACAGGGACTAAAATGATTGAATAGGTAAGCTACTCAGATTTTTAAAAAAGAGTTGTGACACTCCAGACTGGATATTTGTGGAAAGGATAAGGGCTTTGTTAGGAAGCTATAATGGCTTTGTTAGGAAACTATTCTTGTTTGCCCTGTACCCTACTCCTCACATCTGATGTGGACTTCCCATTGACTTCAAAGGATCTTCAGCCTGGGTAGGTAGGCAGGGTGCTAAGAAAAAGGAAAAAGTCCAAGGTCCTTGAAAGTCACATTAATCCTCCTTGATGATTCAGTTAGCCAAGTAACAAGGACAAAAAACAAGCAGGTATACTTTAAAATAAATAGAAATAAAGGTGATAATAAAAAAGGGACATGAAATGAAAAAAATATCTTTGGTCAGTCATTTCTATTTTGTGAATTCTTGTCCTATTTTCAGTGTGTCATATTCTAAAGCTTAGTACGTTTTCATTCTTTGTGCTTCCTGTAACAGAGAGAGGGAAGGGCAAAAAGGTTTGTCAAATATAATACCCATATGTGTTATGTCACCTACTCTGATTAATTATATTTTATTTGGAAAATTGCTTCTTTGTTCTTTATAATTGGATTAAACAATTTTGCACTAGGTAGTTAATTTTTATCTCACGTTATTTCTTTATGAATGGATTAGTTAATCATAGTACTAGATATTAGCTGCACATACCTACTGAAAATGTGAATCATTTTGAACTTCTTATTTTCAAATATAGGAAGTTTATATATATGTATAAATAATCAGAGTAGGTGACAAACATATATGTCTCCATATATATGTCTCCATATATATGTATATAACATACACACAATATACACACGTGTGTATTTTAGTATGTGTGTGTATATATATTACTCTAGCTAAATGAAGTTATCTCAATAAATTGACATGTTTGGTAAAGATAAGAATTTATATACATAGGATTATTGTATACTCAAATTGTGTTTAATATACATATATTCTGTCTTTTGCATATGTATTTCATTAATAATTTTAGATTGTCCGGAATTAGGAATCCAGGACAGGTAGTAAATTACTTAACTATAATTTAATTTTATTGAGCAAGAATTTTGATAACCTTTTCATATTTCTTGCACATTAAACATTTCTTTCAAAACAAATTGTTACAGTTAAGTCCCCATCTAAAAAAGAAAAAAACGAGAAGTACAATGTTACCACAATTTTCTTCCAATTACAATTATTTTGTGGTAAGTCTATGAAAATGCAGTAAAAAAAAACACTGGTTCAAGATAAAGTATGTATAACAAAATGTATTGTTATTCTCAGAACTATGTTGTTGTAACATTTATCATTTTCAAGTTGCTACAGTCTACTTCTTTACTAAAACTATTTCGTGACAGGAAAACATGCAATTTTGTTTTTTCAATGTAAAGAAATATGTATATTTTAAACATGATGAATTGAAGCCAAAATGAATTATAAAAATATACTGCCAGTAGAGGCAAATGAGTGGTAGGATTTCTAAACTTGGCCAAGTACTTACTTGATTGGTACAGTAGTTACCTTGTTTCTAATCAGTGTATTATATGCTAATAATAAACATGTATTGAGTAAAATTTAGTAGATGATCATGAATTCTTGCCTCTTCTAACATCAGCTAAGATATATTCCTAAGTTTTATGTTCGACCAAGTATACATAAAGTATTATATAATAAATATGTAAAATGATAACCCTCTTTTGATGTTGGGTAAAATGCTTAGAATAGCATCTAGTTTTGCCCAGAAATGCTAGCTACAGTTAAAACTATTATTATTATTACTGCAAAAAACCAGAAAGTAAATTCCATATTTTGCTTCAATTTCCATTAACATTATGATCTATATGTAGTAAGACATTTATTAATAGGTAATGATTAGTCAGTGACACACTGGAGTTTTGAAGCAGGAGTCCCAAGCTAATCCTTAGACTACTGAGAAATTATGTTCCTGTACTTTGAATCCATCACTAAAATGGTTAAATTAGAATCCTTTTTAAAGTGTTAAAGCAGTAATACAATCCTATTCAAAAAAGCAAAACCTTGTAATGACTTGGTCCAAGAATCAGGCTCATATACTATAAAAACAGTATACTGAAGAAACCTGCTCTATTTGTTTGAGTTTTTTTTTTTTTTTGGTAGACATCTTTGTGTCAATATTAACCACACTTTATCTTCCAGTTTAGATTAATTATCATGTCATCATGTTTTAAGAACTTTTTTTTCTGAAAGCTTGTAATATGAAAAATCTTGGAGACTAAAACTTAATTGTTGGATATCAGTCACACAATCTTAAAATTTTCAGTGGTTAGTATATTACAACCTTAAAACTTTTAATTACTAAAATATTACATTTAAGATATAATTATAACACATGTTATTTATAATTAAATATTTTACTTGACATAATTGCATATATTTCAATGATAACATCTTGTAAAACTATGCTACAATATTATAATCAGGGTGTTGATGTTGATACAATCAAGATACAGCACATTTCCATAATCAAAAGGATTTTTCACACTGTTCTTATATAGGCATACCAACCCCTCCACCAACCGCTAGAAACTGCTAATCTCTTCTCCATTTCTACGATGGTGTTATTGCATGCATGTTATGCAAATCATACACTAGATAACATTTGGAATTGCCATTTTTGAACACAGTATATCCTGCTGGAGATTCAACCAGGTTGTTGCATGTATGAGTAGTTTATGCTATCATCTAAAGGTTTTTGTCCCTCAAAATTCGTATGTTGAAATTCCAGCCCCCAATATGATGCTCATATTAGCAAGCAGTTACTTTGGGAGGTGAATAGATCTAAGGGCAGTGTCCTCATGTATAGAATTTGTGCCCTTATAAAAGAGGTGCAAGAGAGACATTTTGCCCTTTCCACTAAGTGAGGACACAGCTGGAGGGCACCGTCTATAACCTACAAAACAAGCTTCCACCAGACACCAAATCTTGTGCCTTCATCTTGGACTTCTCAGCCTCCAGAACTGTGAGAACTAGGCTTCTCTTGTTTTAACAGCCACAAAGTTGATGGTCTTTTGTTATAACAGACTAAATAGACTGACATAGCCTACTTCTTTTTATTACTATTATTAATAATATTCCATGGGATTAATGTACTTTAGTTTGTTTAATCACTCATGGGAGGACATCTAATTGCCTTCAATTTTTGACTATTACAAGTAAAGCTGCTATGAATAATCATGTACAAGGTGTGTCTAGTCGAAAGTTTTCATTTCTCTGGGATAAATGCAGTTGAATAGTTTTTTTTTTTTTTTGACACTAGCAAACTGTATCCATAGTAGCTGTACCATTTTACATTCTCACCAGAAATATTTGATTTATCTGGTTTCTTCACCATCATTTTTATTTTAGCCATTTAGATAGGTATCACACTGTGGTTTTAATTTGCATTTCCCTAAAGCCTAATGATGTCGAACAATCTTCCAAGTATTTGTATCATACTTGTGTATCCTCTTTGGTTATATGTTTGTTTTGTCTTTTGACCATTTCCTAATTGGATATTTTTTTTTGTGAGTTTTGAGAGTTTTTTTTATATATTACAGTTTTTTATATATATTCAAGATAATAGCCTTTTGTTGAATATGTGTTTTTCAAATATTTTCTGCCAGTCTATAGCTTGTTTTTATCCTCTTAACAAGAGCTTTCAAAGAGCAGAAGATTTGATGCCTAATTTATACTTTTATTTTCCTTGCATGGATTTTACCACTAGTGTTAATTCTAAAGATTTTGTGCCTAGTTGTTTTCAAAGACATCTATGCTTCTACAACCTCTCCAGCATCTGATATTTTTTGACTTTTTAAAAATAGCCATTCTGAATGGTGTGAGATGGTATCTCATTGAGGTTTTGATTTGCATTTCTCTAATGATCTGTGATGTTGAGCTTTTTTCCATATGATTATTGACCGCGTGTATATCTTCTTTTGAAAAATGTGTGTTCAAGTCTCTGCCTACTTTTTAATGGAATTGTTTTTCTCTGGTCAATTTGTTTGTTTCTTATAGATGCTGGATATTAGACCGTTGTCAGATGCATAGCTTGCAAGTATTTTCTCCCATTCTGTAGGTTGTCTGTTTACCCTCGATAGTTTCCTTTACTGTGCATAAACTCTTATGTTTATTTAGATCCCACTTGTCCATTTTTGCTTTCGTTGACAAAATGGACAAATGGCATCTAATTATATTGTTTTTGATGTCTTTGTCATGAAATCTTTACTCGTTCCTATGTCCAGGATGGTATCTCCTAGGTTGCCTTCCAGGGTTTTTATAGTTTTTTTGTTTTATAATTAAGTTTTTAATCCATCTTGAGTAGATTTTTGTATATGGTTTAATAAACAGGTCTAGCTTCAGTCTTCTACGTATGCTTAGCCAGGTACCCCAACAACATGATTTTCTTTATGACACTTTTTTTTCTCTCTTTAGCTTATTTCAAGGTAATAATATATAATATATATTACATATGAAATATGTATTAATCGACTGGTAAAGTAGTTGGCAAAGATTCAACAATAGCCTATTAGTAAAGTTTTGAGGAGTCACAGATTATGCTGATTTTCTACTGCAAGGAGGGTTGTTGCCTCTAACTCCTGTGTTGTTCAAGGGTCAATTGCATAAAGTCACTTATTGCACTGGCTAGAATTTCCAGCACTACTCTGAGTAAATGATATGGTTTGGGTCTGTGTCCCCACCCAAATCTCATCTCAAATTGTAATTCCCATCTGTCCAGGGAGGGTCCTGTAATCCCCATGTATTGAGGGAGGTAAGTAATTTGATTATAGGGGCGGTTTCCCTTGTGCTGTTCTCATAATAGTGAATGAGTTCTCATGAGATCTGATGGTTTAATAAGTATTTGGAGGTTCACCCTTTGTTCCTGTCTTTCCTGCTGCCTTGTGCAGAGGTACTTGCCTCTCCTTCACCTTCCACCATGATTGTAAGTTTCCTGATGCCTCCACAGCCATGTGGAACTTTGGGTTAATTAACTTTCTTTTCTTTATTTACCCAGTCGCAGACGGCATCTTTATAGCAGTGTGGAAGCAAACTAATACAGTAAAGGTGGTTGAGTATGGATATCCTGGACTTGTGCTTGATTTTAAGGGGAAGGCATCCATTCATGCACCATTAAGTACAATGTTGGCTGTTGTGTTGACCAAGTTGCCTTTATCCTTGTGTTTTCTGAGAGTTTTATAAAGAACAAATGTTGACTTTTTCAAATGTCTTTTTATGTGTGTGTATCTTGACTGACAGGATCATGTGATTTTTCTTCTGTAGCTTGGTAATATGGTGGATCACATTGATTGTTTTGTTCAATATTGAAGCATCCTTGCATCCCTGGAGGAAACCCCATTTGGTCATAGTTTGTCTTATTTTTTGATATTGCTGAGTTCTGTTTCTAACATGCTATTAAGGATGTTTGTGTCTATATTCATGAAGCATATTGGCTTGTACCTTTTTTTCTTGTGTAAGTTCTTATTTTGATATCAGTGTAATTCTGACTTCAGAGAGTAAGTAGGGAAGTATTCTGTCCTCTTTTATTTTGTCAGAGGAGAGTTTGTGAAGAATTTGTGTTGAATTCATCTTCAATGTTTATAGAATTCTCCAGTAAAACATCTCAGCCTAAAGATTTATCTTTCATCTTTTTCTTTAATTACAAATTAAATTACCTTAATAGGTATAGTGCTATCCAAAATTATCTTTTTTCATATTAGGTGAGTTGTGGTAGTTTGTGTTTTTACAAGAAATGGTCTATTTTATGTATTTTGTGAAAATTAGGCAGAGTTGCTTATAAAATTGAATTATCTTTTTGATGCCTGCTGGATCTGTAATAATATTTTATTTTATTTATCATATTGGTAATTTGAAACTTCTTTCCTTTTTTCTTTGTAAGTCTTGTTAGAGCTTTGTCGTGTGTGTGTGTGTGTGTGTGTGTGTGTGTGTGTGTAGGGAAATCTTTTCAATGGACCAGCTATTTGTTTCAATAATTTTTCTCTAATTTTTTATTTTCAATTATATTTTCTGCTATTATCTTTATTATATTCTTTCTTTTCCTTGTTTTGGACCCATTTTGTTCTTTTTCTAGTTTCTTAAGAAGGTACTTTAGATTATTGTTTTGAGGATTTTTTCTAATATGTGTATTTAGTATTCTTAGTTTCTCTACCTGAGAGATAAATTAATTCCTACTCCAAACCTCAGCATCACACATGTCCTTGTAACAATCCTGCTTATGTACTCCCTGAATCTATAATAAAAGTTGAAAAAAATATTTCTCTGTGAGCACTGCATTAATTGTGTCACACAGATTTTGATATGTTGTATGTTCATTTTCATTCAGCTTCACGTATTTTCAAATTTCCCATGAGACTTCCTCTTTGACTAATGGATTTTTTATAACCTATGTGTTTTGTTTAGTTTCCAAGTTTTCAGATTTTTAAAAAAATTTTGGTATATTGTTGATTTTCAGTGTGATTCCAACTTAGTCAGAGAACACATTCTGTATGATTTCTATTAAATTTGTGGAAGTTTGTTTTATGACCCAGGTATTGTCTCTGTGGTGTATATTTTACAGACACTTGAAAAGTATGTGTACTCTGATGTTTTGTGGTGGAGTGCTCTATAAATATCAATTATATCATGCTTTTTGATGGTATAGAGATCTACTTCATTGCTCTTTTTTTCACTTGTTGAGAATGGGTTGTTGAAGTTTCCAATTCTAATTTGACTATTTCTCCAACAGGTACTATCAATCTTTGTTTCACATATTCTGCAGTGCTACATTCAGCAAATACGCATGATGTAATAGTGCTACATTTCCTTATAGATTGACACTTTCACCATTATATATTGCTCCTCTCTGCCTGGCACTTTTTCTGGCTCTGAAATCCACTTTATTTGATATTTATATAGCCACTATTGCTTTATTTTGATTATTTTTTTCTGATGTATCTTTTCCTATCTTTTTACTTTCAGCAGGCTGATATTGTCAAAGTGTCATACACTGTGTAATGACATTTTGATCAATAACAGACCACATACATGCTAGTGGTCCCATAAGATTATACTATAATGCAGCTGAAAAATTTTTATTCCCTAGAGACATCATAGTCATCATAATGTCCTAGTATAATGATTACTCATGTATTTATAGTGATGCTGGTGTAAACAAACCTACTGCACTTCAAATATAAAAGTATAGCATGTACAATTATGTACAGTCTGTAATACTTCATAATGATAATAAATGACTATGTTATTGGTCTATGTATTTACTATGCAATACTTTTAATTATTCTTTTACAGTATACTCCTACTACCAAAAATAAAGCTAACTGTAAGATAGCCTTTGGCATGTCCTTCAGGAAATATTTCAAAATAAGCCATTGTTATCATAGGAGATAACAGCTCCTTATGTGTTATTGCATCCAGTGGGAGAAGGTGTGAAGGTGGAAGACAGTGATATTGATGATCTTGACCTTGTTTAGGCCTAGGATAGTGTGTATCTTAGTAATTCATGAAAAAAATTAAAAAACAAAAACAAAAACAATAAGTTTTAAAATAGAAAAAATAGAATAAGGATATAAAGACAATATTTTTATAGCAATAAAATTTGTGTTTAAAGTGTTGTTATAAAAGAATCAAAGTTAAAAAAGCAAAAAAAGTGTATAAAGTTGCAGTAAGCTAAGATTAACAATATTTTTAATACCTTCAGTGTAGTCTAAGTGTACAGTTTATAGTCTGCAGTAGTGTACAATAATGTCCTAGGGCTTCACATGCACTTATCACTCACTCAATGACTCATTCAGAACAACTTCTAGTCCTACAAGCTCCATTAATAGCAAGCACCTTATAGAGGTGTACCACTTTTTATCTTTTACATCATATTTTTATTGTAGCTTTTCTTTGTTTAGATATGTGTAGATATAGAAATACTTATCATTGTGTTATAATTGCCAAGGGTGCTCAGTATAGTAACATGCTATGCTAGTTTACAGCTTAGGAGTGATAAGGCATACTATATATCCTAGTTAGGCTATATTATCCAGGCTTATATATGTATACTCTAAGATGTACATATATTCATACAACAACAGAATCATCTAATGATGTATTTTTCAAAATGTATCCGCATCTTTTTTTTTTTTTTTAATTTTACTTCACGCCCCAGGGTACATGTGCAGAATGTGCAGGTTTGTTACATAGGTATACAAGTGCCATGGTGGTTTGCTGCACCTGTCAACCAGTCATTTAAGTTTTAAGCCCCGCATGCATTAGGTATTTGTCCTAATGCTCTCCCTCCCCATTCTTCCCACCCCTCCGACAGGCCCTGGTGTGTGATGTTCCCCTCTCTGTGTCCATGTGTTATCTCATTGTTCAACTCCCACTTATGAATGAGAACATGCGTTGGTTGGTTTTCCGTTCTTGTATTAGTTTGCTGAGAATGGTGGCTTCCAGTTTCATCTATCCATGTCCCTGCAAAGGACATGCTCTCATTCTTTTTTTTTTTTTTTTTTTTTTTTTTTTAGATGGAGTCTCACTTTGTTGCCCAGGCTGGAGTGCAGTGGCATGATCTTGGCTCACTGCAAGCTCTGCCTCCTGGGTTCACGCCATTCTCCTGCCTCAGCCTCCCGAGTAGCTGGGACTACAGGTGACCTCCACGATGACTGGCTAATTTTTTGTATTTTTTAGTAGAGACGAGTTTTCACCATGTTAGCCAGGATGGTCTCGATCTCCTGACCTTGTGATCCACCCGCCTCGGCCTCCCAAAGTGCTGGGATTACAGGCGTGAGCCACCATGCCCAGCCAATCTCATTCTTATTTATGACTTCATAGTATTCCATTATGTATATGTGCCACATTTTCTTTATCCAGTCTATCTAGAACAAGAAATACCATTTGACCCAGCAATCCCATTACTGGGTATATAACCAAAGGATTATAAATCATTCTACTATAAAGAAACGCACATTTATGTTTATTGTGGCACTATTTACAATAGCAAAGACTTGCATCTCTATCTCTAAGCAATGCATGACTGTATTTAAGTTGAGTTTCTTGCAGACAGCATACAATTGAGTCAGGTTTTAAATTTACTCTGCCAATTTCTGTTTTAGTGTATATAGTTCATTTATATTTAATATAATTCTTGATATGTTAGCGATTATGTCTATTATTTTGGTTCTTGTTTTTTGTTTTGTTTTGCTTATTTGTTTTCTGTTTTTGTCTTTTGATTTTTTTTGGTTATCTATTTTTTCCTGCCTCTCTGGAAAATACAGAAAACATTTTAAAAATTCCATTTTGATTTATCTATCGTGTTTTCAAGTTGGCTTAGTCTGTCTGGGCTGCTGTAATAGAGTAGACAAGGTGGCTTATAAGGAACAGAAATTTATTTCTCACAGTTTTAGAGGCTGGGAAGTCCACTATTGAGGTGCTGTAAGATTTGGTTTCTAATAAGGGCCTGCTTCCTCATTCATATATGGCTTTCTTCTTCCTATATTCTCTCATGGTACAAGAACTAAAGAAGCTCTCCAGGATCTCTTTTATAAGGACATTAAATCCTATTCACGAGAGCTCTCTTCCTTCATGAACTAGTATGCTATCAAATTCCTCATCTTCCAGTACCATCACATTGGGGGTTAGGATTTCAACATAGAAATTACAAAAGAATACTATCATTCAGTTTATACCACATTGTATCTCTTTGCACAACTTTGTTAATTGTTGCACTAGGTATTGTATTGTATAAACATAACTTATCATAGTCTTCTGGGGTCAATATTTTTCCAGTTAGTTCAAGTGAACTGTAGATAGCTTATCTCCCTTTATGTCTCCTGACCTTCCATATGCAATACCCTTAATAAATATTTTCTCTAAATACATTTAGAACCTCATCAGACAGTTCATAGCTTTTTTTCTTTACCTGCAAACATAATTTACAAGACTTGATAAAATAAGAAAAGTTTATAGTATTTATCTATTTTTTTGTTTTTTGTTAATGTGTTCTCTCTTCCATCTTGATACCACAAGGTTCTTTTATTTGCTGTTTATTTTCTGTTTAGAGAACTTGTATTATAGCTGTTCTTTTAAGGTGGCTCTGATGGCAACAAACTCTCTGAGTTTCAATACATTTGAGATTTCTTTACTTCCTTTTTTATTCATAAATGATGTTTATACTGAATATTAAATAATGGCCTGGGCATTCTTTTCTTCTGCATTTGAAAAATGGTAGGCCATTTCCTTTTGGCTTCAGTGGTTTTGATAAGAAATTAGTTCTCACCTTCTATCTCCTCTTCCACTACTTCAATTACATGAATTTTCAGTTCAGTTATATCCTCACAGGTTCTGGATGCTCTTTTTATTTATTTATTTTTCAGCCTATTTTCTTTCTCTTTTTCAGATGATAATTTTTAATCATCATTTATTCACGTTCACTGATCCTTTCCTCTGTCTCCTTCATGATCCTCTTGAGCCCATATGTTGAGTTTTTAAATGTTCAATTGCTGCATTTTTAAGTCAAACATTTTTATTTGTTTCTTCTTTATATTTTGAATTTTTTTGTCAACCCTTTTCTAAGATGTTTTATATTTATTTTGTTTCAGTTGTGTTTGTAATTTTTCTTTGAAGCATTTTTATGGCAACTGCTTTAAAATCTTTGTCAGATAATTCTAACACCTCTGTTATCTTGGTGTTGACATCTATTGACTGTCTTAAAATTCTGTTGAAGATCTTTATGGTTCTTGATACAACAAGTGTTTCTTATTGAAGCTTAAACATTTTGGTTGTTATGTTATGAGGCTGAAGAGCTTACTTTCATTTTAGCTGGCTTTTTATGAAACCATAGTTTCATAGTTTCTATGAAACCATTCTGACACAAAATGTATGTGTGTGGAGATGGGGCACTGCCTTGTTGTCGTCAGATGGGTGTGGAAATCTAGGTCCCTCACTCATGATCCACACACAAGGGAGAGCTTTTCATTACTGCTGGACATGTGTAAGAATTCTGGTTCACACTGGGCCTCCATCAGGCCTCCTTACTAATCCCCACGGGTCTCCACTGACACTACAGTGGTAGAAAAACTTACTGGCTGGAGGTAGTGAAAGGCCTGACTCTCCAGCAGATTTTCTGAGACATCACCACAGGGGGAGTAGGAGGGACAACTGATTACTATCTGGTGATGGTAGAAGTCGGGCTCCCTCATGATCTGACACTGACAGACACCATAAAGAAGGAGGCCATTATTTGCCTGGTGTGCATGAATGTTCTGACTCCCTAATTGGCCTTTTCTGACACCACCTTGCTGGAAGAAGGAGAGGTAGAAATGCTTTATTAGTCAGATTTCTCCAGAGAAACAAAACCAATAGGATGAACATGTATACATACATGCATATATATACACAAATAGATACATACAGTGGACCCTTGAACGACACTGATTTGAACTGCACAGGTTCACTTACATGCATATTCTTTTCAGCAAATGCAGATGGCCTTCTGTAGCTGCATGTTCTGCATCCACAGACAAATGACATAGAAAATACAGTATATGCAGGATATGAAACCCACAGATATGCAGGGCCGATTTTCATATATGCAGGATCCATAGGGCCAACTGTGGGCATTGAGTATGCAGGAATTTGGGTATACATGGGGCTCCTGGAACAAATCCCCTGTGGGTACAAAGAGACAACTGTGTATAAGTTTCAAGATTTACAGCCAGCAGGCTGGAGACCCAGGAAAGCCAATGACGGTGTAGTTCAAGTCTGAGGGCAGGCAGCTTTGAGATCTAGGAAGAGCCGATGTTTCCGTTTAAATCTGAAGGGAGGGAAAAACAAATGTTCCAGCTTGATGACAGTCAGTCAGGAGTTCCTTCTTACTCGTGGGAGAGTCATCCTTTTTGTTCCATTAGGCCTTCAACCGATTGAATGAGGCCCACCCACATTGAGAAGAACAATGTACTTTACTCAGTCTATTGATTTAAATATAAATTTCATCCAGAAACACAGAATAATGTTTGACCAAATGCCTGGGGACCCTATGACTCAATTAAGGTGACACATGAAATTAACTATCACTGGTGCCTTGCTATAACCTGCCAGGAGCGGAAGGCTTAGCTTTCCACTTTGTCTTTTAAATGTCTGAGTCATTTGGCTATAGAAAAGCATTTAGTGTTTTAAAGTTTTTCTGTCCTGCTAAGCTGCTCCTTGCCTGTTCCTTTGGCTAGAGAAAGCAGACTACTCCGGGGTTTTTATTGTGTGTGCCTGTTGGTATTTCCAGGTGGCTGCACCTTCAGCTCCAAGTCTGAGGTATAGGAGGCAAAAAGAAAACTGGGGAACTTATGGCTATGTCATTTACTTGAGTCTCAAGTTTCCTATCTGCTTTTTTCTCTCCACCTTTGAAAAGCTATGTTTGTTTTATAGAAGATGTCCAGGTTTGTGGTGTATTTAATGGGAGGCATAGGAGAAAGTGTCTTCTCCGTCTTCCCGAAAGCAGACGCTCCAGAAATAAATTTTCCAATTATTTAATCTGAGAGATGATTTGTGTTTTGCAAGGTCAAGAAGCAGCTTGGCAATTACCACACACAAATTTCTGAGCTGGCATTTTATTCTGAATTTTGTCTTTGTTTTTGATTACATTGACTAGAGGGTTGCCAAATTAGCAATTCATGCTGTACTTTGTAGACAGTCTTTAAAAGTAACTTTATGTGTATTCCAGTCACCAGTATTCATGAGCTGTAACATTTTTTTTCTCATCTTTGTTCCTATAAAGTATACAGAAACATATTTGAAGTCAATTGCAGAAGGTTGTTCTGCTTACATGTAAAAACCATTCAAGAAATAGACCTTATGGGAATTGAAATGATTCAGACTATGTGGTTTAAACACATTCCTTAGGGGGATTGTGCTTCTATGCTTTCATTTAAAAACCTTGAAATAAATGAAAATGTTTCAAGCATCATTTTTTCTAGCTATATTCATGACTTTTGGAATGTTTCTATGTTTTTAAACTGTATCATCTCTTAACTGCAGTTTTCTCCGTGACAGTGCTGAGTATTTTTTTAAAAAGCATCAGTAGTTATCAAATGAATAGTTGAACTGAGCCTGAAGATTTAGAACTCCATTCACAAATATTTAACTTTTATATCCACTTGTAGTTTAAATTAGGATGGACTGTATGCCAGAGTTATCCTTCAATATATCTTAAAAGGGTGAATTCATTTGCTACATTTAAAATACAACATTTGAAAATACAACACATAAGACTTTTATAATATATGATGAAAGGGGGATTTAAAAATAAATGCTTATTATAAGGTGACCATTTCATTTCAAATATGTGTTCATATTTAATTTAACCCTCTAATAAAGCAGTTGTAAAATGCTAAATTTAAGTTTAAAAAATAAAAAAAATGTATCAGATCAGCTTACTGTTCTGGATGTACTCAAATATTACTTCCTCTTAAATGCCTGCTGCTAGAGATAAGAACTGTAGAACACAAACTACTGTTTAGATTTATCATTAAGACATGCGTAAAATACTATTTGGTAAATAACATTAAAATCCACTTACGGCATTTATTGTTGTGTTTCACTGTGATAGAAATTTCTTTCTGTAATTTGGGAAGGGAATCAGGTTTATGGTTCCGTTCAGTTTGGCATTCCCTCATCACTTACAGAGGACTTGTTAGACAAGTTATGCCATTTAACCTTTACAACTCCTAAATGCATGTATAGTATTGTATATGAAGAAACTAAAACTGTGATTTAAGTAATTTCTTCCAAAATTCTCTTATATTGTGGTATATGGCTGTTTTAATTACCTTTTATTAACATTTGACCTTGATTTTTTTGTATTCTAAATATTTTCTTGCATTGTCTGAGTTGTGATCATTTTTGAAAGTTCTGAATATAGAGCTTCTAGTTTTATTTTTATATTAATGTTCTTGAATTATGTTTTATTTTGATGAAACATTATTACTAGCTTTCATGTATTTGGATTATCATTTGCTTCCCAATTTTCATCAAGTAGTTCGTGACTAGTTTATGAATCCTCCACATTGAGTATAGGTAGTTTGTTTGTTTGTTTTTTTAAAAAACAAAAACAAAAACATGTTGGCCGGGAATGGTGGTTCACGCCTGTAATCCCAGCACTTTGGGAGGCCGAGGCGGGTGGATCATGAGGTCAGGACAGCGAGACCATCCTGGGCTAACACAGTGAAACCCCATCTCTACTAAATATACAAAAAATTAGCCGGGCGTGGTGGTGGGTGCCTGTAGTCCCAGCTACCCTGGAGGCTGAGGAAGGAGAATGGTGTGAACCCAGGAGGCAGAGCTTGCAGTGAGCAGAGATCTCACCACTGCACTCTAGCCTGGGCGACAGAGCAAGACTCCATCTCAAAACAACAACAACAACAACAACAACAACAACAACAACAACAACAAATGTATTTAGTAAAAATAAACTTCATTATTTCATTAGAAAATATATAGATATGGTTATACAAATGTGTACTATATGTTTGTACACAGATATGTAACTTACTTTTTTAAATAGTAGGATAGAAAATAAAGTATTTGTTGGCTGGGTGTGGCAGCTCACACTTGTAATCCCAACACTTTGGGACTTCAAGGCAGGCAGATCATCTGAGGTCAAGAGTTCGAGACCAGCCTGGCCAACGTGGTAAACCCCGTCTCCACTAAAAATACAAAAAAATTAGCTAAGTGTGGTGGTGGGCACCTGTAATCCCAGTTACTCAGGAGGCTGAGGCAGGAGAATCGCTTGAATCTGGGAGGCAGAGGTTGCAGTGAGCCAAGATCGCACCACTGCACTCCAGCCTGGGTGACAAGAGTGAGGCTCCATCTCAAAAAATAATAAATAAATAAATACATAAATAAATAAATAAATAAAAGCACTTTTTTTTTTTTTTTGAGACGGAGTCTCGCTCTGTCGCCCAGGCTGGAGTGCAGTGGCACAATCTCGGCTCACTGCAAGCTCCGCCTCCTGGGTTCAGGCCATTCTCCTGCCTCAGCCTCCCGAGTAGCTGGGACTACAGGCGCCCACCACCACGCCCGGCTAATTTTTTTTTTTTTAATTTTTAGTAGAGATGGGGTTTCACTGTCTTAGCCAGGATGGTCTCAATCTCCTGACCTCGTGATCCGCCCGCCTCTGCCTCCCAAAGTGCTGGGATTACAGGCGTGAGCCACTGCGCCTGGCCAAAAGCACGTTATTTGTTTTAGTAAATTTTTCAGATGTATTATATGGAAAATTGATGATATCCGCAGTGATGGATACTGGATTAGATATTTTCACTTTGAATTAAAGTCATCTAATCTGTCTGGAATTCCAGGAGAATCATACACTTTTTTCCCTTTAACTTCTCTTGAAGCTACATTTTAAATTGATCTTCCTCTGTTCAGTGATTCATTTGAAATTAAGAAGTACTTATCTTTCTCTGGGTGAGAAGGTCTAGTGTGCAGAGAATCTCTTCAAATGGGCACCAATACATTTTCTTTCAGTTGTCTGCTTAGACTTCATTTACCTTCTCTTTGGTAATTTGTGGCCATATTTCAATTATCAGACTAAAAACTGTGTAAACTATTAATAAATTGTGCTGGACTTGATAAATTTATTGAATGAATTTCTCTCTTCTCATTAAAACCAAGTATGGTCTGGACGGACTGTCTTTTGTAAAGCTCATTTAGTTTTATTTCATTCTGTTTTGACAGAGCAGAAATCTACATCGTGCCTTTCTGTGATATAGCTTTTCTAACCTTACCTCATGTGTTTGTTTTCTTTTGAAAATAGATAGCATCTGGAGGTAATAGCATTATTGGACATTCCATTCTAATTATATTATTATTAGCAACACTTTCTTTCAAATGAATTGGTGTTTCAGTATGAACTGTTTACCCATGAGCCACTGAATAGGAATGCCTTGGCAAGGTTCTAAAATGGGGAGAAAATTGGGGGTTATCTCTTTCACTCTTCTGTTTCTATTTGTTATATTTTCCCATTTAATACTCTAAATCGTCTTCTTTTGCATTTAACTGTAGGAAAATCAGTAGAATTGAATTCCCCCAATTAACAGCTGCTTACAATATGTTGTACAAATAATTTTATACTTGTTTTAGAAGAGCAAATCCAGTATTTTTTTCACAAATTGATATTGAAAATATAAAAACTACAAAGTAATTAACACTGTGATATTAGCAATACCCAAATAATTTCTTTGATATAAAACAAAATATTTTTTAAAAGTTTATTATTAGAGAAAGCAACACTAGTGGTTACTGTTCAGAAATATTATTGGAGATTAGATCATGTATAAAAATATTATCTTATATTTCCCACTTAACTTCAACTTCTGAATCAATTCATAAATAAGACAAGAGTCAAAGTTCTAGTGATAAAATAATTAGAAAACATGGCATAAATCCATAGTCAAAAGTTTACTACTATATATCTCCCTCACATTTTGCCTTCCTAAATTACATTATTCTACCCAGTAAGAGGCAGAACTGTTGGAAAACTTTGCCTGCCCAGAGGGATAGGGAGCTTAATTAATTCAAGAGGAAAAAAAATACACACGTGCTGGGGATATGTGGCCCTGAAAGATTCAGAGATAAATGCCAAGGGTTGAACTACACATTATGAAGTTTATTCCCCCAAATTTGATTATGTACCTCAGTTCTTCTCAAATGTAGAGAAAAAAAATTATTTCTCTACTTTTCCTCTTGGGGACTTCGAACAATCTCTGTCTCTTCCATGAACAATGGAGGAGTAAGCAATAATGTATTTTAAAAATAATAACTTTAGGAATGCAATTAAAGTTTAAAATGATACTGATTTTACTTAAGCCCTAGTATGACTTAAGACATACATGTTATGCATTCTGAGGTAACAAAATTTTTAATTTTAATACGACTTTTTTACAAAGATGTCTTATCCATAGTTTAACCAGGGTGCTGTAGGTACTTCGGTGTACTTGCAGCGCACAATGGCATCCAGCCAAGACAGTAGTAAAATCTAGCTTTTTTGGCTTGGCCAACCCTTTGCTCTGTTTTGAGGCTGAGCCAGCCTGGATGGAGGGTTATTTTATATAAATATGCTTAAAACTGCTGCTTGTTTTGCAATTTGAATAGACTCTAAATAGCATAGTGGAGGCCCTGCTTGACAAAGGGGGTTAAATAAAGATGGCCATCTAAGAAACTGTTTTAAATATATGGCTATCATTTTGGAGCAGATGGGACTTTTAGAGGCATGTAAATCATATCTCACAGGCCACTATGTTACTATGGAGTAGTGGCCTTGACTGTAAAGAGTAGTTCAGCATTTTAAGATTTAGAATTTTTTTTTTTCCTGTTTGAGGCCTTGAGTTGTAAACAGCCCTCAATGCAGTGGCTATATGTTTTAATATGGAAACAGTTCATGAATAGAAGTGTTCTGATAGAAATGAAAGAGACAGCTTCCTGCTGGAGTAAAACACATGCTTCCTTTTGAGACATATCCACCCTGCTCGTGTAGCGTAATTATACTGCTTAGAAAGAAACTCAGAAACAAAATAATAAGTATCAGCTATCACTTTTCTGTAACTATCCAACTAACCTTATGTATGACATTAAAAAGTAGCTTTCATTATAGTAGAGTTCTATTTCTTTTTAATTGCTTCCATCTTTCTTGAAGTCATTAATATTCAAAAAATTCAATTATTACACTTATTTCATTTCCTTTTTGAGATTCTTACATGAAAGACTTCATAAGCTATAAAATATAAAGAATTATTTCCATATTGGAATAGCTTTTAAAGGAGGATTCTGCAGTCTTGCATTACATGGAATGAGCCTGGATTCTTTTGATATCTAACAGATGAAAAATTACTTTTGAGAAAATGTTCTTAGGTTCAAGGCCTTTTGTCTCCTCTGATAATTGCTCAAATGTCCACATTTTACTTCATGTTTTGTTCTCTTTAGATTTCTTTTTCATTTTAATCACATGCAAAATTCTGAATATGGAGAATATGTTTTAAATTTAGAAATTTTATTTCAGAAACACTGGCCTTTCTTTAGAGGGCAGTGTTGAAAGTGTTATTTTGCATTTGTCTTTTTTTATATATTTTGTTCTGTGAACCTCTGCAATTTAAAGTACTTCAGTTTTATCTTTCTAATAATAGAGATTCATTTATTTGCAAGTTCTGGTAAAAAGGTATTGTTGGGGATATTTTAAAAATTAGAAAAACACATAAGCTGGGAGAAATAATCTCACATTTTTCAGACATTTTGAGTTACATTTACAAAGGTATTTATGAAAGTAGAGGTTAGTACATTTTTCCAGAGTTATATACTATCATTATATTATGCATTTGCCTCTATCCCTTATCTTTGCTTGTAAACAAAAAATTTCAAAAACTTTGGTAATATATTAAAAATACAATTATCTCTTATTTTTTACTAAATTTTATATCACTAATATCTTCATAAATTGTTAAAAACTGTTCAAAATCATATATAATAATTGTCTCCTTGTGAGAAGGTTGCAACACAGGAAAAGTCTTATTGTTTTTAATGTTACAGTCAAAGGGCATAAAAAAGTCTTATTGTTTTTAATGTTACAGTCAAAGGGCATAAGTCATTTTATTTCCCATTAAGAGAATGACATTTTTCTATGTCATTTTGCCAGTAACAATCCTAAACCATCCCCATGCATATGTTTGTCCAAAGGCTCCTTAGTCATGTATGCGTCGATGATGGAGCCAAAAGTTATGAGTAACCCCTTCGTAGAAGATGCTTCTGGTGCTACAAAGTAAGTAACCTGGTGCCCAAAAGAATATCTGGTAAATTCAGATAATTTTGCGTACTGTAAATATAGACCCTGCTATGGTTAATAACCTTCACCTTTGCTGGTAAGACTAAATTCTGTTCTATACTCAGAGATCTTCAAAGATCAGTGGGGAGAATGAACCCCTTTAATCACCATTCCTAGTTCTTGTTCTCTGGTAAGAATATTTGACATGGTTTGGCTCTGTGTCTCCACTCAAATCTCACCTTGAATTGTAATAATCCCCACATGTCAAGGGTGGAACCAGGTGGAGAATTATGGGGGCGCTTCCCCCATGATGTTCTCATAAGAGTGAGTGAGTTCTCATGAGATCTGATAGTTTTATAAGGGTCTTTTCCCCCTTTGCTTGGCACTTCTCGCTTCTGCCACCTTGTGAAGAAAGAGGTGTTTGCTTCCTCTTCCACCATGATTGTAAGTTTCTTGAGGCCTTCCCAGCCATGTGGAACTATGAGTCAATTAAACCTCTTTCCTTTGTAAATTACCCAGTCTTGGGTATTTTCTTTGTAGCAGCGTAAGAAGGGACTAATATAGTGAATTGGTACCAAGGGAGTGGGGCGGGGTTATACAGATGATACCTGAAAACGTGGAAGCAACTTAGGAACTAGTTAACAGGCAGAGGATGGAACAGTTTAGAGGACTCAGAAAAAGACAGGAAAATGTGGGAACTTTTGGAACTTCCTAGAGACTTATTGAATGGCTTTGATCAAAATGCTGATAGTTATATGGACAATGAAGTCCAGGCTGAGGTGGTCTCAGAGGGAGATGAGGAACTTGTTGGGAACTGGAGCAAAGGTGGCTCTTGCTATGCTTTAGCAAAGAGACTGGTGACATTTTGACCCTTCCCTAGAGATCTGTGGAACTTTGAACTTGAGAGAGATGATTTAGGGTATGTGGGGAAAGGAATTTCTAAGTGGCAAGGCATTCAAGAGGAAGCAAAGCATAAAAGTTTGGAAAATTTGCAGCCTGGCAATGTGATAGAAAGAAAAATCCATTTTCTGGTAAGAAATTTCAGCCTGTGGTAGAAATTATCATAAATAAGAATGAGCCAAATATTAATCCCCAAAACAATGGGGAAAATGTCTCCAGGGCATGTCAGAGACCTTCAAGGCATTTCCTTCTATCACAGACCTGGAGGCCTAGGAGGGAAAAAAGGCTTTCTGAGCTGGGTCCAGGGCCCACTGGCCCTTGGTGTGTGCAGCCTCAGGACAATGTCCAAGCCACTCCAGCCATGGCTAAAAGGGGCCAAGGTACAGCTCAGGCCATGGCTTCAGAGGGTGCAAACCCCAAGCCTTAGCAGCTTCCATGTGGTACTGTGGTACACAGAAGACAAGAATTAAGGTTTGAAAACCTCTGCCTACATTTCAGAGGATGTATGAAAACATCTGGATGTCCAGGCAGAAGTCTGCTACAGAGGTGAAGCCCTCATGGGGAACCTCTGCTTGGGCAGTGCAGACGGGAAATGTGGGGTTGGAGCACCAACATCGAGTCTCCACTGGGGCACTGCCTAGTGAAGTTGTGAGAAGAGGGCCATCATCCTGAGACCCCAGAGTGGTAGATCCACTGACAGCTTTCACTGTGCACCTGGAAAAGCTGCAGACACTCAACTCTAGCTGTGAAAACAGCCGGGAGGGGGCTGTACCCTTCAAAGCCACAGGGGTGTAGCTTCCCAAGGCCATGGGAACCCACTTCTTGAATCAGAGTGACCTGAATGTGAGACATGGAGTCAAAGGAAATCATTCTGGATCTTTAAAATTTGACTGCCCCGTTGGATTTCAGAGTTGCATGGGGTCTGTAGCCCCTTCATTTTGGCCAATTTCTCCCATTTTAAATGGGTGCATTTAACCAATGCCTTATCCCATTTCATCTAGGAAGTAACTAACTTTCTTTTGATTTTACAGGCTCATAGATGAAAGGGACTTGCCTTGTCTTGGATGAGACTTTGGACTTCGATTTTTGAGTTAATGCTGGAATGAGTTAAGACTTTGGGAGACTGTTGAAAAGGCAATATTTTGTTTTTAAATGTGAGGACATGAGATTTGGGAGGTGCCAGGGTTGGAATGATATGGTTTGGTTAAGTGTCCCCACCCAAATATTACCTTGAATTGTAATAATCCCCATGTGTCAAGGACGGGACCAGGTGGAGATAATTGAATCAGAAGGACAGTTCCCCCATGATATTCTCATGATAGTGAGTAAGTTCTCATAAGATCTGATGATTTTAGGAAGGGCATTGCTCCCAATGCTTTGCAATTCTCTCTCTTGTTGCCATGTGAAGATGGACATTTTTGCTTCCCTTTCCACCATGAATATAAGTTTCCAGAGTCCTTCTCCAGTCATGTGGAAGTGTGAATCAATTACACCTCTTTTTTTTAATAAATTACCTAATCTTGGGTATTTTCTTCGTAGCAGCATGAGAAAGGACTAATACAATATTGTACTCTTATGTGGAGACTATGTTCCCAACATTACCATATTTCATTTTAATTACATAGTCTCTTTTCTTAACATGCAAATGGATTTTTACATCTAAATTACGCTTCTATCACCTGACCTGATAGAGGTGGCAGAACGATGTTCCCAGGTCTATCAATTTCCAAGAAAATGTAAATCTTCAGGACTCACTGTCTTTCTGTATTTCAGGGCTTTTAATAAAATGATTTCTTACCTTGTATAGATCAAAACTAGATTTCTTCTAGAGGCATTATTCTTCATGGGAACTTTCAATTAGTTCTCCATATTTTTATATACACAAGAGTCTCAGAGCTTGAAGATGATGTCAACTAGCTTCTCACCCTCCAAATGTCAGACTATATATATACTATATATTAAATATAGGAATAAGTATATATATAATATATAGTATAATTCCATTTATAAGTACAAGTGCAAGTTTTTACTACTCTGAGTGGTGTCATTTGCAGTCTTATTTGTCAGTATAAAACATTTCATTTTTTATCCTCCAATCAGACTCCAGAGCAGTATATATTTATAATTTCTTTCCCAATGAAAATAAAAATTGAAGATCCATTTTTCAAGACATCATGCTACCAATTATTTGTAAGACCTCTAAAATTTTATTTTATGAAGAAAGCACTACTTTAGTATTTCCAACTGAAAAAAAAAGAATAACAAAGACCTAGGACAAAAGAGTTATCTTCAAAGAGAAAATTTTAACACAGAGATTCTCCTGTTTCAGTTACCTCCTTATAAAGAGGTCATCATTTCTAAGTTATTCAACCTGATTCAGTGGCTGTTAGTATTTCACAAAAGGACCCTTAAAATGTCTATATTTCAGCAACTAGAAAAAGAAAAAAAATATTTTTTCACTTTATTTAATTCAGTGGAGTCCTCACCAAACTTCCACTGCATCCCATCTCCCTGAAAACCTCTTATCTAAATGATACTTTTTACAATTAAAAATGACTTTGACAAAAGGAAATACAGCTAATTATTTCAGCTGCTTATTATTATGAATGGTTGGATTTCTTTAGCAGCAAAATGAATTGAAACTTTTTAGGGGACGCTTGTTATCTTACATCCACTAACCTTGTTTCAGACTCAGGTGCTCCTGCCAAAACACTGAGTGCCTTAGAAGCCCAGTGAATTCAAAATGGAATTTGAGCACTAATACTTTAGAAATTGTGAAGGCCCATCTTGTCTCCTTTCTTGTTGTTTTTGGTCACTAATGAATATTTAATCTCTTCCCTCCACCTCCATTTTAGCACTAATTCTCTGATCCAAATAGTTTTCTTTTCCTTCCTTGCTAAATGTGCCATTCTGCAATATGAAATCTACATTCTGTGTTTTAAAAAATCACCTTTATTTTAAATGTCTTTCGTAAAATACTTCTGTGCCTCCTAGTCTGAATAGAAGCCAGTCATTCCTGAGACCACTGCCTTAGCAGTGTTTTCATTATTCTGGATATGCTTCTTTACCCTCTTTTTAGATTTGGAAAATCATTTCAGCATTCTCCTTCTCCAACCTACTTAAAAATACCATCTGCCTACCTTTATAGAGTAGAAACTGTTATAGATGAGAGCCATGTTATCTAGGAAGATTACACTGAATGTCTCTGCCTTCCTATTCTAGAAAGTACTTCTCAGTTTTGGAAGATTTGCCTCTTCCGTACCCTGAGAACTTCTAGTATCCTAGGTAATGTCAACTTTATAAGGAAAACCTGAGATATTACCATTTCCTCTTAATTCATTAAGCCCCTAATTCCTATATATTGTGGGTTGAATAGTGTCCCCCCACTGAAAGATATGTTAGAGTTCTTACCACCAGGACCTCAGAATATTACCTTATTTTGAGATAAGGGGTAATTTAGGCACAGATACAGATATGCATAGAAGGAAGACCATGTGAAAAAACAGTAAGAAGACAGCCATCTACAAGTCAAGGGGAGGGGCCTGGACCAGATATTTCCTTCACAGTCCTCACAACGAGAACTCTGGCTCTGGCATCTAATTCCAAAACCACAACTTGTATTATACAACACTAAGAACTGATAAATCCCACATATATTAAAATTAATAATCTCATACACAATTAAAATATTCTTATGCTTGAAAGCTTATTACCTTATATATGCTTTGATCCATTGGGAACACTAGCCTTTTGACACATTTCTATACTTTCATTCAATTCTCCTGTCTTCAGTGACTCCCCATCCATCTTAGGCAATGGCATTCATTTTTTCAACTTCAGCTGCTTTGCTACTGTCATTGTATTGCATAAAACATTAAGTTTTATTCCCAAGTTTTTGGATTTTCTTCTCTCCTTCTATATCTGAACTGTTCAGTGCTGCCCCCAAAAAAGTATGTATCTACAAATATGTTACCTGTACAAATTTATAGTCTCCAGTAGTACTAGATCTTTATCAAATTCTAAATCTCCATCCTTCTTTTATTTCCACTCAACTCTTACCATTCATCTCAAGAATAACTTCAAACCTTCCTTATTCTCTTTCCACCTCTTACCTAACTTTTACTTTTAGGAGATGACCTTAACTCCTTTCTCAGAGTTGTCAAATGTCATCATACTGAAACTCCAGAAATTTCTCACAATCTCAATGGCAAATCCAACTTCTGCACCCAGAATAACTGTAAGAACTGTAATATTACTGTAAAATAGCTCATTTGATGTATACTCTATGTTCGGTATTTCACGTCACTAGTCATTTTCTTTTTTGTTGTTGTTGTTGCCAGAACTTTCTATTGGTCAATGTGTCTATCAATCAACAACTATTATCTAACACATCTGCTCTTATCTTTTAAATACTTTCACTTTATCCATTCCCACTAAAACTGTCTCACTGTAGACAACTGTTCTCTTTTGCCTGAATTACTCTAACATCCTCCTAACTAGCCTCCAGTTCCCAGTCTTGCCAGCTCCCTAAAAGCACTCCATTCTTTATACTACATTTCTTGAAATTTTAATGATTTCAAAATATAAATTAGGTTATTTTCTTTCAATTATTTTAACTGATGGATGTTCATTGAATTTAGTATAAAGTCCAAAGTCACTAGCATTGTGTAAAGATGTCTTGATTGGTCTGAGAAAGTCCCAGTTAATGCTTATTCTCCCAGCATAATTATCACTTGCACTCCTATTTAACATTTAAAAATGGTCAGGTTTGGATGGTAAATTACCCCTACTAGAAATCCAGCTCTTGGTACATAGTCAGTTCATCTTTGATTTTTCTGATTATTTTTCAAGAAACACTAACTAATTAACATATTTTAAAGTTACAAATATTAACAAACACATTTTATTACAGTAGCCCTTCCTTATCTATAGTTTTGCTTTCCTTGATTTTAGTTACCCATGGTTGGTTACAGTCTAAAAATAGGTGAATACAGTGCAATGAGATATTTTGAAAGAGAAAGAGAGACCACATTCACATAACTTTTTTTACAGTATATTGTTTAATTGTTCTATTTTATTATTATTTTTTGTTGCTAATCTCTTTCTTTGCCCAATTTATGGATTTTTTCATAAGTTTGTATGTATAGGAAACATATGTGAGTTTTGGTACTACCTACAGTTTCAGACATCCACTAGGGGTCCTGGAACACATCTCCCAAAAGAAAAGGGGGAACTATTGAATGTATAATTTAGAAAAGTTTAGAAATGAACCCAATCAGTTCTGGTGCATTGCTTTTGTATAAATAACAGCTCCTTGGCATATAATTTATATCCCCTACAATTCATCCATAGAAGTGTAAAATTTAAAGGTTTTATTGTATTTACAGAGTTCTCCAACCATTACTGTAATCCATTTTAGAACATTTTAATCACCTTGAGAAGAAGCCTTATAACTATTAATAGTCACTTCTCACTTCCTCCCAACAACCCGAGTCTTAGGCAAACACTAATCTATTTTTTTGTCTCTATAATCTTGCCTATTCTAGATCTTTCATGTAAATGGAATCATACAGTATGGGTCTTTTGAATGACTTCTTTCACTTGGCATAATGTTTTCATGATACATCGATGTTGAAACTCCTTTTTATTGTTGGATAATACAACATTGTATAAATGTATCACATTTTATTTATCCATTCATCAGTTAATGGGCATTTGTGTTGTTCCTACCTTTTGGATATTATGAATAATGCTGCTGTGAACCTTCAAGTACAAGTTTGTTTGTATAGATGTATGTTTTTATTTCTCTAGAATATAATCCTGGGAGTAGAATTCTAGATCATATGGTAACTCAGTGTTTAAATTTTTAGGATACTGCCATATGATTTTCCAAAGTTGCTGCATCATTTAATATTTTCAATAACAATTTAATGTGAGTGACAACTTTTCCACATTTTGGTCAACAGTTGCATCTGTCACCTGTGTAACACCTCAGCTACTTAGACTCTAGCCCTCTAGAGCAAAACCGGTATTAGATGTATTTTTGATTATAGCCACCTTAGTGAGTGTGAAGTGCTATCTGTTGCTTTCATTAATATTTCCTCATTGGCTAATTACGTTGAGCATCTTTGGATGTGTTCAATGACTATATATTTTCTTTGGAGGAATGTCTGTTCAATTTATTTGTCTAGTATTAAATTATTTGTCTTTTTGTTATTGAATTGTATGAGTTCTTTATATATTATAGATACAAACCCTTTATCAAGTATTATCACTTGAAAATATTTTCTCCTAATCTGTGGGTTGTCTTCACTTCCTTGGTGGCATATTTGAAACAAAAAAAATTAATTTTGATGAAGTCCAACTTATTTATTTATTTAATTTTATTGCCACTAAGGATTTTGGTAGCATAGCTAAAATATCTTTCCTCAAGTCAAATTCACAAAGACTTTTTCCTGCATTTTGTTAGGAGTTTTAGATTCAGTTCATATATTTGGGTCTATGATCCATTTTGAGTTAATTTTTATATAATGTGAGGGAGGAGTCCAAATTCATTATTTTTTCATGCAGATATTCAGTTGTCCTAGCACCATTTGTTAATAGGACTGTAATTTCCCTGTTAATTTGTCACTACACACATGTTAAAAATCAATTGGCCATATGTGTAAGCACTTATTTCTAGACTATCAATTCTACTCAATTCCTCTATATGTTTATCTTGTGTCAGGGTTGCAAAGGCCATTCTCAGACCTGATGATTTTGTATAAGGACTCTTAAAACCCAGATAAACTGTTATAGTCATGTTTATAGTTTATTACAACGAACAGATGCAGATAAACATCAACAAAGAACAAAGGAGCATGCATCAAAATTCAGGTACAACTTTCCAGGTGTCCTCACCCAGTAGGCATCTGTAACCTGCATGACACCTCAGCTACTTAGACTCTAGCCCTCTAGAGTAAAAACAGGCATTCACCATAAATTACATTATTATCTTAAACTATCTAATAAAACTGGTATCACATGGCCCAAGGGCTCAGGCATACAAAACACTTTTATCAAGCAAAATATTCTGAGGGCTTAGAATTTATCTCTCCGGTGATCAACATTAGTCTTAAAGACAACTCTTTCTTTGCAATTTCTAGGGTTTGAGCAACACAGGCCAGTTGAGTTAACTCTTGCTTGCATAGTCCTTTCTCCTGGCTCTTGACCTAGGCTATCTTAGAACAAAAAGATTATATTTTCCTGAGCATCTACATTTAGTATAGCATTTATATAACAGATACAACAGTGTAATTACGAATATGCCTAACATTTAGAAGATCAGTGTGGAGAAGGGATAGACTTAAAGAAACAATTAATCCGGCCAGGCACGATGGCTCACGCCTGTAATCCCAGCACTTTGGGAGGCCAAGGCAGGCAGATCATCTGAGGTCAGGAGTTCGAGACCAGCCTGACCAACATGGAGAAATCCCCGTGTCTACTAAAAATACAAAATTAGCTGGGCATGATGGCACATGCCTGTAATTCCAGCTACTTAGGAAGGCTGAGGCAGGATAATTGCTTGAACCCAGGAGGTGGAGGTTGCAGTGAGCTGAGATCGCACCACTGCACTCTAGCCTGGGCAACAAGAGCAAAACTCAGTCTCAAAAAAACAGAAAAGAAAAAAGAAACAACTCATCCAACCTATTAATCTATGACATACATTTTCACACATTTTCATATTTTGTACTAATTTATTCAATTTCCTTCTTGGTAGACACAACTATTTGTATCTCATGATAAACTTGTGCAAAACAACTCAGCATTGAAACTAGCTGATGGGGACCTAAATCCACTTAGTCCTCAAAGCACTCATTTCCCATCAGTGTTATGTCCCAAGGAGGCTTTAATTTTACCTTTCAATATATTTGATAATCAGTATTAATATTTTCATATGACTCCCTTCTGGATTTTAAGTCAATTGGGAACAATGTCAGTCATTCATTCTTAGTTCAGAGGCTTTTACTTAGACTGGTTTTTATTGCTTGCTGTTATATAGCAGGGCCCAACTCCTTCCTATAGGGAAGATATAAGAGTCCAGAATATTTCCTATCCCTACTATGGTATAGGATATATCTCATCTGATCTATTCCTGGGAAAGGGGAAGGTAGGGTGCATCAATGTTAATTACAAGCATCCCCACCCCCAGATAAATTTTACTAGTTTGGAGTCCCGTAAGTTTCCCACAAGCGTGCCCCTTGAACTCCTGCAGCTAGGATGGAGGGCCATGGTACGTTGGCTATTTCAGCCCCCATCTGTATTAAAATACTCACTTCATCCCCTTCACTGAGTCAGTGTATAAGCACTTCTCGATGCCAGGTCCTTGCAATATGTATTATTTGTTGAGACTGCTCGACCCACTTCACTAAAGCCTCATCCTCTCTCCAGACTGACTCCCTTCCCTGAACTTCTTTCTGAAAGATTATTTATTCCCTACAATATGCTTATTCTAGTTAATAAATCTTTTCCTTCTGACTGCTTCTCATCATTAAAAGCAAATTCAGCTTGTCCCATGATGTCTAGAAGGAATCTATCTTCCCTAAAGTTCTCCCATGTCTTATGCACAACTTTTTTATTCTATCATACATGTTTATGCCATTGTGTACTAATGGCCTGAGTAAAGTTAGGATACATGCTTTATACCCAAAAATCCTGGGTCTCCCATTTTAGGGTTAGATGAATGCTTGTCATACCAAGAGGAGTCTGAGTATGACCTCTACATTTCAGGGTAGGACCATTCCCCAGAGAAATTTTGACCCACCTTATGAAGTCTTCTAATTTATTCCTATCAGAAACCTACTTTATTTCCTAGTTTGTTTAATATCTTCCCACCAGCAAAATCAAGAGTGATATGTATTTGTGCACAGCACACTATGGACTGTCTGGCAGGCAACTGCTATATTTTGTCTATTATAACCAGTGACCCTTCTAAGCATTCAGTCATCACAATTTATAGTTATACAGTGATTACAGTCACACAGTTTCTTGCTGAGAGGTCATCCTTGTTTCTGGCACCCAAAGTTGCATCCCTAGTTCTATGACCTCTGCATAACATTAAAAAAAAATGAAAGTTGAAGTGATCTGAGGAAGATTCACAGTCATACCAATATTCTCACCCATCTTTACTTCCTAACATTCTCTAGAAAAGCCAAGTAATCTATCAAGGGGGAGGAATCTACACTTCCTGGCCCCTGTAGTTTGACTGCTGATTGTAAGAACAATCAAAAATGAGATCTTGATGCCCTTCCCAAGGTAATGAGTGAGTTCTCACTATATTAGTTCACATGAGAGTTGGTCATTTATAAGAAGCCTGGCACCTTTCTCTTTCCTTCTCTTTTTTCATCTCTTGCCATGTCATACGCTCACTCCCTTTCCCCATTGCACCACGATTGGAAGCTTCTTGAAGTCCTCACCAGAAGCACGTGCTGGTACCATGATTCTTGTATGACCTGAAGAACCATGAGCCAAATAAACCTCAATTATTTACAAATTACCCAGTCTCAGCTGTTCATAGGGCAACAGGATTCCAGCAGTTCCTTAAGTAGATCCAAAGTCATCCCTAGAGGAAAGGAGACTGCTTGCTCATTGATACAGCAAGTGCCTCTTTGTTTTCCTTTGTTGGAAAAGACAGTAATCTTATCCAATCCAGACCTCAGATGTATGACCTAATTTATCCTTAATTACCTCCTAAAGTCAAACATCATACAGTATGATGTTTCTGTATAAATCATTTTTATTTTATTATGGAACTCTTCTGGATACCGCCTTCCATATTAGCATGTTTGTCTGACATTACATAAGAAATTAGGGTCATTTCAGATTTCAAGATTATTTTATGACCTTCAGTCATAGGAGTCATTAAAATTAATGCTCAGTGGCAGACCAATAATTGTCCCTCAAAAAGGCTGTAAGATATCACCATGCCTGGTTAAAAAAAAAAAATACAGCACTTACTGCTATGCAACACTCATGTGCTTTTGCCATTAGCTGTAGTCTGAATAAGTGTGAGTTACAGACACTTCCAAAATCATATTTGGGTGTAGATAACAAGGGTCCAAAGGCATTGATTGAGACACTTATTTTTTCAAATCAAACATAGTATGTTGTTGTTTAGGTCCTCATTCAAACATACCCTTCCTTTGAGTATTTCTACAAATAAGAGCTAGCAATATAGCAAGATATGAAATACGCATCATTGAAAATCCAAACAACCCAACCATGTGGTATACTTTTTGCTTGATTTCAAGGAAAATTAATGGCAGCATTTTATTTTCAGTTGTTGTGGAATGTCATGAGTGGCTCCTCTCCAGGTTATTACTAAGAATTTCATCATTTGGGCAGACCTTTGGATATTTGCTGGATAAATCGACTAGTCTCTGTTAGTCATGAGTGTTACCCCTGTATTTCAGTCCTATCTTGTTCTTCAGTTCTAATATTATCATGAGCTCCTCACTGTGGTGTATTATCCCATTCTGAATCTGCATGAAGTCTGAATTTTTCCTAACAGATCTATGACTGTAAGCTGGTGATTCAAATAATGCTGTCATAATCCAATAAATGTAAATGACATCCTTCCCACATGAAAGCAGACTGGAGTTTTCATTGTTGTTGTTGTTGTTGTTTTTCCTGAGACTAAAATCAATAAAAAAGCATTTGCAAGAGCAATCAATGAGTACCCATCTCCTTTATCTTTTTAAATTTTTTTATTGATAATATCAAGTCAAGGACTGGTGATGCTATAGGCAATTCTACTTTATTTAAGCCTCAATAATAGGTTAATTTCCATGAGTCATCTTCTTTTCTCACAGACCACACATGGTTATTGCACAGTTGATTTGTTTGTACGAACACTTCAACTTCTAACATGTCCTTAATTAAAGTGATGTTTTCCTTTTGTACCTAGGTATTTGATACTATTTCAAATTAACAATCAGTGGACTACGGCAAATCTCTAGGTTGCCACTTAGTATGTTTAATTGATACTGGCCAATGTGAAAATTTGTATGTCTTCTGCTTTACAATACTAGGCAAAGGAAGGGTTTACTAGTGAGACATACTATTCGTCTCAGTAATACATTCATGTAAAGAAGAGGCAGGTCAGGAGTGGCTCATGCCTGTAATTCCAGCACTTTGGGAGACCAAGACAGGAAGATTGCTTGAGCCCAGGAGTTTGAGACCAGCCTGGGCAACATGGCAAGACCCCACCTCTACAAAATTTGAAAAAAAATTAGCCAGGCCTGGTGGCACATGCTTATCATCTCAGCTACTTGGGAGGCTGAGGTGGGAGGATCACTTGAACACAGGAGGTCAAGGCTATGAGCTGTGTTTGAGTCCCTGAACTCCAGCATGGGCAACAGAGTGAGACCCTGTCTCAAAAAAAAAAAAAAAAAAAAAAAAAGAAAAGAAAAATAGAGGCAAATCCTTACCATAAAGTCAATTCAAAAATTCCAATTTTTATACAAACTTTAGTTTCATCCACTGTTGCATCCTCATCTCATCCTCGACTAATGATAGTCCGTATTAGTTCACTGAACATTTTCAGATCACAGTGCATTGAGGTCCTATGTCAAACAGCCCGAGAAAGCTTTATTTTTCACATTCTCTATTTTACCTTCACAAGTTTCTATGGCCTTGAGTCCTCAGCCACAGCTCATACCAAGAGACCTATGATTCTTATTCAATCCTAATTCTTATTAATTTGCTAGACAATGTATTCCAACAATTCAAGGTAAGATTTATCATTGTCATCTTTGGCTTCTGGCTTCTTAAATTCCTCCAAACTGGGGTAAATAGAGGAGGATTTCTTTGGGTCCTTCAAGGTTGGCAACCACCAGAGGCTCCCATGGGTCCACACAAACTCCGATAATGCTGCATTAAGACCTATATTTTGATTCCATCAATATAATCTGCTTAATTTATCCTATTTCTTAATAACCATAATTTTCACCCAGCTGAGATAAATCCCTTGACTATCCATCTATCTTTCCCCATTATCTTGTGAATCACTCGAATTTTCTTAGCATGTGTAAAATTTATTAAAAATTGCTTAAATAGTCTAGATATTTGTCCCTCCAAATCTCATGTTGAAATGTCATCCCCAATGTTAGAGGTGAGGCCTAGTGGGAGGTGTTTTGGTCAAGGGGTTGGATGTCTCATGAATGGCTTGGTGCCCTCCCTGAGGTAATGAATGAGTTCTCCCTCTATTAGTTCATGTGAAAGCTAGTCATTTAAAAATAACCTGGCACCTTCCTCCTTCTTTCTCTTTCATCATCTTTTGCCATGTGATACGGTGGCTCTCCTTTCCCATTCCACCATGATTGAGAGCTTCTTAAAGTCCTCACCAGAAGCAGATCCTTGTGCCATGCTTCTTGTACAGCCTGCAGAGCCAAACAAACCAGTTTGTTTGGCTGTACACGAGCCAAACAAACCACTTTTATTAATAAATTACCCAGTTATTTCTTTATAGAAATGCAAAACTGACTAAAGCAGACACTGAGACAATAAATCTGATATGGTTTCTCTGACCATGGTAGTGGTCTGCTTTCTACATGGCATAATGGGCTGCTTTACCTCTTCAAACGTAAATCTCCACCATTGTATTAGTTTGCTAGGGCTGCCATAACAAAATACCACAGACTGCATAGTTTAAACAATATAAATTATTTTCTCACAGTTCTGGAGGCTAGGAAGTTCAAGATCTGGGTCCAGTAGGATTAAGTTACAAGTGAGGGCTCTCTTCACAGCTGGCAGATGTTCACTTTCCTGTTGTGTTCTAACATGGTCTTTCCTTGGTGCATGGGCGTGGAGGGAGTGAGTGAGCTCTCTTGGATTGCTTTTTATAAAGACAGTAATCTTGTCCAATCCAGACCTCAGACGTATGACCTAATTTAACTTTAATTACCTCCTAAAGTCAAATATAGTTATATTTAGGATTAGAGATTCAACATATGTATTGTGTGGAGGGGAACATAATTCAATCTATAGTGATCGGACTGTGCCTTTTTCATCTGAGAACTGGCTGAATTTTTCAGCTGTATTATTTTGTTTTAACTTTTATTTTAAGTTCAGGGGTACATAGGCAAACTTGTGTCATGGGGGTTTGTTGTACAGATGATTTCATCACTCAGGTATTAAGCCTAGTACCCATTAATTATTTTCCTCGTCTTCTTCCTCCTCCCACCTTGTACCCTCTGACAGGCCCCATTGTGTGTTTTTCCCTTCTATTAATCCATGTATTCTCATCATTTAGCTCCCACTTATAAGTGAGAGCATGCAGTATTTGGTTTTCTGTTCCTGCATTAGTTTGCTAAAGATAATGGCTTCCAGCTCCACCCATGTTTCTGCAAAGGACATAATCTCGGCCCATAATCTCATTTTTTTAATGGTTACATGATATTCCATAGTGTATATGTACCATATTTTCTTTATGCAGTCTATCATTGATGAGCATTTAGGTTGATTCCATGTCGTTGCTATCATGAATAGTGCTGCAATGAACATACATGTGCATGTGTCTTTATAATAAAATTATATATACATATAAATATGCATATATATATATATTCCTTTGAGTATTTGGGTATATACCCAGTAATGGGATTGCAGGATCAAATAGTATTTGTTTTTAAGTCTTTGAGGAATTGTGATACTGTCTTCCACAATGGTTGAACTAATTTACATTCTCACCAACAGTGTCTAAGTGTTCTTTTTCTGTGCAATCTCTCCAGCATTTGTTATTTTTTGACTTTTTAATAATAGCCATTCTGACTAGTGTGAGATGGTATCTCATTATGGCTTTGATTTGCATTTCCCTAATGATCAGTGATGATGAGCTTTCTGGAAAAAAAAAAACCCTAAGATTATTTATATCCATTTAGTTCAAGCTATAACTCCGGATTTTACCACACACATTCTTTCTTTCCATTCCAGTATGCTTTATCTAATGTCCATCCTATTGGCTTATACCTGAATTTCATCTCTGCTTCATGATCTCATAATCTCTGTCATTCTAATTGTTAGAAAATTGGACTATTTCCATGGCTTGTTTTTATTTTAATTATGGATAATGAGTCTTAGAATACCCATTTAACAATAATGCACTGCAGGTTACTAGTTAAATTCAAATTACCCAAGAGACAACTGATATTTCTTGGAATCTTACTTTAGTCTGCATCCAGTGCCCAGGGAACTCACAGGTCCCCAAAGAGAATAAGAAAAGAAAACGGTAGTTATTTGAATTTTCTCCAGTCTTTTTTTTAAAATTGTATTCACATGGTCCCCAACTTATGGTGGTTTGATTTAACCATTTTTGACTTTACAATAATGCAAAAGCTACAAACCCTCAGTATGTTCCTCAATTTATGATGGGCTATGTCTGGATAAACTCATCACAAATTGAAAATATTGTGACTTCTGGCTCACAGTATTTTTCAAGCTCTGATGGATTTATCCAGATATAACTCTATCATAAGTCAAGAAGCATCTGTATATTTAAGGTATACAGTATGATGTTTTGATATATCCATGTATTGTGAAATGTTTACCACAACCAAGCTGATTAAAATATCTATCACATCACATGGCTATAGTTTGTGTGTATTTGTATTAAGAACAGTTTCTCTGTATTTGCTGTTTGAATTCCCATTTAGACCACTTCAGATTTTCTCATCTCATAACCAAAGAACCATACTGTTCTCACTTGCTCCCATTACAGCACATAGTGAAATAATTACCTCCATTCTTTGCTCCACTTGCTCATTTTGTATTGACATATGAAGCCATTGATAACTCTTTGACTGAAATTTTGTGCTTAATTCTTCCTGTTAAAACAATTAATGAATACTATTGTCTTTTTTTAGAAGAGCTCACTGTTCATTGTTCTTCAAATTCTTTTTTCAATGATTATTTTTGATACTCCCCTGTTTCCCTCTTATTTTCTATCTGTCACTTCTCAGAATTTTTGACTGAATTATTATCTCAATTGATAATTAGCATTTCCTCATATTCTGTGTTTAGTTTTGTCTCATTCTTACACCACTGAGTCTCATCAGAAGATTTCATCAGCATCCATTCCTTTATCTATCATGTATACACTACTGGGAACTGATTTATATTGTAAGACTAATCTTCACTGTATGTACATCTTCATTTAAGCCACTCTCCCTATATTCACAACTGACCAACTCTGTCCTCAATTCCTAACATCCTCCACCTCCTATATTCATCATCCCAATTAAAAGAAATAACACGGCCTAGTATCCAAAGTCAGAAACCCAAAGCAAATGCTAGTGACAGTCACCTCCTTTATCTCTGAAGTCTAATCAATCAGGAAGTTCTATTGATTCCACTTCCCACACGAATCAAGTCTACTTCGTATAATTCTCAACATCATTATCACTGAAGTTCTCATAATCTCTAGTGTGCTAATTCATCTTCCTGTTTCTGTACTTGCCTACTTCCAATTCTTTCTCTGCTCTGTAATTCTATTTGATCTTTCAAATTGGATTCTTTATTCCCCTGACTGAAACCCATACATGATTTTAAAGAGCTTCAATATGTTTCTTTAGTGCATCTTCCAAAAATGTTTATTATCTGACTCAATTTATCCTTCCAGTCTAAATTCTTACGACTGCTTTCTAATATTCTAAACTCCTGTCATTCTGAACTACTTCCCATCTCCCAACTAGATCATATCCTCAGGTTTCTAGAACTTTAAAAAAGTACTTCTGTGTGAAACACTTTCTAACAGTTTCGTTTTTTCTCTTAGCAAATTTCTACTAGTCATTTCAGACTTTAAAAAAATAGTCTCCATCATATTTCCTATACCTAATTTCTTCATATTTATATATATGTATGTGTGTATATAGATATAGATTTAGATATATCTTTTAACAGTACTACTAGCAAGTACTGTAGTTTCTTATTTGCTCATTGTTACAAATGAATAAGTTTGTTACAATAATACCTTCCATTTCATGTACTCTTTTACAATGTGACTGTAGACCTTCTGTCATCAAGAAGTGTGGTCTATGCCTCCTCTCTGTGTGACTTAAAGATGAGGCAGCCTCTGCCTTGCTCCCTGAAACACCCATTCTCGGAGTGTTACCATATAAAATGTTCTGTTGGCTGGGCACGGTAGCTCACGCCTGTAATCCCAGCACTTTGGGAGGCCGAGGTGGGCAGATCACAAGGTCAGGAGATCGAGAACAGCCTGACCAACATGGTGAAACCCCGCCTCTACTAAAATACATAAAATTGGCAGGGCATGGTGGCACGTGCCTGTAGTCCCAGCCTCTTGGGAGGCTGAGGCAGGGGAATCACCTGAACCCGGGAGGCGGAGGTTGCAGTGAGCCGAGATCACGCCACTACACTCCAGCCTGGCGACAGAGTGACACTCTGTCTCAAAAAAAAAAAAGAAAAAAGTTCTGTTACACTAAGGTCACAAAGCTATGTGAAAGCCCTACCACATAAAGAGGACGTGTTTACACATGTAAGTACACATGTAAGTACAGTGATCTGAAGACTTAGTCTTCTATTCCTCCCTACCAAATAAGATAATGAAGGGCCCTTCAGGTAATTCTGGCTCCTAGCTATATCAATTCACTTTTGGTCTTTGAGTTTTCTCAGCTAAGGTATCAGACTTTGTAGATGAGAGGAAAGCAGCTCTGATTTTGTCTATTCTGCATTCATAACACACAGAAACTCTGAACATAAAAAAATGGTTGTTGTTGTAAACCACTAAGAGAGATATGTTGTACAATAATGGAAACTGGAACAAAAGTTATTGCCAGTAAAAGGAAATTGGTTGAAATAAAATTTTCAGCAGCTTGTTAGTTTAGATCCAAAGTTTAAATCAAAGAGAAGATAGTATATTTTTCTTTATAACTCAAGAAATCATGGATTAATCTAGAATAATAAAACATTGCTCTATTTTTCTTTTGTATTTCCTTGATTTTTTCAGGCATTTTAATTTTGTTTAGGCTTTGCCTTCAAAGAAAATGTTGTGTTGAAATTAATAGAAATCTTATTTCCTAAATAATCCAATATATATGTCAAGAAAATCTAACATGCTCAGAGACCAAGTTATACTTTCACCATTAAAGCCAACCTGCTAAACTGCAGAAGCAAATTGTATTTATTTATTTATTTATTTTTGGATACATAGTCTCTCTCTGTCACTCAAGTTGGAGTGGAGAGGTGCATTCATGACTCATAGCAGCCAAAAGCTCCCAGACTCTAGCAATTCTCCCACCTCAGCCTCCCAAGTACGTGGGACTACAGGTGTGCACCTCCATACATGGCTAAATTTTTTTAAAATTTTTTGTAGAGATGGGGTTTCACCATATTGCCCAGGCAAGTGAAGCAAGTTTCAATCGACAAACAAATCCAAAGCAACACCCAGAGATTTTGTTTTTATACACTAGTTCCTGATGAGATATTTCTCTTTGTTGGTGATGCAAAAACTTCCAATTTAGTTGCCTGGAAACATTTCAAATATGCCTCCTACCGTGGGAGAAAATCATCTTGAATTTTGTCTTAATTTTTTCTGTACATCTTTCCATAAATGTATGAAGTCATTTTACTATAAGTGGAAAATAAAAATCGATAAATTCCTTGCATAAAATGACGTCTTGGCAAAAGTAATAAGTTGTTTTCTTTGCCCAAACAGAAAGAAAAAAATGGTACTAAGTCATTTGAGTTTTTTGAATATCTAACAAAAAATATAAAATCTTACTTTCCCGTAGCTTGTACAAAGATGATGATATTACTGCCTTAGGAAGTTAATTGCATAGTATCATATAACAAACATAAATGTGTCTATAATAATAAGAATATTGAAATAGAAAAAATCTGTGGAGATTACTACTTTGAAAAATATGAATTATACATCTTATTTTAAGTAAGTATATCAAAATATACTTCTGGTAGTTAAAAAAGTCCTTAAAATGTAAGCTTCTAAGAACAATTTTAAGACAGTTTATTTATTTAAAACAAAAATTAGACATAAATTTAATCATTATTATTCTTATTTAACACATGACATGTTTTTATTTTCTTACTTTCAGTCCTACATATAAATATGTATCAATTATAAATAGATGGAATTCTAAAATATAAAATCTTTTACTATGCTTATCTCTACTACATAATATTATCTATATGTCTATTCTCATACTTGTCATTTAAAATTATTTTAATGATATCATGTTCTGGATAGATAAACCAAAGTTAATAACCATTAACTATTGAACGTTAGGCAATGTCTCACTTTATAAATAATACCCTGCAAAATATCTATACACATATGCTGTCTTGACCATTCTTTAAATTATTTCTTTGCAGTGGTTGCTAGAAGTGACATTGTGTGTGCCATATATGCAAGAAACCTCTATAACCCTTTATGCATTTTAACTTACTGCTTTCTAGACTTTATTATTATTATTATTGTTATTACACTTTTAGTTCCAGGATACATGCGCAGAACTTGCAGGTTTGTTACATAGGTATACATGTGTCATGGTGGTTAACTGCACCTATCAACCCGTCATCTAGGTTTTAAGCCCAGCATGCATTAGGTATTTGTTCTAATGTTCTCCCTCCCACTGCCTCCCACCTTCTGACAGGCCCCGGTGTGTGATGTTCCCCTCCCTGTGTCCATCCACGTGTTCTTATTGTTCAACTCCCACTTATGAGTGAGAACATGCAGTGTTTGGTTTTCTGTTCTTGTGTTGGTTTGCTGAGAATGATGGTTTCCAGCTTCATCCATGTCCCTGCAAAGGACATAAACTCATCCTTTCTATGGCTGCATAGCATTCCATTTGACCATGAAAAAGTCAAATCCCTGAATAGACCAATAACAAGTTCTGAAATACAGGCAGTAATTAATTGCCTGCTAACCAACAACAACAACAAAAAAAAGCCTCGGACCAGATGGATTAACATCAAATTCAACCAGAGGTACAAAGAGGAACTTGTACCATTCCTTCTGAAACTATTGCAAACAATAGAAAAAGAAGGACTCCTCCCTAACTCATTGTATGAGGCCAGCATCATCATCCTGATACCAAACTCTAGCAGAGACACAGCAAAAAGAGAAAATTTCAGGCCAATATCCTTGATGAACGTCAATGTGAAAATCCTCAATTAGATACTGGCAAACCGAATCTCTCAGCACATCAAACACAACTTATCCACCACGATCAAGTCAGCTTCATCCCTGGGATGCAAGGCTGGTTCAGCATATTCAAATGAACAAATGTAATCCACCACATAAACAGAACCAGTGACAAAAACCACGTGATTATCTCAATAGATGCAGAAAAGGCCTTTGATGAAATTCAACACCGCTTCATGCTAAAAACACTCAATAAACTAGATGTTGATGAAACATATCTCAAAATAATAAGAGCTATTTATGAAAAACCCATACCCAATATCATACTGAAGGGGCAAAAGCTGGAAGCATTCCCTTTGAAAACTGGCAGAAGACAAGGATGCCCTCTCTCACCACTCCTATTCAACATAGTATTGGAAGTCTGGGCAGGGCAATCAGGCAAGAGAAAGAAATAAAGGGCTTTCAAATAGGAAGAGAGTAAGTCAAATTGTCTCTGTTTGCAGATGATCTGATTGTATTTTTAGAAAACCCCATCGTCTCAGCCCAAAAACTCCTTAGGCTGATAAGCAACTCAGCAAAGTCTCAGGTACAAAATCAATGTGCAAAATCACAGGCATTCCTATACACCAATAATAGACAATCAGAGAGCTAAATCATGAGTGAACTCCCATTCACAACTGCTACAAAGAAAATAAAATACCTAGGAATACTAGTTACAAGGGATGTGAAGGATCTCTTCAAGAACTACAAACCACTGCTCAAGGAAATAAGAGAGGAGATAAACAAATGGAAGAACATTCCATGCTCATAAATAGGCAGAATCAATATCATGAAAAAGGCCATACCGCCCAAAGTAATTTACAGATTCTGCGAAATCCTCTCTCTATATATATATAGTTGCTTATCAGTTAGTTTGGCTTCTAACACATTAAGAACATTTAACATACAGGCATACCTCAGAGAAATTGTGGATTCATTTTCAGGTTGCCTCAATAAAGCAAATACTGCATGAAACTGAGTCCCACAAAGTTTTTGGTTTCCCAGTGAATGTAAATGTTATGTTTCTATTAGACTGTAGCCTATTATGTGTTTAATAGCATTTCGTCTAAAAAATTTACTCATCTCAATTAAAAATACTTTATTTCTAAAAAATGCTAATGGTCACATGAGTTTTAGGAATTCATAAGTTTTGCTGGTGGAGGGTCTTGCCTCAAAGTTGATGGCTGCTGACTGATCAAGGTGGTGGTTACTGAAGGTTGGACTGGCTGTGGAAATATCTTCAAATAATACAACAATGAAGTTTACCACATTGCGTGACTCTTCCTTTCTCAAAATATTTCTCTTTGGCATGTGATGATGTTTGATAGCATTTTACCCACAGTAGAACTTCATTCAAAATTAGAATCAATTTTCTCCAATCCTGTCAGTGCTTTATCAATTAAGTTTATGTAATATGTAATATGAATCCTTTGTCATCATTTCAACAATGTTCACAGCATCTTCACTGAGATTATATTCCACCTCAAGAAACCACTTTCTTTGTTCATCCATAAGAAGTAATTTCCCTACTATTCAAGTTCAGTCATGACAGTGGAGTGATTCAGGCACATCTTCAGGCTCCACATCTAATTCTAGTTCTCTTGCTATTTCCATCACATTTGCAGTTACTTCCTCCACTATTCTTGAACCCCTCAAAGTGATCAATGTGGGTTTGAATAAATTTCTTTTAAATTCCTATTGATGTTGATATTTTGGCCTCATCTTATGAATTATGAGTGTTCTTAATGACATCTAGAATGATAAATGTTTTTTCCAGAAAGTTTTCAAGTTACTTTGCCCAGATCCATCAGAGGGATTACTATTTATAGCAGCTGTAGTCTTACAAAATGTATTTCTTAAATAATAAGACTTAAAAGTTTAAATTATTACTTGATCTATAAGCTGCAGAATAGATATTGTGATAGTGAACATGAAAATGACATGAATTTGCTTGTATAACTCCATTAGAGCTCTTGGGTGACCACATGTGTTGTCAATCAACAATAATATTTTAAAAGAAATCTTTTTCTCTAAGCAGTTGGACAAAATAGTGGGCTTACAATATTCAATAAGCCATGTTGTAAACAGATGTGCTGCCATTCAGGCTTTGTTTTTCCATTTATAGAGAGCAGGCAGATTATTAGATTTATTAGAGTTAACATGATTCTTTTAGGGCCATGGGATTTTCAGTATAATAAATGACATTGACTTCATCTTAAAATCATCAACTGCAATAGCCCCTAATAAGAGAATCAGCCTGTCTTTTGAAGCACTGGACCCAGGCATTGACTTTTCCTCTCTAGCTATGAAAGTCTTAAATGCTCTCTTTTTCCAGTAAGGTTAAGTACATTGAAAATCTATAGTTTAGTGTAGCCACCTTCATCAATGATCTTAGCTTGATTTTCTGGATAACTTGAAGCAGGTTTATATTGATATATGTTGCCTCCCTTTACACTTGCATGTTATGGGAAATGTCTTCTTTCCTTAAATTTTATGAACTAACTTCTACTAGTTTCAAACTTGTTTTCTGTACCTTCTTCATCTCTCTCAGCCTTCATAGAATTAAAGAGCATTAGAACATTGTTCTAGATCAGACTTTGTCTTAAGCAAATACCATGGCTTACTTGATCTTATATCTATACAACTACAACTTTCTCCATATTAGTAATACAGTTATTTCATTTTCTTATCATTTGTGTGTTCACTGGAGTAGTATTTTTAATTTATTTCAAGAACATTTTCTCATATTCATAACTTAGATAACTGTTTGGCACAAGAGGCCTAGTTTTCTTCTATCTTGACTTTCAACAGGCCTTTCTTACTCTGTTTAATTATTGATAGCTTTTGATATAAAGTGAGAGGTGACTCTTTCTTTCATTTGAACAATTACCGACCATTGTAGGCTTAATAATTGGCCAAATTTCATTATTGTTGTGTCTCAGGGAATAAAGCGGCTTAAGAAGGAGGAAAAAGATGAGGGAACAGCCAGTTAGTAGAGCAGTGAGTACATAGAACACTTACCAACTGAGTTTACCATCTTATATGGGCACAGTTTGTGGTGCTCCCTCAAAATTATAATAATAACATTAAAGATAGGTAATCACAGAACACATTAAGGGATATGATAATGAAAAAGTTTTCAATATTGTGAGAATTACCAAAGTGTGATGCAGAGACATGAAGTAAACTCACGCTATTAGAAAAGTGGTGCTCATGGGCTTGCTCTATGTGGGGTTGCCATGAACCTGCAATTTGTAGAAAATGCAGTATATATGAGGTACAATAAAATGAGGTATGTCTATATATGTCTTATGCATCAATTTAACCTTGGCACTTAGCACAGGACTTGGCACATAGTAAATCCCTATATACAATTGTTAAAAAGTTAAAGAAGTAAATGCATACGATAAAGACTAGCACTACGTGTATACCTCTTAAAATTTATTTTAATCAAGCATATTTTTAGAAATTATTATTCAATTTAATATGGCCTATATGTGGTGAAATTTATACTTAAAGGCACTTTTATGGACATTTTCTAATTATCATTTTAACCTTTATAATTGATTTGCATTTTATCAGAGGTAAGCTTACTATAGAAGTTTTATTAAACACTGTGCACAGCTATATGGAGACGAGATCTTTATAAAAACTCTATATAGCAATTTGGACTGCATGTCTCCAATCTTAAAATTATATTCATGCATAAAATAACCCTACAAAAATTGGAAATTTAAAAAATGTATATTTTCTAAGAAAAAAGTATAATTTTACTATGTTAGCCTTTTATAGAAGATAATTTAACATTTATTGTTATCAAGAACATAGGAGTAGAGAGCTGTTTTATTTGGAGTAGGTTTTGGATTCAGTTCATCTATCTACAATTTCAATAAAAGCAGTGAAAATTACTACCATTGCAGTTGCTTGATTGTAGTCCATTATAATGGGATTAACATAAACCATCTTGAGAAACATTTCAAAGTAAAAGTTTTACAGAGTAATATGATTTGGAGCTGTCAGTCACTAAACAAATACTGTGCCAACCAGCAACATTGAATTAGAATAGGGATTTCTTATTTAGATGTTAAGGACAGTTAACTAAATTTGCTTGTCTTAACTCAATTTTAAGTAGTTCAGAGAAAGAAAAATGGGCAAAGGAACATCTCTCATTATAACTAGAACATGCTATGAAGTATAATGTAAAATTTAAAATAGAATAAATTTTTGTTACAAACATTTTAAGTAGATGAAAGAGCAATGTTGTTTTCATATTATGTTTTAGATTAAAAATTTTGAAAAATTTATTAAAGAAATTTAATGACAGAATGCAGATAATGCAAAATGTGTATGACTTGAAATTAATTGGAAATAATATAGAGAAGAGTATAAAAATATACTTAGAGGATATTTTATTCCAGGATTAAATTTTCTTATTTTAAAATAAAGAGGTTTAAATTGTGAGTATATTAGATGTAAAACTATGATTTTAATAGAAAGTCATTCATGTGCAGGGGAAGAGGCATACCAGAAGGGTTAAGAAGAATAAAATAGAAGGTTGCTTATAGGCTTTGCAAGGAAAATAGCAAATTGGGGCAAGAAGAGTTAGCTTGTAATTTTTTTTTCTTTTCTGTTCTAATGTGAAAGAAGAAAAAAGATAAAGAAATAATTAAGATACTAGAAAGACGGATGACTAGAGGTAACTAATGCTCATCCACCTCCCCCCAAAAAAGGACAAAAAAAATGAAAATTTTGACCAGAGTGACTCAAATAGATTGTTGGACTACAGCAAGCGAGTAACAGAAAATCTGTGGAGCAAAGAAATTCAGTATGGCCACATGGAGAATGGAACAAAACACCCTTCCACTGCCACTTTGCTTCTCCAGTTGGGATCAACTTAAAGTAAGGAAGGCATTCTCCCTATGAGGAAAAAGTAAACTAGAGGACCCCAGCAGTTCCCATTACCACTGCAGACAGCTACAATCTTTGCTACTGGAGATTGCTGAAGTACTTCACAGTTCCTGAGCCTAGTTTAGTGAGCTGCCAGGAATTCACATGGCTGCATTACTCTGGAGAAGGAACCCACATTGTGCCCTACTGCCCCATGACCCAAGCTGCTATTGTGATTCATCATCTTAAAACCAGAGCCGCTGCTAGAGTACATCCTGTTCTGATGGCCAGTAGCTACTGCATCTCACCATCCCTGATCCTCCACTGTCATTGCACCATGCTCTAATATGGTAGGGTGCCATTCCCATATAAGTTGCCACAGCTCATTAACCCACAGTACAAGCTGTCGAGGGGGCATTCCATTATCCCCATCCCAGTGGCTGCTGTGCCCACTCCTACTACTTACAGCCTAAGCCCAGTAGAATAGCCATGATGCTGATGCCCAATCCCTTATGGCACTCTGTCCTCTAAGGAACATGCAGTATGACCGAGTAGGGTGGTTGACCCTGAGTTATAGGAGTAGCCACACCACTTCCACACACAAATCAGCCTGGTGTCCTGCACCCAGGAAAGCCACACCTGACCAAACAGAGCAGCTATATCCTATCAGCATGTAAACCAATCTGGTACCAAGCCCCGAGGAAAGCCACATTCAAGAAGGTGGAGTGCTGTACCCATGGGTCACTGAAGCTCCTCAATGTAAAAATGAGCCCAATGTCCTACTCCAATATAAGCCACACCCAAGAGAGAGAATGGGTTTGTCCCTTTGGCACTGAAACCAGTCCAGCACCGCTAGGGAAGCTGTGTCCAAGCTGCTCAGGAAAAATCTACCTTGCTATCACCACTGCCAGAAACTCCTGTAGCAAAGACTATTAAGGCACACACAGTCATAGCTGATGTTGTCTACAGCTAAAGAAGTGACATGGAGACAATAATACTTCACCCATCTGGAACCATAGCCAATACACTATATCCAGTTGATCTAGGAACCATCTGCCGGCTTTCCCTATAAAAACCATTCTATAAAATTGAGAGAGGTGACTGTTCCATCAAATGCTCATGTATCAATGCAGTGATAGAAGAAATGTAAAAAAGCGGAAAACACACCACCACCAAAGGAACACAATCTTTCTCCAGCAACTTAGGCTTCCAATATGAAAATTTACTAATTGCCTAAAAGGAATTCAAAATAATGATCTTAAAGAAACTTGGTAAGTTAAAAGAATGCAAGCAGACATATAATGAAATCAATACAACAATCTATTATCTAAATGAGAAATTTAACAAGGAAACAGATATTATAAAAACAAACCAAATTGGAATCCTATAGCTGAAGAATTCAATAAATAAAGTAAAAAATACAGTTGGGAGTTTCAATAGAAGAATACATCTAGCAGAAAAAGAGAATTTCTTAATTTTGTGACAGGCCTTTTTTTTTTTTTTTTTTTTTTTTTGAGACGGAGTCTCGCTCTGTCGCCCAGGCTGGAGTGCAGTGGAGGGATCTCGGCTCACTGCAAGCTCCGCCTCCCGGGTTCACGCCATTCTCCTGCCTCAGCCTCCCAAGTAGCTGGGACTACAGGCGCCCGCCACTACGCCTGGCTAATTTTTTGTATTTTTAGTAGAGACGGGGTTTCACCGTTTTAGCCGGGATGGTCTCGATCTCCTGACCTCGTGATCCGCCCGCCTCGGCCTCCCAAAGTGCTGGGATTATAGGCGTGAGCCACCGCGCCCGGCCGTGACAGGCCTTTTGAATAACTCTGGAAAAAAATGTCAAAGAGTGAAGAAAATCTATGTGGGACTTACAGGGCATCTATAAGGGACCAATTTTTTTTCATTATGGAATTTTTAGAGGAAGAATAGATGAAGAAAGCCACAGAAAACCTACTTAATAAAATAATTGCTGAAAACTTCCCAAATATTGGGAAAAATATGAACATCCAGATCCATGACACTCAAAAATCTCCAAACAGATTCAATCCAAAAATTCTAGGCAAACTGCCAAAAGTCAAAGACAGAAAATTCTAAAAGCAGCAAGAAAAAATGTCAAGTCACATATAAGGGAATCCTGATTAGTCTAGCAATGAATATCCAGCAGAAAAATTGCAGGTCAGAAGAAAATGGGATTATATATTCAAAGTTTAAAAGGAAAAGAAAAAGAATACTGTCAGTCAAGAATACTACACTCAGCAAGGCTGTCCTTCAGAAATGAAAGATAAACAAAGTCTGTCTTAGATAAGTTAAAGATGAGAGAATTCATCACCACTAGACCAGCCTTACAAAAAAATGTTTAAGATAGTGCTTCAACCAGAAATGAAAGGACAATTATTACTATCACAAAAACATATGAAAGTGTATAGCTCTTGAAGTGTGTTTCTAGCTATTTAAGAACAACCATTAAATGTTATGATATTTTAGTCTTATTCTGCTATGCCTTTCCTTTATGGTTAGAACTTCAAAGCATTTTTCACTCCAATGCTATATGAACATTTGTATAAAGTTTTCTCTAGTATTTTGTAATTTCATTTTTATATTTACATTTTAATTCACTTAAAGTTACCTTTGGTGTATGCTATAATAGGGGCCTAAAGTTTTCATTTCTAAATTATATCAATTGCACAAGCATCATTTGAAAAATAAACCACTTTTGCACTTATTGGAAATAAAATCTTGATTTGTGCAATAAAATAAAGTATACAACTCACTGGTAGAGGTAAATGCATAATAAAATTCAGAATACTTGATTACTGTAATTAATGTAATGGTGATGTATAAATCTTTCAAATCTCTAATATAAATGTTAAAAGCCAAAATGGTCAAAAATAACTTTAGCTACACTAAGAGGTTAAAGAATACACAATATAAAATATGTAAATTGTACAACAAAAATATAAATCATGGTGGTGAGGCTAAATGTCTAGAATATTTGTATGCGATCAAATTTAAATTGTTATCAGCTTAAAAAAATATATTACAACTAAAATTTTTGAGTATATAAGCCCCAAGGTAGTTACAAAGCAAAAATTACAGCAGATATGCAAACAAGAAAGAGAACGAAATAAAAATTTAGTATTACAGAAAATTATCAAAACACATATGCAAACAAGAGAGAAAGAAAGAAAAAATTGATGTACAAAAAAACCAGAAATCAATCAACAAAATGGAAGAAATAAGTTCTAAACTTTCAATAATAATTTTGAATGTAGAAGGATTAGACTCTCCAATAAAAAGACATAGAGTGGCTGAACGTATAAATAAAAACAATCCATCTATAGCTTGCCTATGAGATACTCATTTTAGCTTTAAGGACACATAGTCTGAAAGTGAAGAGATGTAATAAGATATTCCATGCAAATAGCAGCCAAAAGAGAAAGGAGTGGCTATATTTATAAGAGATAAAATACACTTGAAGTCAAAAACTGCTACAAAAGGCAAAGATGACCATTACTAAATAATAAATGGGCCAATTCATCAAGAGGACATAAAAAATTTACATATATATGTACCCAACATTATAGCATTCACATATATAAAGCTAATATTAATGGACATAAAAGAAGAAAGAGGCAGCAACACAATAATAGTAGAAGACTTCAATACTCTTCTTTCTGCAATGAATATATTAACTAGACAGACAAGTACTAAATACTGACCTGAATTGCACTTCAGACCAGAAAGTTAGAACAGACATATATAAACTTTAACTCAAGAGCAGCAGTATAGATATATACACACACACATACACACGCACAGATTTTTAATGTATGTGGGACACTCTACAGTATAGAACATATTAGCCCATAAAACAAGTCTTAACAAATTTAAAAGGTTTGAAATCATACTTAATACTGTTTCTGACCACACAGTGGCCTAGAAAACAATAACATTAGAATCTTAGAGCATTCACAAATATGTGAAAATTAAAGAATGTGCTCCTGAAAAACTAACAGGCCAAAGGAGAAATGTATTTATTTATTTATTTATTTATTTTATTATACTTTAAGTTTTAGGGTACATGTGCACAACGTGCAGGTTTGTTACATATGTATACATGTGCCACGTTGGTGTGCTGCACCCATTAACTCGTCATTTAACATTCGGTATATCTCCTAATGCTATCCCTCCCCACTCCCCCCACCCCACAACAGGCCCTGGTGTGTAATGTTCCCCTTCCTGTGTCCATGTGTTCTCATTGTTCAATTCCCACCTATGAGTGAGAACATGCGGTGTTTGGTTTTTTGTCCTTGCGATAGTTTGCTGAGAATGATGGTTTCCAGCTTCATCCATGTCCCTACAAAGGACATTAACTCATCATTTTTTATGGCGGCATAGTCTTCCGTGGTGTATATGTGCCACATTTTCTTAATCCAGTCTACCATTGTTGGACATTTGGCTTGGCTCCAAGACCTTGCCAGAGCCCTCAGAAATAATGGTGCATATCTACAACCATGTGATCTTTGACAAACCTGACAAAAACAAGAAATGGGGAAAAGATTCCCTATTTAATAAACGGTGCTGGGAAAATTGGTTAGCCATATGTAGAAAGCTGAAACTGGATCCCTTCCTTACACCTTATACAAAAATTAATTCAAGATGGATGAAAGACTTAAATGTGAGACCTAAAACCATAAAAACCCTGGAAGAAAACCTAGGCAATACCATTCAGAACGTAGGCGTAGGCAAGGACTTCATGTCTAAAACACCAAAAGCAATGGCAACAAAAGCCAAAATTGACAAATGGGATCTAATTAAACTCAAGAGCTTCTGCACAGCAAAAGAAACTACCATCACAGTGAACAGGCAACCTGCAGAATGGGAGAAAAGTTTTGCAATCTACTCATCTGACAAAGGGCTAATATCCAGATTCTACAATGAACTCCAACAAATTTACAAGAAAAAAACAACCCCATCAACAAGTGGGCAAAGGATATGAACAGACACTTCTCAAAAGAAGACATTTATGCAGCCAAAAGACACATGAAAAAATGCTCATCATCACTGGCCATCAGAGAAATGCAAATCAAAACCACAATGAAATACCATCTCACACCAGTTAGAATGGTGATCATTAAAAAGTCAGGAAACAACAGGTGCTGGAGAGGATGTGGAGAAACAGGAACATTTTTACACTGTAGGTGGGACTGTAAACTAGTTCAACCATTGTGGAAGTCAGTGTGGCGATTCCTCAGGGATCTAGAACTAGAAATACCATTTGACCCAGTCATCCCATTACTAGGCATATACCCAAAGGATTATAAATCATGCTGCTTTAAAGACACATGATGTATGTTTATTGCAGCACTATTCACAATAACAATGACTTGGAACCAAAGGAGAAATTTAAAGGAAAATTTGGAAAATATCTTGAGAAAAATGACTATTAAAACATAGCATATCAAAACATATGATATGCAGCAAAAGCAGTTGTAAGAAGGAAGTTTTTAACAGTAAGTGACTATATTAAAAAAGAAGAAAGACTTCAAAAATAAATGGACAAAAGTTACGCAACAGAGTTAGAAATAAAAGAACAGTCTGAACCCAAAGTTAGCAGAAGAAAGAAAATAATAAAGGTCAGAACAGACATGAATCAAGTAGAGAAAATAAAATTATATTAAAAAGTAAATTAAACTTAGATTTGGTTCTTTGAAAAAATAAAAAACATTGACACACTCTTAGCTGGACTAAGCAAAAAGAGACAGAAGTCAAAGAAATAAAATCAGAAATGAAAGTGGAGACAAGAAATGCCTCAGAAGTAAAAATAATTATGATGAACAAATATGAATAAATTCATTATAATATTCCAACCAACTTGATAACCTAAAGAAAAAGAATAAATTCCTAGAAAAAAATGAAACCTTAAAAACATAAATCAAGAAGCTCAAAATATAAAGCTTTAACAGATGGATAACAAATTAAAGATATTAAAGTAATAACTAAAAACCTCAAACAAAGAAAAGCCAATGACCACATGGTTTCACAGATTAATTCTACTAAATGTTCAGAGAAACATTTACTACTAATACTTCTAAAATTCTTCCAAAAAATAGAGCTATTGCAATACATCCAAACACATTTTATAAGGCTAGCATAACCTGGATACCTAAGCCAGACAAAAACACTTCAAGAAAAGAAAACTACTAACTGATACCTCTAGTCCACATCAGTGAAAAAATTTTCAATAAAATATTAGCAAACTGAATTCAACAACACAGAAAACATTTAAATTATGACAAAGTTGGATTTGTCTCTGGAATGCAAGGATGGTTTTACATATATGAACCAAACAATGTTCTATATTACATTAACAGAATAGAAGATAAAAACTACATGATCATCCTAAGTGACACAGAGAAATCATTTGACAAAGTTCAGCATCTTTCTTTTTAATAAAACTCTTAATAGTGTAGGTTTAGAAGAAATGTCCCTCAACACAATATAGGCCATTTATAAAAAAAACCCCACAGCTAACATTATGATTAATGAAGAATATTAAAAACTTTTCTGCTAATATCTAGAAAAAGGTAGTGATTCCCACTTTCATCACTTCTATTCAACATAGGTCTGAAAGTACCAACAAAAGCAGACAAAAAAAAAGAAAAGTAAATGACATTCAAACCAAAAGGGGAAAGTAAAATTGTCTCCATTTGCAAATTACATAATCCTATGAGTAAAACCCTCAAAGATTCCACAAATAAACTGTTATAACTAATAAATGAATTCAGTAAAGTTGCAGGATACAAAATCAACATACAAAAATCAGTAGTGTTTTTATTTATTACTAAAGGCCTGTCTGAAAAATGTCATGAAATAATCTCATTTATGAAAGCATTAAAAAAATCTAGGAGTAAATATAACTAATGGTATGAAAGATTTGTACACCAAAATGTATAAAATATTGAAAAAGAAATAGAAGAAGACACAAGAAAATGAAAAGATAGTCCATCTTCATTGATTCAATGAATTAATATTGTTAAAATGTCCATACTCTGAAAGTGATATACAGATTTAACACAGTTCCTCTCAAAAGTCTTAGGGCATTCTTCATCTAGATAGAAAAAAAAAGCCCTAAAATTGGTATGGAATCTCACACACACACACACACACACACACACACACACACACACACACACAAATACCAAATAGCCAAAGCAATAGTGAGAAAAGATGTTAAAGGTATTATACTTCCTGATTTAAAATTATGTTACAAAGCTACAGCAATCAAAACAGTGTGGTTCTAGAATAAAAACAGAAACATGGATCAATGGAACAGAATACATAGCTGAGAAATACATCCAAATATGTATAGTCAATGAATCTTGACAAGGGGATCAAGAAGACACAATGGAAAATAAAAATCTCCTCAGTAAATGGTGCTGTGAAAATTATTGCCACATGCAAAAGAGTAAAACTGGACCATTCTCTTATATCATACACAAAAATCAATTTAAAATGAAAAGAAGACATAATTGTAAAATCTGAAGCCACAAAACTCCTAGAAGAGATGACAAAGGAAAATCTCCTTGACATTGTCTTTGGCAATAATATTTTTGATATCACATTTTTAGTTCAGGCTATAAAACATACAATAAATAAAAGGGACTATATCAAACTAAAAACCTGCACAACAAATAAAATAGTCAACAAAATAAAAAGGCAACCTACTGATTAAGAAAAAAAAATTGCAAGCCTTATATCTGATGAGTTAATATATAAAATTTTATTAAACACACTTACAATCTCAATAACAGAAAAACAAATACATAGATTAAAAGATGGACAAAATACCTGAATAGACATTTCTGTAAAGAAGACACAAAAAAGGTTAACAAACGGTTTATAAAAGGTGCTCACAATCACTAATCATAAGGGAATTGCTAATTTAAACCACTATGATAAATACGTCATCCCCATAGCAAGAATGCCTATTAAAAAGACAGGAGATAAATGTTTGTAAAAGTGTAGAGAAAAGAAAACCCTAGTATACGGTTGGTGGAAATGTAGAAGTGGAAACTACTTAAACGCACACTGGTGGACAAATGGATAAAGAAAACATGACATACATATATACAATGGAATATTATTCAGCCTAAAATAAATCCTAAGATTTTCCACAACATAGATGCACCTGGGAAACATTATGCTACATGAAATAAAACAGGCACAGAAAGAAAATTATTGCATGATTTCACATATGTGAAATTTTAAAATACATAGACATAGAGATTGAAACTTTTTTTAAAATTACAGATGTGGGTGAGAGGAAATGGGGAGGTATAAATCAAAGAATACAAAATAGCAGATATATAAGATAAACAAGTCAAGACATCTGATGTACAATTTGAAAACTAAAAATAAAATTGCATTGTATTAGGGATTTTTGTTAAGTTGATTGTAGCTACTCTTGTCATACACACAAAAAAGATGATAGTTATGTTAATTGGCTTCAATATAGTAACCATTGTACTACCTATGTGTATCCCATAATATCATGTTGCAAATCACGAATATACACAATAAAATTTATTTTTAAAAAATATATCCAAGAATAGACCTTAACTTGCCTCAGCCGAACACAGTGCTGCAATTAGAAGACTGCTTCACATAACTTGGTTAGATAATAATAAGAAAACAATTAATGGTCTGATGCCAGAGGAAAAATGAGACAAGCCCAAAGCCTATTCAGAATAGGCATAATCAGTCCCAAAATATGGGCTCTGCCAGCACTATTAAGTAGAAAAGATGTCTGAAGTCAGCTGTGGCTAAGTGTCCTAGAAACTATAGGAGATTCTGAAAAACTGAAGCAAGGGTTATATAATTGTATAAGAATAAATTTTCTTATTTTGAAAAAAATGCAAGCATAATAAAATTTTGAAAATGACCAGGAGTACAATAGTGGTTTAATTTAAAATAATTATAATAGTTAACAAATAATCAGTTTAAAGCAGTATTTAAAAATATGTACTTTGAAAAATAGTAATTTAGAACATTATATATATATATGTAATTTTGTTAAATTTGAAAAAAATGCTAGTAACAATATCGATGAACATTTATCATTTATCTATTAGGGAGCAGAATTTTCTAATCACAAAAACACTGGAAGATACTGCACAGAAAATGAAGTAAATTAACACTAAAATTGGCCAGGTGCAGGCACACTAACCCCAGCACTTTTGGAGGCTGAGGAGGGAGAAACTTTGAGCCCAGGAGTTCGAGACCAGCATGAGTAACATGGTGAAATCCTGTCTCCACAAAAAATATCAAAGTTAGCTTGGCTTGGTGGTGCATTTCTATAATCCCAGCTGCTTAGGTGGCTGAGGTGAAAGGATTGTTCGAGCCCAGGAGGTGGAGGTGGCAGTGAGCTGAGATCTCACCACTGTACTTCAATCTGGAAGACAGAACCTGTCTCAAGAAAAACAAAGCAAAGCAAAACCAAACAAAACAAAAGAAACCCTAAAATGTCTAATGATACATATTGCACTGTGATAAAGTGACTTGGTAAACAATTTTTTTTACTGCGTATTTATAAAGTTTCCTAATATGTATGTATTTCACTTTTTACAAAGTACTGATACATCATTTAAATGTATAGGCCTTCTATGGTTACACAACATAAAATAAACAGCATCACCTATGTACTCTTTTTACCAAAAATATTTAACCCAAATTTAATCGATTTCTTTCTTTCTTTTATTTTGAGACAGAGTCTCACTCTTTTTCCCAGGCTGGAGTGCACTGGAGTGATCGAGGCTCACTGCAACCTCTGCCTCCCAGGTTCAAGCAATTCTCTCACCTCTGCCTCCTGAGTAGCTGGGACTACAGGCATGTGCCACCACGCCGAGCTAATTTTTGTATTTTTAGTAGAGGCAGAGTTTCACCATGTTGTCCAGGCTAGTCTCAAACTCCTGACCTCACATGATCCACCTGCCTAAGCCTCCCAAAGTGCTGAGATTACAGGCACAAGTCACCATACCTGGCCAATTAATCAATTTCATCAAATTCTCCAATGTTTAATTTGGAGACAATATAGAGGATAGAGAAGCAAATGAAAGATTAAAAGATGACCAAGTTAATATTAATTCGGCAAAACACCTGATTTTAGCAAACAAATTATAAAAGATGTTTTGGGGACAATTAACCAAATTTGAATATGTTTGGGGCATATGGTGGACAATGTCTTCATTAATAATGATATGAGATGCATGAAAAATATTTTAAAATGCAAAATCATTTTATTAAAAACATTGATTAGAGAGTAAGGAAATTATCATACCAAAATTGAAGAAAATAGCAAAATCTAGTGAGGGGAGAATTTCTAGATTTGTGACTGATTTTCTAGGTCAAATATGGTAATGAAAACAACTGTAGCACTCAAAACAGGACCCTGAGACCTTACAGTTTCAATGTGCTCTAAAGAAGTTCTAATTGTATTTGTATTTTTTGTAGACGATAGCTTTTTCCAGAAGGGGTTTCTCTGACTGTACAGGAAGCAGATCAGAAGTCCTAGGGAATTAACAAGTCCTTTGAGCACCCTTTAAAATAAGAATGATGAAAATTAATGTTAATAGTCTAATTCCCTTGATCTTCAAGAGGAGTAATGCTGTATGTTTTATGTATCATTTCCCAGATTCTCTCTGCAGACTTCAGTTGCTCACTGTAATAATTGGCTTAATAATATCCTCTTTATTGTCTTTCATTTTGTATTATTAATCCTCACTTCCCTTCAAAGATTGCACTTGAATCATTTTCTCCAGTTCTGAATCCGTAGAAACCCACAAGAAGAGTTTTTGTACTAGAATTGGTCCTAAAACAAAAAGCACTTCAAAAAAATCAATGAATCCAGGAGCTGGTTTTTTGAAAAGATCAACAAAATTGTTAGACGGCTAGCAAGACTAATAAAGACGAAAAGAGAGAAGAATCAAATAGATGCAATAAAAAATGTTAAAGGGGACATAACGACCTATCCCACAGAAATACAAATTACCATCAGAGAATACTATAAACACCTCTACGCAAGGAAACTAGAAAATCTAGAATAAATGGATAAATTCCTCGACACATACACCCTCCCAAGACTAAACCAGGAAGAAGTTGAATCTCTGAATAGACCAATAACAGGCTCTGAAATTGAGACAAGAATTAATAGCTTACCAACCAAAGAAAGTCCAGGACCAGATGGATTCACAGCCGAATTCTACCAGAGGTACAAGGAGGAGCTGGTACCGTTCCTTCTGAAACTGTTCCAATCAATAGAAAAAGAGGGAATCCTCCCTAATTCATTTTATGAGGCCAGCATCATCCTGATACCAAAGCCTGGCAGAGACACAACAAAAAGAGAATTTTAGACCAATATCCCTGATGAACATTGATGCAAAAATCCTCAATAAAATACTGGCAAACCGAATCCAGCAGCACATCAAAAAGCTTATCCATCATGATCAAGTGGGCTTCATCCTTGGGATGCAAGACTGGTTCAACATATGCAAACCAATAAACGTAATCCAGCATATAAACAGAACCAAAGACAAAAATCACATGATTATCTCAACAGATGCAGAAGAGGTCTTTGACAAAATTCAACAACGCTTCATGCTAAAAACTCTCAATAAATTAGGTATTGATGGGACATATCTCAAAATAATAAGAGCTATCTATGACAAACCCACAGCCAATATCATACTGAATGGGCAAAAACTGGAAGCATTCCCTTTGAAAACTGGCACAAGACAGGGATGCCCTCTCTCACCACTCCTATTCAACATAGTGTTGGAAGTTCTGGCCAGGGAAATCAGGCAGGAGAAGGAAATAAAGGGTATTCAATTAGGAAAAGAGGAAGTCAAATTGTCCCTGTTTGCAGATGACATGATTGTATATCTTGAAAACCCCATAGTCTCAGCCCAAAATCTCCTTAAGCTGATAGGCAATTTCAGCGAAGTCTCAGGATACAAAATCAATGTGCAAAAATCACAAGCATTCTTATACACCAATAACAGACAAACAGAGAGCCAAATCATGAGTGAACTGCCATTCACAATTGCTTCAAAGAGAATAAAATACCTAGGAATCCAACTTACAAGGGATGTGAAGAACCTCTTCAAGCAGAACTACAAACCACTGCTCAATGAAATAAAAGAGGATACAAAGAAATGGAAGAACATTCCATGCTCATGGGTAGGAAGAATCAATATCGTGAAAACGGCCATACTGCCCAAGGTAATTTATAGATTCAAATGCCATCCCCATCAAGCTACCACTGACTTTCTTCACAGAATTGGAAAAAACTACTTTAAAGTTCACATGGAACCAAAAAATAGCCCGTATTGCCAAGTCAATCCTAAGCCAAAAGAACAAAGCTGAAGGCATCACACTACCTGACTTCAAACTATACTACAAGGCTACAGTAAACAAAACAGCATGGTACTGGTACCAAAACAGAGATACAGACCAATGCAACAGAACAGAGCCCTCAGAAATAACACCGTATATCTACAACTATCTGATCTTTGACAAATCTGACAAAAACAAGAAATGGGGAAAGGATTCCTTATTTAATAAATGGCACTGGGAAAACTGGCTAGCCATATGTAGAAAGCTGAAACTGGATCCCTTCCTTACACCTTATACAAAAATTAATTCAAGATGGATTAAGGACTTAAACGTTAGACCTAAAACCATAAAAACCCTGGAGGAAAACCTAGGCAATACCATTCAGGACATAGGCATGGGCAAGGACTTCATGTCTAAAACACCAAAAGCAATGGCAACAAAAGCCAAAATTGACAAATGGGATCTAATTAAACTCAAGAGCTTCTGCACAGCAAAAGAAACTACCATCAGAGTGAACAGGCAACCTGCAGAATGGGAGAAAAGTTTTGCAATCTACTCATCTGACAAAGGGCTAATATCCAGAATCTACAATGAACTCAAACAAATTTACAAGAAAAAAACAAACAACCCCATCAACAAGTGGGCGAAGGATATGAATAGACACTTCTCAAAAGAAGACACTTATGCAGCCAGAAGACACATGAAAAAATGCTCATCATCACTGGCCATCAGAGAAATGCAAATCAAAACCACAATGAGATACCACCTCACACCAATTAGAATGGTGATCATTAAAAAATCAGGAAACAATAGGTGCTGGAGAGGGTGTGGAGAAATAGGAACATTTTTACACTGTAGGTGGGACTGTAAACTAGTTCAACCATTGTGGAAGTCAGTGTGGCGATTCCTCAGGGATCTAGAACTAGAAATACCATTTGACCCAGCCATCCCATGACTAGATATATATCCAAAGGATTGTAAATCATGCTGCTATAAAGACACATGCACATGTATGTTTATTGCAGCACTATTCACAATAGCAAAGACTTGGAACCAACCCAAATGTCCAACAATGATAGACTGGATTAAGAAAATGTGGCACATATACACCATGGAATACTATGCAGCTATAAAAAAGGATGAGTTCATGTCCTTTGTAGGGACATGGATGAAGCTGGAAACCATCATTCTCAGCAAACTATCGCAAGGACAAAAAACCAAACACTGCATGTTATCACTCATAGGTGGGAATTGAACAATGAGAACACATGGACACAGGAAGGGGAACGTCACACACTGGGGCCTGTTGTGGGGTGGAGGGAGAGGAGAGGGATAGCATTAGGAGATATACCTAATGCTAAATGACGAGTTAATGGGTTCAGCACACCAACGTGGCACATGTATACATATGTAACAAACCTGCACGTTGTGCACATGTACCCTAAAACTTAAAGTATAATAAAAAAAAGAAAAAAAGAGAACCCTAAGCTTCTCAAATTGGGTCCTTGGCTGACCATATGGCCAGGACTATAATGTTGATGTTAAGTGGTGGTGGTTATTCTGTATCAGCCCTGGCATATCATAGCATCTCACTTCCTAAGACTCTCATTCGTGAAGACTTGGGAAGTGCTACATATAGGAGATGAACTGACATGCCTATTTCTCCAGCATTGGATAAATATGGTGGCAATAGTAAGTAGGAGGTCTGAAGAGTTTGTTGTACTCTGTTCAGAATTATCAGTGTGCTGAAGGAATTAAAAAAAGATGATTAAGTTAACCAGTTACCAACTCAGAAGTATGGTAAGAGTCAGAAAGCCTAAGAGATGGAATTTTAAGACTTTTATTTTCGAAACTGGAGCTTAGTTTGAGCATTTGTGGCAACATCAAGAGAAGGTTTAATTCACAGTTGTAACATAACTATAATCTTAAAATCAGGCCACTACCAGAGATAGAGTGGAATTCTTAGGCCTGTTTCAGGGACATCTGGGTAGATGCACTTAAGGAGTTTAAATGGTCCGATTTGTCTGAAACCACTGGGCCTTTGGAAGTGGTCATTCTCCTCTTTGCTAGAAGACAACAGCCTTCATTCGGTTACAGAACATGCAGAATTTCATTCAAAGAGAAAGACTACACCATGTTATACAATCTCTTCAAGATTGTCTGTACTTCTCATGGCTTTTAGGTCAACAAACCCTGAAGAGACAACAAAGCTAATTATGCAAGTACTCTTCACATTTTGGGAGAAAAGATATTATTCATGAAAAGAACTGCAGGGCCTAAGTAATAAATATTGGCAAGAACTATCAGAACATGTTTTGGAATGGATCTTGAGATTGCTGAACCTGATTGGGAAGTGAAAGTGAGTGTGACAGAATATCAGGCTAGATAATGGAGGTTTTACTATAGGTTAGTGCGAAAGTAATGAGGTTTTTGCCACTTCCGCAATGTCTACATGAAGTTTAGAAAAAATGACAACGAACAGCAAATGAAGTTTTGAAGAAATGCCTTGGGAGAATAAGGAAAAATTCAAAGAACTCTGAGAGTGGAGTGTGCTACAATGAATTTATTTCAAAAGTTTAGAGAATCCACCTTCCCTATGAGACTTCAGAAAACTCTTTCTTTACTAAACCAAAACAAAAGTGTTAGTAATGTCTTCACTGTCATTATTGAGAAGGTCTACGGTGGCTGATCTTTGATGCAAGGATTAGTATTTCTTCATCTCCAAAGTCAAGATAGACATAATTACCATAATTACCTCTGAATTTTGGAAGCAAAATCAGAATTGTGACCCAGGGGTGCTATCACTGATCTGTGGTGATGGCCACATATTAATGTTTTATACCTGAGCCAGTTCTCATATTTAAACCATTGTGTGAAGGGGTGGCTAGAACCCTGGGATGGACTCTGTGATGCAAAAGAATGTATGTAGAGTAGCAACTCTCTCAAAGGAAATCCAAAGTACAATCATGCCTTCTCCACACAAAGTGGGAATATGTGGAGTACAGTACATAAATAAAGTCTTAACCCAAGTCTGTCTCAAAGTGGCTAAAAAGGGTCCAAGGACCCATCCTATGTTCATTTACCTGGTCCTTGAAAGCATTATGGGATACATATACACAACAGCTTTCAGAACCCCCAAATTTGTTTCCTGAGCTGTCTAGGAATATTAATAATGGTAGAAATGTCCAAATGGAAACTACTGAAACTACTCTTTGGCCAAGATAGAAAACTAGTAGTGGCGCATCTGAGGCAGAATGGCACCATTATATGACTAAGTACTGATTCTTAATTTTTAAATCATATGTGTCAGGTAGTCATTTAATTGACTATTAACAAGATCTGACAGTTCTATAGTTGTGGAATGAAAATTAAAATGGCTCTATGTACTTTTTTTATGAGTTACAGAGTAATAATGAAGTTTCTATTTGCAGGCATTATTTTTAACTGCTGTTGAAGTGAAAATACGAAGTCTGTGAATTCAAGAGTTAAGTGCCTTTTTTGAAGATAGAAAATATTTTTCCATTTGTTGAATTTAAATATATAGAAATGTTGAACATGCAATTGAAATTGTCTTTATAAGTGGTTACACTAGGATAGAATGTAAAAATAATCAGGCTTTTATTCTGAAGACCAGAAATTTCTTATCTGTAGGTTACCCAAAAGCCAACTATTTTTATATTCAAGAACCTGTGCAAATGACTAACAGAGGACTATTGTGTTGGGATGTACTTTTACAACTGCATTTAAACTTCTTGCAGAGTTCTTAAAGAAAGTACTATAATGTGCAATGCCCACGTAGAGGAAAAATTCATACTTCTATTCTTAGATGAGTGTTTCATAAAAGCTCTTTACTTTTTCTTTCTTGGAACAGCTTGTGGTGGCTGTACTCCAAATCAATTATAGGTTTAATGGTCAACTAGGCTAAAACATGTTGTATGCCATTTTCAAAAGTTCTGTTTGTTCTTTCAGATTGGTTGATATTTAAAACATATCTATTATAAGAAAAAACCTATATCATATGAGCAACAGTTTATCAGGTAATGTGCATTTTTATCTTGTGGGAGGCGTGGTTGGTTGCCTCATATTTGGCTCCTTTTCTACCAGAGCCCTTGTTTGGCTCAGGTAACCATCACACCATCAGAATGCTTTGTGCAACAGAGGCAGCTGAGCCACCATGCCCATCTCCAGGTGGGGTTCCAGTATTTTAAATGTAAACTCATTTGCCTTGATAATATTTGAGTGCGATCAAATTATGGCATTAAAACATAAGGGGAATTCTGCTAGGAGTCTTGGAAAAAAAGTTTCCTTTTTCTCTAGAGAAAACCACAGACAGAAATGGTCTCTCACCCCTTCTCACCATAGATGGTGATCCTGGAACAGTTTTAGCTATTTTGGAATAATCCCAAAGATTAAGCCAGTACAGGGTATGGCAAATGGGAGAGACAGAAAGACCAATTAGCCATTAAGTTCACCATATTTTCAGAGTGTATGAGGTAATATGTTTCCTTATAATAAAGCTAGTTTGATTTGTCTGCTATGTATAGCTAAAATTATCTTGCATGGATAACTACATGTTTTATATTACTACTTATTTCATCACACTTTTTTTCTGTTTACTTCATGTTTTCCAAATGCCTTATACATTCACTTCCAAAGTCAACAGTGTCTTTTTGGTATTATAGAGTACTAAAATTGAAATTAATATGGAATCCAACACTATCCAGAAGTGTTTTTTCTCTTTGAAAAACAGCAGTATAGAGCTCTATAATAATAGCTACTAATTATTGACCTTACAACGCTCCATAAACTGTGCTAGATACTTTTCATGCTATTTGTATTTGACTCTAAAAAACAATAAAGTTGGCATTATTTCTGTATGCAAATGAGGAGCTGAAACTCATGGAAGAGTTAATCAGATTATTAAATGAAAGAGCCAGGATTTGAGCACAGGTATGACTCATTCTAAAGCCCTTAAAAATTCCTCATTATCTTTAATTTAGTGAAATAAAGAAAGATGCATATGCTGAGATAAACTCAAGTTAGTTGCCGTCTGGAATTCTCATTAACTATTTTGGTGTTAATAAATGTTTTTCCATTACCTGTTTGGGGAAATAAAGTGCACTATTTTACTGTGGCAAAAATGATAACATGATTATGTTATATATATTTTGCTGCAATTATATTGCAAAACACACAAACCCCAACATTTCAGTGGATTACTAATAACAAAGGTTTATTTCTTGCTCACACTAGTGTTTTTAAATTTAAAAGCCTGTGGATTGTCTGGAATAGGTCTGTTCTTGCCTGCAGGTTGGATTTAGGTGTGCTCTGCATGTCTCACTTTCTGGGGCTAATAGATACCTGAGATATGCATGCTCTTCTCATGGCAGATGGTGGAGCACAAGGTCTGCAAGGAACCCATCATGCCTCTTAAAGCCTCCACTGAGAAACGTCACACTGGTGCATTCAATTGTCCAAGCCATGTCGCTTTGATACACTCATCAATGGGGTGGGGGCTTTTTTGGTGGTTAATAAAGGGCTAGGAAAGAGTGAACATTTGTATAATAATAAAATCCACATGAACTACTAGCATATTATATATTAGTTACTATGTCTTAAACTCAATGGCTTATTTCCATTTCATTATACTTATTTTTATAATTTTCATTAGTGAAATACATGTTTGTACAAAAAACCCTTAAAAATCCTCAAAATGTTATAAAATGAACACCCAGATCCCCACTTTGATGAAGAAAACGCTGAATTTTGTTCATATTTGTTTTCTGTCATGAATGTAACTAAAATATTTGTACAACTATACAATCAACATTAAAAATTTATATAGCATCTATTGACTTCCAAGTGTAAGACACATGGACACTTAACTTCCTTTCTCATGTATGTTTTGAATAACAGCAACCATGAAAAATGAATTATATATTATGCACACACAGTATCTGAGTTAATAACTTGCAATTCTGCTATTTAAGATTAGTTTTAACTTAGTCATTTATCCTTATATAAAAATTATTAGGTTAAAAAATGTGGCTGCTCAGTTCTATTAAAAGAAAAACTTCAGACAAATTAAGTTTAACTGAATTTATTTAAACAAAGAAAGATTCATGAATTGGGCAGCACTATGAACTGCTAGAGTGTCACAGAGATCCAGTTAGCAATGTTGACAGGCAGAATTTAGAGAGACAAAAAGAAAGTGACGGGGCAGGGCACAGTGGCTCACGCCTGTAATCCCAGCACTTTGGGAGGCCAAGGTGAGTGAATCACAAGGTCAAGAGATCGAGACCATCCTGGCTAACACAGTGAAACCCCGTCTCTACTCAAAATACAAAAAATTAGCTGGGTGTGGTGGCGGGCGCCTGTAGTCCCAGCTACTCGGGAGGCTGAGGCAGGAGAATGGCGTGAACCCGGGAGGCGGAGCTTGCAGTGAGCTGAGATCGCGCCACTGCACTCCAGCCTGGGCGACAGAGCGAGACTCCGTCTCAAAAAAAAAAAGAAAGTGATATAGAGAAACAGCTCAATTGCTTATAGCTCAGCATATGCTTTATTTAGGCATGGTGTGATAAAACATATGCTAGTTTATATTTACATGGTCTGATCAGTTAGCAGCCTGTGATTGGCTGAGGCTCACATATTTATTGCAAGGATATCTAGTCATGCCCTAAAAATGATGCTTTTGGTCAAGATGAACCACATGTATCGTAATGGTCCCATACGAATATAGTGGATCTGAAAAATTCCTATCATGTGACGCCATAGCCATCATAATGTTTTAAGGCAGCACATTGCCTTTTCTATGTTTAGATATGCTTAGATCTAGGGGTACTTAACACTGTGTTACAATTGCCTGCAGTATTCAGTACAGTAACATAGTAGCATAGGAGCAATAGGCAATATCGTATAGCCTAGGCATATAGTAGGCTATACCATCTAGGTTTGTGTAAGTACACTCTACGATGGTCACACAATGACAAAATCTCATTTCTCATCTGGCATTTCTCAGAATTTACCACCATCATTAAGTAACACATTACTCTTAAGTTAGGTTAAAGTTTGTTTATATACAAAGCTAGATTACAGTTCACTATGTACAGAGACACATTTAGGCTAAATTTAACAATTTCAGTATCTTGACCTGTTATTCTCCTGTGCTCTTTCATCTACAGAATCTCTTCTGTCACTTCATATGGCTAAGCATAGTCAGAGGGTTTGATCTTCCTCAGGACACTTCCATTCCTTTCCATTTGTCAGTGTCCTCACCACATGGGAATTATAGTGACAGAGAAGGGTTAAGGAACCTTTTCTTAAGCAAGCATAGGTGTGATAGAAAAAGCTACATGTTGTCCCACAGTAAAGCATGACAATGAACAATAATAAAGGAACTCTAAAGATCAGTAACAAGAAAATCATTTTCTCCAGGAACATTCTTCACAGATCCTAGCATGATCAACTATGAGTCCATATACTTAGAGGCAGAAGAAATTGACAAAAGACATAACACTTTTTTGTTATCTGTAATCTGTGCTAAGATTTTTTCAATAGTATTATAAAGACATTATATTTTACTGTTTTAGATACATTTGGTTAAATAAACATTGTAGGAGGAAATAGACATATAAAACACATGATTTTCACATACTCACTTGCATATGACTCCATTGAAATCCTAATGAAATAGTTCCATTGCAACAGGGCCTTTGTGTACATCTATTTTTAGTTTTCAAGGTGTTTTTAAAAACAATAGGAAAAGATAATATATGTGGTCCCTTTTGCAAGTAGGTGAATTTTTGGTGAATTTTGTGATAAACTTCTCATAATATCTTGCTAAAAATTTCAGTTTTCATTTCAACCTCTAGCTCTTATAGATACATATATACCATATGATATATCTACTTAGAAGATCACTCTGCCCAAGCCAATTAAATGACTACATAAAAGTCATTATGCTTACTATATTATAGAAAAAATTATGAATTCCTTTCAAATGTCATTCTGAAGTTTGCACTGTTCAAAGAGATTTTTTACAACACAATACGAAAAGTAAATACAAGATTTTCAGGCAAAAATATGAAAAGTAAATACAAGATTTTCAGGCAGACAAATATAAAACAATCTCCATCAGTATTCCTTGCTTGGCATTTTATGATGAATACTAAAGAATTGCCTACTTATTCACATTCATGCTTCTACTAAGTTAATTAAGCAACTTACTCTTAATTATTTGTTGTATCAGAATTCCCTTAATAAAACATTGATATATCAGATACTATAATCAAATAACCTTATAATTGTTTTATAATAGTGAAAAATAAAATATTTATTATTTTCATCTTTCTCAATTGTTATAGTATTTTGTGTATAATTATATATTTTTATCAGGGATGCCATGCCTTTTTATTTCTCTAAGTCTTCATCCTACCAGGAATTTGAAATGGTCCAGAGTTATAATAAGGAAGTAATTCTTTCTGGGAGTTGGAAGGAAAGAAAGAAAGAAAAGAAAGAAAGATGGGAAGTGATATGCACCTGCTTTTCTCAGGAGGTGAATGATTTTTCACGCATCATACACAGAAATTCTCAGATACTGGGTAAATATCTCTAATGGAGGAAATTCATTTGGGAATGGTGATGACACAAACAAAATAGATTTAAGAGGAACAAACAACCTCACAAAGGGAATTTTTAATCCATAAAATTCCTCCATGTAGAAAATAATGTATAATGGAGATGTATTCTTTTTTCTTGGAATAAAAGACTACTCTCATTCAGAACAAGCTATAGATCAAGATTTCCACATCTGAAGAATTGGAGGTTTTAGTTGAAGATTTTAGAATTCAAATCCTAATTTAGGATTTTTTGAAAACATACAAGCAAACGAACAAAAACACACACAAAAAAAACCCACTAGTCACCTAGTAGCTAAGACAATAACTTCTTTTTAATTGGCAAATTAATTATCTATGGTCTATTCAAGTTCTTGGCTTTGTCTCTATATTATTGCCAAGATTTTTTATAGGAACTGCTGATTTCTGTAAAACGTCCCTTATTGAGAATACCATAAAATTATAAGGAGAAAGGAAGAATTAGAGGTAATTTACCTGTAATTCTAACAAATACCCCTTGAGAAAAATAATCGAAGTAAACCTGTTCTATAGTAGTTATGTCAATCTAATCATCACAAAAATGATAATTTTCTCAGCTTTTGTTCACAATATGAATTTCAATATTTTTACATTATTTTTTAAATGTCAGCATTCCATTGTCAATATATATTCAAGCTTTGTTCTACAGTGCCCCTATTTCTTCTCTGATAGTACTTATTTGACTTTATATTTTCTGTTTATATGTAGCACAAGGCACACAATGATGGTACTATTGACAACATGGACAGATGGCTCTTGTTGCACGGAGATTTCTTGTGCATTACAGGTGGTTAGTAGCATTTTTGGTCTCTACTAACTAGATGCCTGTAGCATTCTCCCTCAGTTGTGGTGAACAAAATTGTTTTGAGACATTGCCACATCACTCCTGTGGGCCGGTGAGGAGGAGGGGACAACATATTCATGGTGAGAAACACTGATATACAAGGATTTTCAGGATTGTTCTGGTGTGTATCATTTTTCTCCTTTTCCTATACTGATGGAACAACTAACTCAATGGTCACACAGTCTATGCACATAAAATACTTTGAAAATTTTTGGCACTGAGGCGATAGTACCAAATGAAAGGAGGGACGACTATTTCTGATTTGCATACCTTTGTTGTAATCATTAAGCTTATTTTTTTGCATATTTAGAATACAGACATTAAACATCACAAAGCCTAATCACGTAAGCTACCACAAGGATCAAAGTCAATTCAGTAATTAGTTTATGTCCTTCATCACTGTAGTTGAGAAACTCAAGTAAAGTGGGGAAAATAATTATACAATGTTGAGCAAATTCATAATCTTAGGCCTTGGTATGAAGCTTACTTCAGGCATTGCTTCCCATTGATTTCATTGAATTTAATTCCTACTGAGTACAAGGTTTCAGGCTTCATAAGCACAATTTTATCTTTACAGGTGCTTCTCAGAATTAATTGCTATTTTTATAGGTAATTACCATTTATATAATTAGATTAGAAAAGTTAGTAATTTAAAAGATGGCTAAAATTAAACAGTGACATTTAAAGATTGACACTGCCATCATGCTTCTAAAATTTTCTTAAATCCCTTGAAGAAGTGGGGAAAATGGATGAGAAAAAAGTTGCTAAAATCAGAAGTCTGGTTCCAAGGAGTTTCAACTTCAAAAGTCCAGTAAGAGTTTTATTTTGCAATTTCCGAATATATAAGCCCTAATATCCACTTATTCTGGTACTACTTATTTTCAAATAAATATGTGTTACATATTAGTGTTTTTTTTTTTCAGGGATTAATTGCTGGGCACTAAATAGACTAGAGAGCGGCCCTGTCGGTTATTTCCTGTATGTTGATTCTTGCCTGGTGGCGCTCCCCTGTCGTCTCCTCCACCTGTTCTAAATTGACATCCAAATGCTGTTTTCCTTGGGGCTTGTTTTCAAAATATTTGCTTAGAAGAGAGGTGATGCCTACTCCCAGTTTTGACATTCTAGTAATATCCTCACTGAGATCTGAGCTCACTAAATGTTTTTTTTCAGAGATGATTGAGGTTGCTATACTCATACTTCTAGGAGTTTACTGTTAATACACTCACCTGGAATATATCATGAGACAAGATGTTAGTTGACCTGAAGATTAATATGGAATTTTAACATTCATATATATGCACACACATATATTAAAGTGAATTACAATTCACTGATATATTTTCTTAACAGAATACTATGTGAAATTATACCAATTACAATTTTCAGGCTCCTTGTGCTTTTTCAAAGATTAGTCTATTCCTAGAAATCTAGAGCTATATAAGGACAATTATGAATAAATGATACTATATTATTTAAATATCAATAAATGAGACACTGATCATTCTAATTAAAGTAATTTTGGGTTTTTAATTTGTACTGGCTTTTGCACCTATTTCTTATCAGGCTGATCATATTTTTTTAAAATAAAATTCTGTTTAAAAATAAAAATTTAAAAATAAATAACATTCACATCAACAAACTCTATAGACCCAGCAATATTTCACATTTGCTTCAGGAAGAGAAAATACACACACACACACACACACACACACACACACACACACACACAATACTTTGTTAGTCAATCATTTAAAGTGTTTTAACAAATAAATTAATGCTTTGCTTTAGTCACTTTTTGGAGTATCACATTTATCTTATTCTGCATTTTCTAGGCTACTAACTTTAGTCCAAAGTAAGGCTAGTTTCATATGAGATTAAAATGTATAGCCAAATACAGGATGTTGATTGAGTAAATAGGAAATTTCTCAAATGTGTCAAAGTATCATCCTCATTGATGTGCCAGAAATCACTACCCTTAGTTATTTGTTTGGCTTGAAGTGCAATCTACCGAAAGAGACTTTGGAAACTGAAGGTATGATAATACAGGTTTATACATTAATTTCTTAAATTTCATTCTTGAATAAACAGGTATAAGTAATCAGATTATTGGGCTAAAAACCTGACATTGATGGCAATTGAAAATTTCTTGAATATAGGGAAGGAAGATATTTCAGTAAAATACCTAGCATAAATAGAAAATAGAATGAGGTCTTTGTTGGTAGCTTTAATGAATGAAAAGTCAATGTTGACTAAGCAAGATGACTTTTTGTTTACTACCTGATATAGAACACAGTTCAAGCTCCTTAAGAGGGAACACAGGGCCTTCAGGGATACCATTCTTTCTGGCTCTCTATTAGTAGAAGGCAGCCAAGGAATCTATATCTTAACCTTATTTTTGACATTACTCTCTCAATTGGAGAGGAGTTAATCCCTGTTGTAGTAGTAGATACATATGTATGAGGATAGGTACAGAAATTATCTTCCTTTTATTTTGCATTCTAACTAAATTTTTTCTTAATAATATTGCAAAAGAAATTAAATAACAGATTTTTATCATTCAACAGGGGATTTTACATCAGTTTTTAATATTATTGTGTTACTTATTTTGCCTGTAGCTCAAACATATACAGTAACATACCTGTATGTGGTAGTTTATACAAATATATAATTAGTTACTTACACCTTTATTCAAATTTACTTATTTACGATTTCTCATTTATAGTATTAATATTACCTTCATCTTTGCCTTTTCCCCATTCAAATATTCAGGCATAGCTTAATCACTAGTTGAAGAAAGGCACAAAAGAATAAAAAGAAGTTAAAACATGATTCACATTTAAAACTTTAGATTTCAAAAGTCTGTACCCATAAAAGAATAAAAGGGAAATAAATTTTAATAATAAAAAAAATTTATCAAAACAAAGAACTACCACAAATATCGTAATGAGCATGATTACTGATATAACATTGAGTTCTATGCTTCCTCACAGCCAAAGCAAGAGAGGGAAACAATGTGGCTTTTAATTCTCAATGTTTGATTTTTAGCAAAAATGTTAGATGAAATTATCACAGATATTCATACCGTACAAGATATAGACAAACATTTTATTTAGACTCTGGGCTTCCTGAGGACAAGACTCTTGTTTCTCTTACCTTTATATCCATTAGCAACAGAATATAGCTAATGTTCATTAATGTACTTTTTAAATAAAACTGTTCAACTACAGTTTAAAAAAAAAAAAGAAAAATATTAGGAGCAAAAATCCTTTTACTCCTGGAAAGCAGTCTTCTCCCCACACCTCTTCCCACATACCCTAGTAGAGAATAAGATTCTCTGAACAGTAAGCTAAATAAAGAGAGGAAGGGGTATTGAGTGTGAGAGAAAGGGGCTCTGTACCCTGTTCCTTGGTCAAATCTCAGGTAAATTTTTGATATTTGAGCATAAAGGAGACCTGTTTCTCATTTCCTGTGAAGCGCCCTTGGGAGATAGTAGGAATGCACAGATCAGGAAAGAATGCATGACATTTCTGGGCATATATGACCTAAAAAGATGTAGAGACTTTCCAAATTCTTTGCTGGAAGATCCCTAAAGTAATAATTAGTTCACCGAAAAATATGACAGAGAATCGGTAAGAGCACTGGCCATCTCAGGATATGCTAGCATAGATTTAATTAATTAGACAATCATCTAGTGAACATCTGTTACGTGCCATTTTCATAAACAGTGAGACTCAGCAGTGAACAATGCACACAAAGTCTCTGCTTTTGCAAAAATTACAATCTAATGACAGCTGGGTGGTATTAAGAACCAAATATTGGCCAGGTGAGGTGGCTCACCCCTGTAATCCCTGCACTTTGGGAGGCCACAGTGGGCAGATCACCTGAGCCCAGGAGTTCAAGACCACTCTGGGAAGCATGGCAAAAACTCATCTCAAAAAAAAAAAAAAAAAAAATTAGCCAGGCATGGCGGTGTGTGCCTGTAGTGCCTGCAGTCCCAACTAGTCAGGAGGCTGAGGTGGGAGGATGGCTAGAGCCCAGGAGTTCCAGACTGCAGTGAGCTGTGATGGTGCCACTGTTCCAGCCTAGGTGACAGAGTGACCCTGTCAAAAAAAAAAAAAAAAAAAAAAAAAGAACCAGAGAACCAGATGTTCATTCCTAACTCCTCATCAGGATGCAAACCTTCCAGAACTTGAATTAAACTCTCAGGGAAATCAGAGTCCATGTAAGTTAACAAGGAGAATGGGCTGTAATAAAAGTAACACCATACGTGGAGAAGTATGGCAATTAAGTTATTTTAGAAAAGTATGGAAATTAAGTTATTTTGACATGATAATTTATTGAACACCTGAGTTTGTTTCCATGAGCAATAGATCAGGGTTTCAGTTTTTTCACTTCCCTGTCAACACTTGTTATTTTCCACTTATTTGACTATATAGTGGTTATAAAGTGATATCTCATTGTAATTTTGATTTGCATTTCTTTATTGACTGTGTTTCATTATTTGTTCATATGCTTACTGGCCACTAAGATACTTTCTCTGTAGAAATATCCATCAAATCCTTTGCCTGCTTTTAAATGGATTATTTGTCTTTTTATGGTGAGATGTGTGAGGTGTTTATATATTCTGGATAGTAGGCCCTTAGCAGATATATATTTGAAAATATTTTCTCCCATTCTGTAGATTGTCTTTTCTTGAAAGTGTCCTTTGATGCCAAAAGTTTTTTTTTTTGACAAGTCCTGTTTATCTGTTTACATGTTGTTGTTGCTTATACATTCAGAGTCAAATCTAAGACCAGTGACAAATCCAACATTACAAAGATTGACAGCTATATTATTTTATAAGAGTTTTATAGTTTAAATAATAATTTTTAGGTTTTGACCCACTTTGACTTAATTTTCACATATGTTGTGAAGTAGAAGCCCAACTTCCTTTTATTGCATATGGATATTCAGATGTCCTAGAAATGTAGCAGGACAAGCCGCAGACAAGAACCCCTCAGATGCCGAGCTGTAGAAGGAAAGGGCTTTATTCAGCTGGAAGCATCGGCGGGTTCACGTCTCCAAAATCCGAATTTCTGTTCCTTTTAAGGGCTTACAACTCTAAAGGAGTCTGCATGAGAGGGTCGTGATCAAATGGGGGCTGCATGCACCGGTAATTAGAATGGAACAGAAGAGGACAGGGATGTTCACAATGAGTTTCCATACAATGTCTGGAATCTATAGATAACATAACCAGTTAGGTCAGGGGTGGATCTTTAACTACCAGGCCCAGGGCGTGGTGCCGGCCTGTCTGCCTGTGGATTTCATTTCTACCCTTTAGTTTTTACTTCTTCTTTCTTTGGAGGCAGAAATTGGGCATAAGACAATATGAGGGGTGGTCTCCTCCCTTAGAAGCATTTGTTGAAAAGAATATAAACTATTTTTGGCACCCTTGTTGAAATCAATTCACTATAGATACATAAAGATTTATCTCTGAAATAATTCTATTTCATTGCTCTATATGTCTATTCTTATGTCACTACTATCTTTTCTTGATTACTCTTGTTTAGTAGGAAGTTTTTAAATTGAGAAGTGTAAGTTCTTCAACTTCGTTCCTTTGCAAGATTGTTTTGCTGATGCTGGGCTCCTTGAATTTCATTATGAATTTCAAGTTAAGTTTTTTTATTTCTGAGAAAATAGAAGGTAGTTGGAATTTTGATAGGAATTACATTAAATCTGCAGATCAGTTTTTGAAGTATTTTCATCTTAACAATAAATAAAATATGCCTTTCATTTAGGTAGGTATTATTTATCTCAACATTTTTTTGTCACTGCGTAAGCCTTCACCGTACATCTTGCACTTCTTCGGTTAAATTTATTTCTAAATACTTTATTCTTGTTGATGCCAATGGAAATAAAATTGTTTGTTTTCTTAGTTTTATTTTCACATCATTTATTGCTAATGTATCAAAATACACCATTTAAAAATATTGAGCTTATAACTTGCAACTTTGTAGAACAGATTTATTAGTTCTGATAGATTTTGTGAATTTTGGGAGGTTTCTGTATATAAGAGAGTATCATCTGCAAATAGAGATAGTTTTGCTTCTTCCTTTAAAATCTAAATTTCTTTTATTTCTTTTCCTTGCCTTATTGTTCTAGTTAGAAGTTACAATACATTATTTGAAAGCAATGATAAAGGTAGTCTTCTAATCCTTGTCTTCTTTTTGATTTTCAGAGAAAAGGTTTTCATTCTTTCAGAAATAAGCATGACCTTGCTTTTCAGAAAATTCTTCTATTTCCACTTTTCACAGTGTTTTTTCAGTCATGAAAATGTATTGGATTTCGTCAGTTATTTTTCTGCATCTATTGAGATGATCGATTCCCACCCCTGACACCAACCTTGATTCTGTGAATATGGTGTTTTCAGCGATTCATTTTCTTATTTTGAACCAAGCTGTCATCCCTTTGATAAATCCCACTTGGTCGAGGTTTATAATATTTATTACATGCTGTTGAATTCATATTGGTAGTTTTTATTGAGGACTTCTGCATTAATATTCATTGGGGTATTGGTCTGTAGTTATCTTGTGATATCTTTGTCAGGTTTTGGTATTATGGTAATACTGGATATGGGAATGGGTTGGAATGTATTTCCTCCTCTTCTGTTTCTTAGGAGAATATTTAAATAATCATGGTAAATATTTGATAGAATTCACCAATAAAGCCATTTTGTCTCCTAATTAAAGGAAAATATATAATATTATGATTTACTCACAACACTGTTAATTTACATGAGTTTTGACAAATGCAGACTCATGTATTCAACATTGAATTATCATACAGAATAATTTCATTGTCCTTATAAAATCTGTTTTTCTTCAGTTGTTTATTTCTGTTTCCTCACTTCCCCTACCCCAAACCCCTGACTACCGCTAATCTGTTTACTATTTTTATAGCCTTGTTTTTTAAAAAAAACTTTTATATAAACAACATATTGCCTTTTCAGTATTTTATTTAGCAATATGCATTTAAGTGCATCTATGTCTTTTTGTGGCTTTATAGCGCATTTGTTTTTATCACTGAATTGTATTTAATTATATGGATGTACCACAGTTTATCGATTCACCTTGAAAGACATTGTGGTCCCTACCTGTTTTTGGTGATTTTGAATAAAGTTGCTGTAAATACTCATTGCAGGGTTTTCCGTAGTTGTTAAATTTTAAATCAGTTTGGCAAATATCTAGGCGTGTGACTGCACGATCTATGGTACCATTACATTTAGTTTTGTAAGAAACCGTTAAACAATTTTCCAAAGTGGCCATACCAGGTTTAATTCTCACCAGCAGTGAGAATTCCTGTTGTTCCACTTCCTCATCAGCAATTGGTATTGTTATATGTTTGTTTTATTTTGGATCTTACTCATTCTGTTATGTGCGTAATAGTAATTTATTGCATTTTTAAATTCTTTAATTTTTAATTTTTGTGGGTACATAGTAGGTGTATATAATTATGTAGTACATGAGGAGTTTTGATACAGGCACTTGTATTTCCCTAGTCATAAATTATGTTAAGCATATTTTCACGTACTTGCCGTTTTTATGTTCATTGGTGCGCTCTTTGTTCATATCTTTTTCTCATTTTAAATATTTTCCAATTTTCTTTAAGTTTTGTTGAACTTTAAGAGTTCTTGCATATTCTGGATATGTCCCTTAGTTTTAATATTCATAAAATTAGGATAATAATTGTAATCACATTGATAAAAGGTTTAGTTGAGAAAATGCATGTAAAATTTAGTAAAGCAACTGCATCCACTAAGTGGTAAATATGTCTATTAGGCTGGGAACAGTTCTGTTCTAATTTCGCTTACTCAAAGCCTATCACAATAAACAAAATCAATAAAAAGTTGTTGAATTAACCAGTAAGTCCGAATTACGTGAAATTTAGGCTTGTTTGTTTGAACATAACCTTTTACACACTCTACATCACATCAACTATCTTGAGCTTAAATACAGTAAAATGAAAAACAATATGTATTATCATGGACACATGCAAATCTGTTTTCTAAAATAGTTTTCTGCAAACTGTTCTCTTTTCTCTGTTATACATCTATTTGTTATTCTATACTAAAAATACAATACAAGCAATTGTTTTTTCTATAAAGGTAAAGTTTCCTGCTAATATGTTCCGTAATATGTTTTTATATCAAAAATTCATAATATCATGGTAATAAAATATTTGAAAAGAACTTCAAATTCCTGAACTTCAAAAAATGCACTTCTAAACACTGTTTTATCAATTAAAATGTTATTTAAAAACATTAATTATTCCCTACCACTTTGCTATTTTACAAATCAACTGCCTTAATATTTAAGCATATCCTAAACAAATCATGCTTAAAATTATTTTAAAATTTCAAGTTGCATAGTTGTCTCCCAGATAAAGTAAGGATAAGTGAAAGATTGGATTTAAATGATTTTAAAAAACCCATTACAAATAAAAGAACATACAAAATTAACTTGATTCCCAGTATTTCTAAGCACATTGGTAAATGTTTGGCAAAAATAAAAATAAAAATAAACTCAATTCGTTTTGTGAGGATGCTGGTTCTTAATTAAACAAGTAATTTTTATATATGAAACACTGCATAAAAACACAGAATTTTGGAATAAAAAGATACTGGGAACATAATACCTTCATCTTAGACATTTAGAGATATGGAATCTGAGTGCTAAATAATTTCAATGGATTAGTACATGTCCAAAGTTACACAAGCAATTAATTGTAAAAACAGGCCTCTACTTATTTATTTTGCCTTTCAAAAGATGGGTTCACAACTCAGAACCATACTATCAGGCTAATACATAATAAGATAATAAAATGTATCTACGTAACAAGTGATTGAACTACTTTGGTTGGTATGGCGGAATCCAAAAACAAGAAAAAGCAAAGAAAATTTTCTCTTTATTTAATTTTATTTATTTATTTATTTGTTTATTTATTCATGAGACAGGGTCTCACTCTGTCACCGAGGATGGAGTACAGTGGCACAATCCCTGCTCTCTACAGCCTCCGCCTCCCAAGTTGAAGTGATTCTCCTTCCTCAGCCTCCCGAGTAGCTGGGATTACAGGCATGCACAACCACACCCAGATAATTTTTGTATTTTTTGTAGAGACAGGGTTTCATCATGTTGGCCAAGCTGGACTTGAACTCTTGACCTCAGGGGATCCGCCTGCCTCAGCTTCCTAAAGTGCTGGGATTACACATGTGAGCTACCTTGCCCGGCAAATTTTCTCTTTAGTTAAAAGGAAACCAAAAATAACTTTTTTCATTTGGAAGGATGAAAAATCATAAAATCTGAAGCAACATAGGACCAACTGCAAAGTGATAGAAAGCAGCGTAAAGGTTATTAGCACCGATTCTAGATTCAGAAAAATTTCTGAAAGAATACTGACCTGCCAATAATAGCTCTGAGAATTTGCTCCTAAATTAATCACCTTCAGCCTCAGTTTTCTCATCTGTAAAATGTAGTTAATGAAAATTATTAGTTCATAACATTTTTAAGTATGCACTAAAATAATACACACAAATCACTTACACAGAATCTAGAGTACAAATAACATTTGAAATAAATGTTCTCAATGTGCAATTTACAGAAAGGAAGTGTTTCAAAGTTGTATAATGGGCACACCAAGGAAACAAAAGTCTTTACAAAAATTTTATTTCTTGTTATATGTGTGTGTATTTGAATGTGTGTGTTTATATATACGTATATACATGTGTGTGTACACATATATGTGTGATTGTGTATAGTAAGATGTCCTACCAAGGACTTACTTTTTTGTTGTTGTTGTTGTTTGGAATTTTTAATACTAGAGCACAAAAGTAGCAAAAAAGTTATATTGGTTATATTTGGCAGAATAAAGGATTATTGATGCTGCTTTAGGCTTAGAAGTGAATCTTCTGGTTGGAAAGGTAAAAATGATTTTGGGTAAAAGACTCATGCCAAAATCACATGAACAGAACATTCCTGGGACTGCTAGCATCTTGAGGATCTGAAGGAAGGATTAAATGTGCTAAAAAATAACACGTTGAGAATTGAACAAGTGAGTAAAACTGTGGACAGAGTTTAAGAGAGAAGGAGCCATAGATCTAAAAAACATGATTCAGCAGATTTCTACAACTCCCAGATCAATTTTTCTGAGCTGTAATTTTATGTAGCTTGGAGAAGCAACAACAATGCCACTGAACAGGCTTTAGAATATCCCCCATTAAAGCCTGCAGCACCAACCTCTTCCTCAGAACTTCATGTATTTCCACATTTTGGAAAGAGGAGGGTGAAATGCAAAGAGATTGATATTAGAATTTCAGCTCTTCTGGCCCATTAGCAATAGCTCCAGTCTTGAGGATTAAAAGACATGTGACCTTATCAGATTGTAGCATTTATTGAGTGCATCATATTATGATATATTTTTCTCAAGGTGGTTTACCATAGATGCACTTTATTCAATTGTCCACAACTTGTGGGCCTAGACACCTGAAAATAAATATCACTATTTATTAAAAACTACTTCAGAATGAATTGAGGCCTCAGTCCTTATAAAGTGGCTAAGCCATTACACATAGAAGACATTATTATTCGTCAAAATTTCTTCCTTTTTACAAATATTTTGCACTTTTCTGCTACTTACGTGTAGCATGGGACAAATAGGCATTGTAAATAACTAACGGTCTCTGAACAGGAACGGCCTTTAAAAGATCATCTGATAAAATCACTTGTTTTAGTCTCTCCGATAAACAAATATTTATTGACTCTTAGCTAGGAGCACCCTGCTAAGCTATAGAATATAGAAGAAAATATTTTTATCACAAAATAGCTTATTACTCCATTTCATAAATATGAAAACTGAGGCGTGAATAAAAATTAAGTTACTTGACTGCATGATCAGGTATAAAGGACTGAGTAGGACCTAGAACCCAGTTCATATTTTAGTATTGTGCAATTAGTCAATACACTAATCTGATTTGCAAACATAATCTGAAGTTAATGGCAATTTCAATCAAGGATTTTGATATTACCCAATACTGTGTACTGATTACATGCAATTAATTTCTAGGTATAGAATAAAACAGTCTTAGTTTACTAAGAAATACATATACATTCCAACATATATGTCCTATAATATAATAGAGTGAAATTTCTGGAAACTTTACATAGACCTTCTTCTTCTACAATTCCACATTGTGGCCAATGGTAGAAATCTACGAAACCACAGGTATGCAGGAACATTTACCACAAACAGCTACTATGAGATAGAAGAATTGTTATGGACACTGAGAAAGCAGAAATACTAATTAATATTGTACTTTAACTGCCTAAAGGGTAATGAAGCTAGACATTGCCTGTTAGTCTCTATAGGCAAGATTAAAGTTGGAAGCAACTACCTTATTATTTAAATGGCTTGTGCTGTATACTCAAACCATAGACAATATCCAGCAGTGAGATCATTTTTATGCAATAAAAATCATTTGAATACAATTACTTAAGCAAGTGAGCATCTGTGATTTTTTAAAAAATGACCAAATGCTAGAAATTGAGGAGAGAAGCCAAGATGCTTTTTCTTAAAAAGAGGCAAAACATAAGCAAAAAATATGACAGAGGTTAAAAACACACAGCTGCTTGTTGTTTGTAAGTTCCATGAGAGGTTATTTTTTTCACCTAAACAATGTTTTTTTCTTTTGCTTCTGAAACAATTTGCTATTGAAAAGTTATTTTTATCTTAATAAAACAATTTCCAAATATTATGGAGAAAGGCTTCATTTAATAATGTTTTCTGTAAAATTATGCTCCTTTCCTTTGTAAAAGTTTTGTGCATATACTTTTTGACCTTCATTTTAGAAAGGTATACACACTTCTTTTTACAGTACAAACTATTTTATTTAAATAGTGGTTTACTTATTTTTTCTCAGAAAATATTCTTCTGAGAAAGTGAGCAAAGACATTGCCTTTTACTTATTAAAACAAACCTTTGGTATCCCAAACAAACTTTTGGTAGGCATTCATAGGTAAATGATATTAAACTAATGTTGTTTAAGATGAGTATGAAGAATAAAAGGGGATAGGGGATACAAAATTACAAATAGCAGACATATAGTTATAGTCTAAGATATACCAAATGATTTATCATGATAGAAATTTTTGTACCTAGACCTTCAATTTGATACTTCATTACATAGGACAAAAAGTAGACAATTTGTCATTATAAAATTGTAAGACCAAAATTCAAGATATGACAGTCCATTAGAATAGCTGAGAAAATTAAGAAATTAAAATATTTTAAAATGCAACAAAAAGGAAAACTTTAATGTGTTATTTGTTACCTATATTACTGGGTTTTTGAGTATAAATGAAATATTAATATTATGAAATCAGCACAAAACATAGCTATTTTATTCTCAATCTATATAGTACATAAAGAAAGTACTTCTGAAAGACTTTTTGTAACTGTAGATGAGCAGTTTGTAATTACTTAAAAGAAAATACATCATATGTAGAACATGCTTAGCAAGAGACAGGGTTAGATGATGCCTGAACAATATTTAGAAGCTAGACAAGCCCAGAAAGAGACGTGATTGTTTTGAAGATGTACAAGAAGTAGACAACTGATGAAGATTCAAGCAAAGGGTGCTCAACATGAAAAATTCTAATGACTATTGAAACATAGAGCCAATAATCTGCATATCTCCAACATCCATAATGAGCTACAGGTCTCACTATTTCTGATTTTTAAAATTCAAATGAAAAAATAATGTATATTATTTTTATGCTTATTTCTTTGGGAAAGATGTTTGAAATTTTCAACTTTTATTGATTCTGTCATTTTTCCAAGCCCTAGCCCCTAGAATGAAACTGTCTTGGCCAAAGATACCTAAATAACAGAGTTTAAAGCAAAAGTCAATTACCAGCTCTCTCCTGGGGAATGTAATCCCAGGGAAATTAGAAGGGGAGAAAAAAAGAAAGGAAGTCTGGGAAGGAGAAGAAACAAATACAATACAGTACATTACAAGTCTCTCCCAAGCTTCAACAGAAACAACAGAAAATGTGTTGCTTATTCATATGGGATATCTTCTAAAAGGAAGGGCAAGAGATTTATTTACAAAATACTTGCCATCTCCTATCTCTTCTTGGTCAAATATTACTCCAAGATAAATTAATTCCTGCATACTGCCTTATAGTCAAACATACCTGTAAACAGCCACAGGTTTAATACAAAACATGATGCTTTCTCTGGGCCCAGAAGTGAAGAAAAGGGTCAGAGCCCTGTGAAAGTTGATTATACAAACTGAAATTATTGTTGTTATACCCAACTGAAATGGAGTCAAGAATCCATGCGGAGAAAGCATTCAGGTCACAAAGACCTGCTCCAGGAACTGTCTAACAAACCCAATCCAAGGCCAAAATGGCTTGCTATGACTTTAAAGACAAGTTTTACCTAATGACTGCCACCACTCTCCAGTAAGAGCTTACCAGCCCCAGCATAGCACCACAAGCACGCCAATAAATTTCTTTCAAAACGGCATACTTAGCTTTATTCTTTTCCCAAAAAACTCTAGTGTTTTCTTTGTTCTTCAGGCGTACCAGAGGCTTCCCTGGTCTATATGTATATTCTGAATTGCAATTCTACTTTTAGTATGTTATTCCCAGATAAATCCTTTACTTGGAGTTCGATCTGTCTCTCTCTCTCACTTTCTCTCCTATCTATTTTTTTTCTCTCTCTCCACACACACACACACACACACACACACACCACACACAGCTCTTCTCATACTTTATTTAAGTTGCAGAATATCAGCTATTTTCCCATAACTTCTGCTTATATTTTTCATAATAGTTAGCTCTTATCAGACTTCCCTTTCACACTTCTAAAAATGGTGGCTCTAAACATCTCTCTCTCTCTCTCTCCCTGTATCTATAGAGAGAGTTCTCGTTATAGATGTAGAGCACTCCATAGAGCTAAGAGCAAACCTAGAAACATGAATAAATCAGATATGAAACTCCAACAACACATTAGCTCCAGACTCATTGTTTAGGAAACGGGTATACACTGTACCTCATCTATATTTTTTTGTCAAAGTAACCTCTTTATCTGTATTCGCAATGTAATATAATTGGTGGTAATACATTTAATCATGAATGTTTTTGGGTCAAATAGAATTTATTCATATATCATGCTACTTTTGAGCTTCTACTATGCATTGGATTATGCAAGGGACATAAAGATGAATAAGTCATGAGTTCTACTCCAAAGTGTAATTAGTCAGAGTTGCTGTCCAAAGACTTACAGGTGCAAATGTATTCGTATTGGCTCCGTATAACAGAATGGGAAGAAGGGAGAGTTTCTGAAAATTTTATTACTTCTAGTGTGTGTGTGTGTGTGTGTGTGTGTGTGTGTGTGTGTGTGTGTTTTCTTCCTTGCTTTTGGTTTTAAAATAGTTTTAGAAGAGACGTTCATTTGACTTTGGGGTCTAAGAAAGGCTATGCTGAACTCTTGTACATAAATTTTAAATGATAATAATATTTTGTATATTGTTTGAGACAAAGCTTTCTTTAAAGATTCAGAGAATGTCTAGTTCAGAATTTATTAACACAGATTTGAGAATCAACCCCCTTCCCTATGACTAAGCTGCTTTTAGGCATTAATGATGCCTTCCAGATGCCCTTTTTGAGGCCTTAATAAAGGTGCTATTCAGAGCTCAAATCACAGCGACAGGTGCTGGGGTTTATATTAAGACTGTGAAGGTAGCCACTGTTTGTTGGCAGTTGGAAAAACAGCTCAATGATTGCCACTATGTTATTAGTAAGTTTGGCATAAAAAGAAAAACCTTTTAATGAAGTACTAGACTGTCTGTTGATTATACTGAAGAATTGCAAGGTTAGCATACCAACTGTATTAATTTCCTATTGTTGCTATAACAAATAACCACAAATTAGTGGCTTAAAACAACATATATTTATTATTTTATAGTTTGGGACATCAAAAGTCCATAATTAGTCTCGACGGACTAAAGTCACAGTATTGGCAGGCTGGCTGTCTCTTAAAGATACAGAATCTCTTTTCTGGCTTTTTCCAGGATGAGTGTTGTCCTTATTTCTTCAGTCTTGGCCTCCCATTACGTGGCCTTTTCTCCTTTTGCTTTTGTTGTCATACGGCCTACTCTGTGCTTTCTCCCCTTTTTTCTTTTCTCTTATAAAGATCCTTATGAATTGGACCAACCAGGGTAATTCAGGATAAATTCCTCATGTTAAGTTCTTTAATTTATACACATCTGCAAACTCTTTCTTTGCCATATAAACTAACATATTTACATGTTATGAGGCTTATAATGTGAACATCTTTGGGGCTGTTATTCCCTCTACCACACACATCGAATTCAGAGCAATAAATAATGTCTTCCGTGGTTTATTATAGGGCAACAAATAGGTTCTTCTAACATCTTATTTAAGTCGCAGAATATCAGCTGTTTTCTTATAACCTCCAATTTTATTCTGAGTAGTATTCAGCTCTTATCAGACTTCCCTTTCACGCATCTAAGAAATCATGGCTCTGAACATCACTTTTACTGAATTTTTACTGAATTCATTAGCTGAAAGAAAATCAATAAAATAATCTGTAGGGTATGCTTCACTAATGGGCAAACATAGCTAGTTCTGCCATAGAATATTCTTAAGCTAAAAAGTACATCTTGTAATTATAAGTCTCTACTTCTTTGAACATGTAAATACAAATAATAACTAAATCTATAAACACAAACTAAATCAATAAAACACAATCTCACTAAATGTTAGTCATAGTTCACTCTGTTGTATACCTTATCTCATTATCTAGCTTTCTGTCTGTCTGTCTTTTAACTGTCCATCCATTTATTACCTTTTCTTGAACAAGCAAGGAGGGATTTATCTTATAAATCACCTATATTTACTACTCTATTTAACTGAAATTTTACCCCTAACACCTCTTACATTTAAATTTCACCTAATGAATTTCTTCTGTTTCAGTCCAGTGAAGTGAATTTTATGGCTTGTCATGATTAAAACATATATCAAAATATAAACTTAAAGATTTCTTCTTTTAACCTTGAGTTTCCCAATTCATTCGATGATATAAGTCTATTTTGAAATAATGTTAGTTAACATCCTATAAAGCTAGGGCTTTTATAGAGCCCACAATGTTTAGGAAGGGGCATTTTATATTGATTGGATATTTAATTCTGTTTGGTAATTTACTTAATTTTTCTAGGTGAGCTTTTTTATGAAACACTGATCCTCTCGTTTATACTTGATTTCATTAAATACTAACTTTGTGTATTACTCTAAAATGCCTTTAAATGCATTCAGCTTAACTAGCATATTTAAAGTTCATAATCCTGTAGAGGAGTTTTTAAATATCTTCAGTTACAGGTAAGAATCAGAAAAAAAAAGAGGATAAATATTCAGGTAGAAAACTGCGGAAACAAATTTCAAGGGGATCTATCTCAAGTGCCCATTTTCTTTATCACTGATTATATTATTTTTCAATATAATCTTTAACTACAGGTGCTTTATTAATAAAACTACTCAACAAGGGCTTTAGCACAAACATTAAAAATGAATATATTGGCCGAGCGCTGTGGCGCACTCCTGTAATCTCAGCACTTTGGGAGGCCGAGGCGAGTGGATCACGAGGTCAGAGTTTAAGACCAGCCTGGTCAAGATGGTGAAACCCTGTCTCTACTAAAAATACAAAAAATTAGCCAGGCCTGGTGGCGGGCGCCTGTAATCCCAGTTACTTCGGAGGCTGAGGCAGAGAATTGCTTGAACCCAGAAGGCAGAGGTTGCGGTGAGCCGAGATCGCGCCACTGCACTCCAGCCTGGCAACAGAGCAAGACTTCATCTCAAAAATAAATAAATAAATAAATATAGAAAAATATATATATGTATAGAAATATAAATATAGAAATATATATATGTATAGAAATATATATATAAATATATATAAATATATATATAAATATATATAAATATATATAGAAATATATATAGAAATATATGTATAGAAATATATATAGAAATATATGTAGAAATACATATATAGAAATATATATAGAAATATATATATAGAAATGTATATAGAAATATATATATAGAAATATATATAGAAATATATATAGAAATATATATATAGATTTCTAATCCTTGTGGACAATGAAGAAGAAGTCTTTTCAGAGAAGAAGTCTGAATTGACTGGAAAGTAAATTCCTTTTCTTTTAAGGAAAAGGAAAGCAAGTTCTAGCAGTATATATGCATGACAAATGATTGTTAATGGCGGGGAGGGGTTAAAATAGCACCACTGGTACATAGTGGGATTATTTTCTTCTCGATAAAATTTAGTAGCATAGTAGACCACCAATTAAAATAGTCTTCTCATATTATACTAGAACATGGACTAGATAGAAGTCAGAGAACCTGAGAGATCGAGCGGGAGCAGGTTGATTCAACTTGCTTTGATGATTGTCTGGGTGGTTTGTGCAGGGGCAGGCTCTTAATAACTAATAAACCACAGGAACAGGGCCTGGCTTGTAGTAGCCATTCAATACATATTTGTTGAAAATGTTGTTGATTGTTTTCATTGAAGTCCTTAGGTGAATCCAAAATCAGCATGCTCCAAGGATTTACGAGAAGGCTGAAAAACTGAGAACTGAACCAAAGAGCAACATACACCAGAGATTTTGCACTTGGAATCTGAAGAGCTAAACATGGGGAAAAACATGTCCATTTGAGTAATGGGGGTACATAAGATCTTAGAACCTTATTTTAAAGGCCTACCTATACTTTAAATATTTTCAAATACATTGTATTTTGTTAAAATGCTTTAGTTTATTCTAAAATTCATTAATTATGGTTTTTAAAATAAATATTTCTGAGAGTGCTGGTATAGCAGAATAAGAAATCTAGCAAATAGAATGGAAACATATATATATGTAAAATTTTACTATACATATTAAAATTAAACACATATTTTATATACATACTATTTAAATATGCATTGATTAAAATTATAATACTTTTTTGCTAGATATTTTTAAGCTTCATACTATCCAAAATAGTTAACTTATTTTAAGTTGCCTTATATCTTATAATAAAATAGCACAGTTATTGAAATATACTATTTTTATCTCTAAAGTAAACCAACTCATTTATTCACCCCAGGAATCTAACATTTTATTAGGTCAAGTTATAAAACTTGACTCTTCTAGTGACATTCTTGGGAATATTTTCCATGTTGATTCATGTTTTTCTATCACTTTTCTCAAGTAAGAATAACATGTATGCTATAGCATTAAATTTTTCTTCAAAGAGAAAATCATTATGTGATTATAAATTTGACATGAAATAAGTAATTTTAGACAAACATACTAAAAATAAAATTTCCTAAATAAAATCTTGTCAAGATTAAAGAATTGTCTTTCTATATCTATCCAAAACCTCCTTAAATGAAGGAAAATGTAATGCGAGCAGCCACAATGATAATGCAGAATAACAATAATCATCACAGTAAAACTAGCAATTGCTGAACTCTTACCACATGTCAGATTGTCTCCAGCATTTTATCTCATTAATATATTAAAATACAGAAAATAAAAAATGATAGGAGGATAAGATGCAGAAGATGAAAATAAACACTTTTTAAGAGAAGAAAGTATAATCAAGATGGGAAAAGAAAGTAGAAATAAACTAAGGAGAATATGGGAGAAAATACATCTTAACGCTTAGTGAAGTTGGCGTTCCTAGATTTAAAATGAAGAACAGCTGCCAAGGCTTTGGTACAGCACTCAAGGCTGTGTATTTTTTATAGCACCCTCCCACTCTGCTTAGGAGTGTAGGCCTCTGCTGCTAGCTGTGCTTACTGAGCCAAGCACAGCAAGGAGAAAGTCATCAATTACTCCCCACTCAATGCACAGGGCGAGAGCCTGCCCTCTTGAATGTGTGTATAACTCCCTGAGACTTGAATGAAAGTTAGGTGCGTGTAATTGAGGATGGAATTTGACCCCATGAGGTTGAGTGAGAAATGATTGATTGTTTTGAACTCCAGTAGTTCTTTTTGAACTAATGGACTTCAACAGGACCCAAACTGCCCTGGAGATTTTGGTTCCTATTTTCTCTAATTCTGGTTACTCTGGGTAGCATTTTTTCCCCTTTTCTTGTTTATAATACCTCAATGTTCTGATCAGTTGAGTTATTCAGTTGGCTGATTGTTTATTAACAGCACATCTATTCTTAATTCTTGAACTTAAAAAAACTGCTTATTAATTCAGAATTTTTTTAAAGTATTATGTATGCCTCACAGTACATAGTACTCAGTGAGTAGAGAACAATAGCATTACCACTCAAAATAGAAAGTTATAAATAAACCTTCATGATCAGGAGTAGTGCTCTTTTATTGAAACATCATATAAAACTAAAGAAACTCACTGTGGATGATTATTTTAAAATATTTTTCTAATCAATCCACAGTGGAAACATAATGATCATATTAACACATAAACACAAAACATATATTCCCTACCATTATAATCCCTAAGATTACCTCATTTAAATGAAAATTCATCTTAATGTATTACTTTTAAAATAACTTTTTTTGCTACATATTTTACATGTATATTCCTGATGGTTTGATTAAAATCTCGCTTCTTCATTTACCTGTAAATTCCAGGAGTATAGGAATTGTGTCTATTTATAGTGAGCCCTGACTATCTGGTACTTACTTCTGATACTTTCTGGATTTCCAGCACTGATTTCTGTTACTTATTTCTGACTCGTATTTTTAAAAATTCAATTAAAAATGAATAATGCATTCTTTAATACTCTTTACTACATACAAACCAATTGCTGGTAGATCTTTTTTCATTAACATAAAGCTTTTATTGTATCCATATCATCATTAGAGACATGAAATTCTGAGAAAACACTATATCCGGAGTTAAATAAGGGCAGGGGATAAATCTATTTTTTAAATGATAGCCATTCTTTCAGACAAAGGTTCATGTGTATCAGCCAAAGTAAGAGTCTAGAAGCTTGGTCGAGGATATGGCAGTCTATTTTAATTAATGAAGTTCAGAATTATTGGATGTGCCAGGGCGCAACATTTCAAAAAGAAAATAAATTATATTCCCTTATCTTTGAAGTACAAATGCAATTACAAAGCATGAGGATATTCTTGCATGACTTACAGATAGTACTTACGTGGGTGGGGCAATTCTAGGGGTAATGCCTTGTAAGTAGTGTCCTATTATGTTTTAAATCTTGGTAATTTGTTAATAAATCAAAGCAAGTTTAAATTATTTTATTTGTTTTTCTGTTCTTTATATTTTGTCTGGAATTAAAACCTTCGACTGTACTCAAAGGCAAAAGGTAAATATATGTTTTATTCTATTTTACTCTTTAAAATTTTTGAAAAATTATACGCTAATTGTCTTTCTGACACTGGGCACTCCTCCAGGTATCTCTTTATTACTCATTACACGTTTTGTGCAGGCTCAGTTTCCATAGACACTATGAATGCTTACAATATCCCTAGCAACTGTTCTCAGATTTTTCTTTTAGAAAGCCAATGTCACTATTTGCTAATGAAGTTGTGTCCCATTGTTTCAGGAGATGTATAACAGGTGCTTCTTTATTTTAATTTTAATATTTAAAATTCAAGACATATATTGATTGTGCCAAGTCGATGCACTTTACTACACTATTCATCCTATTTTTAGTAGCACTTCCAATTTTTACTATTTCGCACAGTGTAAACTGCTTTTGAGTTATGCAAATATTATTAAATGTCACTTTCCAATTCACTTAAATGGCACTAAGTTAAGAGTACATCAGCTTTCAACTATACAAAAAACTGAGACAAATGGTGCAATTTAAGAGCATTGTATACCTAACAGTAGACAAACTCAATGCACAGCAATCTTGAGATAATTCAGTTTGTCTCAATTCAATGTAACTCCACAAATATTTATTGAGCATCTACTTTGGCAAAGGACTATTCTTGGCAGTATTGTATATACAGAAATAAACAAGACGTGGTCTTTGATCTTAAAATTTTTATGACCCATCAGATAAAATAGGCATGAACACAAATTCTAAATATTAGACATATCGTGATGTATCTGGCACTAAAAATACTAACAAAGTGTTCTGTAACGCAGAAGGAATTGAGATTAATGATGAATAAAGACATTTTAGAATGATTCATTTAGGAGTCTACATTGGAATACACCTTAAAGGATGAGTAAGGATTAAACTGGTAAAAACAAGAAGGAAATGCTTGTTATAATAAAAATGATGTGAACAAAGGCAAAATAAAGGCAAATAAAAGACACAGAAGAGACAGAAGTGTTGAATGGTGTGACTTTTATAAGCTGGAAGGCATGGTGAAGTGATAATACAAAGAGATACATGGCAAAAGATGTATTTGAGATCAGATAACTATATGTAAAAATGGGTGTATGCAGAAATACGGAGAGTCTATCTTGTATATTAATTTAGACTTTATTTTTTTTTTCTTAGAAGACAGTTTGATTTAAGGTACTACAGGTACCTATCTTGACTATGCGTATACTTTTTCTTGTTCCATCCAGTAGGCTTTTTCAAAACACACACTTGTGTAATTTTAATTTTACACACACTGTTAAGATATCTTTTTTTTTTTTTTTTTTTTGAGACGGAGTCTCGCTCTGTCGCCCAGGCTGGAGTGCAGTGGCGCAATCTCTGCTCACTGCAAGCTCCTCCTTCTGGGTTCACGCCATTCTCCTGCCTCAGCCTCCCGAGTAGCTGGGACTACAGGCGCCCGCCACCACGCCCGGCTCATTTTGTGTATTTTGTTTAATAGAGACAGGGTTTCACCGTGTTAGCCAGGATGGTCTCGATCTCCTGACCTTGTGATACGCCCATCTCGGCCTCCCAAAGGGCTGGGATTACAGGCGTGAGTCACCGCGCCCAGCCAAGATATCTCTTTATGTGAGCACTTTATGCTGCTTCTGACATGATCACTTTCATTTATTTATAAATATAGCAGCCTTATTTCTGTAACACACCTTATAACACCTTATCTATATGAAATGTATGAATCTGCATTACTCCCTTAGGAATGCAATTAAATGCCAACCAAGAAAGAAAATGTAAGTATCTAGGTTAAAAAAAAAAAAAAAAGCTATTGATATTACAGAGTCAATTAATGAAATTACCTACTCCTTTTTACAAGGGGTACCTTCTGTGTATTGTTTTGATCTACCTTGTTTTATACATGGTTCTAATACATGTGATGATTTCACCATTCAGCCTAAGAAGCAACACATTAAGAGAAGGAAAAAGTGCCATGTAATGTAAGTCATGCCAGGTTAGTGAGAAGTGGTAGCAAGGTGAAAATTAAACCTAATAATTATATAAATAATATAAAACCATTCAAATTTGATAGGTAACTTTGTGGCTAGAGAGAAAGAATAACTTTAAAATTTCTGATATCCTCACAGAGTGTAAAAAATGAGTAAGTTATGGTGAGTATTCTCTAAAAGAATTTAGATTTTGTTGATTATTAGGAAAAATATAATTTAGTCAAATTTGTAAAAAAAATCAGTTAATAAGTATAAAGCTGGACACTCAGCTTTATGCATCATGATGCCTAATTCCAAATAAAAATATTTAAACACACAGAGCTTTAAAACTGGACTATGTACTTCTGAATACACATGTAATGCAGAAATTGTACCAATTGTTTTCTATTGGTTTTCATTTCCAACAACTGTGTATCTTGCTATCTGGTTTCACCACACATAAAATATTTCCAAATTCTAATTAGCATGGTGTTAAGGCACATTGCAGACTTCAATGAATACACGATAAATGAATGAGGGGATAGATGTTGTTGACTTTTGCTTTGTGGCATTAGGCTCTGTTCAGATCCCTGAGGTACAAAAGAGGGAACTGCATAGTTTTAATATATAACCACTAAGTCTAAATATATCTTCTGACATCTAGGCATCGAGAAGTGAACAATGATAGAAAGAGCTGTAAATATGTGCATTTTGCCAAGTATATGTTCTCCAATTTACCAGAAAAAAAAAAACCTCCACAAAACATAATGGGTTTGATGAATCTAATAACAAAATTCTTCCAGCATGAGTAATATAGTCAATTAAAATATCTCTCACAGAAGTTAGAATTGCTGTATATAATGCTTTTTTCCTTTACTATATTTTTCTACTGCAACACATTTTTAGGTTAAAAAATGAAAAACAAATTGAAGGAAAAAATTAAGTCTTTGTGGCATTAAGAAAACTTATTTGGCCTTCTTTTCAACTTCAAAAACTTATATTTTTAGAAAATGAAAATATTTTAATAAAATTATAGTTGCCTTGTATTATCTATAGTAAGACATATGAGCCACTGCAGTAATTAGAATCCACTGCATTAAAGATAAGCTGTCTATGGGTGATACACAAAATAATGTGATTTTATTTAGTGATTGATTTTTATCATCATCAATCAGTAGCAAATATTGGTAGCCAAAAGAAATGTCAGTGTCAGCCTGTAAGTGAGCTATCTACATGGACTGAATTCCAATTTGTAGACGTCTGAATCTAGATGCAGGTATATATGCTTGATAACCAAAGAAAAATGAGAGGATCAAATTATAAATAACAGAAAAACAGGAAATATAGGACCTACTCTTTTCTCTCATTATAAGTAGAGCTTCACAGTATTAAACAGTACATCTTAATTGACATATGGACCTTCATATTTTTGAATTCTTGGCATTATATAGGCCACAGCCTTTGCAAAAAAATTTAAAAATCCTTAAGTATTGTTACAGGCCCATTGGAAGATGGTGTCAAATAATTAGGTTTTCAAGTAATTATGTTTTCCATACTTTAAAGTCTGCCTGACAACATACTAACAAAGTTCTAGAGTTCTGATCTCTGTTCATGTTTTGTTAGTAAGTACATTTATGTCTTGAGTAAGTGGATTTAAATGGAAGTTTGGGATTCTCTTATTCTAGAAATTCAGGTACAGCTTCCAACTGTCTTTTGAGAAAGCGAGAAACTGTACAGTTTGACCTACCCAAAAAATCCTTTACTGATTTCTTGTTGAACTGATTATAGATATATAATTTGCCCACAGGTGATCTTTAGTACATTAAACAGAAAAGACATACATTTTCAACGGTCATTTCTTGTATTGACAGCTTGTATTTTGAGGGCTAGACACTGTAATGTCTAATTTACAAACCACCAAGGGATTGAAAATCATCTAAAATTCATCAAAGAGTTAGTGATCATATAATTGTCAGTTTGACTCACAAGTTCTAGGTTTATACTTGAGATAACTTTCCAGTATTCTACACAGTTAATCTAATACTAACCAAATAATTTATTTACAACCTGAAAAAATGATAACAGATTTAATTGAGGACACATCCTAGAAATTGTTACAGATGGCGAGTGTGCCTGTGGAAGATGATGAGGTTCTTGCTCTTGATTATCTGCTCCAGGAACAATTCTTGGTCAACTTCATGTTGCAGCTGCCTTTTCTTTAAAAGCAAAAAAATGTATATATATTATATACATGTATGTCTATAACCACTAAGTCTAAATGCACATATATATATATATATATATATATATATATATATATATATATATATAAGCTAAAAATCTCAATTTGCCTTCTTTCCAAGTTACCACTTTCCTTTTCTGTTCTTGAGTCACTTATTCCTGCCTATAGGCTGGCAAACTGTTTACGAATAAGAAGCAGGATATCTACTTCTTTCCTAATGGCTATCTCTGAAAAACAGAAACACACTCTTTTGTATTTTTAAGTGGGTTTGTTGCTGGTAATTACAAGAACATAAAATGTAGCACAAAAGGCAAGACTCACTTGTAGAATTATTTAGTCCCAGAAACATGAAGAAATAGCTACTTGGTCTTTCCCAACTTTTATTTAGATTTGTGAATTTAAATGTTATAGACCCTGCCCATCATGCCTTCCTCTTTATTTCAAGCACCTAAAGCAGCATCTGACATATATCAGATGCCGGATAAATATTTGTTTTATAGCTAAATGAAGGCCTTTATGAATGACTTATCTTTTCATAACACTGTGACTTGCTTCCTTTCTAAACATCTGGATTTGTTCTCCTTTGAGAATCAGCATACTGAACCATAGCTAAGCATGCACACAGACACACAGACACACACACACACACACACACACGAGGCCCATGCTGAAAGCAAATCTCTGTGACTTTATCATTTATCCATTTATCATTGTATTATTTTGCTTTCCTGAAAGACTTTGACTGTTATTTTAAAGTCTACTTGTACTTTGAAGTAAAGCATTATTTCTTCTCCATTTGTTTGAAACATGAGCTCTGCAAAATGTGTTTTGTAAAATTTAATTGTAAATGATGCTTTCAGAAAAAGGGTTTTGTGGCCTAATTATGATCAATACTAGCATAATTTTTTTTCTGAAAATTCCTGAAATAAAATAGCCAATTTCATTATGTTTAACTTGATTCCTTATCTTTATTTGACCAACAAAATTTCTTTCCAAACCCAAACATTTCATCTCAGTGAAACTACTGCATCACAGGATACCTATTTTTATATCCTGTCTTCGAGTAATATGAGGAATATGATTTCACAAAGAGTCATGTACCACACATACTTTGATGAAGGACTCTACTCAAAACAAATAGTTATGTCAAAACTGTCTCCATTTTTCACTTCATCCCAACATTGTGAAGACCTCTAATTCTGAGTTCATTTGTGGAACAAAAATAAAGACCACACTCTGATTCTAACAAATTATGAATACCACCTATATTTGGTCACCAACTGTAGCTACTTTCACAGGTTCTCAATATCATGGATACCTGGACCCCCCCCCACCCACAGACAGACCTCAGATTCATATAATCACAGCTTGCTAATAAACTATTGTCAACAGTAAAAATAAAAAATAAATAAAATTAATATTTGATAAAATAAGACAAATAATAAAAATTTCAAAATGCTCTACAGATTCAATGCGCTCTGTCAACTTTTATGAAAATGGAAGAACTCATCTAAAAATGTATGCTTTTTTTAAGATGTAAGATTAGAGGCTTTTTGCATGCCTCAGCTACTTGGATATAGCAAGATAATGCATAAAGAATAACTCTGTGAACTTTAATTCAATAGGGAAATAGAAATCCACCAGAATCACAGAATCATGAAGGAAATTCCAGATTCTTTGAAGGAAGAGTGACAAACAGCCCTTGATGGCGTGTGGCTTATAACAGTGAATGAAGCCCTAGTGTACAAGAAAGGCAAAAAGCTTCCGTCTGTGACTCTCCTTTCCTCTGGGGATCTAAGCAAGCCAGGCTGAGAGAGAAGGCTTTGTTTCTCCCAAGCCCTTGAGCTTACTTGGGGAGAGTCTTGAAGACACTGTGATAAAAAGACACCAGGAAAAGCCCCATTTTCCCAGACACGAGACTGAGAGCAGGATGCCACCTTTAATCCAGGTGCACACAAAATCAGCCATTCTTTGGTTGCCTGGCAGCATGGCCACACAGGCATTTTAGTCAGGATGGAGACTGGATTGCCTGCTCTGGTTTGGGGTAGGGGCCTCCACAGCCAGATGTGTGGAAAGTGTCTCAGCAATAGGCACTGGAATTGTGCTCTTCCATGGTTCAGGCCTGGGGCAGAATAGCTGCTACAGTTGCAGTTCTCTTGGGTGATGAGACTTACAGCTAAGGCCAGCTTGGCAACCTAGAACAAGTCTGTGTGTGCCATTCCTGGGTGTCCCAGCCTCCTCCCCTGAGACTGTTGTGCAGCAGAGCCCTCTCTCCTATACCCCAAGGAAGAAATCCAGGTTTTCAGAGTATTTCTTTGCCTGGATCAGCAGCCTAAGCCAACCCACCCTTCCTGTGCATAGGTCTTGGTGCAGTGGGGCCCTCTCTACTACACACACAGCTGAATCTCCAGGCAGATGGAGCACCCACTTGCCTAGAGCAGCATCCTGAGCCACCCCATCCTTCCTGTGCAGAGATCCTGGAGCAGGGGAGCCCTCTTTGCCCCACTCCCAGGCAGATCTCTAGGCATCTGGAGAACTCACCCTCCTGATTACAAGTGTAGGTCACCTCCCATAATCATGCAGAAAATTTGGGGCCAAGGAAGTTTCCCAGCTCCATGCCTGTGCACATCTTTGTGTGCTTGGTTGCCATTCACTGGATTCGCCTTTGGTGCTGGTGCATGCGCCTGCCATTGGGGTACCTGTAGCTAGACCTACCTGGTCCGGCCCCACCCATTTTGGACTCCACCCCTCTGAGCAGGGAGCTAAGACCAGTATGCACCCCACAAATCAATTCATTGCGTGAGGCAACAGATAATTTCTCCAGGTAAACAAACAACGATTACAGCATATACCCAGCTAAATTGGGTAGCCAGCTCTTATCTATAAGGGTCATCTACTGGCTTGTAAGTCAAACTACACAGCACAATCTAACCCAGCAGCAGAAGTGCATAGGGCTATAGAAGCAAAACCAAAAGACCCTACCTAGCATTCTGTACAGTTGTACCACTTAGGTATGGGGTAAAGGGAAATTGAAATAAAAAATAATAATACTATTACAGGGAAATAAAGTAAAAGAAAAAAAACCCTACCTGCACAAAAATAATTACAAAAGTTAGAAGTGCTAGTGTTTCCAGATGAGAAGGAACCTGTACAAGAATTCTGGCACTATAAAATATCTAAAGTAGTGGCACCACCAGAGGATAGCACTAGCTCTCCAGCAACAGTCCTTCACCAAAAGTAGAAACTCAGATATAAAAGATAAAGAATTCAAACCATGATTTGCAAGACAGCTCAATGAGATTCAAGACAAGGTTGAAAAAACAAAGAAACTTCTAAAGCAATCCAGAAAATGAAGGAAGAGATAAACATATTTTAAAAATCCATTAGAGGTTCTAGGATTAAAAAACTCACTTAAACACATTTCAAAACACAACTGACAGCTTTATCCACAGACTGCACCACCAAACAGAATAAAAATTTTCAAAGCTTGTAGACCGGTCTTTTGAACTGACTCAGTCAGACAAAAATAAGTAAAAAATAATTTTAAAAAATGAACAAATCTTCTAGAAATATGAGATTGTGGAAAGCAACTAAATCTACAAATTCCTGGCATTTCTAAGAGAGAAGGAAAAAAAGTAAACAACCTGGGTAACATATTTGGGGGAATAATTTAAGAATATTTCTCTAATCTTGCTAGAGAGGGAGATATCCAGATATAAGAAGCCAGAGAACACCTGCAAGACACTATACAAAAAGAACATCCCCAAGGCATATAGTTATGAGACTCTCCAAAGTCAACACTAAAAGAAAATATCTTAAAGGTACCAGGAGAAAAAGGTCAGATTATATTTAAAGGGAATCCCATTAGTCTAACAATGAACTTCTCAGCAGAAACTTTACAATGCAAGAGATTGAGAGCCTATGTTCAGAATCCTTAAAAAGAAAGGAATTTCAGCCAACAATTTTATATCCTGCCAAACTAAGCTTCATAAGTGAAGGAGAAATAAAATATTTTTCAGACAAGCAAGTTCCAAAAGAATTTGTTACTGTAAGACCAGCATTAGAATACATGCTTAAGGGAGTTCTAAACATGGAAATGAAAGAACAATACCTACTACCAAAAGAACACACTTAAGTACATAGCCTAGAAACCCTATAAAGCAACCACACAATAGAAATCACAAAGCAAACAGATAACAATTTCACTACAGGTTCAAAATTTTATATATAATTATTAACCTTGAATGTCAATGCTAAGATGCCACTCTTAAAAGTTATAGAGTGGCAAGTTGGATAAAAAGCAAGACCCATCTGTCTACTGTCTTCAAGAGACCCATCTCACACATCGTGTCACCCATAGTCTCAAAGGAAACAGTTGAAGAAATACCTAATCATGCAAATGGAAAACCAAAAAGAGAAAGATTTGCTATTCTTATGTCAGAATAAGACAGATAAAACAGACTTTAAACCAACAACAGTTTTAAAAAATACAAAGAAGGGCATTGCATAATGATAAAAATTTCAATTCAACAAAAAGACTTAATGGGCCTAAATATATACACACAAAACATTGGAGCACCCAGATTCATGAAACAAGTACTTCTAGACCTATGCAAAGATTTAGATAGCCACAGAGTGATAGTGGAAGACTTCAATATTCCACGACACAATTAGACAGGTCATTGAGGTAGAAAACTAATAAAAGAAATTCTGGATTAAATTTGACACTTTGTTGCTTAGGCTGGTCTCAAACTCCCGACTTCAGGCGACCCACCTGACTTGCCTCCCGAAGTGCTGGGATTACAGGCGTGAACCCCCTCGCCCAGCCCATCTCTACTAAAAATACAAAAAGTAGCCAGGCATGGTGGCAGGCACCTGAAGTCCCAGCTACTCAGGAGGCTGAGACGGGAGAATTGCTTGAACCTGGGAGGCGGAGGTTGCAGAAAGCAGAGATCGTGCCACTGCACTCCAGCCTGGGTGATGGAGCTAGACTCCGTCTCAAAAAAAAAAGAGAAAAAAAAAGAAAAACATAATTGATGCTTGACCAATTGGACCTAATGAGCATCTACAGAATACTACCCAACAAACACAGAATGTACATTCTTCTCATCTGCACATGGAATATATTTCAAGATGGACCACTTGCTCAGCCATAAAGTAAGTTTCAATAAATTAAAATTATACCAACCATATTCTTGTACTACAGTGGAATAAAAATAGAAATCAAAACCAAAATCTCTCAAGCCACACAATTACATGTAAATTAAACAACTGGCTCATGAATGACTTTTGGGCAGACAATCAAATTAAGTCTGGAATTAAAAATAATCTTTGAAATAAATGAAAACAGAGACACAATCAACCAAAATCTCTGAAATGCAGCAAAAGACGTGATAAGAGAAAAGTTTATAGCATTAAACATCTACATCAAGAAGATAGAAAGATTTCAAATTAACAATCTAACATTATACTTAGAGGAACTAAAAACTAACCCCAAAGCTAGCAGAGAAAAAGAAAGCAGTAAAATCAGAGCAGAATTGCCTGAAATTGGGATCCAAAAATACATACAAAGGATCAATGAAATTAAAAGTTTGTTCTTTGAAAACACAAACAGGAGCAATATACCACTAGCTACAGAAACGAAAAGAGAGAAGATCCAAATAAGACAATTAGAAACAAAAAGGGCAATATTACAACCATTTCTACAGATTTATAAAAGATCCTTACAGACTATTATGAACACCCCTGTACACGCAAACTAGAAAATCTAGAGGAAATGAATAAATTCTTGAAAATACACAATCTCCCAAGATTAAATCAGGAAAACGTGGACACTCTGAATAGACCAACAGTGAGTTTCAACATTAAGTCAGTAATAAAAAGCTTACTAATATGGTTAGGCTTTGTGTCCCCACCCAAATCTTGAGTTACAATCCCTATAAGTCCCACGTGTCAAGAGAGAGACCAGGGAGAGGTAATTGAATCATGGGGGCAGGTTCCCCATGCTGTTATCGTGATAGTGAGTGAGTTCTAATGAAATCTGATGGTTTTATAAGGGTATCTTCCCCCTTCTCTCAGCACTTCTCCTTCCTGCCACTTTGTGAAGAAGGTATCTTTCTTCTCTCTCACCTTCTGCCATGATCCTAACTTTTCTGAGCCTGCCCCCCAGCCACGCAGAACTATGTGAGTCAATTAAACCTCTTTCCTTTATAAATTACCCAGTCTCAAGCATGTATTTATAAGCAGCGTGAGAACGGGTAAATACACCTACCAACCACAAAAAGCCCCAGATAAGATAAAGTCATGGCTGAATTCTACTAAACATAGAAAGAAGAGCTGGTACCAATTCTACTGAAACTATTCCGAAAAATTGAGGAGAAGGGAATCCTCCATAACTCATTCTGTAAAGTCAGCATTGCATTGATACTAAAACCTGGCAAGGACCCAACAAAAAAGAAAACTGCAGGCCAACATCCCTAATGAACATAGACACAAAAATTCCTCAACAAAAGATTAGCAAATTGAATAAAAAGGCACATCAAAAATTGAATTTACCATCAAGTAGGCTTTATTTCTGGGGTGCAAGTTTGTTTCAACATACATAAATCAATAAATGTGATTCACTACACAAACATAATTAAAAACAAAAACCATATGACATTTCAGTAGATGAAAAATGTTTTGATAAATCCAACATGGATTTATCATAAAAATCCTCAAAAAAGTAGGCATAGAAGCAATATGGCTCAAAATAATAAGAACCAGCTATGACAAAGTCACAGACAACATCATACTGTACAGGCAAAAACTAGAAGCATTCCCCTTGAGACTTGGAACAATAAAGAATGCCCACTCTCACTAGTCCTATTCAACATAGTGATGGAACTGCTAGCTACAACCATCAGATAACAAGAAATAAAAAACATTCAAATAGGAAAAGAGTTCAAACCATCTTTGTGGATGATATAATACTATACCTAATAAACCCTAAAGACTCCGCCAAAATGCTCCCAGGACTGGAGCCATTATCCTAAGCAAATTAATGCAGGAACAGAAAACCAAATACTGCATCTTCTCACTTATAAGTAGGTTTTAAACATTGGGGTTACTCATGAACACAAAGATGGCAAAAATAGACACTGCAGACTACTAGGAGAAAGAGGGAAAGAGGGTGTCAAGGGGTGGAAAACTACTGAGCACTATACTCACAACCTGGATGATAGGATCTATTGTATCTCAAAAACTTCAGCATGATGCAATGTACCCAGGTAACAAACTGGCACAGGTGCCCCCTAAAGCTAAAATAAAAGTTGAAATTATCTTATAAAATTCATATGGAATCTCAATAGACCTAAAATAGCTAAAACAATCTTGAAAAAGATCAAAGTTGAAGGACTTACTTGCTTATTTTAAAACTTACTATAAAGCTATAGTAATCAAAACAGTTTGGTAGTGGCATAAAGACAGACATATAGAAGACAAAGTAGAATATAAAGCCCAGAAACAGATCTCCACGTATATGGTAAAATTATTTTTGGCAAGGGTTCTAAGATCTTTCAAAAGAGAAAGGACAGTCTTTTCAACAAATGGTGCTAGAAAAACTGATTATCTGCACGCAAAGAATTAAGTCAGAATCTTACCTAACAGCCTATACAAAAATTAACTCACAATAGATCATAGAATTATTGGACAACCTAAAACAATAAAAAACTTAGAAGAAAACATATGGCAAAAGCTTCGTGACATTGGATTTGGCAATGATGTCTTGGATATGACATCAAAGGCACAGGCAACAAAAGAACAAATAGACAAATTGGACTTCATAAAAATTTTAAAAATTGTGCATCAGAAAACAGTATCAATAGAGTACAAAGGCAACCCATATAATAAAAAACTTATTTGCAAACCATATATCCTAAAAGGAATTTATATCCAAAATATGTAGAAAACTAGAACTGAACAAGAAAAATGAAACAACCTGATTCAAAGTAGGTCTATTCTCTCACAATGATTTAATACACTTATTATCGGACAGAATTTGTTCAGACTTCGCTCAGGTCTATTTGAAGATAATGAGGGCTCGAAAGCAAATTCATATTTTATGGTGTTTATGGAAGATTGAGGAAGAGTACACAGATGTGAATTCCAAAATGTAAGGACTGATTTAAATGGTATTTTTGTGTGTGTCAGAGTTCTATTTATTTGTACCATGCAAATATGAGTAGAATAATATATATTAACATTACATACTTTGTGCTACAAGCTGTGTTATAAAATTTAAACAGATTTTAGAATAGATAAAATTTAAATATAATTATTACTTTTGAATCACTACTATTAGACTGAATTACTTAAAGCAATTTAAAAATCTGAAAGTGCCTTATAAGAGTGTTATTTATTATAGCATGCCTCATTGTTAGCATTTCTTATACTGAGATGGTTAATTTTAATTGTCAATGTGACCAGATTAAGGGATATACAAATAGCTGGGAAAGCACTGTTTCTGGGTATATCTGTGAGAGTTTTTTTCAGTAGAGATTGGCATCTGAATTGTTTAATGAGTAAAGAAGATCCATTCTCAGAGTTGGTAGGCCTCATCCAATTGGCTGAAGGCTCAAAACAGACCAAACAGGCAGAAGAAAGTTGAATTACCTCTCCCTCCTGGATATGGGGCATCCTTCTTCTTCTGCCCTCAGATATTAGAACTTCAGGTTCATTGGTCTTTGAAATCAGGGCACACTAGTGTCCCCCAACATGCTCCCATCTCTCCCCCAGCCGCAGGGTTCTCAGGCCATCAGACTCAGACTAAGAGTTACACCATTGGCTTTTCTGGTTCTGAGCACACAGATTAGAATAAGCCACACTACAGGCCTCCCTGATTCTCCAGCTGGCATATAGTTTATCCTGAAACTTCTCAGCCTCTATAATGGCATAAGCCAATTCCCCTAAAATCTCCTAAAATCCATCAGATCTCGTGAGATCCACTCACTATCATGAGAACAACATGGAAAAGACCCAACTCCATGATGCAATCATCTCCCACCAGGCCCCTCACACAACACATGGGAATTATGAAAGCTACAGGATGAGATTTGGATGGGGACACAGAGCCAAACCACGTCAGTTTCAAATAGCTAGAAGGTAGATATCAAATGTTCCCATCACAAAGTCATGATAAATAATTGAAAGGATGATATGTTAATGACCCTGATCTGATCACCATGAACTATATGTATCACACCATCACCATGAACCTCCTAAATATGTACAATTATTATGTCATTTTTAAAAAATTAAAAAATACTTTCTTCAGTATTTAACCATCTCTTTGTGACTTTTTCCCATAAAAGTTTAAGAATCAATGACAATTTTGCACAGTTCTTTAACTACAAAGTATTAATAACTTTCTACTCATTGAGAACCTCTTTCTATGATAGAAAACAATTCTGACTGGCCTGCCAAGTTATTTATGGAATTAGCATAGCTGTGACCTGTAGTGTAGCTGACATCTTTCCCAAGCTGCTTATACAGCTATGTTTTGTCTAGTAATCCTAATTACCTTTTTGGTTAAGATGGCTGCTGCTGTTAGAATGTATCAATGACTCTACACTGGAAAATGATTTCATTATGCTATTGCACGTGCGTGCATGCATGTGTGTGTGTGTGTGTGTGTATTTACTAATATACCTGCTCAATTTCTTCTCTTTCATCTGAGACTTTCTGGCACTCTGGAGCATACATTCTAGTGTGAATTACAGGCAATAACTTTATACACACAGGAATATGCATGTCTGTGCATGTATATAAAAATGTGTAGTAATAGCAAATCCTTGAAGAAAAATTACTGGATTGAGGAAGGAAAGAGTGAATTGGGGTTGCTACCATGAATAAGGTAATCAACAAAAACTTCTCTGGGAAGTTGACATTTTTTAAGCAAAAACCTCAATGAATGAAGTGAAACAGCAAAGTATGTGACTATTTTGGACAATAGTATGCAAGTGTGTAGGGAAAAGCAACAAAAAGCGATTGAGAAAGAAGCAGATGTGAGAAACAGCTGGAGACCTGTGTGGCATTTTGATTTCTTTAGAAAAATGAAATGGTCACTGCCAGGCTCCTGTAGATAACATAACACTGTTAAATCTCCAAAAAATGTTTTAGGTCTTTGAACTGCTTTGCCTTTAAAGTGAGAGACTGGAGTTCCGACAGTCTTTTTTTATGATCCTGAATTATTTTCACTTCTTCAAAGTTGACTTGTTTAATGCCAGCATAAGAGACAGAAACAACTTCATTACTTTATTCAGACTTTGCAAAGAGAAAAATGTTACCAATGCTATTTTCAGTATACAAAATAGGATTTCTCTTAGGAAATTTCCTGTCCAATGATTTCAATGTACATCTTTAAATTTGTTGTATATAGTGTTTATAATAAAAATATATTCTAAAAATAAATTGATTTTCAAAATATAATTATGGAAATAACTGGGATGGAGGGAGGAGAAAAAACTAAATGGCTTATATATTGGATATCATTATATAAATAAAGTTATGAAGTTTAAAAACCTTGTTAATTTTTATAAAATAAATGCTTCCTCTACTTTTGGATATACAAACCAGACTAACTTTCACATTTGAGAACACTAACAATAGTGCATGTACATTATGTGATTAAGCAAACAACTCACTTTTGATCTACAGGATATTGAATATAATTTCTCAGAGAGATGTAGGAGAGAGTGTTGTTCCGGGGAAGATAGTAGCTTGAGAGATCAAAAGAGTACAGGTCAAGTGGGCAATGAAAGATCAAGAGGCAGCTATGATCTCATGTCAAGGCTAAGTTAGATAAGAAGTTACTATGTAGTGCTCATATGAATGTCAAAATAAATGAGAAAGACATGGAAAACAAGCTCTACAAGAATTTATGGAACCAGGCCATACATAATACTGGAGAGTCACATAAGATGAGTATTAGAAACAAGACAAGCAGTTAGGAAAGCAGAAAGCGGTCAGCAATGACACTGAAATGTTGAAAAAGCAGTGATGCTTACCTCAGACAGGAAACTTGCAAAGACTTCCTGTGTTAACAAAAGCCAGTCCTAGGAAATGGCCTGGCGTGGTCTTGGGCAGGGGTCCCCAACTCCTGGGCCGTGGACCAGTATCAGTCGGTGGCCTTTTAGGAACTAAGCCACACAGCAGGAGGTGAGCTGAGGGCAAGCTAGCAAACCTTCATCTGTATTTACAGTGCTCCCCATCGCTCACATTACTGCCTGAGCTCCACCTCCTGTCAGATCAGCAGGGGCACTAGATTCTCATAGGAGCTCAAACCCTGTGTGAACTATGCATGTGAAGGATGTAGGCTGCATGTTCCTTGTGAGAATCTAATGCCTAATGATCTGTCACTGTCTCCCATCACCCCCAGATGGGACCATCTAGTTCCAGGAACACAAGCTCAAGGCTCCCACTGATTCTACATTATGGTAAATGGTATAATAATTTCATTGTATATCACAATGTAATAATAATAGTAATAAAGTGCACAATAAATGTAAAGTGCGTGAGTTATCCTGAAACCATCCTCCACTTTCAGTCCACGAAAAAATAATCTTTTGCAAAACTGGTTTCTGGTGTCAAAAAGATTCCCCAATCTTTTTGTACTCTCCATTGGTCTTGAATACAAAGGCAATGCATAACTGTAGGAGTATAACAACCTGGTTGGATTGGGGAACCTGTTGCAGAGAGTAGTTTTTGACAGGAAATGCACAGGCACAAATTTATGGACCATTACATGGGGCAATAGAGAGTCAAGTTGCATCCATAATGTATAGCCAGCCATATAGCTTGTCTAAATTTGATGTTTACTAGTCACATTCGATTTGAAGACTCTTCAGAGGTGTCATGATGTGAGGTGGTTTATCTGAATGAACAAAGATACATTTGAAAAGAATTTCATAAGCATTTCTCTATGACTTTGCAACAATCTGCTTCTTCTCACCCCCACATGAAATGAAATTAGACTTTTTGTCTCATTACTGAGATTGAATGCTTTCCTTGGTTATTTGTGTGGAAGGGAATATAAATTCTCTACTCCATTTCTGGCTTTTGAAAAGCCTGGCTAAGGAGACATACCTGTGGAAATGAGGAGGTTCTAACCTCATCAGTTTAAGTGGAGACCATTTAAATAATTATGTTGCACCAAGTAATATATTCTGATGTCCTACAAATCAATGCCACTTTTTATGTCTTTTCTTTTTCGTTTGTATTAATGACTTCAATATCCTTTTACTAAAGGTAACCCTAAATATATCGAAGATTAATAATGCCAATCCAGTGTACGTTGATTATGATTGAGTCCTTGATATTCTCTGTATTTTCAAAGAATAAATACCACCTAAATAATACCTCTTTAGTTTTATTATTCACCTTGGAAATATGCACCTTTGGCATATATATGATTGGAAAGGACTCATGAAAATATCCTCAAGAAAATTATAAACCTTAGGATAATATATTGTTTTGAGTTTACTCTTTTAATCTGCAACCCAAGTATTTCCATACAAAAATTGTAAGCTTATTCCTTTGTGAAAAAATTTTACATTGTTTTGCTTATGACTCAAGAAATTCCATAATTTAAAAAATGCATTCCAAGAAAGCCCTGGTAGTAGGGGGAATCAGTAAGTATTAAGCATTTACTATATAATAGTACTCTTGGACTTTTGACAATCACCAAGTTCTCACAACAGACCTATAATATGTGGACCATTAAACTCATATTTCAGGATAAGGAAACAGACACTGAGAGGATAAATTATCAGCCTAGGGTCACGCAGTTGGACAGTAACTGGGTTTCACATCCAGGTCTTACTAAATCCAAAGTTCAATGATCTTACTACCTGTGTAGCCAACAATGACTATGTGGCCTCTAGATTCTCAGGGAAGTGGGAAATGGAGCAGATCAAATATGAACACTTGAGAGAAGAAGCTGGCAGCAGGAGAGTAATAGCGGTCATCTGGAATAGATTGTATCGCTTTTTTCTGTCTTCTTGCAACATTCAGTCTGTATATAGAGGCAGGATGTTAAGTAAGTTCATTTTGGCACAGGATTGAGCTTTCAACACAAAATGTAGTGAGACTAAAAGTTTTTTAAAAACCAAAGCTAGAACATTTAGTGAAATTCTTAGAAAGCCATTATGGCATACTACTTGCAAAAATGACTACAAATCTTCACCCACCCCTGTATCTGCATTCTTTTCAATGCTATTCTTCAGGAACTAGAAGTACCAGGAATTAGGATCTGTTTATTCACCTATTCAATAAAAACTGACTGTATAGCTTTCTTTGTTTAATAAAATGCATACAAAGTAATAATGTACTCTTCATTACTTTTTTATTTTCAGAGAGCTTGTGCTCTTCTAATTTTATCTTGGATCTCACAGTTCCTGTGTATATAAGTCCAGGCTAGTCTGCTCTACCTCACAGCCAGACAACTGAGAACCACTTGAGGGTGACTGTCCTAGACCAGGAAGCTTCCACTGAAACCCACAGCCGATAGCAGATGCAAGAGTAAGCCTAACTTTAAAAGACTAAACTCTTATCAGCATATGTGCCCAAATGGTCCATGACAATAATACCTGGGTTTTTCCATCTTAAGCTTTGGGATGGTTGTTATACAATAATAGCTAAGTAATATAGCTGGTGAGCCATATGGTTTTTTAAAAAAGTAACACATATCCAGAAACTCCATTTCAGGGAAATAGTGAATATCAGTGGTAGAAAGAAATGTCATTCAGAAATTCTCTCTTCCTCTGTGAAAAATACAGAAACATAGTGCTTGAATACGCATTCTGTAGTAATTTATTATTGCTTATAATTCCTAGCATGACTCAGAGATAAGAATAATCGGTATTTTAGTCTTTCCCAGAATTGAAATGTTGGGGTAAGCAAAAAGGTTTGGTAGAAAGAGGTTTATCCCATCTAGAAGCATTACCTAGAAACTAATATCTGGGAGAGTTTATATACAAATGCAATGACATGAGAATTATTCATTGTGTTTAAAATGTCACTGTATAACTCAAACAATGCAATAAGATTTAGCTCATAATTTACAAAAATTATTACATCCCAGGTGTTGTCTTATTATAGCAACTAAAAGAAAGCAATTGTCAGCCTCCCATTTGTGTCTTACCTATATAGACATTCCATTCTAAATGGGTTGAACCTGTTAGAATTGTTGGGAGTTTTGAAATGACAAGTCCAGCAAGAGAAAATAGATTCAGTTTTTGTTGAACGAAAACATCTGAGAAAGCAGAATACCAGTATTCCTGTTCTTTATCATGTAGAAGTTAGAATTTAACGAGCCATTCGATAGACTTGAATTAGTCAGAAGGATTTAAATTTTCTAAATGTCTGGTAGATAAAGAAAAGATGCGTCCTTCAACATACATACGGTTGAGTACAGTTCTATATTTACTTATATATAAACATGTATCTGTGTGTTTAAAACCCTATTTAAATAAAATAAGACATTTGTGATATTAAAATCATAAAACAGGATTATTGAAATATATATGTGAAAGTGAAACAAACATAATTTAAAAGGAGAAAAATAATAAAAATTTTCTGGTTATAGGATGACATGATTGCTATAATTGAGTACAAATTTGAGCATTAAGCTTGCTCAAAGTTCAGGCATAATGAAAAATATTAGGAACTTATTAAGATCCTCCTATATATTAGGCACCTATTTAAGCATATTATCTATTTTATTTCACTTAATATACAACACAATAATCCTATGACAGAAATACATAAGGCTGTATATCTTATTGGTAGTAGAAGAAATACAGGTTTAATACAAGATATTTAGTTCATATCCTGGCTTTGCCATTAAAAAGCCATGTAATATTTTCAGGCCTCGATTTCCTCATCATTGTAATGGAAGTAATAAATAACATATTTATTTATTCTTTTGTGCAGTTAACATATTTGAATACACACTATATTATGAAAAATAATTAAGAAATAACTCGTGTGTGTGTTTGTAATAAAGCAAATTCAACATAAACAAATGTGCCAGGAATTTTTTATTCTTCTTCTAAACACTGGAATAATAAGCAAACTTAGAGGTAGCTCACAGTGTAGAAACAAAGATAACTAGACAGATAATTGAGTGACCAAAAAAGTGGTATGGATAATATATATATTTTTAATTGCTGTATACCAAATTACCAAAAACTTACTGTCTTAACTAATGTACATATATATATACACATATATATACATATATATACACATATACATACATATATATACACATATACATACATATATACACACATATATACACATATATATACATATATACACATATATATACATATATATACATATATACACATATATATACATATATACACATATATACATATACATACATATATACACATATACATACACATATATACATATATACATATATATACATATACACATATATACATATATACATATATATACACACACACACACACACACACACACATATATATATATATATATATACTGTCTTACGGTTTCAGTGGGGTAGGACTACAGGCATGACTTAGGTGAATCTTCTGCTGAGGATTTCATAAGGCTGTAGTCAATGTGCTAGGCAGGCTGAATTCTCATCCAGAGGCTCATCTGGGAAAGAATCTACTTCTAAATTCATTTAGGTTGTTAACAGAACTCATTTTCTTACAACTGCATAACCGAGTACCATGGATTTTGTTGTTTCTTGGCCCAGGGGCTTCTTCAATATGGCTGTTTACTTCCTCATACCCACAAGTAGAGTCTCTAGCTCTAGCTTGTTTATATGGCATTAGTAAAACAGGAGTGACAGCACATCATCTTTGTCATATTCCATTGGTCAGAACAAGTCACAGGTCCTTAAAACATTCAAAAGAGGAGATTATTCAAGGCATAAATACAGGAAGTGAGAATTGTTGAGGGTCACTCTGGGGTCTATTTCTCACAGGTACACAGAAGGGAATATGAAACATGAAAGTAAAGTGTGTCAGAGAGAGGGTCGTAATTAAAATGACAGTATGACATTTGAGGCTATGAAATATGTTTGAAATTTTACCTTGTGAAATGGAATGGCAGGAAGGCAAGAAGGTATTTCAGGTAAGTGTCGTGAAAACTCACCAATGGGAATGTATTTTAAATCTTATTCTCTCTCATACATTCTTTAATAGTGTCCTGTTAAATAGCATAATCAATACATATCTTATGATCTATCGTAATATTTTGATCTATTTTACTTGTATTCACATTATCTTTTTACTTTATTCAACATAAAATCAAATTTATAACTTACCACAATTAAAAATAAAATAAAATATGTATTGGTTCATACTACACTGATATATTTGTTTGCAAAAGCATACTTAAATTTGAAAATGAACTGATATATATGAATATATATTAATATATCATTGTTTACATTTTTTATTCCACTTTTCCTTTATAATTATAGCATTATTTGTGTCCACATTTTATGTGCCCTACTCGTTTTAAAACTTTTTATGTAACATTTATCTGAATCATATATATCTTTCTTTTTTTTTCTTATTTTTTTTTTTTGTTGTTGTTTCTGAGACAGCGTCTCCCCTGTTGCCCAGACTACAGTACAGTGGCATAATCACAGCCCACTGCAGCCTCAATATTCCCAGGCTCAGATAATCCTCCTACCTCAGCCTCCTGAATGGGTGGAACTACAAGCGCACACCACCTCACATGGGTAATTTTTGTGTTTTTTAGAGATGGTGTTTCATCATATTTTCTAGGCTGGTCTCGAACTCCTGGGCTCAAGCAATCTACCCATCTCGGCTTCCTAAAGTTCCGAGATCACAGGCTTATAAGCCACCATGCCCAGACACATATATCTCTCTCAAATGCTTAATCCAAAGCTTTTTTTTTTTTTAACTGAAAGCTTTTTTATTAAAAAAATAGTTTTAATTAAAAATGTTTTTATTGAATCAACTAAGGGCAATGACAAGTGACAACTTCAGTCCTTCAGCTTTAGCATTGATAATGCTGTGTTTGACAATCCCTAAATTATTTTAGCCATGTTACAGAAACAGACAATTAGGACTTTTTACATCTTTGACAGATTGGCTTGCATTCACTTCATCTAAAAGTCAAAGTATTTAGATATAAATTTAAAACTGAAGCATAAAATAGAAATAATAATTTTCACTATTAAAATATTCTTCATCTTTTAGTGGTCACAATAACATTGTAAATGCTTTGAAGAAATATTATAAACCTAGATTGATTATGATAATATAACTATTGTTGGATAGACAGTTGCCAATTATGGTCTAAAAAATCTATAAGTATAAATTACATTCCTTTTTTTTTCTTAATCATATAAATTTAGTGTTTACCAGTAAAAACTTGTGTGTGCATGCTCCCTAAGGTATTGAAAATAATTATTGCAATTTAATTAGACCAATACAGAAAATGAGTCATTCAGTATGTAAAAGTGCAAACTCTGGATTCAGGACCTTTTAGTGCCAACACTTACTCCACCATTATGATCTGTGTGGTCTTAAGCAAATGACTTAAACTTCCTGTTCTTCAATTTGTTCATTTTAAAATTAGGATTAAAATGATTATCTATTTCCTATGTTTATTTTGGAGTTTAGATAATTTACTACGTATAAAAAGTTAAAATAAGTGCATACTTAAAGCTTAAGGATTGCTCAATAAATGTTAATAGTACTATTATTTTTGTAAAATTATGACGATACACAGAGAAATCCAACATGTTTTTATTTCTAGAGATATAGGTCATTTCTCTATAGCACGTTCAAAGAGACAGCTGATTTTAACATTGGCAAAATATGCCTAAAATGAATTAGAGGCAAATTTGGTGTATGCTACTATGGATGTGATCTAAACAACATTAAAAAACAGCATATTTGTCAATAATATTTTTGAATGTAGTAATTGATCATTTAAATGAAAATAATATATTATGGTCTCATCTTTCAATAATTTTGAGAGATTTTTCTAGAAACTATACATTTAACCAAAATCAGTATTTTTATCATCAAAATAATGTTTCCAAGATTTTAGTTTGCAAAAGTTATAGTATATGTGAAAAGTCTCTTATTTTTTAATTCTAAAAACTGATCCTAAAATTTTGTATAGAAAGTAAGTATTTTCACTCTATTAAAAAAATCTAACTCATAAAATTATGTATACTTTAAAAAAACAAGTTAAGTATACTGGGTTATCTTGTAATTGTTTGTCTTCTTATTTATTTATTCATTTATGTATTTATAGTTTGCAGTCAGCTTTCCAGAGCCAGTAGATATAGTGGCTTGTATCTGTGTTGTCACATGTGGGAGTAGTCAAAATTGATTTTGCAATTTCTGTTGATATTGATTAGGAAAGAAACCTTATAAATTTCTCTAAAGTCTTTTAATCTACCTAATTATTCATGAAATAGTAGTGACCCTTGGTATTTTCAAATATACTTAACTCTCTAATCTTAGGCTTTTAATTTATGTAGATGGCTATACCTAGTCAAATCAATAATAAGATCAGCATTATTACAACTATTATGTATCCATAAAAAGTTAAAAAATAAGATCAGCATAAGTTTTATAGAGATATATATTAGTTTTACAGATATACATAGAGGGAGATATTGAATATATCTTACAGATGAGTAAAAATAGACTGTTAATTAAATAATCTATAATGGTAAGTGCTTTTCAGAAATATAATAATAATCTTCCATAGATTTACCATAGAACATTCTTAATTTTAGATTAAGATGGTTAACAAATATGACAGGAGCTTTTTCTTTTTAATTCAATACTTTTTTTTTTTTTTTGAGATGGAGCTTCACACTGTCACCCCGGTTGGAGTGCAGTGGTATAATCTTAGCTCATTGCAACCTCTGCCTCCTGGCTTCAAGCGGTTCTCTTGCCTCCGCCTCCCAAGTAGCTGGGATTACAGGCGCCCGCCACCACGCCCAGCTAATTTTTTGTATTTTTAGTAGAGATGGGATTTCACTATGTTGGCCAAGCTGGTCTCAAACTCCTGACTTCCTGATCCGCCCACCTCGGCCTCCCAAAGTGCTGGGATTATAGGCATGAGCCACTGCGCCAGGCCAATTCAAGACTTCTTATAATCCCTTGGGAAAGGTTTAAATGAATTTGGGTTTGGAAGATATAAAGTAGTCCCCTCTTCTTTTCAAGGAATAGTTCCAAGACCCCCACAATGGATGTCTGAAACTTCTAAGAGTACCAAAATTTATGCACACTATGTTTTTTTTTTTTTAATCTAATAACCAAGATGGCTGCTAAGTGACTATCAGGCAATTAGCACAGACAGCGTGCCTACACTTGATAAAGGGATGAGTCATGTTCCCATGGGACTGAGTGGGATAACATAAGATTTCATCATGCTACTCAGAACACCATGCAATTTAAAACTTATGAATTATTTCTGGAATTTCTGTTTATATATTTAGGCCACAGTTGACCTCAGGTCACTGAAACTGCAGAAAGTGAAGCTGTGGATAAGGAGGAACTACTGTACTTATTTTACACTTTCTGAGTTCCATATTTCTCTCTTTTTAAAATAATTTTCTATTGCAAATATATTCTTGTTTGTTCCATTATCTGTTCAATATCTTTCTCTCTCCCTAGTTCTAATATGGCAGAAAGCATGTCTGTTTCTGATCCACATTGAATCCCAGCAGTCAGTACCTGCCTGGCATATAGCAACTACTCAATAATTGACTGACTGACTGACTGACTGACTGACTGAACAAATGGTTAAATGGATTTGCTTGGGAAATTTCTTACAAATAAAACTTGGGCCAGAAGCATTACATTATCAGCACTCACGCATACTATGATTATTTCAGAAGAAATACTTACACACGTATAATGGATATTTTATTAAAATCATTTGAAAGCAAAACTGGAGGTGTGTCATACAAATAATCAATAAGTTTTTACAGAGTGTATCACTGGTAACTCTGAAATAAAATGTTTTTTCTAAAAGACATTTGGTCAATAAAAATTTGTGATTCCAATTTAAAAAATCCACTGTAAGTCGTAATCTCCCGCTCAGTGGTTCTTTGTTATGAGCCATCCTCCCTACAGTCTAACCTATAGCATACACATTTTTATTGCACCAGGTGTCTGTGGGAATAACTTAAATTTCTTTATGAAATAGAATTTCTTAAAGGGTAGAATTAGAGGCTGAAATTACCATCTGATTGCCTTTAGGCTCTTGCCTCAAGCTAGTGCTTCTTGAGAGAGATATGAACTGTATAACTTTAGAAAAAATGGTAGAAACTGAAATGAACCAGGATAAAGTTGACTCTCACTATTACCATCAGCTTGTAAAGAATCATCCAAGGTCTTGGCTAGGTAATTTTTAATATTGTATTAGGAACATTCACTTTTATAACAAATCAAAGCAATGCTTCTTTTAAGTTCAGCCGCCCTCGAGAGATTTATCTCCAAATAATAAGGAACCTTATCCTATTTCACAGTAGAAGGAAGTTAAATAATAAATGGAAGTTTTGCTTTATTTCTACTGTCCTGTCATACCATTGTTCCAGAGTGTTTCTGTGCTAAATCACAGAATAAAGTCAGCTCAATTCTTTAATTCATAACTGAAAAGATGGTAACCCCATGCCCCATTCTTTTATTTGATAGCAAAATGTTTCCCTTCTTTTCTCTAAAATTGTCAGGAGGTAAAAATTAGACATATTTAAGAGTAAAATAAGTAATAAGGGACCAAGCACAATGATAAACATGTATTCATTCACTCACACATGAATTCGATTGAGTTTTGTGGTGCTGGAGTAGATGGTAGTGCAGGAGTGGGGAGCTGCACATGTGAAAACACATGACATTGTTTTCAAGCACCAACACTCAGTTAAATGAAAAGGCTATTAACTTAAATATCTGTTAAAGAAGAGTCCAAAGGATACATGTCTAAAGAAGAATAACAAATAATGAAGCAATGCATGCTAATTGTTAGGTACTGTTCTAACTTCATTGTGTGTGCTGGTTTGTTAACTCTAACAAAAGCTCTATGCAACCAGTGATATTACTATCCCCATCTTACAGCTAAGAAAGCTGAATTGGATGGAATAGGAACATATACTTCAAGGCCACAAAACAATTGGGGTGCCAGAATTGGACCGCACAGACTGACTCTAGAGTCTGTAGAGTATTGGTTCACATCTAGAATGCTCTTAGCGTGAGGTATTGTGAGCGTTTGACTCCTTATATTCTATGACCTACCACTTTCTCACAATCCCATTACATTCAAGATCATGCTTGTATAGACTGATCTTTTATCAGCATAAATAGCTCTCCTGCTTTTGGATTTACATGGCATGTAAAAGTATAGATGTGGAGGAAGTGAGCAGTGTCCTTAACTCAGTTTTAATTGTTGCTGTTTAAATATACTGAAACAAATAAAAATATAAATTAATAAATCAGTATCGCGAAGCGGGATGGAAAATCTTACAAACTTTTATAGCCAGAAGATGATTTAGAGATAAGGTATTGTGTACAACTAAAATTGGGCCAGGCACGGTGGCTCATGCCTATAATCCCAACAATTTGGAAGTTCGAGGTGGAAGGATTAATGGAGACCAGCCTAGGCAACATGGTGAAACCCCATCTTTCCAAAAACAAAACAAAAAGTCCTAGTGTGATGCTACTTGAAAGGAAGGCTGAGGTGGGAGGATCTTTTGAGTCCAGGAGTTCAAAGCTTCAGTGAGCTATGATCACACCACGGCACTCCACGCTGAGCGACAGAGTCAGATCTTGCCTCAAAAATAAATAAATAAATACAAATACAAATAAAATTAGATATCAGGGCCAAGATTTTGAATGAATAAACATTTGATATGCTATTAAAATATTTTTAAGGAGGTTGTTAGGGTATTGCCTAAAGTCAAAGGCCATGAACTGTCTAAATTTAAATGCTGGCACTTCCTCTTACTAGCTATGTGGGCATTGGGAAAGTAGATTAACCTTTTTCACAATAACATTACATACTATTGTGGTGATTAAATAACTTAATATTTGTATTATAATGAGAGCGTTATCTGGCACTAGTAAACATTCAATAAATCTTGGCATTAGTATTTTGTATTCAAGTATTTAATAAACTCTTTTCTCAAATATAACACAAGACTGGATATATGGGAAAGGAAAGAACATGGAAACAAACTGAATAGGCAAACACATTTTAAATATGGCTACTTGTGGGGATTTATTTACTTGACAAATACTTTATTAATTTCTATTATGAGATAGTCATTGCGTTGGTAATTCCTGGGAGTGATAGATATAAAACATTCTTTGTTAATGTACTTGCAATTATAAAGCATTTGCTTTGCCTTTTTCCCCCATGGTATATATATATATATTCCTACGGACAATATTTCCTATTCATTTTTAGATGTATGAAGATAATGAATATCATTATAATTGAACTGCGTCAGATACATTAAATATTATGAAACATGATAACAATAAAGACATTGAAATATATAACAAGACATATAAACTAAAATAGGCTCAAAATAATTTAACAACAGATATGTTTATAGTAGAAAAATATCATAAAATGATAAATGCTATTAAGGAACAGAAATAAAGAGAATATAAATATCATAAATATATATACACTTCTAAAAATATAGACTCAAAATATATAAAGCAACACATGCTGGAAATATGAGATGAAATAAGCATAAGTGAAAAATATAAAATCGAGATCAGATCTATACTGCATTCTCTACTTGCTTTTGATTAGACCTGTGGTTCTCAACATTTGACTACACATTAAAACTATCTTCGAACTTTTACAAAATACAGATGCCAATAGGCCATCCCCAGGCATTCTGATTTAATTGGTTTGGGGTGCATCCTGGTTATCAGTTATGTTTAAAAGCATCAATGTGACTCTAATGAGCAGTTAGAATTGAGAACCATTGTTACAGCACATAAAGGACTGATAACAAAAATGTCTTTTAATAATTTACATAGATAACTAAGTCAAGATGGGAGAATGAACAAGAATTTAGTTTCAGTGAAATTCTACTAACTTTAGGAGCTCCATACCATTATCAACCTTCTGCTGATAGAATCAGCCTTGCTATAAAGGTAGAACTGATATGGTCTGACAATTTTGAATAAAGAATGTAGTGAATACTAGATAAATCAAAGGAAAAACATAATTGTTTTATTCAAGGTAGGAAAGGAAAAGCCACAAAATGATTAAAATGGTAAATATAAAATATGGGGTTAAGATAAATTAACAATGCACCCCAAAGTGTATGTCCTTATATTTAAAATAAAGATACAGAAAAGGCTAACGATATGTTTATAGTAGAAAAACATCATAAAATGATAAATGCTGTTAAGGAACAAAGATCAAGAGAATATAAATACCTTATAAATCTTTATGCTCTTAACAGTGTAGACTCAAAATATATAAAGCAACAAATAATGTAATTATGGGGCAAAATAAATGACAAATATAGCTGGAAACTTTGTCAACATTAATGATAAATAATGTGAACAAATATTCATTATATTATAATTAATTAATTTGAACTAACATATTTAGAGATAAATTTTATATCCAAAGAGCACAGTAAACAGTTTTCCCTAGCACACCCAGAAAGTGCCAAACATTTACATAATCCAGTCCACAAAGAAAACCTCAATAAATTTCCCATTGATCAACATTACTCAGATTATGTTATCTCATCAAAATGAGATGTTAGACTTAGAAATAGACAACAAAATAATGTTTTAAAATTTAAATTTGTTTCACAAATAAATTATATAACTCATGTTACTTCCATTAATGAAGAAATAATAAGAGAAAGCATAAAGTAAAATTTTTTGAAAGTATAAAGTAAAAATTTAGTGTTGCTTCATCAACACTGAATTAGGTATCCCTACATAAATGCATAAAATGCAGAGTCACGTTATTGTAATATTAATGAATGTCTGAGATTATATTACATGGCTAATATGTTATGAGTTTCCAGATATGACTTATATATTGAAATCTATCCTTTTCTGGGATGCAGTTTGACTCTAACTGGTAGTCATTAACATATATATGGAAATAATTAATATAGAGAAAGATATATATATAAAGAGATATAGATATACATAAAGAGATATAGATATACATAGATATGAAAATAGTAATAGATAGAATTAATATATCTATGGAACTACTCCTGTGAGTGGCTGTAATTTTTAGTTTTTTGAGGCACCTCCAAACTGTTCTCCATAGTGATTGTACTATTTAATAATTTATATTCCTACCAACAGGAAACTAGGGTTCACTTTTCTCCACATCCTTGCCAGTATTTGTTATTGCCTGTCTTTTGGATATAAGTTATTTTAACTCGGGTGAGATGATATCTCATTTTAGTTTTGATTTGCATTTCTCTGATGATCAGTGATGTTGAACACCTTTTCATATACCTGTCTGCCATTTGTATGTCTTCTGAGAAATATCTATTCAAGTTTTTGCACATTTTTAATATAATTATTAGATTTTTTTCCTATAGAATGGTTTGAACTACCTATATATTCTGGTTATTAATCCCTTGTCAGATGGGTAGTTTGCAAATATCTTCTTCCATTCTGCAGGCTGTCTCTTCAATGTTGATTGTAACCTTTGCAGTGCAAAAACTTTTTAACTTGATGTGATCCCATTTGGCCATTTTTGCTTTGGTTGTCTGTACTTGTGAGGTATTGCTGAATAAATTTTTGCCCAGACCAATATCCTGGAGATTTTCCCCAAACTTTTCTTGTAGCAGTTTCATAGTTGGAGGTCTTAGAATTAAATCTTTAATCCATTTTGATTGGATTTTTGTATATAATGACAGATAGGGGTCTAGTTTCATTCTTCTGCTGATGTATACTCAGTTTTCCCAGTACCAGTTATTCAAGAGATGGTCTTCTTCCCAGCGTATGTTTTTGGCATCTTTGTTGAAAATGAGTTCAGTGTAGGTAGGTCAGTGATATGGTTTGGCTCTGTGTCCCCACCCAAATGTCACTGCAAATTGTAATTCTCAATGTTTGGGGAGAGACCTGGTAGGAGGTGACTGGACCATGGCAGCAGAGTTCCCCCTTGCTGTTCTTGTGACAGTGAATAAGTTCTCATGGGATCTAATGGTTTAAAAGTGTGTGGAATTTTCCCCTTCTCCTCTCTCTCTCTCTTACTCTGCCATGGTAAGACATGCTTACTTCCCCTTCACCTTCCACCATGATTGTAAGTTTCCTGAGGCCTCTCAACCATGCTTCCTGTACAGCCTGCTGAAATGTGAGTCAATTAAACTCTTTTTTTTCATAAATTGCCTAGTCTCAGGCAGTTTTATATAGCAGTGTGAGAAGGGACTAATACAGAAAATTGGTACCAAGAGTGGTGTACTGCTATAAATATACCTGAAACGTGGAGGTGACTTTGGAAATGGGTAATGGGCAGAGTTTGGAACAATTTGGAGGGCTCAGAAGAAGATTTGGAGAGCTCAGAAGAAGACAGAAAGATGTGGAAAAGTTTGGAACTTCATAGAGACTCGTGTAACAATTTTTTCCAAAATGCTGATAGTGACATGGACAATGAAGTCCAGGCTGAGGTGGCCTCCAATAGAGATGAGGAACATATTGGGAACTGGTGTTCTGAGCAGTTCCCATTGCAAGAGGTCACTCTTGCAATGCTTAGCAAAAAAGACTGGTGGCATTTTGGCCCTGCTCTAGAGTTCTGTGAAACTTTAAACTTGAGAGAGATAATTTAGGGTGCCTGGGGGAAGAAATTTCTAAGTGGTAAAGCATTCAAGATGTGACCAGATTTTTTTTTTTTTTTTTGAGATAGAGTCACACTCTGTCGCCCAGGCTGGAGTGCAGTGGTATGATCTCAGCTCACTGCAACCTCCACCTCCCAGGTTCAAGCAATTCTCCTGCCTCAGCCTCCCAAGTAGCTGAGATTACAGGTGCTTGCCGACACCCGGCTAATTTTTTGTTTGTTTGTTTCTTTAGTAGAGACGGGGTTTCACTATGTTGGCTAAGCTGGTCTTGAACTCCTGACCTCAGGTGATCCACCAGCCTCAGCCTCCCAAAGTGCTGGGATTATAGGCATGAGCCACCACGCCCAGCCATGACCGGATTGTTTCTAAAGTATTCGTATGTGTGAACAAAGAGATTATCTGAACCTGGAACTTATATTTAAAAGAGAAGCACAGCATAAAAGTTTGGAACATTGGGAGCCTGGCCATGTGGTAAAAGAGAAAAACCAATATTCTGGGGAGAAATTCAAGCCTACTTTATAAATTTACATAAGTAAAGAGAGGCAATAGTTAATAGCCACAACAATGGAGAAAATGCCTCCAGGACATTTCAGAGACCTTCACATCAGCCCCTTCCATGACAGGCCCAGAGGCCTAGGAGAAAAAAAAAAATGGTTTTGTGGGCCAGGCCAAGGGCCCACCTGCTCTGTGCAGCCTTGGAACATGACACCCTGCATCCTGGCTGCTCCAGCTCCAGCCATGACTAAAGGGGCCAAAGTACAGCTTGAGCCATGGCTACAGAGAGTGTAAGACCCAAGTCTTGGCAGCTTCCATGTGGTGTTGGGCCTGCATGTGCACAGAATCTCTGCCTAGATTTCAGAGGATGCGTGGAAAGAACTGTATGTCCAGGCAGAAGTCTGCTGCAGAGGTGGAGCTCTCACAGAGAACCTCTTTTGGGACAGTGCAGAGGGTAAATGTGGGGTTAGAGCCCCCACACAGAGACCCCACTGGGGCACTGCATAGTGTAGCTGTGAGAAGAGTGCCACTGTCCTCTAGAACCCAGAAAGAGAGATCCACCATTGGCTTGCACCATGTGCCTGGAAAAGCTGCACTACTCAACACCAGCTCATGAAAGCAGCCACAGGGGTGGTATCCTGCAGAGCCACAGAGGCAGAGCTACTCAAGGCCTTGGGAGCCCATCCCTTGCATCAGTATGCCCTGCGTGTGAGACACAGAGTCATAGGAGATTTTGGAGCTTTAAAATTTAATGACTGCCCTGCATGTGATCTGTAGCCCCTGTGATTTGGCCAATTCCTCCCACTTGGGATAGGAGCATTTACCCAGTGCTTATACTTTGATTGTATCTTGGAAATAACTAACATGTCTTTGATATTACCAGCACATAGGCTAAAGGGATTTGCCTTGTCTCAGATGAGATTTTGGACTTAAACTTTTGGGTCAATGCTGGAATGAGCTACAACTTTGGGGGACTGTTGGGAAGGCATAATTGTATTTTGAAATATGAGAAAGATGTGAGATTTTGGAGGAGCCAGGGGTGAAATAATGTGTTTGGGCTTTGTGTCCCCACCTAAATCTCATTTTAAATTGTAATTCCAGGTGCTGGCAAGAGACCTAGTGGGGGGTGATTGGATCACGGGGGTGCATTTCTCCCAGGCTGTTATTGTGATAGTGAGTAAGTTCTCATAAGATCTAATGGCTTAAAAGCATGTAGCTCTTCCCCCCACCCTTCTGACTCTCTCTTGCTTCAGTAGAATAAGGCATGCTTGCTTTCCCTTTGCCTTCCACAGTGGTTGTAGGTTTACTGAGGCCTCCTATTCATGCTTCCTGTATAGCCTGTGGACCTGTGAGTTAATTAAACATTTTTTCTTCATAAATTAATAGTATTTTGTATAATCGTTTCATTTTATATTATTACAAATTTAAAGCTGTTATAGTTTGTGTAATTCCTACAGTAAAAGTGACATAAAATCTTTTGAAAAATAAATATAAACTTTTGTAGACATACACAATGGGAACTTGCAATATTTTTAGAATTTTTTTGTGATGTACTAAACATTAACCAGAACATCTTATTCTCTTTTAGATACTTTTTTCTATTTCACCTAAATTTCCTTTTGTGGAAATTTTTACCTAAATTTTTCTTTTTCTTTATATTTCACCTAAATTTTCCTTTTCATGATTTAATATGTTCATCATATTTTTCTTAAAACATGTTTGTTTCCTGAAACCATTCCTTATAAAGCAAACCTCCTAATTCTGTTAAACCTTGCAGTTATTCTTCAGACCATTTGAAGAATTTGAATCACTGTACTTCTTAAAGTGAGAGTATAACACTAAAAATAATTTTTCAAATTGATCTTATGAAGGCTTTGTGTAATACAAATATTATCTTTCCTAATTAATTTCTAATACTTGTGCTTATGTAACTTTGAAATATGCAAGGTGTTTACATTGTGGACTTGCAAAAATGGTCCTACATGTCACTAAACACTATTAGCATTTATAACTAATAACAACATAATGTTGTCATTTTACTTAAGAAACATTTTCATTATTTTAAAATGTAAGATGAGCATACTAAAAGTATATCAACAAAGAGCCACAGCAAGTGCTGCTCTTGCTTATTCATAATAGGGTAATGTAATGTACACAAGTGGAGTTTCCTGCCAACAACTCCATTAGCAAGCCCAAACATCAAAAAGAGTAACTTGACTGAACTCGATGTGAAAACTGTCAATTGAATGACACCAATGGCATCTTTAACAATTTTCTTCTACTTGAAAACACATTAAAAATTATATTGGTGGTTATACTGACAGATTTCAAATAACATTTTATCCTTTAATATGTCTTCTTATATTCTTTTTTAAAGTCTTCAATTTTTAAGTACTTTACATTGTAATTTGTATTTTCATTTTGCTATTCTCTACCACTAACAACTATAGGTAGCAAAAATTGAGAGTTTTGGCCATTGCCACTGGCATAGCATCTTTTAATTTTAGTACCACTTCATGTCACAATTTAAACTGGAACATATTTCATTTTTGTTTAAAAATTATAGTTAGAAGATCCTGAAAATGCCACTCATAAAAAAAAAAATTGGTTTGCCACAGATTCCTCAGTTACTCTCATTTCTCCTAAGTTATTGAGGTAGAAACAGAGGTTAATAATTGGCCCAACATACTCATATATACTCTTCTTCCCCATAATGCATAAGTGTTTTACATTTGTGTATTTCACATTTACATCCTTCTTAATGGAAATATAAGGAATACTTTGTTATATAAAAGAATAATTCATGTGCAACACCTCAAGTTCTGGACAAATTATTTTTCTGTCAGGGAAAACTAGGTCATCAGTGATATCAGTAACATTGTAGGAAATAAAAATTCAGTTCCCAGTGCTATATGCCCTAGGTATATGGACACGTTTATATAATTCCATGGACCATGCAGTTGGCATAAACATGTATTTCATTATGGATGAATTCTGGCACCAAGAAAATTAAGCTTAGTCTAAATCCATGGAATAATTAAAAAACTTAAAATTCTACTATAGCATATCGTCAACAGAACAGGATTTAGTAACTGATTAAAAAAGATTTTTCTACATTCTGATCTCTTCTTAAAATTTAGTCAGCTCAGTTATTCTTTCATGACAGCATTCAGCTCAGTCTCACAACCCCATGGAACTGAATTCTACAAAATCCAAATGAGCCGAAAAACAGATTCTTCCGTACAGCTCTCAGAAACCAATGCAGCCTATAGACATCTATATTTCCGACCACTGAAATCTGTATTAAACTTCTGATCTACAAAACTGTAAAATAATTAAGGTGTATTGTTTTAAGCCAACAAGTTTGTGCCGTTTCTTTGACAGCAGCTATAGAAAATGTATAGACATGCTACCTCATCTAAATCATTATGTTAAATCTGTCTCTAAATACTTCTCAAATCAATCCCCCTCTTTTCATTTACATTACTATCTTAATTTAAGCCATATATTTTTAAATTTTTAAATTTACATATAATTATATATGTTTCAGTATTATATATTTACTAATTTTAATTATGTCCAGAGAAATTGTCCAAGGCTTGGAAATGGGTAAAACAGTTTGCTATTTCCTTTTAGTAGAGTGCTGAGCATTGCCTTGCAGAAGCTCTGGGGACTTTAGAATATGAGTTTTTGGTCTTTAAATACTTTTTGACCAAGTTATTTTACAATTCTATAATGGTAATGTTAACTTGTTGAAATTGATAGCAGTGAAAAGAATTATTGACCATAGGAATGCAAATTATTAATATAATCAATTTCTGCCCTATAGAAAAGATGACCCCACGTTTAAACTTTTTTTGTCCCTTGGAGATAATAACCAGTTTTCATCTATTAGTAAATAAATTTTGGCATTCATGGCTATAATGTAGAGCAAGCATATGATACTCCTGCTTGGGCCAAGAGCAAGACTGAGACACCATCCAACTGAATTGCCGTGAATGCTATTACCCTCACTAGCTAATGAGTTAAAAATCTGACTGGTATGTGATTATTTTATATTTGTAGACATTATTTTCTTAAATTTTAAAAATTTACACTTTATTATTTACTATCTCAAAGTCACATCACCAGTCATGTCCTACTTAAAGACACAAGCAGCTCATTTATCTCTGAATGAAATTCAGATTTCTTTTTTCTTTTTTTCTTTTCTTTTTTTTTTTTTTTGAAATGGAGTCTCACTCTTGTTGCCCAGGCTGGAGTGCAGTGGCTGATCTCGGCTCACTGCAATCTCCGCCTCCCAGGTTCAAGCGATTCTCCTGTCTCAGCCTTCCAAGTAGCTGGGAATACAGGCGCCCACCACTGTATCCGGCTAATTTTTTGTATTTTTAGTAGAGATGGGGTTTCACCGTGTTAGGCAAGATGGTCTCATCTCCTGACCCCGTGATCCGCCCGCCTTGGCCTCCCATAGTGCTGAGATTACAGGCGTGAGCCACCGCGCCCGGCCTCAAATTTCCTAAATTAATATTCAAAGCTCTTCATGGATACATACCTGAAAACGTCTCTTCGACTTTTACCAGTCTCTCCTATTTGTATTTCAGATTCCCATCCCTTTTTACAGGCTGTTACAGGTGTTATGCTCTGCTTCAGCTCTTAATTTTACCTGAACTTCTTCGCCTATTTTCTTCTTTTACCTTCCCCTTCCTTAATTTTCAGTTTCTATTTTAAATGTTTCTTCCTCTTATAATTTTTCCTTGGACACTCCAACCTGGAGTGCCACACTAACAAAGCATATGTCATACTCTGTTTCATCACCGACAGACCCTGTTTGTAAACATGATTGTCGTATTCTTCACTGACATACATCCCCATGCCCCTAACACTTGGCATAGTGTATGCTATGTTATGTGTTTAATTATGTAAAGACTGCTTTCTCTTTAGTTATCTGTTGTCTAATATAAAATTACCTTATAAATGCAATACTTCCTATAACCAAGGAAGCCTTGTTCCACGACCCAGTTGGGAAAATCAATCTCACTGTAAATTTATTTATTATTTTTATGAAAGAAATTTTGGGCTTTTGATAGGAAAAATATGGATACACAAAACATTGTGAGCTTGGAGACATCTATATTATTTTTTAAATCTACTAAATACTTTCGGTTTTTAAAACATATATAGAGGAATCATAAGACACAATATATGTTATTAAACACATTTGAGAGTTTGCTGAATTATGATTTTGTATTTCTGCAACAATAACTAAGATAAATCTTTTTCTCCCTAACTTTATAAAACTTCAATATTAAAAAATAATATTATAATATGATGAGAATATAAACTGCTAAATACTAAATATTTTTTTAAAATATTAATATTATTTTCCTTTAATTCTAAAATTAAAAAGGATACAAACAACTATAACATACTACATAATGAAGATTTCCTTTGCTTAAATTGTAGGAACTATTTTCCCACAGAGGCAAAATATTAAACATATTATATTTTATAAACAATAACAAAACAATAACATAAAAAATTTGATTATGTTTTTAAACGTAAACAAATGTATGAATATACAAGACTTCCCTTTTTCATTTATCTGTCCCTCTTGTATCCAAATCATATTGAACATCTAACATTATTTTCTGATGTTATGTAATTCTTTTCTTCTGGTATTTGAAAGACCAATGTGAATAGCAGAACTACAGGAAGGAAACAAAACATCATTTTTTCACTGATCCTTTAGGGAAGAGAAATATGTTTTCTAACCTCAGTATAAATCAACAGAGAGTTTTCTGTGGACAGCTTATAGTATTTTGACTAGTGTCTCAGAAATGTATGCTCTGTGAGTTTTAAAATTCTTTCAGAATTATTCTCTTCAGCTTTTGAGCCTCTAGAATTTTAAAGTTTAGTTGTGATTTCAAAGTCTCATTATTTCTTCTACACCACACTACCTATTAGATAACAATATAGCAAAGGAATAGCCAGATTTTACAGCCTTAAAATTTTCCCTTTATATCCAAAGTAGTAAAAATTATGAATTGAAATGAAGAGTTGGGAAAAATACAATCCAGAAAAGTAGGATCACATAGTCATTAAACACCATCCTACATTATACTTCTTTTAATAACCTGCGTAATGTGCATAGGTTACACATTTGTTCTCCATTGAGGACATAAAAATAAAATAAAATAAAATAAAATAAAAATTAAAAAGCAAGGAGGAAAGAATAGTGACAGCAGAATATGTTCTTGTCCTGAGAAATTGCCCCTCTGATATTTTAAAATATCCTGAAATTGAACAGAGTAAAATCTCAGGGAGGAAAACTGACTATCTCTGCAATATTTATATCACATACCTTTTGATAGTATTTTTTTTTTTTTACTTAGCTTTTTGCAATAAGTACTTCCATTGTTTATCTTGCTGAATGATAGGGAGATTTTACTTTTTTTTTTTTTCTCTCACGCTTGGTTTTCAAATTCCAAACTCTAATAATTAAGAAATACTTCATTAGCTGATTTCATCACTAAAAAAAGAGGCTAATATAAAAAATATATTGTCAGTTCTGCTTTTAATAACAGCTCCAAATTGCTTTTCTCTATTTCATTGGAAACATATTAATTTCTATAGATTTCTCTTTTATGAACTTCTGGGGAATTTTTCAAATAATAATAGAAAACAACAGTATGGAATCTCATTATCAATTACTAGTTACTTAATTACTGAATTGACAACTTTGGAATGTACCATTGTATTTTTTAAATGAAAAGTCTGGTTTTTAATTTGTTATAGAGAGTTTGCTATTTAAAATGAAATGAACATTTTATATATTAGCTGGAAAAATGTTAAACAAATAAATACTGTAATATAGATTTTCTTTGGTCTTGTATTAATATTTAGCAAAACTGAAACAATTATATAAATGTATGTTCCTAGGAAATAATAAGAATATCTAGATTGTAGATTATAATTATTGTCACCAATAAATTAAACATAAATTGAGTGCTTATGAAGTATTCAAGTTACCATAGTAGAAAAACAATAACACGTTATAAATAATTAATATTTAATCTGTCTGTTAAGAGATAACTTCTTTGTCCCAGCAGGCTGAGTGGATAACAACATTTGTTAATGATGCTATCTGAAAGAGTATGAAGGCTGATGATTACAAAATTTCTTTTATGTTTTTTGTTAAAGCCCATTTTTATTCACAAAAGACAGAGTTTTTCAATTTGCCTTCATATATGTATATTATTGCATCTCTATTCAATATCAAAAAATAAAATAATTTTATGTTTAGCATATGGAAAACACTCGATAAATGATTCCAGTGAAATTACTGATATATTCAAGAGTAGATTCAACAAAGTCTTCTGAGACAGAGGCCATTATTCTGTTTAACAGTACTGACCTAGATATAATAAGGTAGAAAGGGGCATAAAGATTATGTACTTTAGTCAACTTATTTTACAGATAAGAAAACTGTGAGCTGAGACCTACAGAGGTTAGTTTATCTCACAAAAGTTTGTATAGCTAGTTATTGGCAGAATTACTACCAAGACCTGAGTTTTCTGAGCCCATTTCAGTATTCTACTAAGCCATGCTAGACTTCTTATTTAATAAAACCAAAATGTTATTTTTTAAAATATGCTACTAACACTTATTTTATATTAATCTTATTGTTTTAGGAAAATAGTAATACTATTTCCTTCATATGATAGTACATATTTGTAAATTACTTTATTCAGGGAGTATAATCAAATATTCAATATTTCCAAATAAATTTCCAGGGTACATTTTAAGTGAATATTTGAAATACCAACACAAGTGAAATGAGAAAGTGTGAAGACATCTGTTCTCTGATTCTTGAAAAATAACTATCTCAAATACTCTTCAGAATTTGTTGAGCACGTACTATGTAGCAGGCACCGTACAAGGCATAGAAAAATCAGACCAAACAGATACAAAGTTTACACCATGACTGATTTTGATAACTACACTAGGGTGATTAGAATTTTCTGGAAAACTCTGAGATGTCATTTTTATACTGGAGCATAATGAAGATCAACATTGTATTTTACATAGATTATTTAGACAAGTGCAAGATGAAGTATATTGGGCCAAAATTAAAAGCAACAAAATAAGCGGAATTAGCACTCAGAGAATTAACATGGACGGTTTCCAAAGTAGTCATGTGTGAATGAAAAGGCAATGACAGTGAACATAAAGAGGAGGTAAATGCCTCAAGACATATTAAGAAAATAAAATACCAGGTTTTGATGACTAAACAAGAAAATGAGATGGAAAAATCATCAAGAATACACCCTTGATGCTTGGCCCTAACAGTGTGGATAGTCATGCATTTAGCAAGAAATAAAATACAGAAGGAGAATTCATAATTACTGGAAGTAAAAATTATAATTTCCATTTTAGACAGTGAGTTTGAGGTGCCTGTGTATCATTCAAATGGTGATGACAACTAATAGAATTCAGAAATGTGGGTCCAGAGAGTTAAAGTTTTGGAAATCATCAACATATATATGTGGTAGCAGAAATTTGGGATATAAATAAAATATCCTAGGATTTTGATATAAAGCAAAAGAACATTGTCTAAGAATAAAACGCTGTTCTATGTTTACGTTCAAGGGACAATCTGAAGAATGGTTACTTGAAAATGAAATAATGAAGTAACTGAAATAGGAATGATAGCAAGAAAAACTGTGAGCAGCACAGCACACTCCAAACACTAGGTGGCGCTCAAGGTTCCTCTTTGCTAATATTTTTCCATTAAGGATGGGCCAAGTTAAAGGGCAATGTTATTTTTCTACACAAGATGTGGCATGGTCTTCTTTTTGAGATTTGTTTCTTTAGTTTTTCTCTTATTTCCCAGGAATATGGCCTTCAGGCCAAAGTGTTAACTTAAGTCAGTAAAATTTTGGGTATGTGATACCCAGATGAGCTCTAGGCATTAAGGCAAATCAGTCCCCACCTTGCTGCTGCCTTCATTAACTTCTATCGCCATTATTTTCCTAAACTGTAATTTTTTGGACCACCTGCATCAAAATTATCTAATCCAACCACCGATATACTGAATCAGAATGAAGTGGAGGGGGAGGTTTCCTGGTAAAATGCATTTAAAATAAGCACTTCTTATGATTGTTAAGTTTCCTAGTGTTTAGAACAATTGATTCAGATGTGAAATATAAACATGGGCCTAAAAAAATGGGCCATAAATTTCAGGATCTAAACCTGCCCTGTTCAATACAATGTCCAGTAGCCACTTGCTACATGCAGCTATTGAGTACTAATATTATTTACTAGTGAATGAAGAACAGAATCTTTAATTTTATATAATTATAATTAAATTTAAATTTAAAACCTTATGCCTCTATCAGTAAAACTTTTGAGTATATCTGGAACAACTGGTTTATATGAACCTATTTTTAATACTGTAAATATTGTAAACATTACATACATGCATTTCTGATAAAAATATGACATATGAATTGATATGTGCTATGTTTAAGTACAAACTGGATTTTAAAAATTTGACATGAAAAAAGAATGTAAAATATTCATTAATAATTTTTATGTTACTTGTTGCAATGATACTGTTTTCACCATATTGAGAAAAATTAAGTATAAATATATATACATAATTTATAACCATCACATAAATAATAAATACATAACATCTAAATATTACATATAACAATACATGCAAAAAGTATATAATGTGGACATTTAATATATATATTTATATTATATTGTATTACAAAATAAAACATTTTATTACATATTAGATAATATAAATATAGAAATATATAATAAATATAAGTAAATAAATAAAATATATTACAAAATTAATTTTTATTTTTTTGTTGCTTCTAAATGTGGTTACTAGACACTTAAAATAACATATGTAGTTCACGTTTTACTTCTATTCAACATCATTGAACTCAACAAAAGTAATTCCATATGTGAGGTTTCTACTGCTGCATAACATATTATCAAAAATCTAGTGTCTTAAAACAATCACATTTATTATATTATAGTTTCCATGATTTAGATGTCTGGACATAGATGAGCTGTATCCTCTGTTCAGGATGTCACGATCACTGTTACCCAGGCTACATTCTCAACTGAAGGATCCACTGGAAAAACAAATCCCTTTCCAAGTCCATTCAGGTTGTTAGCAGAATTTATTACATTGTGACTGTAAGATTGAGACCTTCAGCTCTTACAGGTAACCTGTAGTTTTTTGCCTTGGAAGCTTCTCTGTAGGTAATTCATAACACAATGACTTGCTTCTTCAGAGCCAGCAAGGAGCAAGAGCAACTCTAGTGACAGAGATTTACAGAACATAATAGCATCATAGGAGTGATATCTCATCACCTTTGTTATAAAATGTAACCTAGGTATGGGAGAGATATTCCTACATCATTGCCATTTTCTATTGGCTAGGAACAAGTCACAGGCTCCAATCACACCCAAACAGAAGGGATTATACAAAAGCATGAACACCAGTAGGCAGACATCATTGAGGATTACTGTAGGGTTTGTCTGCCATGTATCTGTAGTTTCATATCCATCAATGTTAGTAACAGACCACACTGTCAGTGAGCATAAGAAATTTTCCTGTTGCTGAGCTTTCATGAGGTTAATTGAATTGTACTTCAGCACTCCTCTTAGAACAACTCTGCATTACATATTAATATAATCATGAATGTAATTAGCTCTAGGTATATAGAGAAAAAGTAAAGTTGTTTCCAGCAACACAAATTGCAAGTATTTATTTCATTTTTTTCATATAAAGACAATAACTGAAAAGGTAATACAAATATGTACGACAATATGTAATTAAAATAATGCTGCCGTTGAGAGAAAAGTAAAGACCATTTTTCTTAGGCAAAACTAGGTCAATTCATATTGTGGATATATTTAAGCTTTATTGCTACTCACCTAACTCACCTTTTAGCTACATTCACATTAATGGAAAATTTAAAAAATTTTGGAGAAAATTTAATTTTATTATTTCAATTATGAAGGCCTCTATCTCCCAACACTTTTTTGTTGATAGTAATTTTATGCTAATATACATTCCCTAAGAGCACAATTGCTACAGCAGAACTGTGCATGATTGATAAATAACCTTACATAAAACAACCCTAGCACCTGTGGCAGAGATGATCCTTGGTCAAATAGTTGAGGATCCCCTGAGACTGGATGTAGATTCCATAGGTCGGGAAGAAATGGGTTTTCCTCTCCACAGGTTGGGGAGAGTGCATTTTCCTCTCTAAGAAAACTGAACTTGCAAAAAGAGATTTCAACAATTTTATGTATTTGTATGATAGGAAATCTTGTAATTTCAAAAACATGTGAATCATTTGCATACACTTACATGAGATTAGTATTTTTTATCTGTGGTATTAGTAAAGTTTAATCTTTGGCGCAAACAGGATGGAAGCATAACATACTAACATCTAAGGTAATACTAGATGGAGCTGAATAAAAATGAGTGCATGGCAAATAATAAAATGAAACATACAATCAATAGCTATTCAAGTGAAGTATTAATACAAAATATGTTACATGGGAAGTAATTTTCTTCCTATTGCATAACATTCCAATTATAAATTTATCTTGGTTGTATAGATTTTCTATTTATTCTTCATCTTAAAAATAATAATTTTGACTTTAATTTTTGATCATTTTTTCTAATATTATAAAATTTCAATAATTATTTTGTAGTTTGTATCTTTAATTCTTACATGAAATAAATTCATTGGCTAGAAAGAAACAGTATAAATTCAATGAGTTTAATAATTATTAGTAGTAATATAAAGTCAGGATATTTATAACGGTAACCCAATAAATGTCAGCATTTATTAAGAAGAAAATAGGGAAGTTTAACAATAGAAGCAGAAAAAATATCAATATATTCTTACACTTACAATATATTTTTTTGGTTACTGTTTGTTTGTGGCATTTTTATAAAATGAGTAATAGGAGGGGTATTTAGGAGAACACAGATATTTCAAACAAAATTTTAAGGTACTGTTACAAGGTACTAAAAACATAATTGATTACTAATAGAGAAAATTAGCATTACAATGAGCTTCTATATTTGTTGAATAAGAACAGTATTTTAGAAAAGAGCATAGTAGGCTATATTACAACTGAGAATATAATATTACAAATACTGTACCACACTTCAAAAACATATATAGTTCTCTTTTATGAGTTAACAAGGACAATTTAACAAAATCTTTAAAACTTTTATTTTGACAACATAAGAGTTAATGTTTAAATACATCTAGGGCTGGTAGTTGAAGAGACTTATTAAAAAGAAACTGTCAGTAATATTATTTACTTTCTCACTGGTGAGAAAAGAGCTGCATCATTAATTGCACTAGTTTAATTGTCAATCTATTATTTCATGATTTCATATTATATTGATAACTTGGGACATCCTATCAAAAATATTTGGTTAGGAAAGGTGAACAAATAATCTCACAATCTGAAATTATATTATGTCATATCCTTTTATTTAATGCTATATTATATTATAGGATATGTTTATTTTTTATTTTAATTAGTGCTGTGTAATTAATCATCTTTAAACTTCATCATATAAGATAACCATTTTCTTATTTTTTTAATAATCTTCTTTGTCAAGAATTTTGAGCAGGGATTGGCTGGGAGGCTGTGTTTATGGTTTCTTTTTCAATATTTTTTAGTTTATTTTATTTACTTTTAAAAAATTTTACTTATTTATTTTGTATTGGAACAGGAATTGGCTGGGTGGTTATGCTTAATTTATTGCCAGCTGCAGCCCCTCAAAAGGCTGCATCAAACTGATGGCTGAGCTGGACTGAAACATCCTAGGTGACTTCACTCTCATGTCCGCTGTTTCGGTTTTCCTCTATGTTGCCTCTTCATGCTGTTAGTTTGAGCTTTACCACAGCATGGTACCTTCTGGGTAGTTGAATTTCTTATATGACAACTAGATTCATGAGTGAAAATTGTAGTGATAGGGTTTTTAAGCGATCAACCTGCAAAAAGCCTTAGTATTACTTTTATTATATTCTATTGAACAAAAAGAGTTCAAAATTAGCCTCAATTCAACTGCTTCAATCTTATTAGAATATTTAAAAAAAATCTCTGAGTGATTTGATTTCTGTCTGTCTCTACAACATTTTGTTACTTTTTCTTTCCCACTATACCCTGGAATTAGCATTCTAAAATCGTTCCTCCAAAAGAAAGCTTTTGCCATCTAGGGTCTTCATGTATGTTTCCTTATTCTTAGAATGCTGCTATGTGATACTGAAAGCCCAGCACAAATGTTACCTGTAGCATGCCATTTTCACTATCTTATTTTACTGGGTATCGCACTCAACTCTTGATTATTGTCTTTTATTCATAGTTTTCTTAATGATTTATGATTATATCCATATTTATATCTAAACATAAATACATAGTTTATTTGTCCATTTGTTCATTGTCTGTCTTCTCCATCAAAATATAAGCTCCACAAGAAAACAGCAATGACTGTTTTATAAATTTTTGTTTAGAACATAAGTAACATGCCACTGTATCAAATGTTTATTAAGTAACATACCATTGTGGCAAACGTTTATTAAATGTTTATTAAAGAAATGACAAGAAAATAGGGTGATAATATAAAGTTAAATGAAAAAAAGAGATTTTAAATCTAAATGAGTGAAATGAAACTTCCGTGTGTGTTTGTATGTATGTACTTGTGTAGGTGTGTAATTGTGTTGAGAAAGTCTGGAAGATTTACCAGAATATTAGTCTAACATTTGATCTTTGGAGAGTGGTATTGTTAGTGAATGTTTAACTATTCCCTCTTTTACTATTTTAAAAAAATTAAATATGGATGTATATTTATTGTAATAAACATGAATTTTGTCTCATGTTACTCTTATCATACCTTAAATTCTTTGTGTGCCAGATGAGTATTCTAACTCCCATGGCTTATTTTCACTACAACCTATTTTCCTGCATCATAGAAATAACTCATGCTATAGTTATGTATAAGTTGAAGCTAATTAGGTTTAATCAATATATTAATTTTCTTTAGGGAAGCATTCAAGTAATTGTATAAACCATACAGAAAATTAATACCCACTTTGCCCTTGGCATAACACTTTCTCCTCTGCTATTTAGTAAAAATGGATCACATAAATGTTAAATTTGTGCTATTCTGCTGACAGTGAAACTTAAAGAAAGCTCTCATGCTATTAAGCTAAAGTTGAAAGAGTAGAGCTAAAGAAATTTCTCCATTGTAAGAGAAATGTGAGCTTTGTAGAAAGCAAATTGGCTAGGAGAAATTCAATGAGGTGCCATCTAAAATGAGTAGATAAAGTAAAGAGAGTGCTTTGTAGAACCCGAGAGAAAGCAATTTAGATATTTGTGGTGATAGCTCAGAAGCTTGGATGCCTAGAAGTAAACTAAATCTGAAACTACTTGAAGGATAGTGAACAGAAACACTCTGTCTTGTATCATTTTTGTGTTTATCTTTGCTTGTTGATCTGTCGTCATGGTTAATCATTTGTTATCTGTTGCATCTTTCCATTAAAAATAGTGGAAGAACAAAGATTAAAACTCCAAAAGCCAAAGTAGCTTCTATGAATGGGAATATTCTCTGCATGTCCAGTATTCATGACCACTGCTTAACTTTTCATTCTCTTTCAAATACCACTGAAAACATTTTGATGAAGTTACCTCCAAGCCTGTATTCATTTATGTTCTGACATTAAATATTGCTTGAAATGTCCAAAGAATTAAACTTCTATGTTAAATGTCTTTGCTAAATAATAGATCTAAACATCTCATTATGTATGAATCCATAAATTTTCCTCTGTCATTTATTATTTACAATCAGCAGAAAGTCTGTTAAACCATGTATATACATTATCTAATTTAATGTCTGTGAACACTGAATAAGCTCAATTATATCAAACTCCTTTTAAAGGTGAGAAAGTGAAGCTCAAAGATCACTGAATTTTTTTCTAACTTTGAACTAGTAATAGAGAAAGCTGGTATTTGAATCACTTCTCCTTAGGCTGAAATCTAGATGAATTAATGATTTAAATATTAAAAACAAAATCATCAATGTTAGAAATTTGAACAAGTTTTTAATTTTAGCATTAAAATGGTTTCCCAAAGCAAGAAAATCTAATGCAAGAATGTGTAATGATAAATTTGACTACCAATAGTTTTAAACTACCTGGCAATAAATGGAGCATGCCAGGCGCAGTAACTCCCACTTTTAATCTCAGCAACTTGGGAAGCTGAGGCAGGAGGGTCAATTGAGCTCAAGAATTCAAGAGCAGCCTAGGCAACTTGGTGAGACCTTTCCTCTACTAAAAATAGAAATAAAAAGTTAGCTAGGTGTGGTGGCACATACCTGTAGTGTCAGCTCTTCAGGAGGCAGAGGTGGGAGAATCACTTGAGCCTGAGATATTGAGGCTGCAGTGGGCCAGTGATGGTGTCACTGCACTACAGCCTGAGCAACAGAATAAAACCATGTCTCTATTTAAAAAAATAATAATAATAATAAATAAAAAATAATAAATAATAATAAAAGATAATAATAATAATAATACAACCGCATGTTGTATTAAATAGCAACATTTTTAATTGAGAACCAATGTTAGCAATTTAAAAAACACAGCTAATAAATATAGAAATAGAGACAGGACATATACATTGCAAAACAAGGAATACAAAGGGAGCATTAACTCATAAATATATGCTGAAATATGTAGTAATTAGATATGTGACTATTTTAAGATTGAAAAATCATTTTAACTCATGAGATAGATATCATCAAGAAAAGAAATAGAGACAAAAATATTTACAAAAAAGAGAAGTTTACTTTGAAAAAGGTGAACAGAAGTTGAGGATTTAAAAGCACTGCTCACCAAATTTTGAAAAAGAAACACACAATAGTCACTGAATTAAAAAAAAAACACAGCAGAATTATCAAATTTACTGTGTTTACAGTTAGCCTATTTATGGTGAACAATTTTCCTACATCATCATCATAACCAATAAGGTCATATCATACCTTTAGATAAAAACTAAGCAAAATAAATAAAAGCGTTGTCTCATTTAGGAACTATCAATTTATGGAAAAATGCCTGGTATTTTATTAAGTTTGGAGCCTAGAATTAAACAGAATGACCCAATTATTTATAGTTTATTACTCAGTGAAAAGTGTTTTGTTTCATTTTGTTTTCTGGCTGTGGGTTATAATGAACATGCCTAACAATAATGGATTCAGATCAATGTCAATATTATTTCCACAATTTAAAAAGTGAAACAGGTTTGTATTGTGAAAGGTAGGAAAATGGGCAAAGTCATACACAGCTAGTATACCAGCAAATTGGCATGTTTTTCCCACGTTAAAAAAGATCTTCAAAATATGCATACATTTAACACAGGAATTTCCTTCCTGAAAAGTAATATAGAAATAATTGGACAAATGAACCACAATTTGTGCTACAAGATGGTCATAATGATGTTGTTTATAATATCTGAATATTGGAAACAACATCCACATGTCAATTTTCAAGGCTGGGTTAAATTTTAGCATATTTATTAAAATTCTAGCATATTCATTTAAAATTATGCTGCCAATCTCTTTCATGGAGATTAGCCAATAAATATAATGAAGTAATAAATTCAAAAACTTGTTTGATCCTTGTTTTGAAAATACTTACCTATCACTCTTAAAGGTAAGTATGAATATGAAAGACTATACATAAAATGTTTGCTTTTATTAATAATAGATAATCGTTTTTTGACCATTTGATATTCAACATTACATCTTAAACATAAAATAATGAATATGCAATTTCTAAAACATTGTCAGAAGTGTGACAATATTGAATTGTTTTTTTCTTTTCTTTCAACTTTTGTTTTAGGTTTGGAGGTACATGTGAAGGTTTATTATATAGGTAAACTCTTGTCATGGGGGTTTGCTGTACAGATGACTTCATCACCCAGGTGTCAAACATAGTACCCAATAGTTATTTTTCCGGATCCTCTCCCTCTTTCTACCCTTCACCCTCAAGTAGAACACAGTATCTGTTGTTCCCTTTTTTGTGTTCATGAGTTTTCATCATTTAGCTCCCACTTATAAATGGGAACATGTGTTGCTTGGTTTTCTATTCCTGAGTTAGTTTGCTAAGAATAATAGCCTCCAGTTTCATCTATGTTCCTGCAAAAAGACATAATCTCATTCTTTTTTATGGCTGCATAGTATTCCATGGTATATATGTATCACATTTTCTTTATCTATTCTGTCATTGATGGGCATTTAGGTTGACTCCATGTCTTTGCTATTGTGAATAGTGCTGCTGTGGAACATTCATGTGCATGTGTCTGTATGGTAGAATATTTTATATTTCTCTGAGTGTATATCCAGTAACAGCATTGCTGGGTTGATTGGTAGTTCTGTATTAGTTCTTTGAGGAATTGCTATACTGCTTTCCACAATGGTTGAATTAATTTACACTCCCACCAACAGTTTATAAGTGTTTCCTTTGCTCTGCAACTTCACCAGCATCTGTTATTGTTTACTTTTTATTAACAGCCATTCTGACTGGTGTGAGATGATATCTCATTGTGGTTTTGACTTACATTTCTCTAATGATCAGTAATATTTAGCTTTTGTTTTCATATGCTTGTTGACTGCATATATGTTTTGTTTTTAAAAGTATCTGTTCATGTTCTTTGTTCCCCCCCCCAACCTTTTTTTTTTCTTTGAGACGGAGTCTCGCTCTGTCACCCAGGCTGGAGTGCAGTGGCGCAATCTCGGCTCACTGCAAGCTCTGCCTCCTGGGTTCACGCCATTCTCCTGCCTCAGCCTCCCTAGTAGCTGGGACTACAGGCGCCTGCCACCACGCCCAGTTAATTTTTTGTATTTTGAGTAGAGACGGGGTTTCACCATGTTAGCTAGGATGGTCTTGATCTCCTGACCTCATGATCCGCCCGCTTCGGCCTCCCAGAGTGCTGGAATTACAGGTCTTTGTCTACTTTTTAATGAGGTTGTTTTCTCTTATAAATTGTTTAAGTTCCATATAGAGTCTGGGTATTAGACTTTTGTCAGATGCATAGTTTGCAAATACTTTTCTTCCATTCTGTAGGGTGCCTGTTTACTCTGTTGCTAGCTTCTTCTGCTACGCAAAAGCTCTTAAGTTTAATTATATTCTGTTTGTCAACTTATGCTTTTGTCGTGATTGTTTTTTGTGTCTTTACCATAAAACCTTTGCTTGTTCCTTGTCCGGGATGGTACTGTCTAGGTTGTTTTCCAGGATTTTTATAGTTTTGTGTTTTGCATTTAAGTTTTTAATCAATTTTGAGTTGATTTTTGTATATGGTATAAGAAAGGTGTCCAGCTTCAATCTTCTGCCTATGGCTAGCCAGTTATCACAGCATCATTTAATGAATAGGGAGTCTTTTCCTCATTGCTTGTTTTTGTCATCTTTTTCAAAGGTCAGATGGTCATAGGTGTGAGACCTTATTTCAGGGGTCTCAATTCTGTTCCATTGGTCTATGTGCCTCCTTTTGTACAGGACCATGCTGTTTTGATTATTGTATCCTTGTAGTATAGCTTGAAGTTGGGTAACATGATGTCTCTAACTTTGTTCTTTTTGCTTAGGATTGCCTTGGCAATTTGGGCTCTTTTTTTTTTTTTTTTTTAGCTCCAAATGAATTTAAAAATTGTTTTATCTAGTTCTGTCAAGAATGTCAGTGGTGGTCTGATAGGAATAGCATTAAATCTCTAAATTGCTTTGGGCAGTTTGGTCATTTTAGTGATATTGTTTCTTCCTATCCATGATCAAGATGTTTTTCTATTTGTGTCTTCTCTAGTTTCTTTGAGTGGTGTTCTGTAGTTCCCCTTGTAGAGACCTTTCACTTCCCTAGGTACCTGTATTCCTAGGCATCTTGTTGATTTGTGGCACTTGTGAATAAAATTGCCTTACTGGGTTTGTTCTCGGTTTGGCTCTTGGTTTCGCACTGGATTTTGATATATAGGAATGCTAGTGATTTTTGCACATTGATTTTGTATCCTCAAACTTTTCTGAAGTTCTTTATCAGCTAATGGAGCTTTTGAGTTGAGACTATGGGGTTTTCTGGATATAGAATAATGTCGTCAGCAAGCAGGGATAGTTTGACTTCCTCTCTTCCTATTTGAATGCCCTTTATTTCTTTCTCTTGCCTGATTGCTCTGGCTAGGACTTCCAGTACTATGTTGAATCAGAGAGGTCATCTTTTTCTTGTGCCAGTTTTCAAGGGGAATACTTCCAGCTTTTCCCCATTCAGTATGATGTTGGCTGTGGGTTTGTTATAAATGGCTCTTATTATTTTGAGGTATATTCCTTCAATACCTATTTTATTGAGAGTTTTTAACATCAACGGGTGTTGAATTTTATTGATAGCCTATTCTGCATCTATTGAGATAATTATGTGGCTTCTGTCTTTAGTTCTGTTTATGTGATGAAAAACACTTTTTGATTTGTGTATGTTGAAACAATCTTTCATTCCGGGAATGAAGCCCTCTTGATTGTGGTGGATTAGCTTTTTGATGTGCTGTTGGAGTTGGTTTGCAAGCATTTTATTGAGGACTTGTGCACCACTGTTTACCAAGAATGTTGGCGTGGAGTTTTCTTTCTATCTCTTCCAAGTTTTGGTATCAAGATGATACTGGCCTCACAGAATGACTGGAAAGGAGTCTGTCACATCAGTTTTTTGACATAGTTTCAGTAGGGATTGTACTAGCTCTTCTTTGTACGTGTGGTAGAATTCAGCTGTGAATCTGTCTGGTCCTGGGCTTTTTTTGGCTGGGGAGGGTTATTGACTTTAGGGGCAGTTGTGTGATATAAATAAATGCTGGGGTAGGTTGGGGTAGCATAGGGGAAGAAGATTTCCCCAAGATTCACTTTCCAAATGCCAGATATATGAAGATGCCACTAATTCTGAATTTCGTTTTTTCTTTAATAAAGCACACTTAAATTTATTTAATTGAATGAAGTTTTAAATAAAAAAGTATTTTATTAAAGGATGACATTATATAAAAATAAAAAATTACCTCCTATATATCAGCTATAGAATATGAATCACTTATTTCCTTTTGAAATTGATGGTTTACTGTGATGTTTTTTGTTACTTGGAAGATTCAGCTGCTCAGTGAAGCTCTGTTCGTTTCAATGATTTCAAATATCTCTTGGAACATCTCTGAGAAACTCATTTTACAGTTCTATCAAGCCCTGGTGAGTTTTTGACCCTTATCACTACTTCTGGTTATAAAATTAATGAGCAAATATTTTTGATCACTGGATTCTTAACAGGCACTGAACAGAAAATATGTGTCTATTTTCTTTATGTGTGGAGTACTGATTTTCTCTCAGTGAAAATTGTTAATTATCTTCAACCGTGTCAACCATAGATGCTTTAACTTTGTTTCACTCAGAAAACAATTTTTATGACGTCATGATCTTAACTGTGGTGAGATGATATCCCATTGTAGTTTTGATTTGCATTTCTTTGATGATCAGTGATGTTGAACACCTTTTCATATGCTTATTTGCCATTTGTACGTCTTCTTCTGAGAAATGTGTATTCAAATCTTTTGCCCATTTTTTGACGGGATTACTCGATATTTTTTCCTATAGAGTTGTTTTAGATTCTGGTTATTAATCTTTTGTCACATGAGTACTTTGCAAATATTTTCTTCCACTATTTGGGTTGTCTCTTCACTTTTGCATGTATCCTTTGCTGTGCAGAAGCTTTTTAACTTGATGTCTTCTCATTCGTCCAGCTTTGTTTTGGTCCCCTATACTTGTGGGCTATTTCTCAAAATGTTGGCCAGACCAATGTCCTGAAGATTTCTTCCAATGTTTTCTTCTAGTAGTTTGAGGTTTTAGATTTAAGTCTTTAACCCACTTTGATTTGATTTTTGTATGCCAAGAGATAGGGATCCTGTTTCATTTTTCTGCATATGGCTATCCAGCTTTCTCAACACTACTTATTGACAGGATCATCTTTCTCCCAGTGTATTTTCTTGTCACCTTCATCAAAAAGAGTCTCCTCTAGATGTGAAGATTTGTTTCTGAGTTCTGTATTCTGTTCTATTGATCTATGTGTCTATTTTTATGCCAATACCATTCTGTTTTGACTACTATACCTCCGTAGTGTAATTTGAAGTCAGGTAATGTGATTCCTCCAGTTTTTGTTCATTTTGCTTAGGATACCTTTGGCTATTCTGGGTCTTTTGTGGTTCCATATAAATTTTAGGATTTTTTTTTCTATTTCTGTGAAGAATGTTATTGGTACTATGATAGAAATTATATCGAATCTGTAAATTGCTTTGGGTGGTATGGATTTTAATAATATTGATTCTTCTGAAACATGAACAACAAACATATTTTTTGATAGTCTTCAAATTCTTTCATCAGTGTTTTATAGTTTTCATTATAGAAATATTTTACTTCTTTTGACAAGTTAATTCATGGGTTTAATTTTATTTGTGGGATTACTTTTTTATTTCTTTTTCAGATTGTTCAGTGTTGCCATATAGAAATGCTACTGATTTTGTATCCCATGATTTTACTGAATTATTTATTAGTTCTAATATATTTGTGGAGTCTTTAGGATTTTCCAAATATAAGATTATAATATCTGCAAACAAGAATAATTTGACTTCTTCCATTCTAATTTGGATGCTTTTATTTCTTTCTCTTTTCTGATTTCTCTGGATAAGACTTCCAGTACTATGTTGAATGACAGTGGTGAAAGTGGGCATCATTGTAATGTTCCAGGTCTTACAATAAGGACTTTCAGTTTATCCATATTGAGTATGATATTAGCTGTGAGTAACTCACCCACGGCTTTTCTCAAGCAGAAGAAACCTTGTTCCATACCCAGCACAGCTGGAAATGTGCTGAGACTCACCTGAAGTCAGTAAGTCTCAGAGCCTCACCCAAAGGCCCTTGACGTACTACCTGGGTAATGCTGCTGCTGGTTATTCGGAACTTAAGGTCTCTTCAGTTAGAAGGCAATAAATGCTGCCAGGACTGGGTCCTTTCCTTCAAGGTAGTAGGTTCTCTTCTGGCTCAGAATGTGTCTAGCAATGTCATCTGGGAGCTAGGGCCTGGAAAGAGGGCCTCAGGACTCTGACTGCTGCCCTTTCCAGCTGTGACTGAGCAGGTATGCAAGAAGCAAGATAAAATACTCCCCACTCTTCCCTCTCTTCTTCTCAAGCAGAAGGAAGGGTTCTCTTTAGGAACTGTGAGCTGTGCAGGCTGGGGCTAGGGCAGCCTTCACTATCCTGGCTGGTGTCTCAATAGGTCACGTGACCATGTAGTCCACTGCCTCCGGAACCAGTTCAACACTAGGACTCCTCTAGGTGTTGGGAGTTCTTGTGGACAAGACTGCCTTTCAAGTTTATTTAGAACCCCAGAGCACTTCAGCTTGCAGTGGTGAGGCTTGGGAAACTCAAGTTCCAACCACTGAGACTGGCGATTCCTCTCTGACTGGTGTTGGTTTAAACGCTCCCGTTGTGGGCGTGAGTCAGCTGAATTTGGTCCAGTTTTGCTTTTTGCACTGAGTTAAATGCTATACAATTACTGTGCTCTCCCTCCCCAACTGCAGTAAAATGCTCTCTGCCAGTGAGGAAAGGCAGGGACTAGCACTAACAATTCAAAACTGTTCTCTCTACCACTTTACTGCCTCTTTCAATGATATGAAGTTAAAACCAGGTACTGTCAGTGCTCACCTGAGTTTTGGTTCTTATAAAGGTGCTTTTTATGTGTAAAAAGTTGTTAAATTGGTGTCTTTGTGGGGGGGAAATAATTGGTGGAACCTTCTTGCTCCACCTCCTCCCCTGATTAAGTCATTAGTTTCTTCTGTCATTCCTTTTTTATTCTCATAGTAAGATTCAGGCCTACTGAAGTATTACTTTTTACTATTTGAACATCCGTTCTCTCTCTTCACTTTCTGGATTCTGGAATTTTTTAATATAAAATATTTATTTTTACATATTTTAAGCGGAAAGTTTGATTTGGCGAGTTTGAGAAAATTGATTCATAATTTTTTTTCCTTTTTTCTTTCTTCTTCTATTATTATACTTTAAGTTCTGGGATACATGTGCAGAACGTGCAGGTTTGTTACATAGGTATACACGTGCCATGGTGGTTTGCTGCACCCATCAACTTGTCATCTACATAAGGCACTTCTCCTAATGCTGTCCCTCCCCTAGTCCACCACCCCTGACAGGCCCTGGTATGTGTTGTTCCCCTCCCTGTGTCCATGAGTTCTCATTGTTCGACTCCCACTTATGAGTGAGAACATGTGGTGTTTGGTTTTCTGATCCTGTGTTAGTTTGCTAAGAATGATCTTTTCCAGCTTCATCCATGTCCCAGCAAAGGACATGAACTTATCCCTTTTTATGGCTGCATAGTATTCCATGGTGTATATGTGCCACATTTTCTTTATCCAGTCTATCACTGATGGGCATTTGGGTTGGTTCCAAGTCTTTGCTATTGTGAACAGTGCTGCAATAAACATATGCAGATTCTGGCATTTTAACATGCTGTAACTTCAGCCTGATTGCTATGACATGTAACTGCTAAACCTTGTCCCCTTAGTATATGAACCTGCTTCTGAAAAACATGGAATATAATAAAAAAGAAACATAGTAAACATTGCATTATTGACATTTCTGAGAGAATATGTCAGACTGTTTTGAAACCTAAAACTTATTTCATTTTCTACTTTATGTAAAGGATCCAAAAATTTTTCAGTTTTTTTTTTTGTTTCTTTCTATAAGATATTTCGGAGACAAAGTTTTTCTTTCATTTATTTTGGCACTAGAACCTGGAGTTATCCCACCAGGATAGAGTGGCTAGTGAAGATGAACTTTGTTCGCATCATTTCATTTGTAGATTCCCTAAGGATTGGTGTAGGTGCCAGCTTGCAAGTGTGTGTGGAGAGTTGTGTGAACATTGGATATCATTCCATCTACTTAATAGCCAGGAAGTCACAAAATAATGGAGAAAAAGATGGCAGAACTTGATACACCTGGGGTTCCTCCTGCCTGCACTTTATGTAGAGGGAAAAATCAATATGAACAAAATTTCTCTTGATATTAACGGTTAAGGTAAGGTAGAGAGTAACAAAGTTTTCCTTACTTTGTTTGAATCCAGAAGGCATCATGAGAAACAACTCACTTAAATATCAATGTTTCCATTTTGAATTTTAAATGTTTTTTTATGACAAATAAAAATCAGTTATTTTGGTAATCTAAAGGGTAGTGCAGACTTTGTTAGTCAGAATAAAAATATTTCATTGGCATACACAAATATATCTCAAGTATTGTTTTGTCATACTGCTTAATTTTGTTGACACTACTGCCCAACTTTCCTTGACCAATTTCTAAATCTTCTTATCCAATCTGAGTAAGTTCACAGCTGCTAGGACATTATTTTTTCTTTTGTGACATTGTAGACATAAGGATTGTGAAAATATACATCAATAAATTTTGTGCCTAATTTTAAATAATTATTATTTACATGCTTAATTTAACAAAAGGAAATACAAAGATATTCATTATAAAAGACTTATCACATAGTAAATTTCAATTTCTAAGATTCTGCTTTTCTGCTTTTTTTTTTCTTCAGTTAACCATAGTAAAAAATAGTTTCTTTTAAAGGAAAGGGGGGAAAAGCTTTTATCTTTTTGACATATTGAAAAGAGGAAATGATAAGAGTGCAAGTTTGGTAAAAAAAGTGATTTCAGAATACGTATAAGTTCAATTTTTCTAAACACTAAAACCAAGAAGCTTTAAATTATCACACTTAAATGTTCTATCCTTTAAAAGTATTTCCCAGATAAAACTAAGCAATTGCAAAGCATTATCAATATTCACAGAAGCATTATTTCACTTATAAAACTCAAGTACTTTGTATTTTTTCTTTCATTTTATTGCCTATTTAGGAAGAATGGAAATATTAGCTTTGAGAAAAAAAGGACTATTAGACATATATTATATGCAGCAGATGTATTTAAATTCAAACTCTGCCTGTCTTAGAAAAATGTCTATTAAAAAAGTAAAATCCAACCTAATTTTATTCTATTTAAAATAAAATTTATTCAAGGATGTTCAAAAATCATATATCAAATCAGTGGTTAAAATTTATTGAGAAAGAAATAACATATGTTACTGGAAAAAAAATAGTGGCTTTTTTCTTTTTCTTTTTTTTTTTTTGTTTGTGCACACTTGAAATGCGGAATTAGAAAAAGAGAAATAAGTGGTCAGCACTATGTTACAAAATAAAAGATAAATATTAGTTTTTAATTGTGTATATAATACAGAGTAAAGGAACTATGTGGGAACTTTGGATATCACCTTGTTATTTCATTCCTTCTTTTGTACACTAAATGCTGAGGATACAAAGAAGAACAAGATATGATCCTCACCATGAAGGAGTTCACATCACAGTAGAGAAGATATCTATTCGTAAAAACTAAATGATAGAAGAGGCACTAAATATTGTAAAAGATGTTTTTAACAAAAAAAAATTTCCATGGAAAGCAGATTACAGACCTTTTACTTCCATTAGAATGGGAAAGTAGTGATATTATTGAAGAAAGCCTTTCAGGTAAGATGGAATTCAAGCTGAGCTTAGAAGAGGTGGTAGCATTGTGGAGGCCATACTGACAGAGGTTAAGCATGAGGCTGAACAGAGATGCAATGGAAATCTAGACATAGGAATCATTTTGAGAAGCATTGGGGATATTATGAATGGTGGGGCAGAGTTCATTACTGGAGAGAAGTTAGAAATTTATTTAAGAGCATGTTTGAGAGCTTTTAGGATCAATAGAAATCATTTTGGAATTTATTATACAAACAATACAGTACCCTGATACCTTTTTAAATCAGATGTGGAACGGTTAAATCTTTGTTTTAGAAATAGGCCAGCATGGTGGCTCACGCCTGTAATCCCAGCACTTTGGGAGGCTCAGGAGGGCATATCACTTGAGGTCAGGAGTTCGAGACCAGCCTGGCCAACATGGTGAAACCCCGTCTCTACTAAAAATACAAAAATTAGCCGAGCGTGGTGGCACATACCTGGAATCCCGGCTATGGGAGAGGCAGGAGAATCCTTTGAACCTGGGAAGCAGAGGTTGCAGTGAACTGAGATCATGCCACTGCACTCCAGCCTGGACAACAGAGAGAGACTCCGTCTCAAAAAAACAAACAAACAAACAAACAAAAAAACAACACACAGGGAGGGGAACAACACACACAGGGGCCTGTCGCGGGGCAGAGGGTAAGGAGAGGGAAAGCATTAGGACCAATATCTAATGCACGTGGGGCTTAAAACCTAGATGACTGGTTGATAGGTGCAGCAAACCACCATGGCACTTGTATGCCTATGTAGCAAACCTGAATGTTCTGCACATGTATCCCAGAACTTAAAGTAAAATTAAAAAAAAAAAAATGGAAAAACAAAAAGAAAAGAAACTCTATAGCAGTTAGGAGGCAGCCACTATTATTTAGCCCAGAGATAACAGAATGACTTTTCTGGAAGCACTGGCAATAACCACAGCACTGTGGCCTGTCTATTGTGGGAGACAGGTGAACGAAAGAACCTCGAGGAGGAAATAAAGAACAATGAATTGTCCAGTTTTTCTGATATCTAATTCTGGATGACTCTATAGTCTTCAAATCTTAGATATCATCACCTATGATGAAGTTGGCAAGACTTTACTGTCCTTCAATTTTTTTACACGCAAATTTAATCTCTTCCTTTGGGTAACCTCTATACCTTATTTGAGCTTCTGCTGTCCAAACCACATTGTGTTGCCTTTGTTTAGACCCTTCTCAGGAGGGATAGAAGTAAGGATAACTTAAAATAAGCAAATCACTGAAGGAGTCTAAATAAAATGATTCCAAACTAATGTAAAAAATGGCTGTGAAGTGTATTAAATTAAATTAAACAAGAGCTAGATTTATACATGACATTCAGCTTTTCAATTAATACAGGTTAGGTGGATATCAGAAAGAATTAGTATTAGGAATTTGATTTTCTATAAGGCATGCTGTAGCTATGAAAAAAATTCTCTTTTGAATACTATCAGTTCAATGTGTACAGATTAAATGGACATAAAACAGTTATTTTTTATCTTGCCTCAGAAATATTAATGTCTTTGCTATTAAAGCTAATAATTGTCTCTAATCATGAGACAAATCTTAAAAAGCGATGTTTATGTTTATTATCATAAAATAAATACATGCTTACTACATAAAGTTTTTAAGAATTAAAAAATATATAAAGAAAGAATATTCTCGTGTAATCCTAATTTCACCACAAGAGATAACCATTATAACATTTTATTAATAACTCTAATTTGTATATTTATGTATTTGTCTTTTTGTCCTTTTGCTTATGCATGTATATATGTAATATATATTACACGTACTTCTTTACCGATGAGTTTTTTGAGAAGAATATGTCAATTGTCTAGGACTGCATTTCAGTAAAATATTGTTTCTTTTCTTGAAATTCTTCATTATAAAATTATGTTGGCTGGCCGCGGTGGCTTGTGCCTGTAATCCAGCACTTTGGGAGGCCAAGGTAGACAGATCACCTGAGGTCAGGAGTTCGAGACCAGCCTGGTCAACATGGTGAAACCCTATTTCTACTGAAGATACAAAAATTAGCCAGGCGTGGTGGCAGGTGCCTGTAGTCCCAGCTACTCAGGAGGCTGAGACAGGAGAATGGCTTGGACCCAGAGGCAGAGGTTGCAATGAGCCGAGATAAGGCCACTGCACTCCAGCCTGGGTGACAGAGAGAGACTCCATCTCAAAATAAAAAAAAAAAATTATGTTGTGATTTAGGAATATCTGTTTTAAAAAATATTTTACAGACAAACATGTCACAAATACCATAGGAGTAATTTATAATGAAGTTCTTTGTTAGATTCTATACTTGTTTTTATGTGGGTAATATTTATAAGTTATATACAGACAAGAAATGGAGATCCATACTTAAATATTATTGGCGTAAAGGAAATATTCTAAAACTTTAGTCTGAAAATTTGTAGCATGTCAATTTAACTTTTATTAAAACATTTAACGGCTATAATGTTTGAATTTGAAAAATGAAAGACCTAAAAATGGATATGTGCAATTTACAAACTGTTCTGATAAGTGAGAAAATTGCCATTGAAATGTATAGTCAACGATTGGTTCCCTGGGGAGAGGATCTTTTAATCAGAGCTCTCTTTTCTTTAACAGACTGAGAAAAAACTAGCACCATCAGAACCTAATATTTATTATTATTATTATTACTATAGTATTATAAATTGGGAAAAGTAATATATAACTTTGTGTTGCAATTCTACTAAAATCATTAGTATTGTTGATTTGAATTATTAAATGAATGAGCAAAAATATGTTTACTTAATTTCTGAATAAAATGTAAAAGAATGTACATAATTTTATCCCCATCTTGTTTTACTCAGTCATTAACTTTAAGTGAATTGAATTCTTCAAAAGTGTTGAATGATATTATTTATATTATGCTTAATTATCTAATTGAATTTAATTATACATAAATTGAGTTATTTTATTTCCATTATAAGCTTATTATTATTTTCGTTAGACTAATTTCAATGTTAACAACATTGGCAAGTCGAGTGTGAGAAATGTCAGGTATGAGGTTGATTTAATAAAAGTGTGTTGGGGAGAATATGTGTTTTACCATGAAATTTCTAAATAAAATGTACCAGCTTGTGCTTTGATTAAATTGCAAATGTGTTTTTCCTATGAGTATTAAGCATTGACAGCAGTGCGTGGTTGGATTCACAGCACTGAGGATGGGGAGGAATAAGCCATTTATCCATAATGTCTCATTAATTTTCAATACTTTCTAGACTGCCTTATACACATTCACATGTACATATATACACCATGGACTCCTACACTTTGTTTTTTGGAACAGGTATACTATATATAAATTTTGAATTTTTCCTGGAGCTGTATCTCCTGCAGAAAATGACCAGTGGTTTGTGGGACCTCCCTGAGGCTTTGTTAACATACTGCTAGATCTCTGTAACTACATAGGGAGATGTTGCTGGTGGTCCAGCTGGCCAATTTATTGAAACCAGGACAAAACCCCAATTTCAATTTAATTATCTGTGACATTGCTACAACCCTAAGAAATTGGGTTGCCTGGTAATTTTGCTGCATTGCTGAAATCTGTTACAAGGTGAAAATGGTGAATTCATGAAATCCATTGAGTTACAGTCCTAGAATGAAACTTTAATGCTTACTTCATTCATTTCCCTGTTTTAATCCTAGGTCTGCAGTAAAGTAATCCCATAAAGATAGGGGTCTTATTTTTATCTTTAAGGAATGAGAATGTATAATCTTATTTGGAACCCAAGTCTCATTTCTTCACATTATCTCAGACAGAATGTTCCTCTATGTCTGAACAAAGTTTAGATAAATTACTGTTTATTACTTCGCATGAAAAATGGATTGAATTTTCTCATTTAATATCCAAAAGACTTAATATCTATTATCAGAATAAAGGCAATGTGTCTTATAGTCCTTCTATGTAAACTCCTATATTTGTGTTATGAGATAGCTGCAGATTCCATATAATTCTTTTCTGAACAGGGGTTTATTAGAAATCTCTTTATTATTGAGATGAATAATTACGTAAATAATCATTCAGGTTGCCTCTTAATACTACTCTTGTGTCTTCTTAAAGCAATAGCAGATGATTCAATTGTTAAAATAGTTTTTTTCTAAATTAAAAATCAGTTATAATTATATCTGTCTTCAAAATTTATCCAAAAACTATTTTGAACATTAATTGAATTCCATTAGATGTCATTTATTCTGACCAAATTTGGCACAGTTCCTCTATATACTGAGCACATTTATTTAAGTCTATTTTAAAATTCTTTGTTTTGCTCTGAATTGAGCTGAGATACAAAATTTGGATAATAAACAGAGTACTTAATAATAGCTACAAGTTGTTGAGAAACTCCTTTGATCAAGAAGTCTATGTATTCTGTAATCTTTAAAAATATACTGAAGAGAGCTATTCTTTTACAGAAAGAGAAACTAAAACTTAGAGTGATTAAATGTCTAAATAAATGTGTCATGAGTACAAAATCTTTTTCTCCCTTACATCACAATTATGTTTTCTAAAATTTAGAAATGTAATTAAAGATGCCATTTTAATTAAGCCAGATTTAATTTACTTGGAAAATCTCTTTGTTTATTAAGAACATACTTCCATTTATTTTCTGTAAAGGCACACACACACACACACACACACACACACACCCCACATATTCAGTGGTAAAATTCCCTTTTGTGGAGGAGACAATTGAGTGGCACTTCTGGCTATGGACATTAAGGTGTAGTATGGAATCCACAACAATGTACTGGGGCTTAGAAAATACAATTAAAACAATAGCAACAACAACAACAGTATGAAATAGAGGGCTGAAACAAGATAAATAAAAATGCAGATTGTGACCTGGTGTTGAAACATGAGTGTAGTTGCCTCCTCCCTCACCATTTCAAGTGGTGAAAGAGCTGAAATGGATCAAGAGAGGACCCTGAAATGGTGGCAATCATCACGAAGGAACTAAATCCCTAAGGGTGCGTTGTTATTTGTTTTAACCTGTGTTTATTCTGATCTTGTTCAGTTTCATCTGTAACTCTAGAAGGCTGCATAGAAGGAAGTTTCTGGAGAGTCAGAAATAAGGAGAGAAAATAAGTACTTAAGAAATCCATGCAACAACAATGCTACACGTGATAATCGGCATAAAGATAAACATATGGTGCATATCAAGTCTATGTAAATATAGTATAGAAAATATAAACGTTTTAAATATTAGAAAATACATGCCAATCATCAATGTGTGTGTGCATGTGTGTGTACCTGCATGAATGTGTGTACTTAAAACTAAAATCCAATATTAATAATGTTTGATGTGACAAAATATGTGTGCAAGATTGTAAATTATTTGAAGAAAAAATATACATTTCTTGAACTTGTAATAGTTATTTTGTAACATGATTAGTCATTTTTTTGTTCAATTACACTTTTAAAAATTTCATTGAAATAGCTTAGACTGATTATACCTTTGGCATTGCTGATAAATTTATTAAATACGGCAAAGGTAAAAGACAGCCCTTTAGCTACTATATCAAATGCCTTTATAAAAGTGCAAACAATATTGAACAAGATAATAATGTATAGTATTTATATTGTACTCCCCTAGATTCTGTAGTCTTTAATTAACTTGATTCTAACAATAACTCCATGTGACGTGTACCATTATCATCTCAATTTTACAGATGATAATACTTGCTATGTGAGGATAAATAATTTTGTTCCATGGCTGATAAATGTAGAGCCAATGTAAAATTCTAGGTAGTTTGGCTACACTGTCTATTATTCTAACCATTACCAAATAACTCATCCCACTGGTGAAAAATCACACCCTGAATTATTTCAGGACATTGTAACTATATAAAGTTTAATCTAAGCCAGACATTTAACTTTGCCAGGAAATTGTTTTGTGTGGAACTGTTAGGATGAAAAGGAAAATACAACAGAATTTAACAACAAAGTAACTTTGTTCCTCCCATAACTGTCCTTTTAAAATTATTGTGTTTGGCTTGTTTTGCCTTGTGCCTTGGATGATATCTGGGGCAGGATCTATGACTTTTCTGCTCACTCTTTCAGATAATAAAATGTTCCCTTGTTACTTTAGGTACAATGAAGTCTTATTTCTGTTATTATAAATCCCTTCTCATATGGCAAAACTATAAACATTTTAAAAATTTATGTTTCAGCTAGTAGTTGGAAAGAGTGGCCAGCCTCTTCTATATTTCTTTTTTTCCCTTTTTTAAATTATGGAAACCTTAAAACACATAGTAAAGTTAAAAAATATATAGCGAACATTCCTATACACAGCCCTGGATTACACTAAAGTCATTTTACTGTTCTTGCTCATTAGATGTCCATTCCCTTATTCATACTTCCATCAATTCATATTATTTTTGATGACATTCAAACTAAATTAACAACATCAGAAGAGTTTTAAATATATCTGGATAAAGAACATTCAATAAAATTCAATATTTATATAGAGTTCTTTTAGTTTGACGTCGTTTATACACATTACATTGCACAACTTTTAGTGCATATTTTTTGAGTATTGACAAATGTACATGCTATTGTAAACTAAACTCCAGTCAAGATATAAAATATTACTCTCAGCCTTGAATGTTTGTTCATTACCCTCTCTACTCAATCCTCATCCCACTCCCAAGAGGCAATGCTTGTTCTGTTAATTTTGGACCGTAGATTACTTGTGTCTGTTTCAGAACTGAAAGCAAATAAAGTCAAATAGCATCACCTCTTTTTACTGGTAAGCAGTATTGCTTTGTGTGAAAATACATCAATTTCAAAATACATTTTCCTGAAAGCAGACTCAGCTGCTTTTACATTTTAACCCTGATTAATAAAGCTGCTGTGAAACATTTGAGGTTTTTTTTTTTTTGGATTCATATATTTTCATTGGAGGAGGTTAAAATCTAGTAATGGAATTAAAGGATTGTAAAATAAGTATTTGTTTAGTTAGATGATTTATTGACAGAGTTTTTGACAAAATGATTGTACAGGTATGAGATTTATGATTTTCCCACATTCTCGCTAACTTTTGGTATTTTTAGTCTGTTTAACCATTCTGATAATTAAATGGTATTTTATTATTTATTTTCCTAATAATCATGTTGAACATTTTTTCATGGGCTCACAGTGTAGTTTGCTTTTGTAGATTAGAATGTTCTACAAATGCCACTGAGAGCTAATTGCTTGATTGCATTAACATCTGTCTCATCCAAGTCTGGTTTTGATCATTGCTTTGTCTCTTCTGAATTTCTTTTTCCTTGCCCTTTTGTATGTCTAACAAATTTTGTCAGAGGTTTAAAATGTTTTGTAGGATAGTAGATACTGAGGGACATCCTTTGTTTTGCTTGTAAAATCAAACTTTCATTCTTCGTGGTCTCTTATGTGTGGGCTTCGGATAATCTAGTGAGCAGTTGATCTGAGTTCAGGGTCCATTATTGCTGTAACTACTCCCATTTCACCATAGCCTGCAAATTCCTTTAGAAATGACTTGGCTTTGGGGTGGAGGTTAATATGCCAGAAGGTAGGTACTTTTTTTTTTTAAATAAACAACAGAAATTTATTGCTCACAGTTTTGGAAACTGGGGTGTCCCAGATCAAGGCACCCGCAGATTTGGTGTCTGGTGATAAATGCTCTCTGCTTCAAAGAGGACACTTTCTCACTGAGTCCTCACATGGAAGAAGGAGGAAGAACGCTTTCTTAAGCCTCTCTTATAAAGGTATTAATCCCATTCATGAGGGCAGCACCATCATGACCTAATGACCTCCTTAAGGCCCCACCTCTTGATACCACCACAATGGAGGTTAGGTTTCAACATAAATGTTGGAGGGACAGAAACATTCAGATCATAGCAACATGTACATGAGATGTGTACAGGTTTAACTCTTACAAGTAAAGCTTTTTTGTGGATGCATATGTTTTCTCTCTTTTTTTTTAAATTATACTTTAAGTTCTGGGATACAAGTGCAGAATATGCAGTTTGGTTACATAGGTATACACGTGCCATGGTGGTTGGTACTTTTTTGTTGGTACTTTTTTGTTTTTACTTATTTGTTTCCTCCATTTTGCTCTCCTCTTGGCTTTGGGTTTCCTTTTTGTGCTGTGGCCTAAAGAAAATCCTTCTCCTACAGCTCTCCCAGGTATATTCCATCATTATCTTTCCCCAGTGTTTGTTAGCCTATGATGGTGGGGTGGGGGAGTGGAGGTTGGGGTGTTATAACTAAACCTTAGTCTTAGGCAGGAACTGTGTCTATACATTTCAGTAGTGGAGACTTCACAAGTGCTATTTGCCCTCTTGGAGCTGAAGTACTAAACCTAATACGTAATATGATGTGGTCCTGCAATTCCCCCCAAGGAGAATGCATTTTTGTTTAGTTTTATTTCTGTTCTGTTCTTTCCCCTAGCTGCAATGCATTTCCTCCCATGCCCTAAAGGGCTCAGGCAGCAGTGTTTATTGCTTTTCCTCTACAGATTAAGGTTTATAATCTGTTGAGAAGATGGGGAAATCTTCCTCTGTAAAATTTCTGCAGTAATCAGTGTTCCCTGCTCCCACCACAAGAAAAACCTCTTCGGGATTTTCTCCAGTCTTCTCTGAGAGTACATGGTAGGGTTAATGGAGAAAAAGCCTGCAGAGGATAAGATCTCACTCCTTCTCCCTTTTATCTGTGGCCTCCAAGGGTTTTACACTCACACTTGACTACACTTCACTTTTAGGAAGTCTTTAAAGTCTTTTGGCTATAATGTCTTAACGGTTTATAATGTGTTCTACTGAATCTGTTCCAAGGAGGCAAATACTGGAAAGTTGTTTCTCTCTTCTGGCATCTGTGTCTCTTCAGATTTTTGGCTACTTGTGTGCCCTAGTGCCTCTCTTCTCTGCTGGCTTCAAGAGGAGTTGTTAATTTGCATTTTGTGAAGCTTTTGCCTTCTTGTGAGAGTGGGAGGGATATTATTCCATGTCTCTACAACTCTGAACTAAATAAAAAGTCTCCCAAATTTATTTTGATTAATCATATATTTCTTAACATAGTATATATATTATATATATATATATATAGTTGGGTATGAAGTGTGGGAAATTTTTGACTTTATTTGTTTAAATATCCTTCTGTCACCCTTTTAATTCAGTGACTCCAGTATACATTTATATATATATAAATACATTATATATATACACAATACAATATATATGTATTTATATATGTGTATATATATAAATATATAGAATACATTTATATATAATGTATTTATATATATAAATATATATGGTGAATATATATATATATAAATATATATATATGGGGGAAATCTTCCTATAAATTTATATATATATGGAGAAAATTACTCTGACTGAGCCCAGGCACCCTGTACAGAAGCAGGAGGCAGACAGTTTCCTGGAGGGAAGGAGGGAAGACAGTGGGTCCACAGTGAGGCACCAACTTTAGGCCAGGGAGGATTTGAAGGCTAGGGACCTGGCTGCCAGTACCATGGACCAGATTGTGTTGCCTTTTCTGGGCCATCCCATAACTTCCCATGTACCAATTGGCATTCATTTCCTCCCCTCTGAGGCCCATAAAAGCCCTGGGCCCAGTCAGAGCTGAGGAGACATGAGGAGGACCAGCCACAGGAAGGAGCTACCTATTCCAAGGGCTCCTCTCTACTTAGGGCTGCAAAGATGAGACTACTAGCTCCAGAGGGCAGCAACTCTCTACTGAGAGGATGGAGAGATGATGGGAAGACTAGTTGCAGAGAGGAGCTATCTTCTCTACTGAGAGCTGCAGATATGATGAGTTGACCTGCCTGTAGACAGGAGCCACCTACTCTAGGCCCTCCTCTCTGCTGAGAGCTGCAGAGATAACAAGATGTCCTGTCTTCAGACAGCTGCAGAGATAACAAGATGTCCTGTCTGCAGACAGGAGCTTCCCACTCCAAGATCTCCTCTCTGCTAGGAGCTGAACATTTGTTGGGACACCCTGGCTGTGAAAAGGGGCTACCCACTGCAATTCTCCTCTGAGTTGTTCCATTGCGTACCTAATTCTTCCTGGTTGCAGAACAAGAACTCAGGACCTTCTGAATGGCAAAGCTAAAATAGCTGAAATGCAAACAGGGCTGAAACATGCCCCTTGCTCACCATATTGCAGGCAAAGAAGACAAAAACTGCAGCCATTCAGGGAACCCAGACTTGGGAGCTCCCCAAGACACGGCTGTAACTCCCTCTTTGGGACTCTGTGGTTCCTGGCATCTCCAAGCTTCTGGGTGCCACCACATTTCCCGGTGTCAGCTGTGGAAGCTGCTGCAGTGCACCTGGTCCAGCTGCAGCCTCACAGACAGCTGGCGTCCATGCTGGCACCTGGAGCTGCCTGCCCCACAACAGCAGTCAGTGTGTCTGATGGCTCAGTGGCCAGACTCCATGCTCGCTCACACACCCCTCACCACTCCATGCCTGACTCACGATCTCTCTTTGAAGGCATGGAATCCAAGTCAATAGTATGAGCTGAGTGCATCCTGCCAGGCTGAGCATGTGGATTGAGCTCAGTGATCCCAAGCAAAACTCGGGTAAAGGCACCATTGGTCACAGGTTTCCAGCCAGAAAAGAAACAACCCAAAGCTCTCATAACAAAATGATTTACCTACTTTCTGACTTTGTATTTGCCTAGTCTGGAGTTTCGTTTAACCAGATTAACAAAATGTGTAACATTTGTGACTTTCTTCCTTCATTTAGCATAACGTAATTCATGTTGTTACATTTAGCAATAATTCATTTTTTTATTGCAAAATAAAATTTATTATATGGATCTACTACATTTTTGTTGCTTCAAAAGTAGGATGGATTTTTGGGTCTTCAGATTTTGGGTTTAATAAATAATACCACCATAACCTAACCATTTGTCTACAAATTTTTATGTGGACATATATTTTTGTTTGTAGGTAAATACCTAGCAGAATTGCTGAGTCATAAAGTAATTCTGTCTAACATTTTCAGGAACTGCACAACTGTTTTCCAAAGTGGTCCTACCATCTTACATTCCCATTAGCAACCATGAGGTTTCTAGTTTCTCCAAATTATTGTCAATCCTTGTTATTGTCTAGCCTTTTTGATTAAAACCATCTTAGTGGGTGTAAGGTAATCTCTCTCTGTGGTCTTGATTTTCATTTCCCTAATGGCTAATGATGTTGAGTGGTTTTCTATGGGTAGTATTTCCCTAGGGGGAAAAAAACTACATTGTTTCAATGTTCTGAGAATCATTATTCCATATAGTTTCCTGATTTTTAGTTGTTTCAGTAAAGAGAAAAAAACTGAGTCCCTCTAACACCATCTTATTCTCAAAAGTTAAAATCTATTACTACAATATTTAATACAATGTTTATATTAAATAATTCAAAAATGTCAACTGAAATTACATTACCTTTGTAATCATTTCAAAATGAGCCTAACAGCTATATATCTATCTTGTTGCCAAATCCACTGTACCAAACATTATTCTGTTGAGCTCGATCTGATGTAGATTCAAGGCAAAAGATTTGAAACACACAGCTCCCACAATATTTGCCTTTAAATCCAAAATGGCAAGTGCTTGCAGATGTTACATTGATCAAAATAGGGTCAGCATTTTAACCAATATTTTTCTCTTCACATATGTTTAATAAATTGTTAACTGTAATTTTTTGGCTAGTTACTTAAATCCCACACATAATATGAATATATTGGTAAGAGTGACCAACTGAAACTAGAGCCTCAGGAAGTTTTTGGTAAAACAACTATCTCTTGGCATTTCAAGGCTCTATGGGTTTAGTTGTGTTACCTCCAAATCCTGTGTTGAAGTCCTAACCCTCAGTATCTCAGAACATGAACTGATTTGGAGATAAAATTTGTACAGAGGTAATCAAGTTAAAGTGAGGTCATCAACATGAGTACTCATTCAATATAATAGTTGTCCTCATAAAAAGGAAATATTTGGATGCAGACAAAGGTACAGAAAGAAGATGATACAGAGACACAGGAACAAGATGGCTGTCTACAGGCCAAAGAGAGAGATGTAGAACAGTTTCTTTCCTCATATTTCTCAGAACAAACCAATATTCCTGATACCTTCCTACGCTTTGGATATGGGCTGTTTGGTCCCACCAAGTCTTATGTTGAAATTTGAACCTGACATTGGAGGTAGACCCTGGTAAGAGGTGCTTGAATTGTGGGGGGGAATCCCTAATGAATGCCCTGGTGCCATTCTCCTGGGAGAAAGTTCTCACTCTTAGTACCTGAGAGATCTGGTTGTTGGAAAGATCCTGGCACCTCTTCTTTTCTGTCTTTTGCTTCTGCTCCCACCATGTGTACACCAGATCCCTTTCTCCTGCTAGGAGTGGAAGCAGTTTGAGGCCCTCGTCAGATGCAAATGTCCATGCCACACTTTGTGTACCGCCTGCAGAACTATGAGTCAAATAAATCTTGTTTCTTTATAAATTACCCCACCTCAGGTATTATTTTATAGCAACACAAGTGGACAAAGACATACCTTGATCTGGAACTGCTAGCCTCCAGAACTGTGAAATAATACATTTCTTTGGGTTTAAACTACCCAGTTTGTGATACTTTGTAACGGCAGCCCTAGCAAATTAATACACAAGAAGTATAAAATGAAATAATTTTAGGAACCCAGCCCTCCTTTCACCTTGATTACTTTGTTCCTTACTATTACTCTATTAGACTTGCCTTTCATTTTCGTTAGTCTTGCAGTGAACTACAGAACAAATGTTGACTTTTCCGCAATGCTGACACCATGTTAATCCCCATTCTGCTCCTGGCAGGTATTTCTTCCCTAGACAAGAATGTGTTACCCAGAGACAGATCATGACACACAGCAGTGACCTGCCAGA